>NC_000010.11:117870368-118495451 GCF_000001405.40 Homo sapiens
CAATTGTTAGGAGATGGCCAATTTCAGTGAGAGACAGTCCTTTCCAATTTGCTAACAGAATTTTCAATTGTAAAGTTTAACCTTCTGATTCATATATGGGATAATGTCAAGATTCTGAACCCAGCCCATTTAGAGCTTCACTCCTAACCAGAGATGTAGCCCCAAAGAAACGGTTGAGTGTGCACCTTCCAGTCTACATCCAGAGTGATAAGGGACTTCCCCTGGCTTGCTGAGCACAGGGAATTCTGATCCTGATAACAGCCCTGGGGGATTGACAACAATGCCCAAACTCAGAAGAAAGCCAAGGAGCCTCTCGCACTTACCAGCTGTAATGCTGAGTGCATTACACAGACAAATCAGGCCCCCCAAAGTAATATGTTTTCACCTCACAGTGAGCAGCGTTTGAGTTCAGGGAGAGGGACTGTGTATTAAGAGAGCAGGTTAAAAATCGACATTATCCCAGACTTTCATGAAATCAAAATGATGGCCATGATGCTAAATTATTATAATGTATTTATTACCAGGATTGCTTTCATATTTAACCAATTTGGCCCATCTCAAGACCTGTTTTAAAATGCACCACCTTGCCCACCTTTCCCATTTTCATATGAAAAACAGGAAAGCAAAAACTAATTTACTCAGAGAGACACGGCGCCTGTTTGCCCGTTTATCTCTTACGGACCACCCCTCAGTCCAATGTTGACAGTACATGATATTCCATTAATCTGCCTAATGAAAATTTAACCAGTGTTATAAACAAATAATTGGCTATTATCCTCTCAAAGATCCCGAATAAATTACTTCTGCTTATTTCCCCCCTCTCTCAGTGCTCAAAAGCTAGCCCTTTCTGATGGATGTCACAGAGCGCGGGGGCTGGGGGGAAGATCAGCTTCATCCCACTCTGGCTTTCTCAGCACTGCTGTCATTGTCACCAGCAGACTCTACTCTGGGAACACCCCGTAATAGGAGATGGGGGTAGCAATGGGAGACAGCCCCCACTTGTGGGTCAGCACTTGGCCCCCCCCTTTAAAAACTATTCCCTACATATCTCTGTCTCCCCACCCCCCGTTGTTTCTGCTGTTGTCTTTCATTCCGTCTCTCATCATCTTTCTTCTCTTTTCTGTTCTCACTCTCTGAATTCTTGGTCTTCATCTCCCATCGCCAGCCCAGCCACATGCCCAATACCCCATCCACATACTTGTCTTACCACTTTGTTGTCATAATTGTAAGCTTTAAAACACAGGGACTGCTTTAAAATGAAACACCCGCTGCCGAAATGGTTGGCATATGCTATATTCAATGACTTGACTAAACCATTTGGATAAGGTACAGGCCCTATTTGTAGCATTATGTTGAATCAAACAAATTGAAGAAATCTATTTCAAGTCATTATTGCTATAAATGGGTCCTGTCCCACAGTTCCACATGAAGGCTGGAACAGTTTGGCTAGATGGCAGGCTATTTGGAGGAAAAATTTGAGACAGTGATTGGAGTACTGCATTGCCTTTTTTGACGTAGTCATCTTTCTTCTCTAGTAGATAAAAACTTTTTTAAGACAGGGATTGTGTCTTGTTCATCTATTTCATTAGCATCCGACACAAAAAAGTACGAAGTGAATGAATGAATGAATGAATGAATGAAGGTAAGCATTGTGGGCTCTTAGAAGCAAAGGCAATAAAATGATCACAGATTTGAAGATTTTATTTTTTCATAATTGACAGCCTTTCTCATAGCCCTTCAATTTCCTGATGCCTTCAAGTCCCACAATTTATGCTGCAAGTTGCAAAATTGAATTTAAACACCATTTACCTTCTCTCATAAATGTTTAGTGAAAATATCACTATGGGTCATTATGAAACAGTGCAGAAGAGAAGAGCGTGGTAATTTTAACACTGTGGCTCTCAACACTTAAGAAAATTAACAGAGAAATAATTAGACCTATTAAAAATGTTCAAGAATCTTCCAGTTAACAGCCGAACGCGCTAACGGATTGTGCCACAGAGACAAGCTAAATGTTCAAGAATCTTTACAGTAACTGTTACAGACTAAATTTTGTCCTCCCCAAATTCATACACTGAAGCTCTAACCTCCAATGTGACAATATTTGAGCCTATCTTTATAGGGCTGCTGTCTGAACAAGAAGAGGAAGCAACATCAGAGATTTTTCTGTCTCCATGTGTACATAGAAAAGAGGTCATTAAAAAAAATCACCTAACAATCTTCTTAAATGCAAGTGCCTAGGTCCATGCTTAGATTCTGACTTAGTGGACTTAAGAATCTGCTGCTGTGTCAGGCACCCCTGGAGATTCTCATACAGGCAGTTGGGGGACAACTCATTAAGAACTATTGCTGTACTGAGAGCTTAGCGCCTATTTTGTAACCACCAAGAGCTTCTTCTTAGGCTGGGACTTCCATGTGGGATCAGCAAGAGATTAACATCTTCAGGGAAGACCCTTGGGCTCAGTCTTGGACTGCAGAAGGGGAAAGAGGAAGCTTTCATGTCCTGCTTCCTGGTCATGAAAACTGGGGCCACTTCAGTTAGCGCTCCTTCAACATGAAACTTCATTGCCAATATCGTTCATTTCATCCAGGGGCCATTCCACTTTGCAGTTGAATATTTGAGTCTGGAGCTTATGAGAAAGGTTAGGGCTGGACATCTTGAATTAGAAGAATTCAAGCAGTAGTTTCAATCATGTGTTATTTTCTTCCAGTGTGTAAGTTTCCACAAAATAGTTGTTCAGATGTAAGCCTGAGAGGCTATCTGTCCCCGTGGGAAGATAATACCAATAACCAGCATTGGTGCTGGTGCTTCTCACACTCATGATCTAACTTTTTTTTTCTTAGTTTTAAAATGTCCACTTTATTCCATATAACACTTAACCAGATATCATTTACATCTGAGGAAGAGATGGCCCATGAGACTGATCTATAGTAAAACACTCTAAGAAATGCAGTCCAATTTTATACATTTCCAGGCATCCCTAGACAAGTGTGTCACAATGCACAATGCAGAAATATAGGTATCACTACTACATTTTACATAAAAGGGAAGTATCAATAAACTTTAGAAAGCAGTAAATTCACCTGTCCCTTAAAATATGGGTATGCAATTGTTACAAAGCCATAGTAAATGGTTTATAAAATGTAATTTTATTTTATGTTACTCTGCTGTTACATAGGGCATAACATCTTCACAAGGCTTTTTTGGGACCACAGTCAATGATTAGCAACACACAATAGTGGTTCAACTCTCTAAATAACAATCACTAGACAAACTGGATACCCTCTCACATGTGCACAAATCTGCGTGGAAAAGTACTAAAGTTTTAGACTTGGACTTGTGTACTTTATTTCCCCTTTCTAGTGTATTAAGAAATACACTAGAAAGGGGAAATTTGGTCTTTGCAATAACCCTCTGAAATATGCTGGGCAGGAACTCAATGTTCCCATTCTACAGATGTGAGAGCTGAGGCCCAGGGCAGTCCAATGAGAAGCTGTGTCACAGTCTTCAGATAAGAGTACCCCGACCGAGTTTCTGATGGCATTCTGGGGAGCGGACGATGGGGGCAACAGGACTTTAGGATATCAGGGTGACCCTGAGGAGATTAAGACATTGTGTGATTGGTTCCCTTGCCAGACACTAAGGCACAATGTGGATGGACATAAATGGGCCCATCAAGTTGAGTTAGACTTTCTCATTAATGCAAATGGTGCATTACTCAGGGATAGGACCTCAGCCTTTCATCTGAGCATTACATTTTTACTAACACAAATATGCAGAGCTACCTCCCAGGATGGTTGAGATAGCATATGTAAAGCATATGGCCTGACCCATAGAAAAGGCTGGATTACTGATAGCTGCTATTATGGTAATTATCGTTCTGACCCCAGAAACATGTATACTGCCCTCTGGGATAGTCCAGCCAGGCCAATGTGAGGCAAAATTGCAAAGCAAGTGTGATCATTGCAGGGCAGAGGGCCTTTTGGTGCCCTCAGACACCACAGCTGGGGTTATGGTCCCAGCAAGGCTACATGCAGCCCTCCCCTAATCAACAAGGGCACTGTGGGAACTGGGCTTCTCAAATAGGAAAAAAGCCTGAGAGAGAGATTCGAGGTTGGTTTATAAACATCTGAAGGTGCTCTATGGTGTGAAGAACAGCTAATGAACAGAAGTGGATATTTTGATTAGACCCGGCTCAGTAGGAAAAGTCTGGAGACTATTTTTCCCAGTGACCCAAAAAGCAATAAAAAGACTCAGTAATTTGATCTCTGAGAATTGGTAAAAAAATTTTTTTTGAATAAAATCTAGCTTAATTTAGAAAATAAAATAATTTCCTTCACAGGAGTAATCATTCCCATTGGTATGGGCAAGGAGGGCAGTGTTAACTCATTGGTGAATCTTTTTTTTTTTTTTTTTTTTTTTTTTTTTTTTTTTTTGAGACGGAGTCTCGCTCTGTCGCCCAGGCCAGACTGCGGACTGCAGTGGCACAATCTCGGCTCACTGCAAGCTCCGCTTCCCGGGTTCACGCCATTCTCCTGCCTCAGCCTCCCCAGTAGCTGGGACTACAGGCGCCCGCCACCGCGCCCGGCTAATTTTTTGTATTTTTTAGTAGAGACGGGGTTTCACCTTGTTAGCCAGGATGGTCTCGATCTCCTGACCTCATGATCCACCCGCCTCGGCCTCCCAAAGTGCTGGGATTACAGGCGTGAGCCACCGCGCCCGGCCGAATCTTTTGTGTTTATAGGAAAACCTTCTGAGAATCAGTATCCAGCCTCAGATGCAAATTTCATCAGTAGCAGCTGGCTGAATGTGAACTGTCTGGCTGCGTTGGGACAAAGACTGAGCTTGGCTGGGCATTAAGTTCTCCTGCCTCCTCTTGTCCCATCCCTGGCCTGATTAGAACTGGGAGAGTCACCTACCTATCATCAGTGATCTTCTCCATGTAATCTGCCAGCCAGACCAGCCCACTGGGGCCTCCGATGCAATGCTGATCATTTGCGGGCCATGTCTTAGATCTAGTATACCCTAGAGGGTCACCTCAGCCACCCAATTTAGGCTGTGATTTGAATATTGGTAAAGGGCATGATCCTCAGGAATGTTTCTTCTCTCATCCCAGGGCTTCTAAGACTGGTTTGAGCATCACTGGTCAAGAGATAGAGAGAGTATGTAGGAAGCTATATGGCCTTGGAAAATGATTTTTCCAACATGTCAAGTGACAACATAACAGCAATATGCACAGAGCTAATATTTATTGCCAATTTTCCATATGCCAGGCACTGTTCTAAGTTCTTTCATGAGCTTAACTCATTTCGTTCTGAAAACAACCTTTCAAGGTTGTTACTGTTACTATCCCCAGTTTACAGATGAAAAAATTGAGCCACAGATTAGATGACTTGTCCTAAACTTCACATTGATTTAATGATGGTCAGGATTTGAACTCAGGCAATCTGGCTCTAGTGTTCATGTGTTTAGTCACTACCCAGAACTGAGTTTTCAATCATCTCTAAAACATCATCTCCTTTCAAAAGTCTGCTCCATAGCTTCCCTAGGAGAACCACGCCTTCAGAAATGCATGAGCTGGAGTTTCCTCCTTCTTCTAGTAACAAAATGCCAAGCATGCAACAGGAACATGCGAGTATTGCCTAGAAACCACATGGCTTATCATATGCTATCCCTCATAATTTATTTTTATGAGTGTAGTAAGTGGTATCAGCATTTTATATGCATGTATTTATATTTGTTAATTTAATTTATGCAAATGCCTCATTTATGTAAATCATATACAGATCCACCATCAGAATATCTTTAGCAAAATAACATGATCAAGATATTTAGGAATCTGACATATATAATCAGAGAATACAAATGATTTTTACTACATGTTCGTTATGCCACAAAGTTCATAAGATGTTAACAGTCTAGTTTCACCAGAGCTTGCTTTGCAGTGTTTTGGTTGGCCTGTCTTTTCCTCCTGCCCCATCTCATCCCTCCTTGGATGGCCAATGCTAGCCAGGGTGCTGCTGGGAGAGAGGAAGTCTGAGCTGCAGCAACATTTGAAGGCTTGCTTTTCCATTCACTTCTGAGGGATGAGGTTACAGTGTGTAAACACAATACTGTATTTCATAGCTATCCCGGGGCTTTGGGCTTGATCCTTCCATGATAGTGGTGTCCTCATTACCAATTCATGATGCTGCCAGGCAGTCATCATGAATAATCAGCTTCCCCCTAAATCTGGACCATCCGTTCTGAGTTTCTGGCATGTTGCTTCAATGAGAAGTGAGAGATTTTTATCTCATTTCAGGGAGGAAACTCTGTGTATGACTTTATATCCAACTCTGGGACTAAATAAATGCATTTAATACTGTGACCCTAAGAATAAAAGGTGGTGAAGAGTTCTAGAGGTTGTTTGTACTCACACTCATAAGGCCAGGAAAAGGGGTGATGGGAAGATTTAACATGATCTTCTGTCAATCATACCTCAGGACCCAGAACATTCTATACAGCTACTCCAATCACGTAGCCTGAAGGAGCAACATTGCTACTTATGATGAAAGCTAAAAATATCATCTTCCATAGTAAAGTAAAAACTTATTATAGTAGCCAGCTATCTTCTCCACCCACTGTTTGCTTAGGAGAACCACTGACCATCACTAAATACATCAAGAAATCCTTGTTTCTCTGTGCCCTGGAAGCTGCTACAGAGAGAATTGCCCATATGAGAAGCTGTGAATTTCAACCTATGGAGCATGCGTCCTCATGACCTTCTGTTTTCAGCTCATATTTGAACACCCTGTTGGTTTTTTTATCCATGGCATCTTAATGTGTCTGATATGGCTCTATGGGTCACCCAGACACCCTGGTGTAGATGGCCGTTTCTGGTGCTCTGGAAGATAACTTCCTGTGTCTTCATTTGAGGTGCCCCCAGGAACCAGAAAACTTTTTTTTTGTATACCACAATGTTTTTATTTATTATTATTATCTGAGATGGAATTTCACTGTTGTTGCCCAGGCTGGAGTGCAATGGCGCTCTCTTGGCTCACCGCAACCTCCGCCTCCAGGATTCAAGTGATTCTCCTGCCTCAGCCTCCCAAGTGGCTGGGATTACAGGCATGCTCCACCACTCCCAGCTAATTTTGTATTTTTTGTAGAGATGGGGTTTCTGCATGTTGGTCAGGCTGGTCTTGAACTCCCGACCTCAGGTGATCCGCCCGCCTTGGCCTCCCTAAGTGCTGGGATTACAGGCATGACCCACCACACCCAGCCATGTTTCTATTTTGTTATCCATCAGTACCTCCCTTATATACCCTCCAATTTTGGAGAAAATCTATCCAGCAACTTTTGTATAAATTGCATTATAGACAGGAATGATTTGATTAATGTAGATTGCTAGAAAGTAAACACTTTAAAAAATCACTTGACCACCACTTGAGCTGCTCACAAAGCTCTTTCCAACATCTTGTCTTGCCACCTGGGACAAACAGTGGAGTTCACACAGATTAGATCTTGAAGCAGGCGAACTAAACCCCCTCAGGAGCTCCTGCAAAGGGGTGAAGGGTGGGCAGGTCAGGGAAATGTACCGATTCTTCACAGAGAAGCAACACAACATTCATGTTTTTCTAAATGAGGAGAAAATCCACTTTTAGCTTAGACTGAAAGAGAAATTCAGCATGGATCTGCTCATCACCATAGCGTGTACAGCACAATAAGACAGCAGACTCTGGGCCATTGGATCACGGCTACTCTAATGGGCAAGTGCTCCAGCCAGGGGACCAGAAAGCAGGCAGCCAGCATTTTCAGCACTTAGTGGGGATGAATGGAGTCTTCCAGATCATACCATCACAGCCTAAGGACAGCCTATAAATTAAGTGTTGAGCATTTAAGAAGTCAGAGGTACAGAACCTGGACTCTGGAGTCAGAAAGAAAGGGCCTTGAATCCTGTCTCTACTACTTATTAGCTGCTTGTCATGGGAAGTACCTCAGCCTCTCAAAGCCTCAGTTTCCTCATCTTTAAAATGGGTATAGTGGTGTACCTACCTTACAGAGTGGTTATGAGAACTGGAGGCACACGCCCTGTAGAAGATTAGCCAATTCCATCCCACGGGGTTTGGGTGAAGAGGACCATGAGGCCCATGGAAGAATATCACACAAGCTTGTAGAGCACAAGAGGAGAAGCCAAGAGCAGGCTGGAACAGAGAGTGTTTCCTTGGCCTCAGTGAGTCATGGTCAACTCTAGTTTCTCTCAGTATTTCTCTGAGGTCCAGCCTCTTCCCTATGCCTCAGCCATCAGCCCAACCTGCTTGTCTTGTAGGCTCCTTAAACTCAACCTGTTGAAAACTAAGCTGTTGCTTTGCCAGTGCCTTGGGTTCTGTTTTCGAGATTGGCACCATCATCCATTCAGTCACCCAAATTGCAAGCCTAGGAGTCATTGCAGATGCCTCCTCCTTCCATAACCCCATGTAGTTAATCATCGACTAAGTCCTGTGATTTTGCCATCAAGATAGTTCTCAAACACGTCCCTTCCTCTGTCAGCTCCTCCCTTCCTACGACACTGCCTCTGGAGGCCACCATCTCTTTTCAGCCACTGTCCCACTCCCCATCTATGTCCCTTGCTTCCTCTCTCCATGCTACGGCCAGAATGATCTATTAAAAAACAAATCTCACCACATGACTCCTTTTCTTAACTTTTTAAATAGCTTTCTTTTGCCTGGTTTTTGATCACCGTCTCATTCCTTTGATCAGCATTATTTATTGAGCATTTACCATGTTCTGGGCAGTGTGGAAGGCCTTGGGTGTATAATGTGAGCATGTGCCTGACCTGTGCTGATGGAGGAGACAAATATTTACCACCGAATCATGGAAATAAAGGCACAATCATACATGTGGTGAGGGCTACCAGGCATCAGGTAGAGTAACAGGCCTGAAGACAGCAGGCTCAAGCAGTCTTTGGGGACTGGGGTTTCCCTAGTGCCCCAGAAACATCCTCCCCATCCTCTGCTTTGTAATTTATGGCTCAAAAATTATGACATGTCTGTAGTACCCTGAGTGCTCGCCACTGGTTCTTTCTTTTGTGCTTTTTTTTCCCTGCCATCCCTACTACCTGGAGGTCCCTTTCTCCCCTCCCCAGCTGGATAACTCTCAGTTTTCCTGACCGTCTGCCAAATGTCCCATCCTCCAGCAACATGTCACCTCCTCCAAAACATTGAATTCCCTTTCTTGCTTCCTTCTCTGTGCCACCTGTAATAGACAAGAAACATATGTCTCAGCGCACTAGAATAACCACACTATGGTGTGGTATGGTTGTTATAACTTGCCTGTCCAGGGAGTAGCACTTTGAAGATGTTTAATAAATAAATGTCTAATTGAATAAATAAATCAATATTTATATGTTTGTCTCTCCACACTATTTGGCTGTGACTTCCTCAGAAGCAGGGACTATGTTTAGCCAATTGTGTATCCCCAGCACTCTGCATGGGTTTGGGCAGAAAATATGTCTCCATAAATGAATGAGTTCTCTGAAGATAGTAGCCAGCGTCCTCAAATAATGTTCCTCCTTAGTTTGTTTGGACTAAGTGATTTATTTTTAGGGGAGGGAGGTGAAAAACACCAATTTTCTTCTAAGAATTTTGTTTCAAGGACTCTGCAAACCAAGCGACAGTGACACCAGAACTTTACAAAATGGTCCATTAAAACAGGTGTGTTTGGGGAGGGGATGGTGACTTTGCCAGAACTCATCCAGCACTTTAGCCATGGTTGTTTGTGTGCAAATAAATGCATGCATCATTTATTTTCAGCCTTTGATAGCCTCCTTTGGTCTCTACCTCCTTGACAAAGGTCAAGAAATAAGAAAATAAATGATATTCTGGAAGCCAATTCTCTTCCCTCAGGTGGCAAATAACTTCTTACTTCTCTTCAGTCCCTGCCTCTTAACCTCCCAGTGATTTTATCTTATGGTCCTTTACAAATCAGTGAATCTCAGAAATCACGTCCAGGGCCAGTTATTTTATGGAAAAGTGATTAAATATGACTGAAACATTTTAATTGCCAGAAGACCTATTGTCTAACTCAAAAAGAAAAAGAAAAAAATAGCAATTCACAATGTCCACATTAGCTCTTCCCAGTGGGTTTATTTGCACATGAGCAGCCAGCATTCCCTGTCCTGGAGCCTCCAGGAAGTTCCCTCCCTGTTGATGGGCAGCTGTCTTAGTCTTTTCCTTTTCCTACTCATTTTTCTTTTTCTTTCTTTTTTTTTTTTTTTTTTTTTTTTTTTTGTAAATGCAGAGAGCTTGCATCCCACCTCTGCTAACCTTTTGACTGCAGGCTAAAGAGATAATTTGAATTTTTAAATATATTGCCAATATGAAGACAAAGCAATTTTGACATTAGTAAATCCTCGGTTTTTGTCTGAGTTGGAAAACACCAGGAAAGCAGGTTTTAGAAAGCCTGTGTAGCTCTCCCAGAGCAGCCAGAAGCAAGGTCTAGTCCAAGACGAGGTTCGCTCTTGATTTAATCCCCTCTGCAAGTTGCCATTGCCCACAGCTGCCTACCACACACGGACTTGACAGGAGCTTCAGAGAGTCCCTTGATGGAGAAAGATGGGTGACCTTGGGTACTGGCATCTGGCAAGGGGCTGTGGGGATTAAAACCCTGACGGCATTTCTGCTAGGAAAGAAGGAAGGAAGGAAGGAAGGAAGGGAGGGAGGGAGGGAGGGAGGGATTAAAATTAACCCCAACCCCTTGCAAGGACTGTAATTCAGACCGATTTTGATTTTGCAGTTTTTGTACACTATAGTCAAGGTAATGTGGTTCACAAAATCCCCTGGAAACAAACTGACCAGAAAAAGGACTTGTCTCTTTCTAAAAGGAGGCTCCCTTTCTCATCCCGAGTTATGAGGGTCACTTCAACCCCCCTCCACCCCCCAGGTCATGGGTCCCATCACGAGGCAGCTGCCATACAGAGCTCAACTCATCCACCTGGACAACGGACACCAGCTGACATAGAGCTCAGCCTCAGGTTCTCCTTGATATTTGCAGAGGCCCATTTTGAACAAAGTGCAATCACAGCAGGGGTCCCATATAGCCAGACAGATGGTCCATTTTGATGTATTGCCTGAACACAACCTAGTTAATGTAGCGTCAGGAATTGGCAATAACAGGTATCCTTTTCAGTCACCAAACAGAAACAGTTCTCTTATTAATAAGGTTAAGGGAAGTCTCTACTTTGTAACATCTATTTGTAGCTTATTAAAAATACTCTTGGCTGGGCACAGTGGCTCACACCTGTAATCCTGGCACTTTGGGAGCCCAAGGCACATGACTAGCTTGAGCCCAGGAATTCAAGACCAGCCTGGGCAACATAGAGAGACCTCATCTCTACAAAAAATAGAAAAATTAGCCAGAAGTGATGGTAGTCCCAGCTACTAGGGAGGCTGAGGTGGGAGAATCACCTGAGCCTGGGGAGGTTGAGGCTGTAGGGAGCTGTCATCACACCACTGCACTCCAGCCTGGGAGACAGAGCAATACCTTGTCTCAAAAAAGAAAAGGAGTCTCATTGTCACATGTCATGTATTATACTTGGAACCAAATTCAAACAAGCCACAGCAGGTCCAATTTTTAAATTTTCTTTACACCAGTGCTTCTCAAACTTCAATGTGCATGTGAATCCCCTGGAATCTTGTTAAGATGCAGGCTGATAAAATAGGCTTGGGGCCATGCCAACATTCCGCCTCTCTAGCTAGCTCCCAGGTGATGATGCTGATGATGTTGGTCCACAGACCACACGTTGAGTATGGAGATTTCATAACAGCACATGCCCAGTGGCTTATCCAATATAACAAAAAGCATCAGTCCCTGGCATGAGTTCCTGATGAGGACAGACTAAGGACCTCATATAGGAGCACGTGGGAAAGTTTAAGAATTTGGAAAGAAGCATTGAAAAGTCACAATTCTACCTACTCTAGAATAACTCCTGTGGTAAGCTGAAGGCACTGGAGAGTGAGGGGTTGAGCAGGTGGAATTTCTTCAACCATTATTGAGAAATAGCCTTGTGCAAGGCTTGACAAAGTATGGTCTGTGGGCCAAATACAGCCTACTATCTGCTTTTAAAAATAAAGTTTTGGCCCGGCAAGGTGGTTCACACCTGTAATCCCAGCACTTTGGGAGGCCGATGCGGGCGGATCACCTGAGGTCAGGAGTTTGAGACTAGCCTGAGCAACCTGGTGAAACCCCATTTCTACTAAAATACAAAGATTAGCCATGTGCCTGTAATCTCAGCTACTCTGGAGGCTGAGGCAGGAGAATTGCTTGGGCCTGGCAGGTGGAAGTTGCAGTGAGCCAAGATCGCACCACTGCACTCCAGCCTGGGTGATAGAGCTAGACTCCATCCCAAAAATAAATACATACATACATACATACATAAAGTTTTAGGCCAGGTGCAGTGGCTCATGCCTGTTATCCCAGCAGCTTGGGAGGCCAAGACAGGAGGATTGCTTGAGGCCAGGAGTCCAAGACCAGCCTGGGCAACATAGCAAGACCTTATCTCTACAAACAATAAAATTAGTTGGGAATGGTGGCACGTGCCTGTGGTCCCAGCTACTTGGGAGGCTGAGGTGGGAGAATCACTTGAACCTGGGAGATAGAGGCTGCAGTGAGCCATGATTGCACCATTGCGCTCTAGCCCGGGCAACAGAGTGAGACCCCGTCTCAAAAAACAAAAAAAAAACCCCAAAATAAAGTGTTATTGGGGCACAGCCAGGCCTATTTGTTTACAGATTGTTTATCACTGTTTTTCTACTACAACAGCAGAAGCATGCAGTCACAACAGAGACCCCCACAGCCCACGTGTCTGGCCTTTTACAGAAAAAGTTGCATAGGGGCTTGCTTGGGTTTTGTAGGCAGCAAGGTTGATTTTTTTTCTCAACTTAGTGTACCAGATGTGTCATCTTGAGAAGTAACCCAGTTCCCTCAACTGTAAAATGGGATCATGATAATAATATCAAAATACCCACTTTATAGTGTTTACAAAATTCAACAATGCTTATACATCCTTATCACAGGATTCCCAAAATTCGAGCTGTAACTTTAGTTATAATGATGACAGAGGGCCCCAGAGTCATCATCATGCACCTTTCTTTGCATTTAAATCTGTTTTGGAGAGATGATGTTAAAAATATTTAACAACAGAATGTCGGGGCACTGTCCAACAGAGAGGCTGCCGTATTGTGGCAGGGTCTCAGAGGCCCTGCTGAGCCAAGTGTTACCACTTCTTTGGCTATATAGTTGTTAAATATTTTAAAGATTATTTTTGGCCCAATTTATATTAACCCCAGTCAGGAAAGGGGACCCTGTAAGCGGTCCAGGAAGAGGGTTCAAATTTTTTCTACTGAAATTATAATCACCATAATCCCAACACGCTGTCTTCCACAAGAACGGTTAGATCGGGGATGGGTCATTTGGCTGATCTGATAAAGGGATTCTGGGTACAGGGAGTTGAAGTCACTGGGTGACGACTCTCTGTAACTCAGTGGTTTGATGTGCCCATGGGGCCAGGGACCTATTTCTGGATTCACTGACGTATTCGACTGTTACTACTGAGTACCTACGTACAAGGCACTTTGGAGGGAAAACTTATCTCAAAGGGCTTCCCACCTTCCACGGGGGTCACCAATAGTTGTCCCCAGAAGTTTCTTGTTTGACCTGCACAGTATTTTTTTTAATTTAGAAAAATATTTTAAAATCTGGAGATTTCATTTAAAACTTCAGGTTTTTAACCTCTTTGGAGAAATAAAACCAAAGACCTCAGAATCTTTTTTGACACTGGGCCCACATTCCTCCCACCTGGCCACATTCTGCTGGGACAGCCCCTGCCCTATTTAGACAGAGAATGAGCTCTCTGAGTCACCACCGCCGTCACCCACCCTTCCTGATGTCACACAGCCAAGCTCCCTCAATTATGTCACAGACACACAGGGATGTAGTGGCGAGGGAGGGCTCTGGGGTGGATGGGTGACACTTCTTACTATGTGCCCTTGGGCAAGTTACTGAATCCCCCTGTGCCTGAGTTTCTTCCCCTGAAAAATGGACATAATTAAGAGTCCTTATCGTATATGTTTGTTGTAAAGATTTAAAAGGGTAATAAGAACAAAGTGCTTAGAACAGTCCTTGGCACACAGTAAATGCTGAATAAACAGGCCTCCTTCTCCTATATTCTCCTGTAAGATTCTAGGAGATGAGGGCAATTTGGAACAGCCTGTCTTGCTAGGTCATTTGCCTCAACCATGAAATGTAAACTGAGTATTTGGAAAACACCTTCGATGGTGCCAGTTCAGAGAAGGGTCCTTGGGGTTTCTCCCATAGTCTCTGCCCCATCCTGTTCATGGGCCCCAAATACAAACAGCATTTGTATACGAATAGCACTCAGAGGGGAGGAAGCAAGGCAGACAGAAGCAGGTCCTTCTCTTCTCTTGGCAGAATTGCCAAGGAGTCTCCCGGAGGCCACATGCAACGCACTACGGAGAAAGAACCCTGGGCTCATGGTAACGAGCCCACTCCCCTGGAGTCAGACACCACCAGCAAACTGACTTGGGGGAAAACATCCAGGAAAAAAGCCTAGATGACCAGTGTTACACATCAACTAATCTGTGATTCATACATATTCAGAAGGAAAGTGAGTGAAAAACCGGCGTTTCAGGCAGCTTTACATTTTCAAATTAAGTTAATAAAATAAGATTTCCAATGTAATGACAAATTAATTCTTCTTTTCATAAGTTTATTAAAATAAGCGTCTCCTATCTTCTAACTAGTGCTGACATATGCTTACATAGATACATCCTACCCAGTAACCTAATCTCCCAGCAATCTTGAAGCAATTAACTCCTTCTAATCTTGAGCTAACAAAGCCCACCACGCCAAAGACCCCTGAGAGCGCCCCACAGCAGCCTCCCTCTCCTGCTCCGAGCCACCCTAGCTGGGTCCGATGAAGTGGCCCAGAGTGGTGATTCGGCTCAAACAACCAGATGAGTCATCACAGATCATAAGATCTTCATTAACTCCTTCTTTCTCTGCTAATTAACACAAAAAGAATGAGTTGAACGTCTGACAGGCAATGACTGACCCACTGCTTGGTGGTTAATGGAATGCAAATGACATCTAATGAGGGTCTCTCCTGGTAGCGTGGGCAGCTGGCCTGCTATTTTTGTTGTGGATTTTGTTGTGTTGGAGCTCCGTGAAAAGAGTTTACCCAATAATTTAAACAGCAGCTGAGTTTGTAATATAACGTCCATGCGTTTATGTATGTCTGACACATGGCAGAATTAACTTAAGCTGTTAACCACGAGGTCTAGCTGAAAATACCGCAATTCAGGGGGAGAAATACGGCTTCAGATCCTTCCAAATGAAGCACAATATTTGTTGATTGAGTTATGTAATGCATTTCGGATTTTGTTTTAATGTGACAGTGGCAAGCATGTTGCTTTTGGGTTGGGGGGTGGGGGGTGGGTCCTGAGCATAGCCTTGGCAATTTATTATAGCTTAAAAATGTCTGCAAAACCGAAGTTTCATCACCTAAGATTTATCTTAGAATACAAAGAGAAAAAACAGCCCAAGTATGATTTGTGTGCTGTCAATAAAATGGTGATTCAATGAAGGGGATTTCTGCAATGAAAACAATAATACAGCTCAAAGAAGAAATCTTATTGTCTATTTCTAGCTGTTAATCGACAGTTTTATAAACAAAAGCATGATTTTTAAAAAAAGGTTCTATTAAGATGCATGCTTCTTTACTCCACCTGCTCTCATTCCCCTCACCTGGGTAGGAAAGGCACTACTAGTTAAAATTCCAAACTCTCTTCTCAACCCAGATCCTTAAAAACCTTCCTTTTTACTAATGAATTGGCAACTCACTCATTGAAGACACCTGGTGTTGCCCAGTATTGATCTATACTAAAGCCTCGCTTAAAAACAAAAAGTATAGAATGGCTATTGTGAAATTCAAAGGAATTATCACTCTATGAAATAGATTCTCTGAATTTGGACAATATCCTGGCTCATCCCACTTTTGCATATTCATTTTTTCAACAGGTAGAATTCACCGGTGCCTATGAGTAGTTTGAATCTGCTGTGCATTCTATGAACTTTCGAGATTAATGACAAACAATTTACCACTTTCTAACTAGTGGAAGGGAGGTAGTGAAAATTATTGGTTTTTGCTTGACAGTTGTAAGGAGTTGCCAGAAAGATGATTTCTCCCAAATTTCAAACTTCTAACTCCTTCTGGATTTCAGGATCAGTCAGGGATACCCTTTTTTCCTTCTTCCACACAGAATTTCTCTAGGTCCCAGTCGTGAAACGGATGAAGATATTTATCCTTCTCTCTGTTCTTTGCTATTACGTCTTCCTGGGATCCCCTTTCCCTGGATCTTACCGCTACTTATCATCCAAGTAGGTCTCAGCTGAAATGACACTTTTCACAGATTGCACGGTCACCTGAGGCAGACCCCAGTCCCCCCTTGCTTCATCACCAAAGGTTAGTTCATTCCCTGTCTTTGTTGTGTCTCCTGGTGCTTGTTCACTGTCTGGCATTCCACTGGACCCTAAACTCCCTGAGGACAAAGACCTTGCTTGCTGCATTCCAGGAGACGGAGCAAGGCCCAGTACCCAGTAGGGGCTCAATCCGTGTCTGTAGAACGAAGGTGTGGATGAGGGAACATGAGATGCTCCCTCCAGAGCCTGGACTTGTGCACCTCGGCGACTTTGCTCATCTGTGTTCTTTGCCAAATTCCCCTCTCCCCTTCTCCCTCCTGGGAAACCCTGCTCAGGCTTCAAGACTCAATTGAAGGTGTTGTCTTCAACCCAGCCTTCTCCAGTCTCACAAAGCAGAATTTATATTTCGACTCTCAATGGGTTTAAACTTCTGGCCACTGGCTTGTATGGATTCTGTGTCTCTCTGTCTCCTTGGCTAACCTGTGAGCTCATAGAGGCAAGAAACTTTGTCTAATTCTACTTTGAACTTCTCACACACCAAGCCCAATGCCAGGAATTTAAGTCTTCAAAAATAAATAAATGGAAAAATTAAACTATCATTCTATTTTTAAGGAAAAGGCCTTGTCTCTCATTAGGGAACTCTACCAGAAGTAACCATAACAGAGAACACACAACCCTTTCAGAGAGGTGGCAGGGGTACACACAGGTCACACGCTTAAATACGTAACCTCTAGTCCCCATAATGCTCTTCAAAACATCCCCATTTGACAGATAAAGAAACTGAAGCTCCAAGAAGTTAAGTAACATGCCCTCTGTGCTCAGGTAGTATGGAGCAGTGGTGGGAATAGAACCCATTTTGAAATCAGGTCAAACTTCATGCTCCTCTTGTCAACCTTGAGTATAATTTGTTGAGCTTTAACATTAAATCACCATTTTGATGGTTTCTTGTGAGAAATTCCCAGTGGGTATGCATTTCTATATTGATTCTGTCTTGGCTGTTCAACTGAATAGAGAATGTGTCTTTCTGCAGGGGGCAGGCAGAATTGGTAAAACTGAGTCATTGGTATGGGTGTTATTTTAAACTACCCTTTTCACAAACTTTAAAGCATCCCAGTTCCTCATAGTTGGGTAAGAAAAACATAGGAGAGGAAGAGAGGAAAAAAAGCAAAGAGGACAGAAAGGTGTTCTACACTGTACAGACTAGTGATAGAGTGTCAAATTCCATATCTTTGGTGTCCCCACCTACAACAGGACCTTCCTAGCACCTGCCCCAACCAGTTCTGTCGGAATCTGGAAATGGAAAATAAAAATGACATTTTAAGTAGAAATGCCTTTAAAGAAACATTTTCAGTAATTATGGGGTCCATAGTACCATTACCATCACTTGGCTAGCCCTTTCCAAACTTTCAAAAAGTCTTTGGAAATGTTTTCAACCAACTAAGCAGCAGAATGCCCTGGGCAAAACCCATTTCCACCCCATGTGACTCTGGGGATCAGAAGTCCTGGGGCAGGCAGCTTGGAGCCACCTCAGGTGATAGCATGAGTTTGACAAAAACCAGTATTAAGCATAGAGGTAGGGCCAGGGTGGTAGCTCACACCTGTAATCCCAGCAGTAAGGGAGGCTGAGGTAGGAGGATCTCTTGAGTCCAGGAATTCAAGAGCAGCCTGGGCAACAGAGTGATACCCAGTCTCTACAGAAAAATTAAAAATTAGCCAGGTGTGGTGACACACACCTGTAATCCCAGCTACTTGGGAGGCTGAGGTAGGAGGATCCCTTTAGCCCAGGAGTTCAAGGTTGCAGTGAGCTGTGATCATACTACTGCACTTCAGCCTGGGTGTGACAGAGGGAGACACTGTCTCAAAAAAAAAAAAAAAAAAAAAAGAAAAGGCCTGAAAGCAATCATGATTAGTGCAAGTTGTGGAGGATTTCAAGCTCTTCACAGATGACATTTATAAACATGATGAGCTTCAGAGGGTTGGAAAAAATGCATTTCAGAGTTAGATACCTTAGTTGGGTTGGTTTTAATGATCAAACAGGCATGGTGGGCCCACAGAGTCTTGGGTTAGTCAGCAGCTCCCTTATTTGCAAACTGGTTAAAGGTATGAAAATGGCGCCCATGGGCATCATGTTCTAGAGGAGATATTCATGGATCCCCACCCACTCCACTTTGGTTGCTATATGCCCACCCCAGGAATTTCAGGCACGAGTGACATGGAATTCTCTGGATACCAGCTCTGCTTCTTTCTGCCCTTTCCATGCATAAGGTCTGAGAGTGAGAAAAATGGAGTTAATTTGGTTACCAATGACATCTCATTAACACCCCCCAAGAAAACCTGTAATTATAGATAGATAACCAAATCGTACACACCAAGTAGGAAAATGTGAATTATATGGCAACAAGGCATACAATGCTTAGAGATGAAAGACACTGAATAAGTGAGAAAGCCTAATCCCTAGCAAATACAAATTTTGACAATTGCATTTTCAAACATGCGCGGTTGAGAGAGCTCTGGAAATGGCAGAAACTTAATATAAAGCTTTTCCTCCTTTTATTTAAATGAAAACATCCTTGTACATTCTATATACTTTGGATGTCACCAATTTTGGAGGTAATCTTTTAGGTTAAGTATGTTCCCACATTAAACTGATAATTATCCTTCCTTCTTTTCTTCTATCCCCCTGACACTCAACACACTGGATTTTTGCTTCATGTTTTATTTATGGGACAGAATTAATATGCAGATTCACAAAAACTTAAAAACTCATAATTATTCATAAAGGGCTTTAAGGTTATTTAGTACATTTTTATGAAACCCTGGGTTTGTGGGAATGCGTACTTGAAAGTTGTTGGGAGTAGAGGAAGGTTAAGTCCTAGAATGAAGAGTGATCTGAAAATGATCTAACTCTTTGAATAAAAGTATTTGTCAGTATTCCTAATCTATACTTAAGTGAATAATGGACATCCATAACCTTGTAAATATATTCAAGACTGGCCTGGGAACAGAGAAGATTTGCATATCCAATGCAAACAACCAATGCAGGAAGAAACGTCTAGTTAGGAATCCTTGATCACTAAGCAAGTGTAATAAAGAACCGAGATTTTTCTTGGTTTCTGGCCATCTCATGGTGCTCTGTGCTTTTACAAATAGGCTCAAGTCTAGAAAAGGTTAACGCCCATTAGAAATGGGTATGTCCTATTTCTTCTGGAAAAAAAAAAAAAAGACAAGGAGAATGAGATGGTCACTGTGGATGGAGACCACCACTGCAGCCTTAGAGGATCAGCTGAAGGGCGAAGAGCATCTGTGACAGTGGAATCTCTAGAAACCTTCCCTTACCTGATAATAGCTCTTCACTCTGCTGACAGTTAAGAGTATGTTGATGGGGAAGTCACCTTACTGAACAAACTTTGGGAAATATGGTCTAAAACCATTGATCAAGGATGTGTTATAGTCTTGGCATGGTCTCACTGGAAGCATCTGGAAATGTTAGACAGTCAACTGCAGGTAGTAAGAAGCTTATTGGTGCTTGGAAAATTCTTCTTTACAATGGAGTGGGGAGGTGGGGAAGGGAGATAAAAGAGCATGGGCAGGGCGCAGTGGCTCACGCCTGTAATCCCAGCACTTTGGGAGGCTGAGGCGGGTGGATCACGAGGTCAGGAGTTTGAGACCTGCCTGGCCAACATGGTGAAACCCCGTCTCTACTAAAAATACAAAAATTAGCCAGGCGTGGTGGTGCATGCCTGTAATCCCAGCTACTCAGGCGGCTGAGGCTGAGGCCGGAGAATCACTTGGACCTGGGAGGCAGAGGTTGCAGTGAGCTGAGATCATGCCACTGCACACTCCAGCCTGGGAGACAGAGCAAGACTCTGTCTCAAAAACACAAACAAACAAAAAGAGCATGGCTTATTCCGCCTAGACCCAGAATTGAATCTTTGTCCTGACACTCACCAGCTGTGTGATCTTGAGTAAGTCAGCTAACCACTTGGAGCTCATCCGGGAAAAAAAAAAAAAAAAAGGAGAGACGTCTACCTTAAAACAGCTGTGCTATAAAATGAGCTAATGGCTATAAAATATCTTGTACATATCTGGCACATAGTAGGCACTTAAGAGATGACAGCTCTTTTTATCTGAGCATGCTTACTGGGCTGCAGGCTTTTCGTTAATGTCTTAGCCTTAAGTGCATGGATGTACTCAGACGCAAACGTGTGGGTCTAAAGAATCACTGTAATCTTTGCATTAAATGCAGTGATGGCTAAATAGAATAGGTGCTCGTTTAGTTTTATCACCTAGTGTATATTACATTATTTGAAATAATATTGTATCTACCAAAGGTTTACAAAGCAAATATATATATGAAAATAGAGCTGTCTTCACAATTAGAATCATTCTGCTTGAGAGAGAAAGGAGAAAGAGCAGCTTTTAGCAGCTTTACCTCAGCGTTATCATAGAATGTCTGTCTCAGGCACCCCCCCGCCACCCCTACCCCGCCAACCTTCGTTTTTTGTTTTGTTTTGCTTTTTTGTTTTGAGACAGGGTCTCTTTCTGCTGCCCAGGCTGGAGTGCAATGGCATGATCATGGCTTACTGCAGCCTCGACCTCCTAGGCTCAAGTGAACCTCCTGCTTTGGCCTCCCAAGTGGCTGGGACCACAGGTGTGCTCCACTGCGCCTGGCTAATTTTTTTTTTGGTAGAGATGGGGTTTCACCATGTTGCCCACCCAGGCTGGTCTCCAACTCCTGGGTTCAAGCGACCCTCCTGCCTGGGCCTCCCAAAATGCTGAGATTACAGGCGTGAGCCACTGTGCCACTCCCCCCACCTTATGTTTCTCATCAGAGATAATATAATATCATATTTGACATCCTTGAGGCTTTTTCTTCAGAAACATGTACTTCTTGGTAAGGGTTAAGGTAGAGAGGGGGCAAAGGAGGAAATGGGGGAATATTCCTAGTTCATTTGGGGAGGGCAGGACTCTGTCCCCCAAGGATATCCAGCTGTACAAGTCGATTTTTCAGATGAATCAATAAAAATACTGATAAATAAATATTTAAGTCTCTTAAATACAGACATAACCTACAGACCTGACAGTTTAAGCAATGAGCTCAATTGATTTCATGAGAGTAAAATATATGAATAAGACCTCGGATATCTCAATTGTTCACTGAGCAAGCAGAAATGTCATGTGTCTGGCTTTTACCCTCCTTCCCCTTCCTAACTGGAAATGGCATCTAATGAAGTTTGAGTAATCCTGAAGATTAATGCTATAAAATGTGCTATATTATTACTTCAGAGGGAAGAAAATATGGGGAATTTTTATAGCTGTATTTGATTAACCTATACAGTGTTGATTTAAAAATATATGTATATGTATGTGTGTGTATTTATACACACAAATATATTCCCACCCATCTTCAGCCAATTGTCAGCTTACTCTTGCCATAGACTGAAGCACTGCTTTAGTAGACTTTTGAGAAGGCTAGTCCTATCTTAGTTTTGAAGAAATGACCCATTAAGCTTTGGGGAATTGGCATATCAACAAATTAAGTCAACATCTCTACTACCTAGCTACTGCAGCAGGGACTTACTAGCATGAGTTTAGATCTTGGTATTTGGAGACAAAAATCTCTGTCTTTTCTCCATGATCTCTCTGTAGAATGGAACTGCTGATAAACCTCCCCAAATCACTCATTACAAGACTCCTGCCTGTGAGACCCGTAACTCTTCCAAGGGCTTCCTAAATGCTCCTGTTTGGTTTTCTCACTGGCTTTCCTTCCTACTAAACTCCCAGAGGCTCCCCTTTCCCACATGGTTGGATTAGACGGCATTGCTCCGTCTCCATGTCTCTTAGACTCACAACCAGGGTGTCAGCTTTGAGTCTTACCCAGACAACTACCTGGACATATCTCTCACATCCATCCATTCTCCTCTCTCCTCTATCCTGCTGCTTGACACAGGCTCTCATCAAGTCCTGCCAGGACTCTCTATGTGGACTTTCTGATCCCAGCCACAGCCCACAGCTGCTTGTAGAATGATCAGTCTCATATACCACCTTTGCCAGCTACTCCTCTCTCCTTCTCCACAGGAACCACACAGCTTAAGAGAGAGGAGTTCAACTCTCTGCCTGGTTTTCAAACTGCCTTCACTACACCCAGCCAGCCTGACTTCCTGCCACTCACTCCTCTCTTTGTCATGTGATGTAATTTGTAGATGCAATATCTTTTCCATTTCCTGTAAAACCCAGGATGATGCCACAAAAAGGGCAGGTTTAGATCTAACATGTCCATCTGAAGATCATAGAGAATATTTTTACATTTTTAATGTCATGACTCACAACGTGTCCGTTTTCCTTGAGAAAAACAGAAGTATGAAAATGACCAAAGTCTTCTTCAGGCATCATTCCTACTCCAGGTCCCCACCCACAAGATGATCACTTTAATATTTGTGTGTTTGTGTGGCAGAAGGAACTGTGTTTCCTTCCATGCCTTCTTCTATATATATTTGTGTGTGTGTGTGTGTGTGTGTACACACATCTCACAGGTTTTTGGTGTGGCTGACTGGGGAAAATGTCTCTCTTTCTTTGAAAGACAAACGTGATGGATTTCACAGCTTGAGCCACTTCCTGCTTGAAATTTACTAAATGGTTGATCAGTGTCTTTGTAATCCCCCCTCCAGCTTTGCTCTTAACAGAAAACACATCCTAATGCAATGTCGTAATGCAATGTTTACAACATTATAGAAAGTGACAAGGGGGCTTTTGTTGTTTGCCTGTTCAGGGGATTTGTTTTTCCATTTCAAACACTAACACCATAAAGTGTGGTACATGCCTCTGGAAAGGCTGGATTTACTGCCAGCCCTGCCCACCCCCCACTTCCCAACATGTTATAAGAAAGTTATCTGATCAGCTAGTGTTTGAGAGAAATTATTTGTGCCCTGATGAAGTGCTCAATAATGCTGTGGTTGGAACCAGAGCTCTGGATCCCAGAATCAGCTGGCTCGTAGGCACCCACCTCTCTAACCGACAGCAGTGTCTTGGAATTTAATATACTTTCAAGTGAGTTTTAGTATGTGTGACATTTTTGAGCCAAAAGCTGAGTTCAGAGAAATGTCAATTCGGTGAGACAATTTTCAAGATGTGCTATTGTATCTTAATGAGATCCTGATCTCAGGGGTAATGTAGTAGCTACCTCCTGTTTAAGGATGCAAATTCCCTGATTTTCTTTGAAACCACAGTAGTTAATGAATTTAGCTAAAGGGAGAAGCCCCCCTCAGCTCACAAAGGTCCCCCATACCATTGGTAAATATGTTAATAAATGTTACCCAGTACTTTCCCTATCAAAAGTCATCAAGTTACTTCTAGTGCCGCAGAGTTCTAACTACCCCAAGGGAAGGAGCTGACAGTGATAATATCATTTCCCTGAAAGTGTTGGGTTTCTGTTTATTTTCAACGCAGGCAAGCTGGTAAGTAAAGTTATCCTTAAAAGGGGTGACCCTTTTAATGGTTCTACTTTATCTAGAAGAAAGTAACTCTCTTACACTTGCTTTACCTCAGCTCCCCAGTCCCTGTCCCAGTTGATATACCTGGGAAATAGTTTTCACTCACATTGTGAAATCTAGTTCATTGGTGCTGGCTGCTTGGAATGAGAGGGGATCTGGGGCCATACCTGGACTCAGAGGAGATGAATGTTGTGATGGATTAGTGATGTCTGGGGCCATGATTGGTGATGTCTGCTAGGGAAAGGACTAGAAAAAACTAATCCTTCACGTTAAACATCTCTGTTGCTTTTTGTGACACTCATTCGTAAATTCAGGCACTCTTTACCCCTTCTTCTTTTGGATAACAAAGGAAAATTACTCTGGCATTTCTGAGTTTCTCTCGAAGGACTTTTAAAAAGCCAGGGACCCAAGGATTTCTAAGAGTGATCATTAGAGAAATGATAGAGCTGAGGCAGAAAGAAGTTGTGTCCAGGGAAAACAGGAAAAAGATTTCTCTTGTTTATTGGAAATGCTGGTGCCTGCCCTCTCTACACTCTCAGACTTCGGCTTTTCTTAGGAAAATGTCTTTAAACTCCCTGTTGTATACTAAATGAACGTATACCTTAGCATTAGTGAAAATATTTCTCAAAGGATGGTCAGTAAAGGAATTGCCTAGACTGTGTCTAGAAATGACAATTCTGAAATCCATGTAAGACCTTCTGAATCACATGCTCTGGGGTAGAGCCTGGGAATCTGCACTTACAAACTCCCCCAGGCAGGACCAACTATGTAATTTGTAGAGGCCAGCAAAATAAAAATGTGAAGCTCCTTGTAAAAAGTTATTAAGAATTTCAAGACAGCCACAGCAGGGGATTAAACCAAGCAGGGGACCCTCCTAAGAGAACCTGGCCCTGGCCCCAAGTTATTCTGATGTGTACTAAGCTTTTAGAACACTGAGCAAGTATCTCACGCAGAACAGAGGTGAGATAATTCAGTTCATCCATCCACCCCAAGTGGTGCTGATAGGAAGAGGGGAGGGGAATGTCCCATCCCCATTCTAACATAGCACTGAAGGCCTAGAATTTCTCAGCCTCCTCAGCACCTGTAAGAGCTCCAATACTCATATCATTTAAATGGTTTCTGAAATCTCACCTCTCCCTTAAAAGTTCCCAAGTTGACAACATGGAAAACTCATGGCCATTTCCATGCTATCCTCCCTATCTCTTGACTCACTCAGTGAGTTGCCTAACTAAATACAGAACTAAATAGGCCAGGCACAGTGGTTCACGCTTGTAATCCCAGCACTTTGGGAGACCAATGCGGGTGGATCACTTGAGGTGAGGAGTTCAAGACCAGCCTGGCCAACATGGCGAAACCCCGTCTTTACTAAAAATACAAATATTAGCTGGGTGTGGTAACACATGCTTGTAATCCCAGCTGAGGAGGCTGAGGCAGAGAATCGCTTGAACCCAGGAGGTGGAGGCTGCAGTGTGCCAAGATTGTGCCACTGCACTTCAGCCTAGGCAACAGAGTGAGTGAGACTCGGTCTCAAAACAAACAAACTAACTAAAGCCTGCAACTCAGCAAGACCATCAGGGAATTATTAGGAAGCCACTTACACATCAATTTCCAGCTCATCTGCTGGACTATTAAGTATAATCTACTACTACTGAAACCATTCACCATGGTCCTTTGCTCTGTGTTCGAGCAGATGGTCTGGAGTTCAAGGCTCAGCTAGCATGTTTATGAACTACCCCTGTGATGAAACATTGGTTCTTAAGTTAATAAGTATCTTCCATGATAGAAGCAGCAGATACAGACTTCTAAGACACACACTTCTCTTACTATCCAACCATGTCTTGCTGTTAATATTTTTATCACTTGTGTATTTTTTTTCCAAGCCAAGCTCAGATTCGATTATTACCTTGTGCATAGTCCTTCAGTGACACCTTAGTGCCTATAGAATAAAATGTCCTCCTTGGTCTGGTATTTGAGACCCCATGCAGCTTACATCCTACAGGGAGAGACAGACAAAAAAATGTAAACCACAACGTAATTTCAAATTGTGGTTAGAGCTATTTTAAAAACTCAGCCTGCTAAGAAAATAATGAGAAGGGGACAGGCAATTGCTTTAGATATTGTACTCAGAAGTGTCCCCTTTGAGGAAGCTCATCAGTCCATAATATTTAGTTTGCAAGTGACAAAAAGTAAATTCAAATCAGTTAAAGGAAAGAAAGAAAGGAAGGGAGGGAGAGGGAGAGAGGGTGAAATTGAGAAAGACACACAGGAAGAGAGAGAGGGAGACGGAGAGAAAAAGGAAACAAGGGAGGGAGGGAGGTAAAGGAGTGCCTCTTTCTCATTGGTTCCAGTGTGACTACAGGGGCTGGCCCTGATTGGCCTGTCATAAGTCACATGTCAATCTTTGAACCAATCACTGTGGCAGTAGCTAAGTCATGTGGCTTTGGCTTCCGGGAAAGGGTTTGGCCTCTTCCTCTAAAATCTCAGAGTTTGAGGGTTGCAAGCTCGTCCTCTCAATGAAGATTTGTATTTTTGTTATCAAAAGAAGTGGGGAGAAATGTCCAGAAGACATACACAACTTAGGTCTTGAAAAAGCCAGTCATGAAGAGTTGAGTGGGAAGGAACATTCTAGACGGAGAGAGTAGCAGGAAAACTTGACACATAAAAGAAACCAATAGAAAGTCAGTGTGTCTTAAAGTTTGGGAGCCCGGGAGCCAGGGCACCGGTGAACTGAGATGAGTTTGGAGAGAGCAGCCGGAGTTAGATGGCTAGAATATTCTAGATCAAAAGCACAGAACCCATTATGACTCCTCCTTTTCATAATGTGTGACAAATTTCTTTGGAGATCTTTTAGGTATTCTTGTCTTATGTACATTTACTAAATTTTTGAGATAGCAGCTACTCTGTTCCAAAAGGGACATACTATCTGTACATTAAAAGTGGCACAACATCATGTCCTCACATTTGACTTAGAGATGCCCGATGCTCAGTAACCAATTATTTAAAGAGGTTTTTGTGTTTTAAGATGTAAGGTGTAATCCCAGCACTTTGGGAGGCCGAGGTGGGCAGATCACGAGGTCAGGAGATCGAGACCATCCTGGCTAACACGGTGAAACCCCGTTTCTAGGAAACATACACACAAAAAAATTAGCCAGGTGTGGTGGTGGGCGCCTGTAGTCCCAGCTACTCGGGAGGTTGAGGCAGAAGAATGGCGTGAACTCGGGAGGCGGAGCTTGCAGTGAGCCGAGATCGTGACACTGCACTCCACCCTGGGTGACAGAGCGCGACTCTGTCTAAAAAAATAAAATAAATTAAAAAAAAAGATGTAAGGAATGTATCACTTTGTTACTCTTTAGACTGATTTATACCCTCTACAGTACAGTGTTTTAAGTTTGCACAAAATTCTAAATGCGTTGCAATGCTGCTAAGATTTCTCAGGTTCAGCCAGAACAGGGGCATTTTATTTCCTGAGGATACGAAAGTTTGATTGTATTCGCTGCATTTTGAAAATTATTCAAAAACTTCCTTATAAATCAAATTGAGCCAATCTGGATTTTAAACATTTGCTAAGATTTTAGCATTTCATCTGTTTATTTCTTAATATCTAGCCAGGTTAAAGTCTTTTCATCTCAAATAGCATGGCTACGCATTAAAATGAATGAAGGGAAACTGACTCGACAACGTGTGTGTGTGTTTTTTTTTTGTCACCAATCAGATCACGCTTTTCTTATTAATAGAAAAAAATGCTTATATTGAAAACAATGAAGAAAACACAAAAGAACAAAGTTGTATGTGACTGACAGTGGGTTTCCTTGGGAGCTGGCTGGGGTAACTGAGGACTCCTTGCACAAATATGCCAAGCATGAGAGACCTGAGCTAGTAGACCCTAAAAGTTGGCATCAATTATTATTATCATATTATTACTTTTTCCCCGTCATATTCCCACTGCAATGCTTTTGCCAGTTTCCCTTTGAATAAGGCAGAAGCCCCACAATAATCTATTACGAGGTTTTTCTTCACTAGAGATTTATTTTGGTTTTGTTGTTGTTATACTTAACATAACAGATGTTCTGGCATTTTTTCACGTGATACCACTGTGAGTCTCATGTTATCCTTAAAACCCTACAAAATTTTAGACAGTCCCTCTGAAATAACTTCCTCCTCTTTGGAATTTTATCTTCACGCAGGCCTTTTTCTCACTATTTGTAATGGTATATTAAAACGATAACTACACAGAAAAAAGAACGGTTTATTCATATGTTTTATAACTTTGAAATTAATTGCTGTTGAAAGATAGTTACCCCAATGGTGGAGTCAGAGAGTCTACAGATCTTCTAAAAGGGAATTAAAACATTCCCTTTGATTTTTCTACTTCTGCCCCCAGTTTATAAGCAGGACTATGTAGAGATAGTCAACTCACTTAGGACTGTTCTAAAGACAAGTTGTAGGTCTGGTTTTAATCAGGTGTGTTTGAGCCACAAGCACCCAAAACATACCCTCTATGTTCTTCTGGGAAAGAGGCATTGAGAAGCTCTTATTTAAGGAATCTTTAACTTATTAGACTAAAGATGCTACCATCTGGGTCATTTCCCTGGTTGATGTCCCTTTGTCCTAGATGCACTTTCAAGACTAAGATTCACACACAGTCAGCCTAGTGGTTGGTTGGTAGACCTGAAAAATTTCAAAGCAGCCTAGGTGGTTATTAAGAGGCTGCAGGCCATCTTCTTTGGGGGCTAATGGTGTATTCACCTGGCTCTTTGTCCTCAGTGAGCAAGGTCAGGGTTCCTTGCTGTGTTTGCTCTTCTGTCACCAAAGGGAACCAGTACAATTTAAAGCATTCTCTGATGTGCTAAAAGCTTCTAAAAAAGATGGTTAAGCAAACAAAGCATTCACTTGCCTTTCAAGCCAGCCTGGCCTGAAGAGCTGATTGACAAAATTGATGATCCTTAAGGAAACATTTCCTCCTCATCAGGTCATTTCTCAGCACAAAAGATCCAAGTGCTCCTCAAGGTCCACAGGTTAAATTCCAAACTCATTATTCAGCCATTCAATGAACTGGCATCAGCCACTCACTGAATTGGCATCAGCCTTAATCGTTTCCCACCTCTGCCCTCTGAGCTGTCCTTCAGTCACACTGTTCTACTCATGAGCACAGCTGGCTGAGCCCAGGATGTTCTTTTTCTGCCTCTTCTGTTATTCTAGCTATAGCCCATCCTGGCTACTCTCTTGACCTCAGGCACTTCTTGCCAACATCCTTTTTATAGTGACTCTGTGTCAGTTAAGATTCTTTCAGTTGCAAATGACAAAAAGTGCGAACCAAACTGGGTTAAACAAAAAAAAAAAAAAAAGAAAAAAAAAGGAAGGGAGGAAGGAAGGAAGGAAAGAAAGGAGGGACAGAGGGAGGGAGGGAGGAAAATTGTTGGTTCTTGTAACTGAACAGAGTTCAGGATGGTTGTTGGCTTGATCCAGGCTTCAAATGCTGTGCCTGAGACCCAGTTTTCCTTTCCATTTCTCAGTTCCATATCTTTGATGTTGAAATAATTCTGTGGTCCCTCCTAGGCATAAGGTGGCTGCCAGTAGCTCCCGAGATTCTATCCTTCCATCTTCCCATTCAATAGGAGACAGGGAGATTTTGGTGCCACATTCCCAGCCAAAATCTCATTGACCGTGGAGAGGACAATGTGACGAGCTGATTGGCTTGATTTGTGCCACATGTTCCAATCACAAACAGAGAGTGGAGTCAAATCCTTCAGAAGCACAGGGACTAAGGGGTGGGGTGGGGGGGAGGTGTCACTTTACAGGAGAAGAAGAGAGAGAGAGTACTGTTAGAAGAGATGTGAATGTCCCCTAGTGCCTTGTCCCCTACCCAGTTGTAGGCTAACTTGAGGACAGAAATCTCAGCTGCTATTTTAGGCTGAGCACTATACCCTACACCCAACAGGTACTATATGAGGGCATCAAAAGATTGAGAATTATTCACATAAACTTTCTGACTAATATCGCCAAAGCCAAAAGAAAATCAAGATGTTTTAAACAGTGGCTAATCAAAACCTTGCCTTGATGATTCTTTTATTTTGACTGGCAAACACCATCCAGCCCCCAGTGGTTGTTCCTGTAGACATGGGCTCTGTGTAAGCACATGTTTCAACAGGTGCCTGAGGCTGCCGCAGCAGATGGCCAGGCAGGATGCTGATGGTTCCCCCAGATGAAGTTTCCTTACACTGTGAAGAAGCCAGACCCTGTTACTCTGCCTACTGTCCTCACCTCTAAGCCGTGTCCTTGAGAACAGCCTTTTTTTTTTTTTTTTTTTGGCTTCTTACTGATTTTTGGCTGCCTGGGATGCTGGCTTATTCAGCATCTCTGATCCTGGTAAAAGGATGCATTTTTCTCCCCGTGATGAAAGTCAATTAGGGCCGGGTGCAGTGGCTCATGCCTGTAATCCCAACACTTTGGGAGGCCGAGGTGGGCAGATCACCTGAGGTCAGGAGTTCAAGATCAGCCTGGTCAACATGGCGAAACCCTGTCTCTACTAAAAATACAAAAATTAGCCAGGTGCAGTGGCACGTGTGTGTAGTCCCAGCTACTTGGGAGGCTGAGACAGGAGAAGTGCTTCAACCTGAGAGACAGAGGTTGCAGTGAGCTGAGATCATGCCACTGAGCTTCAATCCGGGCAACAGAGTGAGACTCTGTCTCAAAACAACAACAACAACAAAGTCGATTAGAAGAGGAAGAAAAGTTCTGTACCTGGGATTCTAGAGGATAGAACAATAACCTTTATTTACTTATTTAATAAAATATATCTGCATTATGAACTGAGCTAAGCTCTAGGAAAATAGAAGGAAGCAAGAAGAGAAATGGTCCCTGCCCCCACTGACTTTACAGATGGGTTGCAGGAACATACACTAAGTCATTACCTGTGACCAGAGCACACTGTCTTCCCCTTTTGTGCTCTTAGTATGTTTGCAGCGATCAACTAGCACAGCAATTTGATGAACTGTTTCCTCTTCTGGTTAGGGTCCACAAGTCTCTGACTCTTTGTGCCTTGGATCTATACCCTGAGCAAAGTGCTCACCACTCCTATAGTGCTTAAGGAATATTTGAAATACTGTTGACCCTTGAACAACACAGGGTTAGGGGCACTGTCCTCTCCTCCCACCAGGTGCAGTCAGAAATTTGCATGTAACTTTTGACTCCCCCAAAACTTCTCTACTAATAGCCCACTGTTGCCCAAAAGCCTTAACAATAACATAGACAGTTGATTAACACATATTTTGTATGTTACATGTTTTATATACTGTATTCTTACAATAAAGTGAGCTAGAGAAAAGAAAATGTTATGTTATTATGAAAATTATTAAGGAAGAGAAAATATATTTACTATTCATTAAGTGGAAGCAGATTATCATAAAAGTCCTCATCTTCATTGTCTTCTCATTGAGTAGGCTGAGGAGGAGGAAGAAGAGGAGGGGTTGGTCTTGCTGTCTCTGGAGTGGCAGAGGTAGAAGAAAATCCACTTATGTGGACTTGTGCAGTTCAAATCTATGTTTTTCAAAGGTCAGCTGTATTTTCTGATTAAATGGAAAAAAAAAATGAATGAATGAATGTCTTATTCTAGCCAAGTCATAAACCTATCTTATTTACCTCCAACATTGTACCTGAGCTAAAATACAATAGAATAATTTTTTAAATTATTTATATGTTTTCATAATTAAAGATGATAAAACCTTACCTAATCTTCTCTAAACACTGATTCTTATATTCAAAAACGATCAGTCCTAAGCAAGTATATTTTTAGAATCTGTAGGAAAAGCCCTATCATTCTTCACCTCTAACATTTCAATCTGTTTTAGTGGGAAGCAGGCAGAACAGATTTCATTCATTCATTCCACAAATACTGATTGAGCGCCTACTAAATGCCAGGCACTGCTGTAGGACTAGAGACCATGGAGTAAACAAGACTCAGGCCCTGCCCTCGTGAATTTCTGTGCATGCTGGTGTGTGGGAAGTATGTATGTACATGGAAGAGGGTATTCATTTCTTAGGGCCGCCCTAACAAATTACCAAAACTTGGTGACTTTATTCTCTTGCAGGTGAGGAGCCTGGAGGTCTGAAATCAAGGCGTCCACAGGGTTGTTCCCCCTGGAACCTCTGTGGGGGACTCTTGCACACGTCTAGTCTACTTTCTGGCTGTTGCTGGCAACCCTGGGTGCTCCTTGGCTTGTAGACACAGCACTCCAATCTCTTTTTCTGTCTCCATGCGGCCTTCCCGTCTGTGTCTCTGTCTCAGTTTTTCATCTCCTTTCTCTCAACGGCACCCATCAAGGATGCAGGGACCACCCAAATCCAGGATGATCTCCTCTTGAGATCCTTCATTTAATTACATCAGCAAAAAACTATTTTCAAATAAGGTCACATTCACAGGGATAGGGGTTAGGACTGAACATGTCTTTTGGGGTGTATTAGTCCATCTTCATGCTGTGGATAAAGACATAACCTGAGACTGGGTAATTTATAAAGAAAAAGAGGTTTAATGGAGTCACAGTTCCATGTGGCTGGGGAGGCCTCACAAGCATGGTGGAAGGCGAAAGTCATGTCTTACAAGGCGGCAGAGAAGAGAGAAAATGAGAACCAAGCGAAAGAGATTTCCCCTTATAAAACCATCAGCTCTTATGAGAAATATTCACTACCATGAGAACAATATGGGGGAGACTGCCCCAATGATTCAATTATCTCCCACCAGGTCCCTCCCACAACAAGTGGGAATTATGGGAGCTACAATTTCAGATGAGATTTGGGTGGGGACACAGCCAGACCATATCATGGAGGGATGCAATTCACCCAGCCACAGGAAGTCTTGCTGAATTTCACCACCAGTCCTCATAATGTTGATCTCGTTTAGTGGCCATTGGTCCATTTTCTGACATCATACCCTCCTGGACTTCCTCCTGTGACCTGCTACTCAGACCTTCCCAACCTTGCATGCCCAAGCTACCCTGGTTCTGGGTCCTGGCACCCTAGCCAGCCAGATTCAGACAGAGGGAATGCATACAGATAACAAAACCAGTGATCACTGAGTAAATGTCTCCTAAAATCTTGTGAAATGAAAGAGTGAAATAAAATTTCCATCGACAGAAATCACCTTGAGACCTTAACAAATTTTGTTCAATGCCCCTGGCTTCAAAGGAGAGACATGACCAAAGGAATTTTGGCAGAGAATGACTAGATTCTAATGGATTATTTGACATTGCACTACATTTATAAATTAAAAGACAGCAGACAACATCTAGAAAAATTATCTACAGTTGAGATGTAGGAAGAGGCTGTGATCAAATTTCTGAGGCTGACCAGGACCCGACACTGAGATGTCAGATAAATTAGGCACCCACATCAGCTGTGGACCTCTCACCTAATTTAGAGAAGTGATATTCACAAACATTGTCAATATTTCCGAGTTTACAATCACACCTCTGACTGTTGACTTAAAGCATCTAGTTTGGTTCAGGCTACTGGTGATGTTTACACTTTGGAATCTATTATGCATAGAAAAATGAGGGATTATCTTTGACCTGGGTACCACATATTCTTATGCAAAACTAAGTAAGGTTATTTATTCATTTAATCAATTCCATATGTTTGCTATCATCATCACCATGTAGAGCAGATCTGATTTCTGCTGAGGTCAAACCAACATCGTCCTGTGCCTGGGGATTGTAGGTCTGATTGGGAACACAGATTGTCTGGTTGGCATTCAGACAGCGTGAAGCCTTTCTGACTTTTGCCACACAATGGAATCTTTTTTTTTTTTTTTTTTTTTTTTCTGTCCTGAGAGGTCATGTGCCATTCAAAAAGAGAATCAGAAGAGTTTTCTTCTTTGTTAAAGAGGAGTGCTGGACCTAATGTGTGGGAAACATTTGACTTTGCATTTTCTTTTTAGCTCAATCTGGGGTATATGGAGGAAGAGAACACAGACATTGGTGATGAAAAACCCGTGAGTATTGCCACAGGTAAAATTGTTACCTAAGACATGGCATTCAATTCTACAAAATCACACAAAACACAGTGCCGACTGTGTTCTAGATACTGAACAAGGATCTAGTGATGAAAAAATGAATTATTTATCCATCTAGCCCTCAAGGAGTTCTGAGACAGACACACACACACAGAGAATATCCACATATGTGCTAGATATAAGGGCTAAGGGGATTCAGATGAGTTGATTCTGTGGGGTTGAAACTGGGATGGAATAAAGGAGAAGAAAGGAGAAAAAGTTCAGAGAAGGAGTGTTTAATTTCTATCTCACATATTTAGTAAAAGTCAATAACTTGGGCGAGGCAAGTGGAACTATTCCACGTGGACAAAATGACATAAGCAATGCAAAAAAGGCATGGCGGGTTTGGGTTCTCAGGCATCGTTGAGCTTTTCATGTGGCTGGAGTGTAGGGTGCATGGTGCAAGGATTGGGGGTGGGACACCAGGGTAGTGATTTGATAAGGAACTACAGGGGTAATAAATGTGGATTTTGAAAGACCCTTTAAGAAAAACTATGGATTTAGAGCTCCTTCCTGCAGATGATAGAGAACCAGGAAAGACATTAGAACAGAAATGTAACATGATCAGAACAGCATGTAAGAAAGGTGGCTTAAAAGAGGAAAGGATGGTGGAGTAGGAAGAGGCTGGGAGCAGATGGCCTAGTAGGAGGCTAAGACAATCATCCAGGCATTTGAGGACTAGGTACTAGGAGACTGGGGCAGAGATGGGGAGGTGATGATTTTGAATTTGTTCATGTTGAGTTTCATTTGAGGATCATTATGGGGAGTGGGGAGCCCATGCCCAGCAAGCAGTGGCACGCAGCTCTGGAACTCAGCGGGGACAGGCTCTGCCAGCTACATCAATGTCTCTTTGAATGTCATTCGATCCATACAACAAATATTTGTCAAGCATCTAGTATGTGTCAGGCACTCTGCTAGGCACTGGGGATTCCAAGATGAGGAATGAATGGATTCCCAAGAGGCCAAATGAAACTCAAGAAAAAGAAAAGAGGAAGAACTGTTTTCTTCTCTAATGATTAAATAAAATATCTTGAGATACCATTTCCCAACTATTAAGGTAGCTTTTTACATTTTTCAAATGTCCTAGCCCCAAAGTCAACCAGCTCATACCTACGCTGTGTGCACCTTTTTTTCTAGCTGTATCCCATGCCTATATAGCCTCCACTCAACATTTGCCATATCCCTTCCTGCCTGGCACTGTGGCTGCATTCTTGCTGTGTTTGGGAAATTCTCAGCTCTGTGGGCCCTGCCTCCCTAAGCAGGAGCCAAACACTTCAGCCTCCACCCCATGCCACTCCCATCTCCACTGCAGACAGAGCTCAAGCCTGGCCCTGGCCTCCTTCAGCCCAGAAAACTGAGCAACTGAGGCAAGATGCTCTGCATGTCCATGCTGCTAGTGAAAAGGTGGCAGGGGATCCAGGCCAAGTCCTGGAGCAAAGCTGGCACTAGAAGGGCAGCAGCAGAGCCATGGTGTGGTTCCCACCAGGCCAGCCCCTGATGTCTGTAGAGCAGCTGTGTGCTCAGCGGGGTTCGGGCAGTGCCATCGCATAATGCCAAACATGTTAAGGCCAGCTAAGTGTCCAGCATCCGGGGGGATGGCTCAGGCAATCAGCATGGCCCATCAAATAGGAGGGAGTCTCACAGAGCCATTTTGATGAGAATTTTGAAAACCCCGTGGAAGTGTGGGAAAAGTCCTTCAGTGGTATGTCAAATAAGTTCAATCTGTTAGAACAATATGAATACCATCCTGGAACATGCAAAATGTGTATCTGTGAAAGGTTTTACCAAAACAAGAAATTAGCCTCTTAAGATGGTAGCACTGTGGGGGCTGTACTTTTTAATTTCAGAAAAACACTTCTTTGATGATCACCCCTCCCTTGGCCTCCACACTTGCATTGGCAGGAAGCAAAAGGGAGCTGCCACTGGAGCCCAACTCTCCCTCATGCATCTGCCTAGTGGTCCCGTACCTGCCCTGGCTGACACCATCCCCCTCCCTCCCCTCTTCAGCCCCCGACGCTGCTCTATTTCACCCCCGGAACTCACAGTCAGCCATCCTCAGTGCCCCTTCTACATCCTCCACCTTCCCACTCTCACTGGACCAAGGACCTCCAAGGAGAGGCTGGTTCCATTTCCACAAAGTTCAGGCCCGTGGGCACAAAAACAGGTTGGGAGATGAGATGGGGAGGGTGGGGTCAATCTCTTGTGCTTGCTTCTATTTTCTAAACAGGTAAAAGTGAAGACCGTGGAGGATGTATTGGAGATTTGAGAGTAGAATGTAATGAGAGGTGTGGATCTTTTTGTCCAAAGCTCATACAGACATGTATACGTGCACAGGTGAGTACACACACACACACACACAAACACACACACAGAGGACTGTACAATTTCAGGGAATCCTTAGAAAGCCCTGCTATTCGGAGTCTCTGAGAACTAAGATTAAGAATCCCTGTCCTAGAGGAGAAAATATCAATGAAAACAGTACACATAGGAAAAATCAGAGCAAAAAGAAACTTCATGGAAGAGAAAACAAGTATAAACAGAATGATGGAGGTGTATTGTGCAGCTCCAATCAGTAAAAGTGAAAGTGTTTAACACCTTTGTGAAAGATAAAGCCTCTGATTGGGTTAAAAAACGAAACCCAACTCTCGCCTTTTACAAGACATACAGCACCACGCCCCCAAAAAACTACAGCATATGTAAAAAGAAAAGTAGAAACAAAAATGTGAAGAGTAAATATCAAATCAAATAAAGCAAGGATAAAATATTAGTCTCAAAGGACAATTTAAATCCAAAAAATTAAATGAGGAAATGGAGGTCATTCTATGTTGGCAAAAGTAACAATCCTTAATACAGCTTCTGTGTTCCATTTTCTTCTCCAAATAAGCTCCCTTTGCTAGACAGACAAGAAAAATAGTTTGTAAAGGCTTTGTAGTTTGTAAAACACCTTCAAGATTTTTTAGAGCTAAAATATACAATAAAGGTACCACAGTCATGTACATTAAAAGATTAAACATTAAAATATAGAAAACAAAACCTATTAAAATACAATAAACAATTATCAACTAATTTTTGGATTGGGTGTTTTTAATATTGCCACTCTTGGTTGTTGCCTGATTAAGTACATTAAAAATCAATAAAGAAAAACTATTTCGATAATAAACTCAATAAAGTTGAATCTATGGCTATATATCTTGTATCTTTAACACAAAATTTGGCATTATACAATCTGAATAAAATATGTCTTTTATGGATAAAAAAGTGTTGGAAAAATATAAGCAAAATGTTAACAGTTATTATCTCTGGCTAATGTGATTACTTGGGGGAAGCATTTTCTTTTTATTATTTTCTGTACTTGTCAAGTGTTTTTACAATTTGTAGATCACCTTTATAATTAGAAATAAGAGCTAATTTTTTAAAAAAAAAATTCTAGAGGGCATTCCTTAATATTCCTCTTCTTGTTTCAAGAGACCTCAGTGTAAACATTTTCTTTCATGCCAGGAATCATGTGAAAGTTATATGGAAATTTTTGCCAACACACCTGCAGTGGAGGGCTTAAGTTGTTTTCCAGTTAATTTTTCTCTTTGTGGCATGTCCAGTTGTATTTGGAAAATTCTTCATTTTCATCTGATGCGGAAATTATTCAAAGATGCCAATTTCACGGGACTGTTCTCTCTTTCTACATCCGGGGCAGGAGTTCTCAAAACTGTAAATAGCCATCCAAAAGAGGAACACCGTTTTTGAATCATCAGGCCGTTTGCAGGTGGATGGTGAGTTCCAAGCCTAGGGAACGTTCTCGTGGGTGAAGAACTTCTGCAGGATATCATATGGCATAGCCAATAGTGTAAGAAAATTCCAGAGACTGACAAAATGGTAAGTAGGGAACAGAGCTGAGAATTCTCCTCCTCGTACTTGGTTTCTTTGTGGCCAGTCTTTACCAGAAGAAAAGAACAGGTGCAGGGGGAGTGTCCCCTCAGGGTACGCTGGTTGTATTCAACATCTTTTCAACCAACACCAATGAAAGGAACTGGATGCAGGGTGGATTCAAAAGCAGAAAGCAAATAACACGATGGAATATCTCTCAAAAGATTTAAGAACAAAGCTCCTCCCTTCCTCCCTCCCCATAAGCAGAAACCGTAAATTACAGGTGGACATTCCAAAAGCAGCAACTTCTTAATTCAAATTAATTTTTAATGAGTTGGCCACAGAGATTTGGGTATATTAGTTATTTAGTGACAACTGATTTCATCTAAAAGGTACAAAAAGAAGTTACATATTTCTTCATAATAAAGACTGCCTCTATTGCATTGCAGTTTCAAAGGCAACTTTATATTCAGATAGATTCTGGAGGGTGTGGGAGAAATTGATAAATGAAACCTTCATGCGTAATTATATGGTAGCAGCGGTAATATGTGGTACATAGGTGGAGTGTATATTTTAACCAACTCTTTCAATATTCATGAGACTTTTCTCAGCATCATCATACATCCCAGATGCTGGATGATCAAGGATACTACCCAGGAGAGAAACATCTGGATGACTCCCTGCACTGAGTCAGGTAAATCATGAATCCAGTGGCTCCCAACCTTCTGGAACACAAGAACAATTTTTTTTCACTTCAAAACCCTTCTTCAATATAATAATAGTTGTAATTTCAATGCAAGTTTTTTGAAAAAATGCATTAAGACTAAAAGCTACTATGAATTCAATAATAATTTGAAATTCTGCACAAACACATCTATAGCTACTTCCAGAAGAACTGCATTTGTCCAACGTTTAGTAATTTGTGGGTCTGTAGACAGTATATTTAGCCAGTGTGGATTCATGGACTTCTTGTAGTATACCTGTGGCCCTGCCAAAGTCTATGGCCTCAGGGAGACTCTGAACTATATCGTTATGGTAGTTACTAGTGATTTCCCCAAAAGATCGGCTTCTCTTCCTCCCTGGTACAGGGTAGGATTGCACTTCCCTGATCCTTTGAGTTATGTAGAACCATGGGACTTACCTTGGCTGATAAAACGTGAGTGAAAGTGATGTGTGCAGCTTCCTGGCAGGAGGCTTTAAGAGTCTATAAATGGTTTGGCCTTCTACTGGCAAAGTTCTAGCTGTCAGAGGTTCCACTGACCAGTCTCTGACTGAGAATGACATAAAGGAAGAACCTCCAACCACCCTGGCCATACTCAAATGATGATGGAGCATTAGTAGAAATAACCCTGTGTTGTGTTGGGATGTTAGGGCTGTTTATTACTGCAGCATAACCAGGCTGATCCTACTTGCACAGTCCTTCAGGGTGAAGTTATTTGTTCTTTATGGTTCTCCAATTTAGTGTCTCAATGACTTACTCCAAAGCAGTATATGTTACCCAATTAGTTTAAGATCTTCCTTGTCACCATCTCTGGGCTCATAGAAGATTCCCAAATGTATTTCCAAGCATGGAATTGCCATTCCCTATGGCTCTGGATTTTTTTTAATCTTTAGAAATGTTTTCTACCTTAGCTAGAAAGCCTTTTGGCTGCTAATGTAGGTAATTTTTTCTAGTGGACAGAAAGGATACAGGAAAGAAATATTAACAACAATAATAAAACATGCTGGACCAAATATGCAGGTGGATGAAATGAATGCCCAAACTACTCAAATGAGATTCAGGTAGGTCTGAAGAGGGTGGCTTGATCTGGAATCAAAATTTTAACAAGAAGGGGACTGAGTAATATCAGCCCTTCAGATTAAATCAACAGCCCCTGGGTGTCCCATCTGAATTTCCCTCGCCTCTGCCTGTCACCTCTCACCCACACCTTCTATTTGGTTAAAATCTCCAGATCTATCCTGGCAAGTCTGGCCTTCTCTCTCCCTTCATGTAGTTATGACACTGGCATTTCTGAAGCCCATTTTAAAGACATTTGGCCTGCAAAAAAAAAAAAAAAAGATTTTACTGTTATTCACGATAGACTGAGAAGGGCATGTTTCTTCCCAGGGAGAAGCACAATAGATGTTAACCCCAGGCTGCACATTAGAATCTCCTGGGAAACTTTGAAAAATACTAATGTTCAGGTACCACCCCAAATCAACCAGATCAGACTCTCTGGAGATAAGAGTCTCTGAAAAAAATTAGCAAAATCATCTCTTTGTTTTGTCATCTGTTGTCTTAGAAAATAACTGAAGATAATTATGTTCCTAGAAACTTCCTGTATTTCTAAGTAAAGTTGAAGAAAGAATTATGTTGCAGTTTCTCTGTAATAAGTAATTCCAAATTCATTACCAAATGGCTGAACCAAACCTCTAGCCTTTATATTGCTTTGGTTGTCCTTTGTTTTTGATATCTTTTGCTATGTAACAAATTATAAAGACTTAGTAGCCTAAAACAACATACATTTATTGTCTCACAGTTTCTATGTGTTAGGAAGCTAGCACAGCTTAGATGGGTTCTGTGTTTAGGATCAAAAAAAACAAAAACAAAAACGCAATTGAGGTGCTAAGTTATTTCCCTTTGTGGAGCTCAGTCATTCTCCAAGCTCACATGGTTGTTGGCAGAATTCAGTTATTTGCTACTGTAGGACCAGGTCCTCATTTTCTCGCTGGCTCTCACCCAGGGGTTTTGTTCAGCTCGTACAGTCTACCTGCAGTGTCTTCCCACATAGTCCTACAAACTGCTTTTACTCACCCGACATTTCTGACATCAAATATGTGGGGTTTTTCCTCACACTGACTAATTCTCTAACTCTCTGGACACTGAAGTGTCCAACAATTCTATTCAATTCTGATCTATCCACCTGGAGTTAGCATCAGGTTCCACAAGTGAGGGCTCAGGCCCACAAGACTGTCCCTTCAGATGCCAGTGACAAGTCCTGAACTTCTGACTGATAGGCTATAAATGTAGAGGGTTTCCCAACCTTGTCCTCATGTTTGATAATTTGCTAGAATGGCTCACAGAACTCAGGAAAGTACTCTACTTACATTAGCTGGTTTATTCTAGAGGGTAAGGGTGAACAGCCACATGAAGAGGTACATAAGGTGAATTCCAGAAGGATCTCAAACACAGCAACTTCAGCCCCATGGTGTTAGGGTGCTCCCACCTCCTGGCACTGACCCAGAAGTTCATCAAATCTGACTGTTCAAGAGTTTTTATGAAGCTTAGTCTTCAGCACCTCATCTCCTTCCTAGAGGTCAGTGGATGGAGCTGAACGTTCTTGGTCTTGGTGATGACCAGCTCCGTCCTGAGTTTGTCTAGGGGCGCCTACCCTAAGTCACTTCATTAGCATGAACCCAGGAATAATAAAAAGGGACTTCTTATGAATAACAAGAGACACTCCTATCACTCAGGGTATCACCAGGGTTTTAGAAGCTCTGTGCCATGAGCCTGGAATGAAGACCAAATACAGAATTCTTCCTACATCACGGGATCACAGGTCCTTTATAGGTCCTCTCACAGCAAGGCAGCTGACTTCTTGAAGGCCAGAAGGAAAAAATCTCTCTTTTAAGACTTTCACCTGATTAAGTCAGTCCCACCCAGGATAATCTCTCTTTCCATTTACTCAAAAGCAGCTGATTTAGAACCTTAATTACAGCTAGAAACTGCCTTCACCTTTGCCAAAGTCTATGCGCTAGAAGGAAATTGCAGGTCCCACCCACACTCAACAGGAGGGGATTGTTCAGGGATCATTTTAGTGTGTGTCTGCCACATCTTTTTTGGAAGTCCCTATAACTTTTTCATATTTTTTCAGTATTATAATGGCTCAAACTAGACACTATCTTCATCATCACCATCAACATCTTTGTCTCGTCCAGATCACCCTCCAAATGACAGAGAAAGTACTGTAAAGATGAATTAGCCCCTCTTTCCTGCTCTTGGTTTGTTTCTTAGCCCCTGCCCATCGCACTGGGCTTATTATGGTCAACAGCTGCACATTTCTGGCTCCTATTCAGCCTGTTCCCAATTAGGACTGCCCCCCCACCCCAAGTCTTTTGAAAATTTGTATTTAAGATCCATGTGTACGAATCAAAGATGTTTCCTCCAAATAAGAAATACTCACTTGCCTAATGAGAGACCCTAACAGATTCTCCATCCAACCCACATGCTAGAAATCAACCTAAGTTAAATAACACAGATCCTGGAATGATATTTTCTCCTAAGATAACAAAAGGGCTGGAGGTGACTGCTAGGCACAAAAGGCATTACTAATTTGTGGGGAGAAGGCCATGGATAAAGATTAGGGAAGGTCTCACTGGACAGATTTTAGACACTAAGTTGTAAGTTGAATAGCCTTCCTGGTTTCTCTTGCAGTCCAAATTTTTCCAGTGTTTTCCCACATAATACAAAGCAAAGGGGAAAATATGGCATAGTGGTTATTTGACAATTTTGTAGCAATCATGAAATAGATTGCAGCCCCCTCTGCAATGCCCAATAAGTGAGTAGACAGTAAAAACAAAGAGGAGTGTAATAGAGGTATTAAACAGCACGCTAAGAATATTAATGCCTGGGGACATTTTTTTTTACAAGTTTCTACTTTTTTTAAATTTAACATTGATGTTTTTCTCATTTAGCTTCCCTAAGTAATGTTTAATTCAAATTCTCAATATTGAATGGGAGATACTTACCATATGGTTGACACGCTGCTCTGTAGGTTCATAAATTTGGAAGAGTTTTGATTAACACTGACAGAAAACCCTTTGAAAACATATGGCTGTATATACATCATGTCATTTCTAATAAGATGACACATCCTTCTTTGTTTTTTACTAATAAGATGAGGTCAGTTGTATTGAAGAAACATGATAATGCTTTGTTGATTTTTCTTTATGGCAGAGAAAAACTGAGTAAAAATAAACTATTTTGTTGTTGCAGCAGACAGAAAGAAAGCATAGCAGATAGTTTGTGAGGATTAAAAAAATGATGGGTGCTATCTTGAAGCACTTTTTATAGACCTAGTTAACATGTTGTCCACTTGGGATGCTTTGTGACACCTCACATTTCCTTCTTGGTGACTGATCCTGAAGACCACCTAACTGCCTCAGAACCCATCTTATTCTCACCAGGTTTCAGAACTGATCTCTTCAGACCTCACTGAGTGCAACTTTCATACCATTTTGGCGCCAAAACATTCTCATTCTTGGTTATTTACATATTCAGATGAACAGTTCTCTGTTTCTTGGACTGATTTGTTTCCATTTCTTCTGAAACCCATTGCAACAAATTCAATTTGGGAATTCTGACATGAACTTTTTGAATAATATTTTGAAACATAACAAATATGGAAAGCAAATTGGCAATTTGTATCAAGAATCTTAAAAAACAGATGTCCATACCTTTTGACCCAGTAACTCCCCTTTTAGAAATCCAGTGGCCTGGCACAATGGCTCATGCCTATAATCCCAGAACACTGGGAGGCAGAGGTGGAAGGCTTGCTAGAGCTCAGGAGTTTGAGACCAGCCTGGGCAACATAGCAAGACACTGTCTCTACTAAACGTAAAAATTAAAAAATTAGCCAGGTGTGGTTGCTCGCACCTGTGTTTTCAGCTACTTGGGAGGCTGAGGTGGGCAACATAGCAAGATCTCATATCTACTAAAATTTTTTTAAAATTAGCTAGGTGTGATGGCATGTGCCTGTAGTCCCAGTTACTCAGGAGGCTGAGGCAGGAGGATAGTTTGAGCCTGTGAGACTGAAGTTGCAATGAACTATTATTGCACCACTGCACTCAAGCCTGGGTGAAATGCTGAGATGTTTCATTAATGCCTTCTGATTTGGAGGGAAGACTGAGTACCTAGCACTGAAGAAAGAGTGAGTTAATGAAATGTTGAGATGTCTCATTAATGCCTTCTAATTTGGAGAGAAGACTGAACAGGTAACATGGGGAAGATCCTCAGGAAACTCTGCAAATTTAATCCCCTTCATACCACAAAGGGGTTAGCAAAGGAGGGATGCCAATGCCTTTTATTCTGCTGTGTCAATTTAAGGGACAGGCTAAAGATGGAACATGGGATACCTAACAGGACTTCAGAAGAAAGAGCAGAGCTGTGTTCCGCCGTACAAGAGCTTATTGCATCTCCACATTCCATTCCATATGTCAGGCTAAGAGAGAGGAAAAAAAGATAGGAGTAGCTAAGAGTCATGTAGCACTCTGTCCCCAAACTAAGAGGAAAACACATGTGCGCATGCGCGCACACACACCCATACACACCCAAACTTCAGATAAGCTGGGAAAGTCATAGAGGAGGAGTCATACACACTATATTGTGGCAAATAGAAGGTCTGGACAACCATGCCAAGGTCCTTTAGAAAAGGGAGAGCTGTGCTGGGCATGGTGGCTCACACCTGTAATCCCAGCACTTTGGAAGTCTGAGGTGGGCAGATCACGAGGTCAGGAGTTCAAGACCAGCCTGACCAACACAGTGAAACTCCATCTCTACTAAAAATACAAAAATTAGCCGGGCATGGTGGTGTGCGCCTGTAATCCCAGTTACTCGGGAGGCTGAGACAGGAGAATCACTTGGACCCAGGAGGCAGAGGTTGTAATGAGCCAAGAGCGTGCCATTGCACTCCAGCCTGGAAGCCTGGGCGATAGACCGAGACTCCATCTCAAAAAAAAAAAAAAAAAAGTTAGGGGGTGCAGAGGGAGAGAGACAGGGGAGGGATAGAGACAGAGGGAGATCATTGGCCAGCTGAAGGATAATAAAAGATTATTCTTTTATATAGTAAGAGTCAGATTATTCTTTTATTTATATAATAAAGATCTATGGTATAGAACATAGATGAGCAACTACATCTGAAAGAAAACAACTTAAAAAAACAGATGAAAGCATTCCAAGTGATTAAGTGCTTTAGCGATAGAACTTAAAATCATTAAGTCAATAAAAGAAAGTAGTAAAGTGAGAATAATAACACAATGAGACAAAAATGAATTTTGAAGCAATTATTGAAACATTGAGAACTAAAACAACAATATTACAACAAACCAAAATTAGCAAGAAAAAAGATGAAAATAAAAATTAAGTTGCTGGAATGGAGAAAATCTGGAGGTAATCATAGTGAATGCAGAGGAAAAAGTAGAAAGTAAAGCAATTAGAAAGAAGAAGGAGAATGAAGATAATCTAACACAAGGATAACTGGTATCCCTGAAGTAACACTGCAAAAGAACAGAAGTTCTTTTGAGACATAATAGTGAAAAACTAAATCTTTGAAAAAAAGGAGGAACTGGATCTGAAGGTTGAAAGGGTACACTGTGTTCTAGGGAAAAGTTGATATGTGAGTCCACGTGGAAATGTGTTCTGGGGAAAACAGTAAACTCAGGAAAAAAAAATTTTTTTCACATACAGCAGGTATATGATAAAATGCTCAACATCACTAATCAACAGGGAAATGTAAATCAAGACCACAATGAGATAACCACCCCCGCCCTCCCCCCCCCCAGTTAAAATCATTATTATCAAAGATGAAAAAAATGGCAAATGCTGTTGAGGACATGGGGAAAGGGGAACTCTTATATACTGCTGGTGGGAATATAGATTAGTACAGCTATTCCGGAAAACAGTATGAAAATTCCTCAAATAATTAAAAATATAACTACCATATAATCCAGCAATTCCATTACTGGGTAAAAATCCAAAAGAATTTAAATATGTTGGAAAGATATCTGCACTCTCATGTTTATTGCAGCACTAGTCACAATAGCCAAGAAATGGAATCAACCTAAGTTTCCATCATCAAGTGAAAGAATAAAGAAAATATGGTACATCTACACAGTGGAATGCTATTCCACTATAAAAAGAATAAAATTCTGTCATTGCAGCAACATGGATGAACCTGGAGGAAATAATATTAAGTGAGATAAGCCAAACATAGAAGGACAAATACCACATGATCTCACAATATGTGGAATCTAGGAAAGTTGATCTCATAGAAGTAGAGACTAGAATGGTAGTTACTAGAGGCTTGGGGAGGGGAGACAGGAGGGAGAAATGGGGAGAGGTCGTTCAACAAGTGCAAAGTTACAGTTAGATAGGAGGAATATTTTCTAGAGTCCTATTACATAGTAGGGTGACTATAGCTAATAATAATCCTATCATATATTTTAAGATAGCTAGAAAAGAGGATCTTAAAAGTTATCACCACAAAGAAATGATAAAGGTTGGAAGTGATGGACATGCTAACTCCCCTGATTTGATCGTTAGACAGTGTACACATATATTGAAATATCACACTGTACCCCATACACACAGACAACTATTATGCATCAATGACAACAATAATAAAGTATAGCACATACAATTATGTACAGTACATAATATTTGATGATGATAATAACTATTATTGGTTTATGTAAAAAGTATACATAAAGAATTCTTCAAATTGTCAGGGAGTAAAAGCAATCCACCATCAAAGGGCAAATATGAGGTTTATCTCAGACATGCTATAATTCTTTTCTAAGTAAAAAAGAAAAGATTTGCTAAAGATATGAAAATAATTTATTTTTAAATATAAGGATCACAGACAGCATTCTCAAAAATTAGTAAAATATAGCATCCTTAACCCACTTTTGAAATGAATTTCCAACAGAGTATACCAGCCAACCAAGAGACGAATCAAATATAGAATTAGGAATAGATAAGTTGTAGTTAAAGAGACTGGTGAAAAATGATGAAGCCAACTAACTATAGGCTAAGATTGAAAGTGAAAATTTGATTGCAGAATAGAATATGCACATTAGAAACCTGGAAAAATTCTACAAAGCAATATAACCAATGAAAGTGGGGAGGGAGATAGGAAAAAATAGAAAGGAACAAATCTTATCTTCATAGCAGATGAATATTGTTCAAAAATGACGTCTAATTTAAAAAAGTTAATGACTAACTTCTTAATGTTTTTCATAATATTTATTTTAAGATGTGTTCATTTAGGAAACACTCACTCTCTTATGATGGAGAAATGTTTATCTGTGGTTTAGAAGTTCTTTATGTTTATTCAATTTCTTTTTATTCTGTTAAAGTTAAAATTTATCTATTAGGTTGGTGCAAAAGTAATTGTGGTTTCCAACCACAATTACTTTTGCACCAACCTAATTCTTTTAATAGTATGCTAAATGCTATGTGGTATCTTGGATTGGATCGTGGAACATAGAAAAGGACATTAGTGAAAAAACTAGTAAAATCCAAACAAAATCTATAGTTAATAGTAAATTAACTGTGACAAATGTACCATGGTAACATAAGATGTTCATATTAGGAAAGTCCAGGTGAGGAGTAGTTGGGATCTTTCTATACTATCTTTGCAACTTTTCAGTAAATCTAAATTAATTCCAATACAGAAAGTCTCTTACAAAATAGTATGTGTCATATTTACCTATCCTTTAACCTAAATCTTTGTGAAGAATGATGCCTAGGATCGTGTTTCTCAAAATTTTACACTGGCTGTTTCTGGGTAGTTGGCTTCAGGGTGATTTGTTGCTTTTGCTTTGTATACTTTTTGTTATTGATTGAAGTTAACAACAACTGATTATCATGTTTATTACTAATATGGTCTGGCTGTGTCCCCACCCAAATCTCACCTTGAAATGTAATAATCCCCATGTGTCAAGGGCAGGGCCAGGTGGAGATGATTGAATCACGGGGACAGTTTCCCCCATACTGTTTTCATGGTAGTGAATAAGTCTCACGAGATCTGATGGTTTTATAAATGGGAGTTTCCCCTGCACAAGCTCTCTTGCCTGCTGCCAGGTAAGATGTGACTTTGTTCCTCCTTTGCCTTCAACCATTTTTGTGAGGCCTCCACAAGCCATGTGGAACTGTGAGTCCATTAAACCCCTTTCCTTTACAAATTATCCAGTATCAGGTATGTCTTTATTAGCAGCGTGAGAATGGAGTAATACAATTACCAATAATATTATTCTAAATTTTAACAAAACAAATACAATGGTGAATGTAGATGAATATTAACATGAGGAACACTTACAATATAACATTTAAAAGCAGAGACAAAAACTAAAGAATGTCGTATAATTTTATTTTCAAAAGTATATGATAAAAATGACTGGAAGGAACTATATTAAATTATTGCTGGTGTTTGTCTCTGGATTAATAGCTTTTATTTTCCTCTTTATGCATTTACAATTTTTTATAGTTGTTTAAGCAATGAGTATACATTTATAATAACTGAAAAATAAACACTACAGTTTTACTGTTATCCAGTGAAGTTAGTACTGGCACTTGGCAAGTCAACTGCAAAAGTTAATTAAAGCAGTGAATCATAAAATGTGATATATACATACCTTAAAGATTTAATTTTAACTTAAAACATATGGATGTTCATTCACGTGCCACTCTTTTGATGTTGAGCCAAGGCCCTTTCTTTGTGCCGGGGTCTGATCTGAGTTCCAAGCAGTCTTTCTTTCAAAACCACCCATAATGCATCATCCAGAAGTTTCCATTTTGGTTTCTTAAAGGCAGAATGAGACCTTTAAGATACTGATAAAGCAATTTTTCTTACATTTTTACTCTCTTCTCATCTTTCATGTGTCCTTTACATATACTTTGATAGTAATTTATTGAAGCACTTTGTCATTATTAAATCTTTCATCAGTTTACATAATATTTATGTAAATAATAAGATTATAACATTTGCATAAACAGTTGCTAGGCCAGCGAACAGAAATAGGTTTGGGAAGACACATGGCTAACTCGTGGTTGTCACAACTGGTGGGAATAGAAGTGTCAGGGCTTGATAGAGAGTAGTCTTCGCCATAAGCACTTGACATGCTTTGGGCATCAGTCAGAAGGTTTTACTGAGGAAATGGAGAACCTTACATAACAAGTTGATGAAGTCAAGGAAGGTTATGAGAACTCCTGTAAAAAACATAAAAATGGCAGACTCCACTATGTCTTGCTACCTTACATGTAGCTGGAGGAGGTTACCACCAAATTTCTTCTCATCTGGTATTCTCTCCACTTGCACTTGATAACTGTGATACCTTCTTGTGGTTCCTTTAACGTAGGTAAAATGCTGATGGACGACAAATGGGACATTAGCGCCTTTTCTAGTTGGCCCCCACTATAAGCTGGTAATGGTACTTCTATTGCACAGATGAGGAAACTGAGTCACAGAAAAGTGCAACCCTGACCTATATCTGACTCGAAGTGCACTGCTCTAATCATCTACCATCGTGGCCTTTTTTGGTGGTATGGGGTTAATGATTAAACTAGAATGTGAACATATACAAAGAAGGTACTTTTAAAATTGTCTTTTACATTGTCAGTATAGAACAGCTTTTCTCCAATAATACCTCATAACATTTCCTTATTTTTCTGTGTCTTAAAACTATCAGCTATACAGAAATAGTGTGCATGTCATGCCATCTTCCTCTGTCCTATATATTTAGAATAATTTATCTCCATCTTTCTATTCAGGGCCGGTTCTACAGAATCCCTATTCTCTTTAGGACTATCCACATACCACACAGTCCTCAATTTCACAAATACTATTTGCAGTTCCAACTTATATTATCAGCTTGAAATGTGCAGTGGAAGTGCCTGTCCCCTTTGTTAAATACCGTACCAGCTACCCAAGGTTTTCCTACATTTGTGGCTCTCATCTCCTTGGCATCACAAGTTTCATCTTTTTTTTTATCACTCTTATCAGCTTATGCCAATTTTCAAAGATTTCTTCCTCAACATGATTTCTTCATATTCTTTCTTCTTGTTACAGCTAAGCTCCTCCAAGGAGTTGTCCAAATTTGCTCTCTGCTCCCTCATTTCGTCTTCTTTCACTCCCAGCTTTCTGCAGCTTCTGAAGAATGCCAATGGCCACCATCTTCCCAAATGCAATGCCTGTCTGTTCTCATATTTCTTGACCTCTCAGGAGCAAGCTATTGACACATTTGACTACACCTTCCTCCTTGAAACCCTCTATTCTCTGTAATTCTTAAGCATTGTATTTTCCAGGCTTTCCTCCCACCTCACTGAACCTCCCTTGATTCCCTCCCTAGCTTCTCTTCTGTCCAATCTCTAAGTGCTGAAGGATTCCAAAGTTCTGCTCTACACCCTAAGTTGACCTCATCCAGTCCACTGGCTTTATATACAATCTATATACTGATAATTCCTTCATTTATTTCTTCTGCTCCTTCCTTCCCCCGAACTTTAGATACATTTAAATACTACTTGGTAGCTCCACTTGCATGTATAACAGCATCTCGTACGTAACATATACAAAATAAACTCTTCATTACTCCCAGGCAGTCTGCTCACCACCCCGTGACTGGCTCAGGAGGTAAACGACACAATTCACAAGTAGTTCAAGTAAAAACAATCTAGATGACATCTTTGATTTATATTTTTATCTCACACCCAATCACATTCAGTTCATCAGCAAATTCTATCACCTCCACCTCAGAAATGTCCAGTGAATCCCTACCTCTCCCCATCCGTGCTGCTATCCTCTGGTCCAGATCCATATCATCTCCTTCCCAACCTGGTGTGTGGTAAAACCTAAATTTAAGGCCCAAATTTTGACATCTGTTGAAACTGGGAGGGTCTCACATGGCCTGATCCCAAGCTTCCCTCTTTTCCTGCAGATAAGACCCACCACCCAAATAACCTCTGTATCCAGGGACCAAGTAGCTCCTGCCTATTCCTGAGTAGCAGGTTTCAGTTTGCTGCCAACCTGCAGAATTATTCAGACAAACCAATGACATCTTTCTGCAGGTCACCTCATCCACTTGATACTACACAGCTGTTGGCTATTCACTCTGTTCCCAAGTGCAAGCTCCAGGCAGCCCTGGATGGCATGTGGTGCCCCCCCGCCAAGGCTGTGAATATGTGTGACTAATAAAATGCCATCTCACCTGCCCAGGGCCCAGTGTCGTGTACGTGCCTATCTCCATCATCCTCAGGTGGGATTCCCTCCCTTGCCAACAATGAGCTTACAACACCTGGCTGCCACTGAAGTCTGATTCAAATGGTTTCTTCTCTGAGAGGTCTCCTTGGATCCCACTATCCCACAGTCCTCTCATTTCTACTTGGCACTTGTCATTATCTGTAATACCTTATTTATTTTTGTTTGTGCGTGTTTAGTCTCCGGCACCTCCCACTAGAATGCGAGTGCCACATCCAACATTAGCTAATCCCTGAGAGCCACTTTTAGATGTATCCGGTGTATAGCCACTGCCTCCCACCACCTAGCCCTCATCGGAGCCCAAGCTAGCAGCACCCCTCACCTGGATGATTGCACTCACCTCCTCGCTGCTCTCTCTGCTTCCACTCCTGCCCCCTTCTCTCCTCATGGTATCCAGAGGGACCTTCTAAAAGTGTGAGTTAGATTAAGCCGCTCCTCTACTCGATATCTCCTGCCACTGCCTCATGCTCCCTCATGCAGAGTCAATACCCATGTCCTTATCATCACTTACCAGTTCTCGGTCTGGTCCCACACGTTCCCGCCCTCATCTTCTGCCATCTCCCCTTTACCACTGTGCTCCAGGCACCCTGGTTTGCTTGCGGATCAGAGCTTTGTACTTTGCTTTTGCTGTATCCAGAAGAATCTTTGCCCAGATATCGACAAGAGTCCCACACTTCCTTCTGTTTAAACATCATGCATTAGAGAAGCCTGTGATTCACACACCCTTCCCTCTCTATCCTGGTATCCTACTTTCCTCTTCTTAGCATTTTCATTTATTTTCTTTTTTTTCTGATTTGTTTATTCTCTGTCTACCCTGCTAGATTGCAGGGAGGAATAGGGATCCTCTCCGACGCACCACTGTGTCCCCAGCATCCAGCTCCTATGTTAGGGTCCTGAAATATATTTGTTTAATTAATAAGTTTGTGTCTTGCTTACCATTGTATCTTTAGAGCCTCAAACAGTATATGGCACACAATAATAATATTAAAAGTGATTTTTGAAATAACAGGCAGGCTTAAAAACGTATCTAGCACTGGGTGTGTGCCAGGTACTGTTCTCAGCTCTTGAGATATGATATTATTTAGTTCTCTCAACAACTATGTAGGGCAGGTACTGTTCCTAGTCACAGATTAGGAAAGTGAGGGACAAAGAAGCCAAGTAACTTGCTCAAAGTCACATGCGTGGTAAGTAAAGCCATCAGGATTCAAAACCAGGAGGTCTAGCTTCAGAGCGTGTGCTGTTAACCACTTTAAATAAATAAACAAGTCATGAAATTGTCGTCAAAAATTTCTCCTTGTGACATCCTCCTTCAACCCAACAGGGCATGAGGACATGACAGCTGTTTCCTACGTTAGCAGCTCTCTTTACTAGTATAGTCGGAGAACGCATTAACCAATACTACATTGTATAAAAAGCACTACCTAAAACACCAATAAATATCACACTAGGGCATGAGAAAAAAAATGTTAAAGAAAGATTATTTATTTTTGTTGCTTACTTAACCTCTGAAGGGTTAAAAGCCACTGATATCCAAAAAGGAAACTTCTGTATTCTAATTTATGCCTATCTATGTCTCAACTGTCAGTAGGAATGCAGAAGGTCAACTCAGGCTGCACCAATAGGTGTTTCATAAGCTAAATGGTGATAAAGAATTAGATCAGCCAAAAAGCCAACCTAGAACTGGAAATGAATACGCACTTTCAGCAGGCCATTCCTCACAGGATATAAATTAGAACCACTCCAAGATATAGTAGGTGTTCACTCAAGTTTCTCTGTGGGTTTTCATAGCCCTTAGACTGTTGCATTTGAAGTGAAAGCTAATAAAAGTCCAGAAACAAATTTGAAAAGGTATTGGTACCAAGAGATTAATTCAAGAGTTTTTAGAGGAAGTACCCTCCACCTTGAATGCCTTTGGAATGAAAGAGGAGCGTCATTTCACATATGGTCTTCAGGAATGCCCTAATGCAGAGTGAGAGGCATGGGCTCTTGTAGCCCATCACCTTCTCCCACAGGAGGAAAAAAGCTGCGCTCTGTTATTGGCTTTTGGCAGCAGGTAAAAGAGCTTAAGTGTCCCTTCCGTAACCGTGAGGCTCTGTGACCTGCAGTCCATCTGGAAAATCTATTTTTCAAACGCAATCAGGCTCACAAAGGTAAGAGGCAGAAAGCAACTATTTTGACCTCAAAGTCCTTAAGAGTATCAGCAGGTTTTGTCAACAGAGACCAAATACAGTAAAGAGTGAAGACAATTGCCAAGATCATTCAAGTCCAACACCCCTCCCTGGATTCTGACCAAAACAGACCCCTGCAGATGAAAGTGTTGCTCGTAAGAAAAAAAAAAAAATTGACCAGAATAATTCACACCATCTACATCAGTTGACCTCACCAGAAACTCTAGGGAAAACGGCCTCTGGGATCATGATCTAGGGACCTAAAGGTTACAAGAATTGCATTGCTGAGTGTTGGGCTGGAACCTAATGGAAATGGCTGAGACCCCACAGGGACCTCCACCATGAGTAAGGTCAACTTTAAAATTGAATCAGGTTAGAAGAGTCACGTTATGCTTTGGAGCCAGGCAGATAACCCTGACTAGCAAATGAAGCTTCAGTGAGAGGCAAAACTCAGCAATTTTCACTTCATTCTTTTCCAATATATAGCTAAAGTGCCAACGTAACATGACATTTAAACCTTACAATACAATATTAAGAGAACACAAATGCAGCACAGCAAGTATTTTTCAAAGGGGGCTACTAAGAGGCTGAGCTTGGAGATTTAGAGTCAAGTTGATTTACAGTTACCTAATTATAGGTAGGAACCCTGATCACCATTCCTTGGGCCCCAAATTTGCTGTCTTCATAGATTGAGGGAATTCACCAATGGAACTCTCAAGGTGCCTCGTGGGCAATCAGTAAAGGCCTGGGGAATTTTACCCACATTTAAGATAGAGTGAAACAAATCCAGAACATGGTTCATGAGATGGTTCTAAGTTTAACCTCCGGATGACATTCTGAGATCATTATGTAGGAGCTCAGAATTTAGATTCTACGCTAAATAACCTCTGTGAACACCAGAGAGAAGGGAGCTTGCTCAGCTGGTTTTTCCAAGGATCCAGGAAGCTCCTGTTCCCACCAAGGCTGCTACATTTGGTATGATGTGATGGGGGCAGCCACATGGAGTCTGGGACTGGCACCAACACTGAGGAAAGCCCAGCTGGGCAGATGTTTCTGAAGCACCATGCCACAGCTCCTTGGCCTACCCATTTTGAGGACAACTGGAGTGGACACTCACACCCCTACTGCGGGGTGTCCTGTGTTGAGTGTGCCACCTGTACCAGGCACGAGCAGGTACAGCCCAGAAGTACAGGGACTTAATGTCCCCAGGAGCAACCCTCCACCAATGGGAGGCAAAGATCTGTAGATAAATGTCCTAGCTTTCCCCATCTTCCATTCTGGACAGTTCGGTAGAAATTCTGAATTCTATGTGGTTCCTCAGAGGTGCCCCAGCAGGGCTGAGCCCCAGTTGCTCATGTGGTCGGCTCATTACCCCAGCATGTGGTGGCTTTTCTTCCTGCCCTGTCCCTTTCCCTCTCCCTTGCTTCTGCCTCTTGGGATCGCTTCCCAAATAAACTATTTGCTCTCAAGTTCTTGTCCCAAGCTCTGCTTTCAAGGAACTCAAACGGTGTATCAGCCACTAGAAGGAAAGCGGGAAAACAGATACAAGCGCACACACTCACACACATGCACTCACACACATACACATACACGTACTCACACACACACACTCACACCCACACATTCACACACACAGGCACTCACACACATACACTCTCACACTCAGGCACTTACACACACACACTCTCGCACACAGGCACTTACACACACTCACACTCACACACACACTCACGATCCCCTGGGTCCAGCAGCAACTGCCTCTGAACATTTCCGTCATTTGAGCCACCCAATCCCCTTCCCTTTTACTGTTCTACTGAGGGCAGCCAGCATCAAGTTTCTTACCACTTTGCAGCTAAAGAAGCCCCAAAGAAGACAAGTGCTCGGGCATCTCAAATAAATAATAACAACGACACTTCCCCTACTTGTTCCTCAATTGGCAAGCACTTGTATAACTAGCGCTCAGTTAGCATGATGCCTGGCACATAGTAGGCACAAATAACATGCACTAAAGAAGTGATTATCTACCGCCTGCTCTTACCTCCCCCTGTTGAGAAGAGGTGAGAGGAGGGCCTGGTATTTTTATACACGGTATGGTAAGGGCTCACACTTAGCTGGTGCATACTGGTATGGCCGCGCTGTACATAGTTGCTCCTCAGAGCCCGTGCATGTCCCCTAGCACCCCCTCCCACTCTCTGGGCCACCAGAAATCCCCAGACCTCTCCAGGATCCAGTAAGTGAAGAAAGGTTAATACCCTAGCAGGGGCTCCAGGACAGCATCTGATTGGTCAACCTGGTTTTGCTGACTGTATAATATTTTGAATGTTACCCTTGCATAAGGCCTAATATTTTTACTCCCAATGCTTTTAAAATTAATCCTCATAAAGCTCTAAAGTAACGCAGCACAAACTCCTTAACACAAAAGAAATGTTTTTCCTCCAGACCTACCATACTGCTAAAAATGCAGGGGAAACAGCTTTCTAGATTGTCTCTGCATGAATATTAATAATAGTACAATCCGCCTGCAGATGTAGTCTTAGGCTTTTCATCTGGCCACATGATGCGCTGAGAAATCAACTGATCTGCAAAACTTTTCCCTCCTTCGTTAATACAGCTCCTTCCACGAACAGCAATGTGTGATTCTTTCAGATTTTCTTTACCCCCACAGCTGGTGTTGTTCAATGGATTTTTTGGCACAAAGACGAACTCCCATCTGTATCCCAAGTCCAAAATAATCAAGAGGTTTTAGAGTTTATTTTTTCATGCATTTTTCTTCCTTCATCTTCTTTAATTTTCATAGATTAGGTATTTTTCAACTTTAAAAACCAGGTCTAATTACAGGCTCTTTGGAGGAATCACAGTGTACGGTCTGATTTTTCTAAACAGTTTGGGGAAATTTCATGTATGGCTTCAGAGTCGAGTGATCCCACTCATTTATAACCTGGGTAGAATTCTACAACAGGTGTGCTGAGGGATTCAGGAAAACACGTAGAGAACATGTTCCACAGGTGTCGGTAGAAAGTCTCCAGATAATTCAGAAAAAGACAGCTCATGTGAATAACCCTCCATGGCCAAGATACAGGAAAATACAGAATAAGAATGGCTGCATTTTAGACATTTCAGTTTAAGAAAGAACTAGGTCCAACCATCAAGTGTAGATAAACCTGCTAAGGAAAAAAAAAGAAAAAAAAAAAAACCATTCTGCAGGAGATTTGGCAGGAAGTAGGGTATTAGGAGAGAAAGAGAACAGGAAACTGGGATGATGTTGAAATCAGTCTTAGTTTCAGATGGAGGCCAGGCGAAGTGGCTCATGCCTGTAAATACTAGCACTTTGAGAGGCTGAGGCAGGCAGGTTGCTTGAGTCCAAGAGTTCAAGACCAGCCTTGGCAACATGGCGAAACCCAGTCTCCAAAACAAACAAACAACAACAAAAAAAACCCTGTCAGATTCAATTACCTATTGATGATTACATGATTGCTGACTTTGTTTCTTCTCTATCTAACATTATCCTTCCTCTTTGAAAGAATCTTTCCTTTCTACAACCCTGTATTGTTTTCCTGTAATTGTTGTAATGAATTATCACAAACTTGGTGGTTTAAAACATCAGAAATATCTTCTCTTCTGGTTCTGGAGCCAGAAGTCCCAATCAATATCTTCAGGCCAAAACAAAGTGTCAGTAAGACCACACCCTTTTCAGTGGCTCATGGGAAGAGTTCATTCCTCACCTCTTTCAACTTATGGTTGCTGCTGGTGTTCTTTGGCTTATGATCACATTACCTGACCTTCTGCCTCCAAGGTCACAATGCCTTTTCCTCTTCTGCTTGAAATCTCCCTCTGCCTCCGTCTTATAAGGACAGTTGTGATTGCACTTATTTCTCATCTAGATAATCCAGGGTAAGATCTTCATTCAAGATCCTCAATGGAATCACATCCTCAAAGTTTTTTTGCCATGTAATATAACAGTCACAAGTTTTAGGGATTAGAACATGAACATCTCTGGCAGGGCATGATTCAGCTTATCACAGACCCTGTGATGGAAGCTGTGGGTTCCACCATAGGGAACCTCCCTGCCCCGCCCCCCATACATGCTAATGGTGTCTCCTGAAAGTGCTTAAGATTCTCCATGGGGTGTTGGCCCTCAGCTGCTGCCAGAATCAGGCCAGAGGACCAGGGAGTTAGTGCCTCACAGAGCAGTCTTCTGGCAAAGGCATATAGAAATTGGAGGATAAATATCCCAGTTCACATGGAACAACTCAGAGATATTCTGTACCATCTCTTGGAGTTCTCTTTTGGGGTAGAGCTCTAGCTACCCACCATGGTAGCCTGCTTGGTGATGCACGTTATTTGCTTCCTTTCCTTCCCGGACTTTCTTGTCCCTTGGTGGTGTTTCCAAGGATGGGCTCCCACATAAACTACTTGCAGTGAAAGCCTGTCTCAAGATCTCCTCCTGGAGGAAACCAACCTCAGACAGGGCTCATGTTCTTACCTTCTGATTCAACCCCATTTTCAGGCAGCATGGGCTGTACACACCCCTGCAGGGCAAGGGCCATAGCCAATTTACCTTTCCATTGCCAGGGTCTGCTGAAATGAATTAAGGAAAGGGCGAAACCAAAATATGACTCTGAGAACCACATGGTTTAGGGCCTCTGGAGTCACGTGACTCAGCCCCTGAAAGTCAGACTGAGTCTAGGGGGTAACAGGTTGAAGATCAAACTCTTTGCCGGCAAGATCCTAAAAAAGGAATTGTCCTATTCAGAACTCAGGGTGTTGTTCCCAAATTCCTTTCACGTTGGAGGATTTTACTGTTCCTTCTGCATGCAGACCATGATAGTGTTAATCTTCTATAAATAGAAAACAGCCCCAAAATGTATAATAATTGCATACGCCACTCCTTTTGTCAACTTTTTGATTTAGTGCAAGTTGCTGCAGAGCTGGGTTTTATTGTATTATGATACGACAGTAATCTTTTCTGAGGCTTTCACTTTATTTTGTTACATTTATCTAGCGCGCCAGATTCACACTCCCACAGTAACCATATGGGGAAAAGCCACAAAAGCTGTTAAGTACATTTAATTACTGTTTTGATGAGCTCATATTTTAATTATGTTTATTGATTCTGTGTATATTGAAATAGTTTTAGCATTTCCAGAAGAAAAAAAAAACCGGAATCAATATGCAGCAATTACTGAACATTTTATGATCGTGTGTGTAATTAAAACTTTCATAAACTATTTTTGAAGCACATTTCCCCCTAATCCTATAGCAGTGATTAACTGAGTTTCTTACTGTGCTTAGGTAAGCTTTGGTTTTTCTTCTATGTAGAAGGAAAATAGGGATCAGAACAAAATATGTTTATAGTCAAATATTTCTGACTTAAAATGTCTCCCTTCCAAAACAGCAGAAAGCACATATTGTACCTTACACGATTTGCTAAAACACCGCTAACAATGATAAAACACAAATTTAAACTTCCTAACAATTCGGTGTTGCCAACTCAAAGATTAGTCCAACTGTCAGCCATACATATGTTGTTGCTAAGTGACAGATTAAAAAACAAAAAACCGCAACCGTCCAGTGTCTGCCTCCATCCTTTTCTCATACTGTTGACGTTTTTACAGTTCTTGGGGAATTTTTACTTAAAAAAAAATAAAACTACCTAAGCCCCACCTTGTTCAGAGAATTAAATCAGTGCCATTTTCATCTTCTGCATTTCATTACTCTCTGTCTGTCCAGGAGAAAACAAAGCCAAAATAGGGTGCTGTCTCTTCAGGACGTGATGCTAGCTGGTCTGTTCAAGGAACAAGTACTTCAAGCAAAACCAATTTACCCGGGTCTGTGTTTCTAAAAGCACCATTCCCCCAACCCCCTTCATCAGCATCACCAGCAGCTTTTGGAAACCCAGAAATTCTTGGGTCCCACCTGGGCGTCTGAGTCTCTAGAGAGAGCCACAGGAATCTGAGTTAGAAATACGATTTCCAGGTCTCAGGCACACTCACGTTTACAGGTCATTGAGGGCATTCCAAAAGGCTTCTCCCACTCCTCTCAGTTTTCTCATTCTAAAGTGGATCCTTCACAGTTTGTTCCAGAAAAAAATCATGGCTTGGAGCCTGCAGGTGCTACCTGCAGACAAATTGTTCCCTAAGACAGCCTGGGTAGGCAGCTTCATTCCCCTGAATGGGGGCAACCTGTGTCTACCCATGCTCTCAAACAGCAAACAGCAGGGGGCTGCCTTCAGCAAGTGCACAGGACACCTGTTCTCAAGGAACTCGCCTCAGGAAATAATTGTTTGGGATCCAAACTTACCAAAAGCCTGATTGAGAGGAATGTATTAGCTTCCTGTCACTGCTGTAACAGATTACCACCAACTGGTGGTCTAAAACCACAGAAATCTATTCTCTCACAGTTCTGGAGATCAGAAGTCTAAAGACAAGGTGTTGGCAGGGTTAATTCCTCTGGGAAGCTCTGAGGGAGAGGCTGTTCCGTGCCTCTTTCCTAGCTAGTGGTGGTTACTGGTGATCCTTGGGGTTCTTTGACTTGTAGATGCATCAGTAGAATCTGTGGCTCCATCGTCACGTTGTTTTTCTCCCTGTGTGTCTGCGTTTCTGTGCCCGAATTTCCCTCTCCTTATAGACACCAGTGATCAGCTAGAGCCGAATGTAAACTAGCGTGACCTTGTATTAGCCAATCGAGGTTTCCCAGCGAAACAGACTAATAGGCTCTCTCTCTATATATAGAGCCTATTATAATATATGTACATATAATATATATAGTCTAATATATATTAGTTTATATGTAATATATACTTTATATATATCAGTTTAATATATATTAGTCTATATTATTGTCTAATATAGATTAGTCTATATATAAAAATATATAGACTATAATAGACTAATATATATAGATATATATTATATATAACTATACTCATATATTAGTCTATATATATTATACATAACTATATATTATATATAGTTTAAAATATATGTTAGACTACATATATAGCCTATATGTAGGCATATATATACATATATAAAAAACTATATAATAGATACAGACTAATGGACTAGCATATATATCTCTTTATATATCTGTAGCCTATTAACCTATATATAGATGTATATATTAGTCTGTTAGTCTATATATAATATGACTATTATATAATAGACTGTAGACTAATATAATATATATTATGTATAGACTTAGATATATATATGTGTGTGTGTGTGTGTGTGTGTGTGTGTGTGTGTGTGTGTATAGGCTATTTATATTGGTCTCTTGCAGGGCATTATTCAGCCTACCACCTATGGTGGAAGCTGTGGGTTCCCCATCTGTAACCTCAGACTCATCATTTTAGTACATGCCAACTGTGTCCCCTACATATATAGCATATTGGTCTCTCTCTATATATGTATAAATCTATACATCCACAGCCTGTCAGTCTTTTTATATATATAGCATACACACATACACACACACACACACACACACACACACACACACACAAAATGAGGAATAGGCTCACATGATTATGGAGACTGAGAGGTTCCAAGATCTGGAGTCAGCAAGTTGGAGACTGAGGAGAGTTGGTGGTGGAGATCCAGTCTGAATCCAAAGGCCGGAGAACCAGGTGTGCTGATGGTGTAAGTAAGTCCTACTACAAGGGCAGAAGACCAATGTCTCAGCCCAAGCAGTCAGGCAAAGAGACAGAACTCAACCTCCCACTGCCTTTTTGTTCCGTTTAAGCCCTCAATGAGTTGCTTGACATCCACCCAAATTGAGGAGGACCATCTGCTTTACTTAGTCCATCTATTTAAATGCTAATCTTTTCCAGAAACACTCTCACAGACACACCTAAAAATAATGTTTAACTAGCTATCTGGGCATCCTGTGGCCCAGTCAAGTTAACACATAACATTAATAATCACAAACTTCATCTTGATTACATCTGCAAAGATCCTATTTCCAAATAACATCCCATTCACAGGTGCTGGGGGCTAGGACTTGACCATATTTTGAGGTGGACTACAATTTAACCCACAGCAACGAGTAATGTTTATGGAGGGCTATTTGAAGAAATGTCTTCCACCCATTCTCCTCAAGTTTCAAATAGTTCATGTTTTGTCTTTAGATTCAGCAAGACCATCAAAAGCTGCATCCCCAGGCCTTCTTGCTTTGGGTCCTCCCAGAAAGGCTTTCCTGAGAAAGGGATTTCGGTCAGTTTCTAATGATTCTTGCTGAGGGGTGCTGAAGTGGAGGAGTGTTACTCTGAGTGTGGCCCATAGATGGATGTCATTCCTCAAACTGCATGTTCACCAGTCCTCAAAGATGAGAATCCTTCACCAAAGTAGGTTGAGAAGTGCTATTGCAAAGGACACCAGCTACATTACTCTGGTCCCTTGTGAAGTGCCTTGGAAGACATTTATTTTACTGTTAGGTGCTAGTTAAGTCCTTCCCAGTTAAGAAAACTATGTTTATTGCTCTTCAACAACTGACCATGTCTCCCTTTTCTATCTGACTCTAAGAATCTTAATTATATAATAATGTAGCCCAGGCCAGTAATTAAATTAAGAGACTGAGTCTGGGCAGGGGGGATGTTGGAGGCCTGGAGACTCTATGACACTAGGAAGCATATAACCTATCTCAAGACATTTATACCTACATTTTAAAAACATGTATTCATTCACGCCTGTAATCCCAGCACCTTGGGAGGCCGAGGTGGGCCGATCACGAGGTCAGGAGATCGAGACCATCCTGGTGAACACGGTGAAACCCCGTCTCTACTAAAAATACAAAAAAATTAGCTGGGCATGGTGGCAGGCGCCTGTAGTCCCAGCTACTCAGGAGGCTGAGGCAAGAGAATGGCATGAACCCGGAAGGCGGAGCTTGCAGTGAGCCAAGATCTCACCACTGCACTCCAGCCTGGGCTACAGAGGGAGACTCTGTCTCAAAAGAAAAAAAAAAAAAGTATTCATTATGGAAATTTTCAAACATATAAAAATAGAGAGTTTTCATAAACTTGTCATTTGGATTCAGAAATTGTCAACATTTTAGTACTCTTTATTTACCTACCCCACTTTTTTTATTTTATATATTTTAAAATATATTTTATTTTATATATTTAAAAATACATCTCAGATGTTTTGTGGTTTTACTGGCACATGTACCATTATCATACCTATGAGAATTAATGATAATTCCTTAGTATCCTCTAATATTTAATCCATATTCAAATCTTGCAAATCCAAAACCAATGTTAGTTTTGCAGTTGGACTAAACAAGGCCTACACATTGCATTCATTAGTTACAGTTCTTCATTTGCTTTTGTCCTATAACAGTCTCTCCTTTCACTGGTTTGTAAAACAGGATAAAAAACTTTTAAAAAACACTATGTGGGCCAAACAAAACGCCACTTCAGTTGAGTTTGCTCATGTGCTGCCATTTTGAAATCTCTTGTGAGGCCCAGATATTTGCATTCAATTTTTCTCCCTGAGTTTGACTTCCTGTTTTAATTTCCATTTTCCCTGCATCTGATTTTCTAATTTGATTTTGAGGTTACCACTTCATTCTGTGTGTTTTTGCCATAAGCTCTCAAATCCTTGACAGGATGATTTGGGCTATAAGTAAGTTGAATTACAGTTATGCACTGCAGAATTAGGTTTTGGTTGTTAGGGACTGATATACAACAGTGGACCCATAAGACTATAATGAAGTTGAAAATTTCAACATCATAGCCGTTAAAATGTCATAGCACAATCATTTAAAAATAAACAAATTTAGTGTAACCTAAGTTCACATGTTTATAAAGGCTATGGTAGTGTACAGTCATGTCCTAGGCCTTCACATTCACTCACCACTCACTCCCTGACTCACCCAAAGCAACTTACCAGTCCTACAAGCTTCATTCGTGGTAAGTACCCTATACAGGTGTACCATTTCTTATCTTGTATAGGTATTTGTACTATACCTTTTCTATGTTTATAAAGATACACCCTGTCACGCTTGTGTTCCAATTGCCTATAGTATTTAGTGCAGTACCATGCTATACAGGCTTGTAGCCTAGGAGCAATAAGCTAGACCATATAACCTAGGTGTGTGGTACGTTAATCCACCTAGGTTTGTGTAAGGACACTCTTTAATGTTTGCACAACAACAAAATCTCCTAATGATGCATTTATTAAAATGTATACTCATCATTAAGGGACACATGACTATACGTAATAAATACGTGTTTGACAATAGCCAAGATATAAAATCAACCTAAATATTCATCAACAGATGAATGAATAAAGAAAATGTGGTATATATACACATGGAATTCTATTTAGTCATAAAAAAGAAGAAAATTCTGTCATTTGAGGCAACATACATAAACCTGGAGAACATTACGTTAAGTGAAATACGCCAGGCACAGAAAGACCAATATTGCATGTTCCCACTCATATGTGGAAGCCAAAAAGTTTGAACTGTTAGAAGTAGAGAGTAGAATAATGGTTTCTAGAGACAGGGAAGGGTTGAGGGAGGAGGGATAGCCGAGGGTCGGTTAGCAAATACCAAGTACAGCTAGGCAGGAGGAGTAAGTTCTAGCATTCTATAGCAGGATATGGTGATTATAGTTAACAACAATTTATTGTATATTTTCAAGTAGCTAGTAGAGCATATCTTGAATGTTCCCAACACAAATAAATGATAAATGTTTGAAGTGATGGATTTGCTAATGACCCTGATTTGATCACTAATGCTGTATACATATGTATCAAAATACCACACTGTACCCCATAAACATATACAATTACTATGTCAATTAAAAATAATAATAAAAGCATAAATACAATAAATCCTTGAGATAACAAAGTTCCCAGGAAGCTGAGTCCCATTGTTTAAAAGTCACCCCTGGCTGGGCACGGTGGCTCACACCTGTGATCCCAGCATTTTAGGAGGCTGATGCAGGAGGATCACCTGAGGTCAGGAGTTAAAGACCAGCCTGGCCAACATGGTGAAACTACATCTCTACTAAAAATACAAAAATTAGCTGGGTGTGGTGGTGCACCTGTAGTCCCAGCTACTTGGGAAGCTGAGGTGGGAGGATCTCGCTTGAGCCTGGGAGGCAGAGGTTGCAGTGAGCTGAGATCACAACATTGTACTACAGCTCGGGCGATAAAGCAAGACTCCATCTCAGAAAAAACAAACAAACAAACAAAAAAACTCACCTCAAGTGTTTAGCCTGCTGGTTCATCAAGTGCCAATCAGCTCTCATAGCTGACTTGCTTAAATCAGCTCACAGCATGAGGTGAGGCTCTTGGCCACTGTAAATCCCTCCAATTGAAAGGGAGGGCAGAGCCAGGGAAATGCTATTTTGCCTTTTTGTTTTGTGATCAGTAAGAAGAAGCCCATCAGAGGTAGTAATCAGATTCTAGAGTTTGTCATTTATGCATGAATTCAGCAGTGTGTTTGACAGAAAATTCCAGTGAATCCAGCAGAGTTGGGGTAAGGAGTCAAGATCTCACTGGGTTTTTATGACATTTATTGAAGATCTTCATATAGTATTAAATTAAAAAAAGGCAAGAAAAAACAAAGCAAGACTTTTCAGTAAAACTTCTCTGTCATTTCTTATTTTGAAGACTGGGAAATTTCCAAAGTAACTTAGAACACATTTGCTAAAAGGTCTACAATGGTGGGGGAGGAAATTTTCCCTATGAAAAGATTTATCGCATCCTTTCTCTTGGGATTCATATGTAACACATAGATGTATGACAATAGCTCAGGATTCATTCGAAAGGGAAGAACAATTAACACATGTGTTAAGTTTGCTCTGGCTGTGTGCTCAGCAGTATTCTAGGTTTTGTGGGAAATCAAAAATGTGCGAGGCAGTTTTTGCCATCCAATAATTAACAATCCAGATGGAAGTTGGAAACTCACACATGGAGAGCCTCGTATTGGCTGATGGAATGAGTGGTTCCATAAGCAGCAGTGTCTCAGGAGCTCTGTGGATATACACCAGGCGGTCTCACTGCCTCTTGTCCCCACCCAAGTCTATCCCTGATAAGTGAAACCATGGGCTCACCCTACTGTGGGCCCCTCCTCTCCTCACAAGCCTTCGAGACTTCTCTCCTGTGCAGTCACTTCACTCAGAATGAAATGCAAACTCTTCCCTTCGACACTGAAGGTCCTCCTCAGTTTCATCCTTCTTTGTCTTTCCAGCGGGATCTCCTCCTTCCTCCCTCTGTCCCTTACACACACAGGCATGCACAGGTGCGTACGCACACACACAGCACATTCAAAATTCCCTGAAACACCACCTCCAAGAATTCCCATATTTTTCCTTTTTGAATGGAGGATCATGTGGTATAGGAAACAAAACAAGCGTGGGCCCCCAAACGTTTTGCATTTGAATTTTCGCCATCTGTGGACTGTCTGACCTTGGGTAATCCATGTAGCCTCTATCAGCCTGACTTTACTTATCTACAGAATGAAGATAAAAATCATGCCCACTCTCAGAGTTGATGAGATAGGACATTTGTAATGTGATTACTGTGTGGCTCCTTGTGGCCCTCCAACTCAGTAGCTGATTTTCTAATCCTGGCCTGATTTGATTGACTCCCTATCCCTTCTGCCCCAAGGTTTAGGAACACAGCTCGAGAAAATGAAAGAGAGAGTCCTGAGCAGACAGAGATGAGCATGGCAGGAGCTCAGGGAGCAAATGGAGACTGGAAGCTGAAACACTGGGGTCAGCACTAAGAGAGCAAGATGGGGGACTTCGTGCTGCAGCTTCCTGGCTTCCTGGTTCCTTCCCCGCCCTCGTCCTCCTTCCTTCACTCACCGATTCCAGGCCCTTTTAAGGCTACCCAGAGCAACCTCGCCCAGTAAACTACACTCTCTCAGGCCTTGACTGAGGCTGTGTTGACAACCACTAAAGTTGCCACTTAACTCCAGCTCTTTAAAAGTCCGATTTCATAACAGGATGATGTGATCCCGGCAGCATTTGCGAGGTGCAGCTGCCTGTGTGTAATCAGGCACAGACCACAGCAGTGTGCGTGGCAAGCATTCTGTTCCAAAGTTTCCTTCAGTTTCTTGAATTCTATCAGTCTGAAAAGTGAAAGGAAACAGCACTGAAGGCCTTTAGGGTCAAGATAATGGTGGGAAATGACAGGGAACTCCATCAAGAAATCAAATATCCACTGAATTTATAATCCATATTTAATATGGATTAAACATTAGAGTATTTCATCTCCATGCTCACAGGCGTAATATTCTAATCGCACAGGGACTAAATACTGCCCCTTCCAAAAAGAAAATCTGCTCTGGTTCCTATGCAACTATGCATCACTGTGTATCCTAAACACAGCCAACACAGTATAAAGGCTTAACACGTGGGCAGCTTTCCTCTGTGATCTGCCTTTGTGAACCTCCTTTCTGGTAATGGCTAACACACTTATGCTGAGACATAGAGGGCCTCCTTTAGAAATGATCAAAGCTGTGAGAAAGAGAATTCAGGTGAGCACTGGCACATGACTCTGGTGGGATGACGTGCTTGAATCTGGCCCTGCAGCAATAGAATTAGTTTTCGAAACAGAAGAGAACTACAGATCTCTGTGTAGTTCAGTCTTCTTGCTCCTTTCTGAGGACATTTTCATTCCACAGGGAATCTGGTCACCATGCTGAAAGTTACCAGAGTGGGCTGAAATCTCCCCAACACACAAATGGCCAACATTCTTCATAGTAATCCATTCTGCTCATAAGGAAGGAACCCAGGCTCCAGGGACTCTGTTCCTCTCACAAGTGATATTTTCCTATAATAAACACAGCAGCTGCCATTTATTAAGCACATAGTATGTGCCAAGCACAATACTAAGAGCCTTACGTCATGGTCATTAGGTCGAATGGCAGGACAATTATATTATATTATATATTATATTATAGGCAAAAACTGTTGTTATAAACTTTTTTTTATGACAGAGTCTCACTCTGTCACCAGGCTGGAGTGCAGTGATGCAATCTCAGCTCACTGCAACCTCCACCTCCCGGGTTCAAGCAATTCTCCTACCTTAGCCTCCCGAGTAGCTGGGACTACAGGCACATGCCACCACGCCCAGCTAATTTTTGTATTTTTTTTTAGTAGAGATGGAGTTTCACCATGTTGGCCAGGACAGTCTTAATCTCTTCACCTTGTGATCCGCCCGCCTTGTCCTCCCAAAGTGCTGGGATTACAGGCGTGAGCCACCGCACCAGGCCATCAACATTTTACAGATGAGAAAGCCAAGTTCATGGAGGTTAAGTAAAGAACACACAGAAAGAGAGGGAGCTGGGGATTCAAATCATACCATCAGTTCCTTTGAACGGTTTAGTCTGAGAACAGTCATTCTCTTGCAGCCTACACCAGGCTTGGCTTCACCAACCAGAAACTTCCAGAAGAGGTCGTATATCCACTAATATGATGTATGAAGACTTCCAGCCCACCAGGCCACGGGGAAACTTGGTCGCCCCGTAAGTCCCATGAGTTCTATGTGTTCTCAAGAGCAGGTCCCTCATGTCCCCCTGCCCGGCCCCCTGGCCCAGTACCTCGCCACTCCTGCTACTGCACCCTGGGAATGGCTGCCTGTTATGGCTTGGCTGTGTCCCCACCCAAATCTCATCTTGAGTTGTAGCTTCCATAATTCCCACGTATTGTAGGAGAGACCCAGTGGGAAATAATTGAATCATAGGTGCAGTTTCCCCCATACTGTTCTCGTGGTAGTGAATAAGTCTCACGAGAGCTGATGGTTTGATAAGGGGTTTCCCCTTTTGCTTGATTCTTGTTGTCTCTCTTGCCTGCCACCATGTAAGACACCCCTTGCTTTTCTGCCATGATTGTGAGGCCTCCCCAGACATATGAAACTGTGAGTCAATTAAACCTCTTTCCTTTATAAACTACCCAGCCTTGGCAGCGTGAAAACAGACTGATACACTGCCTCTGCCAGTGACTTCTCCTAACACCAGCACTGTGGACTGGGGAGGGTGGCCTGCCCTCCTCTTCACTCTTCTGCCTCAAGTGTGAACCAGGCTGTACTGATTTGCTAGGACTGCTAGACGGAAGATTAAGTGGTTTAAACAACTCAAGTGTGTCTTCTCACAATTCTGGGGGCCAGGAGTCTGGCCTCAAGGTGTCAGCAGGGTTGATTTCCCTCGAGGCCTCTTTCCCTGACTTGTAGGCAGCTGCCTTCCTGCTTAGTCCTCTGGTCTTCATTCTGCATGTCTGTGTCCTAATCTCCACTTTTTACAAGGACACCAGGCATGTTGGGTTAGGGTGTACCCTAATGACCTCATTTTAACTGAATTACTTCCTTAAAGCACCTATTTCCAAATAAAGGCACATTCTAGGTGCTGGGGGTTAGGACTTCAATATGTGAATTGGTGCGGGACACAAGGCAGCCCATAACACAAGCCCTTCCTTTAATTTTCACAGCAGAACAGCTACCATTGCACACTTTTTAAGAGGGCTTTACTAATCGTTTGGAGAATATGGAAGAAAGCACCACTACAACTACTTCTGCATAGAGGTGCTCTCAAAAGTTGCAAGTCTAGACCAAATCCCCTGGCCACTTGAAAGGAGGTTAGCTTGCTTAACACCCTCCCTACAGGGCGCAGTGGCTCACGCCTATAATCCCAGCACTTTGGGAGGCTGAGGTGGGCAGATTACCTGAGGTTGGGAGTTCGCGATCATCCTGTCTAACATGCTGAAACCCTGTTTCTACTAAAAACACAAAAATTAGCCAGGCATGGTGGTGGGCACCTCTAATCCCAGCTACTTGGGAGGCTGAAGCAGGAGAATTGCTTCAACCCGGGAGGCTGAGGTTGCAGTGAGCCGAGATCATACCATTGCACTCCAGCCTGGGCAACAGAGCAAGACTCCATCTCAAAAAACAAACAAACAAACAAACAAAAAACACCCAACCTGTCTACACTTGGCAGTGACCAACCACTCTCTTATGCTGTTGAAATCAAAATTACTTCTGCACCTTAGAGTCCAGTCCCAACCAGGGAGGTCCAGGGAGAGAAAGAAGTTTTTCTGACTCTTGGCTGTTGGTCTCACCTCTCCAGTTCTCCCTTCCTCTTCCAGGAGTAGCTCCTTCTGGGGTGACTGAGTTTGTCAATATTCATTCCCTGATGGAAAAAACACACACACTACCCACAAAAGAGTGATCTCTGCAGCTCATAGCTGGACAGTTAAATCAGACATAATCATTCAATATCAGTACATTTCCCAGGGTCTAGATGCTCGACTCTTAAAAATACTTAGTGTCTGCCGTGGTGATTCATGCCTGTAATCCCAGCATGTTGGGAAGCCAAGGAAAGAGGGTCGCTTGAGCTCAGGAGTTCGAAGCCAGCCTGGGCAGCATCCTACTAGATGCCATCATTTGAGCCCAGGAGATGGAGGCTGTGGTGAGCCAAGATTACACCATTGCTCTCCAGCCCAGGTGACAGAGTGAGACCCTGTCTCAAAAACAAACAAAAACCCCACCTTCTCATCTTGGGAGCCTTCTCTCTCCACCAGCCTGACGGGTGGCTTAGTTTTCTGTGGCTGCTAAAAGTAATTCCAAGTGTGCTGAACACTGTGGAAGAGACTGCCAGCTACCCCAAAGGTTTCTGTGTCTCCTTTAGTGCAGAGACAGCCCCTACCTCCCCTGTATCTAGGTAAGACAACATGATTGAGTCTCACCAGTGGAATGTGAGTGAAAATAAATAACTTTGGGACAGAAGAGAAGCAGGTGGGTCTTCTTCACCATCTTTCCTCATCCACTGGCCAGGCATAAAGTTCATCAAGGCCCTAGGAAAGGGCAGAGACACAAGAGGGAAGGAGCCTGGGTCCCTGAGCCGTTATGTAGAATGTCAACTGCCAAACCGACAGTTTGCTAATTGACAGGATTGTTATAGAAGTGAGAAATTCACTTATGTTGAGTGAAGCCACTGAAATTCAGGCTTGCATTACTTATTTACTTTGACAAACACAAAAGCCAACAGGACAACCTAGCTGGAACCTCCCTGGGTCAGGTCCAGGTTCTCTTCTCGCGCCTCCTCCACCGCAATGAGCAGCCACACAGCCTTCACATAGTCTTGCACGCTTCCAGCCATGATAGCTGTGAACTTGTCCAGGATATACACGCCTCCCCATGACAAGCAATAAGTTCAAGGTACACCCATTCGTGAAAAGAAATATCTCAGAGTTTCCTATACCAGTCATAATCAACATTTAATGTCTACCCCTGAGGAAAATTAACCTGCTTATAGATTTAGATAAATGTTCTATTTTGTTTTGCTTTTCATTCTTGCCCATTGATGTTTTTAAGAATCTTGCTATGCACTGAAGGTCTGTGCCCCTCTAAAATGTGCATGTTGAATCCCTAACATGAGACGTGATGGTGTTTGGAGATGGGGCCTTTGGGAAGTGACTAGGTTTACATGAGGTCATGATAGTAAGGCCCCCATGGCAGGGTTAGTGCTCTTAGAAGAGAAGAAGGCCAGAGTGAGCTCTCTCTCTCCCTCTCTCTCTCTGTCTCTCTCTCTCTCTCTCTTGCTCTGTCTCTCTCTCTCTCTCTTGCTCTGTCTCTGTCTCTCTCTGCCATGTGGGGGCACAGCAAGAAGGCAGCCACCTGCAAATAAGGAAGCGGACCCTCACCAGGAACTGAACTGCCCTCACCCTGATTGTGGACCTCTCAGCCTCCAGAACTGTTAGAAATAAACGTCTGTGGTTGAAGCCATCCAATATGCGGTATGTTGTTATATCATGTTGTATTTCGTTATAGCAGCCCGAGCTGACTAAGGCAAATCTTGAGGTAAAATCTTGGCAGAACTCTGCCTCTTTCTGCTTTTAGGGGAGATCTTCTCATCTTGGGGGTCTTCTCTCTCCACCAGCCTGATGAGTGGCTTAATTTTCTGTGGCTGCTAAAAGTAATTCCACAAACTTAGTGTTTTAAACAATACAAACTCATCATCTTACTGTTCTGGAGCTCAGAGTCTGACAAGAATCTCACTAATCTCAAACCAAGGTGTCAGCAAGACTGTGTTCCTTCTGGAGGGTCTACGGGAGAATCCATTTCCTTGCCTTTTCCAGCTTCTAGAGGATATCTGCATTCCTTGGCTCATGGCCCTTCCTCCACCTTCAAGGCCAGCAGCATTGGGCCAGGTCTCCTCTCAGTCTGCTGTCTCTCTGATTTTCTGCAGCCAGGACCCTTGTGATGGCATTGGCCCCAAATGGATAATCCAGGATCATCTCCTATCCCAAAGTCCTTAACCTTAATCACATTTGCAAAGTCTCTTTTGTCATGTAAGGTAACATATTCACAGGCTAGGAGGATTAGGATGTGGCTCTCTTTGGGATGTGTCTATTATTTTGCCCATCACTGTGAGTTCTGCGCCCTCACATATCTTCCCAAGCCAGTTTGTAAAACACTAAAAGAAAAGAAATCCCAAACCTCCTGCATCTGTCTGAAAAGCTGTTGCTTTGTTCTTGAATCACTATTTGTGCCTCAATGTTCCATAGAACCACTAGTCTTAGTTCAGTGTTTGGGCAAATGGAAACAGAATCCAAGTGCATCTAATTCCCTGCACAGTCCCTGGCATAGGCATAGAGAGAATCAGGCTGGGGCCTCATGAAGAGCAGCCTGGTGAAATAAAAGCAAATCCTGGTAAGTGGGCTTTGGGTTGACTTTCAGGATCAAAACTGGGTTTTCTCCTTTGTATAAGACGGGGAGGCAAAAAGGATTTTCTGGGTGCCTCCAAAGCCTCCTTCAGTTTTCTCCTCCTCCAGAGTCTGTGACGTGTGTGTTTGCACTCCATTCTCATCTCAGCACTCTGTTCAGTCCACTCTCTCCCCCACTAGTTGACAGCTGCCATGGAAATGCATTCTCAGGGTCCTGCCTCTATCCTTCTTTTCTCATCTGTCATTTCTCAATTCTTTCTTAAACTCGCCAACTGCTGTAGATTTCACGACCATCCTCTGGATTCATTCCTTGCATTTTTGTTTTCAGAATTCCCCCTGGGACTTAGACATTCACTCAATTCAGATGCCTGGATCATTTGAGACATGATCCTTCTATAATTGTAATATGCCTGGGCTTGCGCTTGCTGTATGATTAATCAAGTTATGACCTCGGCAACACAGGCTTGTTCCAAACTTTTATAAGATGCCTGGGAGTTCCAACCCTATTTGGGGGAAGATATAAATAGGAATTGTTCATTTAAAAGTCCTCCCAGGTGTTGAAAAGTAATCACCCAGTAACACCAAGGTACAGTATTAATATTTTTTCCAGAGAGACTCTATTTCTACTTGCAGATTTGCAGATCTCATATTTTGCAAAGCTGGATGGAAGTCTTCATGCTCACATCAATCAACGCTTATCTTTCAAACAGGCTTCTGGTCCTGGATCAGTGGAAAATTAATTTCATAATAGAACCATGGCTTTCTTCTTGGGAATTTGAGATGTTTGTTCATTGCCAAGAGCACGGGGTTGTAAAAGATAGTCCTTCATGTAACAGATCCTACTTCATAAACATGAGATCAGGGTAATCCTTTAGAATTTGGGGAGACATTTCCAAAGTGCTGGGGCTAAGGGCCACCATGGTATCTCTTTCTTTGGGTGACTGCTTCAAGAAAGGAACAGCAATTTGGCAACGACTCACTCAGCCTTAATGTCCGTATTTGACCCTTCCCCATCATCACCAGCTTCCCCTGTGAGATGCTTTCCTTCAATATTTACTGAGAGCCTACCATGTGCTCAAGACAATCAATGTCTTAGGCGTTTAGTCAACACATCCTCAGGCTTTTACCCTAAAATATCTTGATTTCTTTACTCCGACTTCCTGCCTGGACTCCTTGACTTGCAGCTTTAATTGCTCTGGTAAATTAAACCTCCTAGCTGCTACCTGCCACCAGAGCGATCTCTCCCAACCACTCATGTGAGGCTGAGCACAGTGGTTCATACCTGTAATCCCAGCACTTTGGGAGGTTGAGGTGGGAGGATCACTTGAGGCCAGGAGTTTAAAACCAACCTGGACAACATGGTGAGGCCTTGTCTTTACAAAAAAAAAAAAAAATCGTTTAGCCAGGCAAGGTGGTGTGCACCTGTGGTCCCAGCTACTCATGAGGGTGAGGCAGAAGGACTGCTTGAGCCCAGGAGGTAGAAGCTGCAGTGAGCTGTGATCGTGCCACCGCACTCCAGCCGGAGCAACAGAGCAAGACTGTCTGAAAAACAAGCAAACAAACAGACAAAAAGAAAATCAAAACACACACTCATGTGATAAAATCAGTTTAAAAATCTGGTGTTTCCCCATAGCTGGCACCATCATCTGTGCCCCCTGCTAGATCCCTAGGCTAAAGCAGTAAGACCCACCATTCCTTCCTGTACCATGCTCTTTTACACTGGCCTGGCCTTTGCCCATACTCTTTGCTCTACTTGAGATGCCTTTGCCCTCTTCTCTACCTTCTATATTCTGGTCATCCTTCAAGACTGAGTTCAAATGTCACTTCTGCCCACGTGGAAAGAGCAATGGACCATGAACCAGAAGCCCTAGCCTGAAGTCCAGCTCTGCCATTCACTAGATATGTGACACAAAACAAGTCACTCTTCCCATGTAGGCTAATTTCAAAGTTTATAGATTTGAAAATCTGGATGGGTTGATCTCATTCCTTCTTGGAATAGTGTCTATGTCTTTGGCTGTTTTCCAAGGCCCCTTGAGCCACCTCCCCAAACTCTCCATAAAGTTAAAAATACACACACTGGCTCACAATCTCATTCCTGAAAGACTATACCTAAAATGAGAGCTCTGTGCGTATAAGATTGTACGCACACATATACACGTGGAAACAAGGTGAGTGAGTGTTGATCAATGGCAGAATGGATGAACTCATGGTAGAAGCACAAAATACTACACAATCACTAAAAAGAGTGAGTTAGAACTATTACAAGCTGATTTGGAGGGATTGCTTGCTGGTGCATGTTATTAATAAGGGAAAAGAAAACCTATACACTCACACACAGAGAAATGTGAAAACTGTGACCGTATTTTACCAAAAGAGTGAGCTTTGCAAGCCGTGCCTCACAGGTTTGCATAAACCACAGAAACATCCAGAAAGATGTGGAAGGATGCACACTGGATTCTTAGCACTGATGACCTGGGTGCAGGGGTGGATGAGGGTTGGGGACAGAGAGAGAAATAACCCAAAAATAAAAGATTTTTTTAATGACTGATTAAAAAAAGAAAAGCATATAATATCCATTAACATAAAATTATATTTCTGGGCATGTTTATCTTCACTAAGACATGAATGAAAGATTGGCATCAAGTAGGAATAGTGTTATCTCAGGCGAGAGGGAGTGAAGGCAATTTTCACTTTCTACCCTCATCCTTTACTGAACCATTTGCCTTGATTTCAATGAGTGTGCATGGTCTGATCAGAGGAGCAATCATGGCTGAAGCATAGGAGGCACTACTTCTGTGGTCTAGGCACTTTCTGTATAGTGACTCATTTGGGCCTTGCAAGTAATATTTTATGACATCAGTAGTATTTTGGTGGGATTATATTTTTTACTGATGTATAATATATGTACATATTTTGGGGGTTCTGTGATATTTTGATACATTCAAATAATGTGTAAAGATCAAATTAGGATAATAGGGATAGCCATCATCTTAAAAATTTGTCGTTTCTTTATACTAGGAACATATGAATTATTCTCTTCTAGCTGTTTTGTAATGTACAATAGATTATTGTTAACTGTGGTCACTCTACTGATCTGTCAAACACTAGGTCTTATTTCTTCTAACTGACTATACCTTTGTACCCAAAATCAGCACTATTATTATGCCCAGTTTTAAAATGAGGAACTGGGACACAGAATGGGCCATAACTTGCCCAAGTCATACAGTTTGTGTGTGGTAATGCCAGTCTTTTTTTTTAACTTCTTCCCTCCCTCCCTCCCTCCCTTTCTTTCTTTCTTTCTTTCTTTCTCTTTCTTTCTTTCTTTTTCTTTCTTTCTTTCTTTCTTTCTCTTTCCTTCCTTCCTTCCTTCCTTCTTTCTTTCTTTCTTTCTTTCTTTCTTTCTTTCTTTCTTTCTTTCTTTCTCTCTTTCTTTCTTTCATCTCTCTTTCTCTCTTCCTTTCTTTTTTTGACTGTGTCTCACTCTCTTACCCAGGCTACAGTGCAGTGGTGCAGTCTTGGCTCACTCTAACCTCCACCTTCCAGGCTCAAGCAATCCTCCCATCTCAGACTCCCAAGTAGCTGGAACAACAGGCATGCACTGCCACGCCCAGCTAATTTTTGCTTTTTTTTTTTTTTTTTTTTTTCAGAGAGGAGGTTCATGATGTTGCCCAGGCTGGTCTTGAACTCCTGGGCTCAAGTGATCCACCCTCCTTGGCTTCCCAAATTCTTGGGATTAAAGGTGTGAGCCGCCACACCCAGCAGGTAATAGTCTGGGTTCAGAGTCCAGTGTGGACTTAACCACAAAGAAAAACTGCCTCAGTAATTAGAAAATGACACAAATGCCGTCTTCACACTGGGAAAGTGAATGCCCTCCCTTGTCAGGGCTTCCCCTGGCCTTGTGTCTTTCACCACCTGCCACTGCGGCCCACCTGCAGGACCCCTCCTTTGAACCGCTGAAGGGCAGCTTCCCAACTTCATCTTCCCATCCCACCCCTGGGCACGAGCTGGCTCCCAATGAAAGTGTACTGAAGTAGGATTGCTAATCTTTACCCTCTCTTTCCAACAAAACCATGAAACTGAGGAAAGAATTTGAAACACAGTACTTCTTGGTTTATGAGCTCATGTGCATACAGAGTAAAAAAAATAATTTCTAATATAAACATCATTAAAGTTATTACTGGGTTTTAAATTGCATTGTATTACTGGGTTTTAAATTGCATCTAATGACTAGAGAAAGCTATTAAGCCTTTATATAGAATGGAAGTTGTTATTTTTTAAAGGCACCTTCTATTTAATATACATCCCAAATTAGACCTGCCAGAGAAACTGACTGTTTTACAGTTATCATTTGTGCTGACTTCAAAGGAAAGCCAACTTAACTGCAGTTCCTGCTGGTGCAGGGGCCACGTTTCATACTGCAAACTTTTAGTTGTTCTCTTGAAAGTCATAATTAACATTAAAACCAGCCTAAAATTATCACAATTTATATGGTGGTGAATTCACAGGAAAACCCATGAGTAGCTTTACCACAAACAGGAGGTAGAACCGTATTTTGTATTAGTCATTGAATAATATGCCCATTGGAAAGACGCGTGGGACAAACTGGAATTTATTGTGTGCTCATTATTTCATGAGTCGCAGCAAACCCAACAGTCAGGTCAACCTGCAGGTCGAACTGCTTGGGAAGTTCTTTTAATATTGTGTCAGGACCTTCAGCAGTGGCTGCTTCCTACTGCTCATTCTAATTAAAGGCATTAGCCAAAGCCTTTTTCCCCTTGATCAGCAATGGTTAAGAAACCGCAATTGTGGTTTCTGGTTCACTTTTGTGTGTTTTCTCTGAAGTCTGAAGCACTCCTTGCATCTCCTGCTATTTTTATATTTTGATTTAAGTAGGCGTTAGTTCCAGATCATGTCTTTTCTATACCTTTCCATTCTTTCAGTCCCAGGGCCTAAAATCCTTGTTATTTCCACGTCTCTTCCTACTCTATTGCTCCATATCATCCTTTCTTCATCACTTTCTCCTCCGTTCTGTTCTCATGGCCACACCCAAAGCCAGGCTCCTCTTCCCTCATTCCCAGATTACTGAGGCATCCTTGCAGTTCCTCTCACTGCTGTCCCTACTGCTCGGTTCATTTTCCGGAGACAAGCTCATCTCTCCTCCTGTTCAAGATTCTGCAGTGACTCTGTTGATCACTTCACCAAGTCACACTTCCCTGTCCCCTTTAAGTCCCTGCATTCCCTGGCCTCCAACTGCCCAGCCAACCTTGCCAGCCTCTTCCTCCCTTTCTCTAGTCATCTCTGCTCCTCCTATTCCACGACCCCACTATTTCCATTCTGACCCCAAGGCCTTGAATTATTTAGTCTCCATTTACTTAGAACACTCTCCTGCTTGCCCTTTGCTTTTCCAACTCCCAGCCAACATGTTCTAGTAGAAGGAATCCTAAAGGAACTAGAAAACTCCCACCCAAGTTCCAGAACCACTACTTTACCAGTCATCTATTCCTATATGACAAATTACTCCAAAACCTAGTGGCTTAAAACAAGTCATTTTATTAAGTGTCATTATTTTGTGGATCAAGATTTGGGGTAAGGCTCAGCTAGGAAATTCTTCCACTTACCTGGGATTGACTAAGGTTAGCTGGTATATTAAGTGGGAGACTGGTCTGGTCTGTGTGTCCAAAACAACTTCAACTCACATACCTGGTGCCGTGGAGGAAATGGCTGCAAGGGTGGACTCAGCTAGAATTGTCAATGAAAGGTCTACATGTAGCCTCTTCAGCCTGGTGAAATCCCATCACATTCACAAGTCCTGCCCACATGCAAGTGGAGGGAATTATGCAGGGCACGGACATCAAGGGGCAGGAATCTTGGGGCATCTTAGAATTCTGCCTACCACGGTCATCCAGTAAGATGTGGCATTGCTATGATGGGAAGCCTGATACTCTTACCACCAAGGTCTGAGTCCATAAACAACCTGGAATACCTACAAAATGAAGGAATAATTATGAAAGCACACTGCAGCCTTCTAAGAGGCTAAGAGAATGGGGGTTGGTATTACTATTTCTCATTCATCAGGGTTCAGCTTGAATCCTCTGCCCCTGTAATCTGTGCCATAAAGACCCTACTGACCTCTGGAGTTTAGCTCACCCAATCTCCACCTTCTTTGAGTTTCATTTCCCTTGGTTAATTACCTTCACACCATGTAGTTTACTTTTTCTTCTGTTGGTTTTGTCTCCTCATATGCCTGCACAGTAGGCTGAATAATGGTCCCCAAAGATATCATGTCCTAATTTCCAGGACCTGGAAATGTTACCTTATTAGAAAAAGTAGTCTCTGCAAATATGATCAAGTTAAGAGTCTTGAGATGGGGAAAGTATCCTGGATTATCGAAGTGGGCCCTAATTGTAATCATAGTGCCCTTATAAGAGAAGTAGAGAAAGATTCGACACACAAAAAAGAGGAAAGTGATGTGAAGATGGAACAGGGAGAGATTTGAAGATGCTGCCTTGAGGACTGGCATGATACAACCAGGAGCCAAGGATTGCTGCCAGCCAGCAGAAGCTGGGAGAGGTAAGGAACTGATTTTTCCCTAGAGGCTCTGTGGGGAAGCACAGCGCTGCTGACACCTTGATTTCAGCCCAGTGATAGTGACTCTGGGCTTCTGACTTCCAGAATTCTGAGAGAGTAAATTTCTGTTGTTTCAAGCCACCAAGTCTGTGGTGATTTGTTACAGCAGCTACAGGAAATGGAGATAGGCTGTAAGAGCCTTGAGAGAAGTCCTGGAATATTGTATCGTCATTGAAAATATTCAACAAGACTTTGTAACTGCAAGAAAAAAAAAGTGATATGCTACAATGTTCTCTAAAAACCAGGGTTAAAAATAAAAGTTGTGGGTATTATGATCACAGCTACATAAAAATACAGAGAAAATAAACTAGAAAGAAGAGAGGTATTACGAGAGCAGATTGTGTTTTCTCTTTCTATATCTCTTTTTCAAAAATTCATTGAACCATATTACTTTTATAGTGAGAAGTTTTCAATTTTTTTTAAGAGAAAGTACAGTTGTTCCTCAGTATCCATGGGTGATTGGCTCCAGAACCTCTGCAGATACCAAAATCTAAGGATGTTCAAGTCCCTTATATAAAATGGCATTGTATTGGCATAGAATCCACGTGCTCCTCTCCTATACTTTAAATCATCTCTAGATTACTTAGAATACATAATAAAATGTAAATACTACGTAAACAGCTGCTAAACTGCATTGTTGAGAGAATAATGACAAGAAAAATAGTCTGTACATGTTGAGTCCAGATGCAATTTTTTTCAAAAATTTTTGATATGCAGTTGGTTGAATCATGGATGTGGAACCCATGGATATGAGAGCTGACTGTACCTTTGGTAGTTTTGTTAAGTGCTTCCCACTTCCTAGTGACTGTGTTGGGTAAAATCAAAGATCCTGGAGGCCTGGACTTTTAACTATGCATGGCTAGTTAGACTGTGTCTGCCTTGTTCACTGCTGTTCCTTCTGTGCCTGGGACAGTGTATTCTAGGGCCTCAGTCCATGCATCTGGTGGATTGACAATGGGCAGTTGGACAAGTGGTCAGGGCTCAGAGTGCAGTTCCATCTTGCTGTGAACAACCAAGCTGAGCAGAAGAATGCCATGTACAGAACTGGCTTGTATACAGAAGGCATACAACGTTGGCCGGATTAAATTAAATGGCAGGTGCTATGGACTACTTTTGTCCCCCACCCAAAATTTATATGTTGAAACCAAAACCACCACTGTGATAGTATTAGGAGATGCAGGCTTTGAGAGGTGATTAGGTCATGAGGGTAGAACCCCATGAATGGGATTAATTCTCTTATAAAAGGGACCCCAGAGAGCTCTCTTACCCTCTTTCGGCCATGTTGCACTCTGCAGCCAGGATGAGGGCTTTCACCAGAACCTGACCATGCAGGCACCCCAATCTCAGACTCCCTGCCTCTAGCGCTGTGCAAAATAAGTTTCTGTCATTTGTAAGCCATCCAGTGTGTGGCACTTTGTTATAGAAGCCTGAACAGACTAAAACAGCAGGAAATTATCCTGGGCAGGTAGCAGGAATGGGTGTGAACTTGCTGCTGAGAGACAGTTGAGACACTGGCATAGAACTAATGCATATTGTCACCTATATTTTAAATCATCTCCAAATTACTTATCACCTAGATTAGAAAAGGCAAGGAAAATAACTCTGCAGGGGTTGGGTTGTGGGGGACAAAGGGGATCCTTCCCCGACACCTAAAATACATCCCAGCACTGGAGGAAAGTGCGCATGTGAAAATATAAACGTACTTCCTTCTCCTTCCTTCAGCTGTCTTTGAAAATCAAAGATTAGGTGCCCAGGGAGTGACTGGGGAGTAACTAAAGGACTGGATTAATGAAAGAATAAATGGCCAGCACTCTGAGAGGAGCTTCATAAAACACACGAGGGTGATGGGCATGTCTCCCATTACATCCTCAACATTTACCACAATGCCTGGTACTTGGAAGACACTCTGCAAATATTTATTGAATAAATGAACCAAAGCCCAGGAAGTCCTTTGAGCCGTGATAGGGAGGAATTTACTCCTCAGTCCACTTCCCTGTGAGCCAGGAGAGCAGATGGCAGCTCATCTTGGGGGATCCAGAGGTACAAAGAAAGTCAGGGTGGGGAGGTACTGAAGGTAGCAGTGGAAGGCTGGCTCCCAAGCTCCTCCCCAGCCTTCATTTCCTCAGGGCTGGGAGAGGAAAATGCTCACCTGAGAGCTTCTGAACCCAGGGCTCCCAGCACCCAGTGATTTGAGGAAACCATTGAATCTTTCAGCTTCTTGGTTTCCTCACTTGAGGAATGAAATGGGGGAATTAATAGTGACCTCCATTCCCAGCTATTATGGGGCTTAACTAAACAAGACTTGCAAAGTGCTTCAAACACTCAATTTCCAGTTCTGAGAAGGTGGGCTGATGTAGAGGGACAGGCTTACTGTGTGTGGTTGGTGGGGTCCACAGGGGTCCTTGCCAACGAGGAAAGCTCCCAACAGTACCTCAATTGCATGGCAGAGATGAGCAAGGGCCAGGCAGAGGACATCACAGACTGAAGCAAGGGAAGGATGGTGCAGTTGGGATGTACAGAGGGAGGCAAGGACCTTGTTTGGAGTGGTCCCCAAACAATCCTGACAATGGAGGAGAGGGAGGCAGGATGGCCGGTCCAAGTTCTGGCTTTGTCTCTAACTCAGTCAGTAACCTTGACCCTCAGCTTTCTATATGGGGGAAACAGAGGGGTTGAATTAGGTAAGACCAGGGGCCCTTTCAGAGGTGCCCATTTACGCCATTGATGTCTTCCAAAAGTAAAGGGGGACAGTTTGAACCACAGCACATCCTAAACTGATAATCTCATCTTTGATTGACTTCTCTGAGTTTTCCAGAACTTGGATTTGGAAATATGAATAATTTCAGAAGCCAATAGTTGTTTGAAACAAAGACTTGAAACTAACTACATAATTCACTTCAAATTCGTTATGCTTTTTTAAAAACAGAACTAAAACCCAAGAGAATGGGAACAAATAACTTTAACTCCCACTTTTTGAATCATGAGCTTGAAAGGCACCTGGATGATGAAACTGTGGACGCTTTCACAGTCCCCTTTGGGTAATGCTGTGCAGCGGGCAGGACATAGCTTTGAAGCTGTGTGCATGGCCGGAGGAGCTCACCCTGAACAGGCCAGCAAACTTCCTGCCCTGCCTTTCTTCACCTCTGAAAACTTGGACTACCAAGTGGATTAGGGCTAATATAGGTAAAGTGACTAGCCCTGTAGTCATGGTAAATACTCAATCCAATAATATATTATTTTAGTATTGTTATTAATATTAAAACAGTAGAAGCATGTGATTGTCACAATATTACAAATATAAGTAGTAGAAATTTCTTTTTTTTGAAACGGAGTCTCGCTCTGTCACCCAGGCTAGAGTGCAGTGGCACGATCTCGGCTCACTGCAACCTCTGCCTCCTGGGTTCAAACAATTCTCCTGCCTCAGCCTCCCAAGTGGCTGGGACTACAGGCACACGCTGCACGCCTGGCTAATTTTTTGTATTTTAGTAGAGAAGGTGGTTTCACCACGTTGCCCAGGCTGGTCGCGAACTCCTGAGCTCAGGCAATCTGCCTGCCTCGGCCTCCCAAAGTGCTGGGATTACAGGCATGAGCCACTGCATCCAGCCAGAAATTTCTATTGTAAATAGTTCTAAAAAAAACAAACAACAAAAACAAAAAAACAAACGAAAACAAAAACAAGGTCTCATTCTTTCACCCAAGCTGGAGTGCAGTGGTGCAATCACAGCTCAATGCAGCCTCCAACTCCAGGATTTAAGCAATCCTCCTGCTTCAGCCTCACAGGTAGCTGGGACTACAGGTGTGTGTCACCATGCCCAGCTAAAATTCTTTTAGAGACACGGTCTTACTATATTGCCCAGGCTGATTTCGAACTCTTGACCTCAAGTGATCCTCTTACCTAGGCTTCCCAAAGTGGTGGGATTTCAGGCGTGAGCCACCACGCCAGGATTATTGTAGATAACTTCTAATTCCCAACTCCTTTAGCTACCAAAAAGACAAAGGCATTAAATCAAAACAAAATCAAAACAAAAAATTTAAAAACCAGATTCAGTCCTGGATATCCATTCAAGGTTCTGAGCACCCAAAGAGTACACATTCAAAAAATCATCTTCCCCCCAGTTTCAGCAGAATTTGGCTCAACATATTGTAGCATCTTCAGAAAACTCACAGCAGCATGGAAAAGGGTATGGGCTGGCCAGTGCCTGTCACTTCCAGAATGCCAAAATCTGTAATACCATATCAGGATGTGCAAAAGAGGCTACATGCTTTTAGTTGTTATGAATGCATGCACACGTGTGTGTGGGTATGCATGTGTGTTTCTTTCAACCTCAGTTAACACACTATCAACAGAGCTGAATATCTGTTCATGTTACCTGGAGGTCACTTCTTCCTGCCAAGAAACTCAGAGTGGGTCATGAGGGGAAGGGCAATAAGAGTGCTCCTGATGGCAGGGAGAAACCGGAGCAGATACACAGCCCCACTCAGCTTCAGATTAGTCTAAATTAAGTAGTGTGGCCTATGGAGGGGTCTCAGCTTGGAGGGCAACCTGATAGTGAAGCTAGAATCTCAGTCTATCGATGTACTAAATTGATGGCAATGAAAAGAATTCTTCCCAGACACAAAAGTACACTTGTTTCCAGATTAATGTATCCTCAATGTAAGCTTTTCAGCCCCTGCTCTGAAGGAGTTAACGCGTGCTTGCTTCAGGGCAGAGGCACAGCCACGGTTGTATTATTTTTTGAAGTATTTGCTTGCAGAGGTGACCTGACCACTTGCTCATGAATACACTGAAGCACTATTCTTTCCTAACATCTCATGATGCCAATTCACAAGGACACTAAAGAGTTTGTTTAAAGTGGTGGCGACAGAGGGACAACCCAGAATGCCTGCTGGAGGGACATTACAAGTTTCCCTCTGGCAGAATCGAAAGTCATCTTTAGACACCTGCCCCCACTGCTTTCCCCGCCATTTCCTCCTTCCACTTGCTATGGAGCATCTCAATTACTTGCTGTTAAGCATCTTGGCCTTATCTTTGTGTAACCAATGCCTGTTTTTCTACTCAAAAATGACTAACAGGAATTCAGGGTATTGTGTTGAATTTTAATGGGTTATTTTGTTTCTCATATGCTGATTTTCTAAAGGCCTCACAGTGGCTTCCTCTCTCCTCCTTCCTTAAAAAGAAGATTGAGAATCCTCATCTCTGATGATGTTGAGAGTCAGCATCTTTCTAACAGCTAGAAAGGGTCAGTGGTATAAGACTGTGGAGGAAAAAAATCGTAGGGGAACCATTTATTTTATATTTCTTGAGATTAAGATATGGAGTTTGCTTAAAGTTACAAAGCAAGCAAAGTTAGAGTGTGCAGGTGCCTAGCCTCTGATGTGTACCTCTCATCACATGGTAGGCACTGTTAGATTGGCTTCTCAAGTACTAAGGTTATTTATTATGTACTTTTTACTAAAGCCATCTCTAAGCTTTTGAACCTGGTAGAGTACAGATGTAGCTTATGGAAACACATGAGCAAAGGGCTAGGACTTCCTCTTCTCTTCTCTTCTCTTCTCTTCTCTTCTCTTCTCTTCTCTTCTCTTCTCTTCTCTTCTCTTCTCGTCTCGTCTCGTCTCCTCTCCTCCCCTCCCCTCCCCTCCCCTCTCCTCCTCTCCTCTCCCCTCTCCTCCTCTCCTCTCTCCCCTCCCCTCCCCTCCTGTCCTCTCCTCTTCTTCTCTCCTCTCCTCTTCTCCTCTCCTCTCCTCTTCTCCTCTCCTCTCCTCTTCTCCTCTCCTCTCTTCTCCTCTGTTCTTTCCTTTCTGATTCTTTCTTTCTTTCTCCTCTCTTTCTCCCTTCCTTCTTTCCTGCCTTCCTTTTTCTCTTTATTCCACCCTTCCTCCTTTCCTTCCTTCCTTCTATTCTTTCTTTTCTCTTTTTCTCTTGAGAAAGTAAATTCAGAATTTTGTCTTTAGATTTCAGTCCTTTCCTAGATTTTATGTCATGAGAAAGATTCTGTATTCCATGGCCTTGGCTTAGGCTGAATTCATTGCAAATCATGTAGAAGTTCCCATGGACAACCACCCCCTTTGCCAAGGGCACCAGAAGAGGTTGTGCTCTGTACACCATGCAGGTAGCACACCTTTCCTCTACACAGAATATAGACTCATTCCAAGTATAGACTGCTTTAATTCTTAAAGAAGCCCTGTTGTCCTGGTTTTGACAGTAAGGGGCAGTAGAATTAACTCACCCATATGCTTTGAAGTTTTATATAGTTGGGATATGCTGTACAATAATGGTTTTAGGTGGTGAGCCAATCACTTTTTGTATTCATTGCAAGCCATACAGTTGTTTCTTGTTTTTGGTTTGGGTTTTTTGCTACGTAAGCCATATTGTCATTTAATGCGTGCACACCTTTTTTGTTGCTCAACATCTTGCTTGGATAATGGATATTTCACACAAATATAAGTCTGTTTTGAAAAATACAGCTTTTATTTATTCAACAAATAATTATTAGGAATATTCAATTCCCAGGCCCTATTTATATTTCTTCCTCTATCCCATGAAGTTGTATTGAGTTAGTTCCCATCACAGAAGTAACAACAGGGTTGCTTAGTCTGGGCTACAGTAGTTGCCAGCATCCTTTCTCTGCCCCGATCCAAAAACCATTTCACATACCAGGCCAGCTACATGTTCCCAAGTCATGAGTCAGATCAAATACATGTTCTGGTCAAAAACATTCAACAGATTCCATCTATTCTTAGGATTCCTGGATTTCACAGCCTTTGTAATATGGTCCCAAGTCACCTTTCTATCATCTCCCACCTCTTCCACCCTGAAATGGAACCCTTTGTCTTGCTTCAAACACACCTTGTACTTTCTATCTGCAGGTTTCTGCTTACCTTGTCCTTTCCACCAGAAGTCTCCTCTCCACTCCTAGCTTCTGCCTGCTGAAATCCTCCCCCTCATTCTTCAAATCCCACTGGTCCCTGGAGAATTTCTAATTCTCCTCCTTCCCTACTTTGCTGATATAATTCTTCCTTGATCCTTCCCTTACGATAGCCATTTATCCATTAAAGATGCCACCCTTACTAAATTATACAAAATTGTGCAAAAGGCAAAGTCGATGTCATCTTTGCAGCCCAACAATACTTTGCATTTGGTAGGCACTCTCTATTTGTTGGCATTGAACTAAAGGAACTGTTAGTGCCGTCTTTGATCCCAGATGCTACACTCATAGATATTAACATAGAAAAGAACCCTAACCTAGTTTAATGGTAGATGCTCAAATTGAATCACAATCACCCGGGATTTTTTTTTTTTTTTCAAAAGGCACCATCCCAAGTCTTCACTCTAGCCATCTAAAGTAGAACTTTATTTTTAAAATGAAGGTAGGTGGAGAATAAAGAGAAAACGGTCATAGAGCTAACCAGTGACTGTGCCCAGATCATCATCTGTGTGATATAACAGAAAGAACGTGGGCTTTGATATCAGATAGACCTAGATTCAAATCCAAAGTTATTCAACCTCTCTAAACCTTGGCTCCTTGACTTATAAATTTCAGATGCCACCTAGCTTAAGAGTTGTTATATGAAATAAGTGAGAGGATGCACAGAAATCACCTAGCATGTTACATGGCACACAGTAGGAACTCTAATACATGCCAGTTCTTTCTCCCTCCCTCATGAGTCCATACCCAGGATCTGACCACAATACCAGGCTGTAATACTTAACTGAATAAAGTCAATGTTCATTCATTCACCAAAATGAATTGGGAGCTTCTACAGCCCAAGCGCTGTACTAAACCTCAGTACATCCCACTTACCCTCAAACATTCCCCCAATGCATCTAAAGTTATTATATTTAAAAAAGCTATATCACTCTTTGGAAACTAATATCAGACTCAATATCTATTATACCATAAACTCCTTCACAAAGGGTCAGAATACCATCAGTTATTTCTACTGGTTGTCCTTCCTCTTGTTAATATATTTTAACTCCTCATGACATGAACAAGTAGCCTTTAACATAGAAATAAGAACGTGATGTAATTTCTAATATCCTAGGGAATAGGAATTTGTTTTTATTGATTCCCACTTAGCTTTTCACAAGCATCCCTCTTCTTTTCTTAGTCTGTATTTAATAAAAGGTTTATAGGTTTCTGTTTTTCTTAGTTGGGAGACCAGAATAAAACTAAAATTGCCATTTCCAGTAACTCAATATGGCGTGTGTGAATAGGCTGCACACATATGTCATTGTAATGTGTTTTATAATCAATGTCTATTTTCTTTCATTGCTCTACCTTCCTATTCAAAATTTAATCTATTTCCTTAGAATCTTGTTTTCATGAATATATTAATTTCAAGAATGTGTGTTTTTGCACTATGGTTGTAAGTAACTTGTAAAATCAATAAAATGGTTTCTGTTGACTGAACTAGCTATTGAGAACTGAGAATGGCTTCATATATAAGTTGTCAGATCCTGTCAGATGCTGTCACAATATAACTCTAAGTTAGACAAGTAAAAATTTCTTGCAAAGAAAAATTGGGGAAAAAATGTAGTTTAGGTTGAGCTATCACTGCACACACTGAGAAATAAATAAATGCACACGATTTGCTCTAATCCTTTGCTGCCTCTTTTCTTTAAAACACCAACTAGGCCAGGTGTCGTGGCTCATGGCTGTAATCACAGCACTTCGAGAGGCCTAGTCAGGGGGACTGCTTGAGGTCAGGAGTTTGAGACCGTATGGACAACAGAGTGAGACCCCATCTCTATAAAAAAGTTAAAAATTTCTAGGGTACGGTAGCACATTCCTTTAGTCTCAGTTATTCAGGAGGCTGATGTGGGAGGATCGTTGGAGCCTAGGAGGTTGATACTGCAGTGAGCTGTGATCACACCACTGCACTTCAGCCTGGGTGACAGAGTGAGATCCTGTTTCAGAAAAAACAACAAACAAAGGAAAAAAACACCCAAATAACACAGACAGCAATAATAATAATGTATATGTACAGCTCTGTATTTTTCAAATGCTTTTACCTTATTATTAACTCAATTGATTATTCCATCGTTCAAATATCTGAGCAGTTAACTGTGTTTCAGCCAATGTGCTACATGCTGAAGATTCAGTGGTGAAAAAAATGAAAAAGAAAATGGTCCTTGCCCCCATGGAGTCTAATAGGAGAGGAAACAACTAATAAAAATATCACATAAGCCCCATATAAGAATGACCAACTGATGTTTGACAAAGTTCAAAAGGAATTCAATGGAAGTGAATTCAACAAATGTTGCTGGAATAATTCAATGTTTATAGGCAAAAAATAACAAAAATAAAAAAATGAACCTCAGCCCAAACATTGTACTTGATACTAAAATTAACTCAAAATGGATTATAGATCTAAAGCTATAAAAGTTTTAGAAAAGAAATAGGAAAAAATCTTTGTGATCTAGGATTAGGTGAAATGTTCTTAGTCATGATATCAAAGGCATTATTCACAAAAAAAATAGATAAATTGTAACTAACACAAATTAAGAACTTTTGCTCTGAAAACCACTCTCTTATAAAGAAAAAAAGACAAACTTCAGACTAGAATGAAATATTTGCACATCACATATCTGACAAAGGGCTTATCCAAAATATATAAAGAACACTTTAAATTCAACAGTAAGAAAACAAACAACCCAATTAGAAAATGGGCAAGACTTGAACAGATACTTCACCAAAGAGGATATATAGGCACAAAAGAACATGAAAAGATGTTAAACATCATTAGGCATTAAGAATATGCAAATTATAATGAGATACCACCACACACCTATTAGAATTATTAAAATAAAAACACATGCTGGGTGCAGTGGCTCACACCTATAATCCAAGCACTTTTGGGAGGCCAAGCCAGGAGGATTGCTTGAGCCCAGGCATTTGAGACCAGCCTGGGCAACATGATGAGACCTTATCTCTACAAGAAATTTAAAAACTAGCCAGACGTGGTAGTGCATGCTTGTAGTCCCAGTTACTTGGAAGGCCGAGGTGGGAGGACTGTTGAGTCTGAGGGGTTGAGGTTGCAGTGAGCCAAGATCATGCCACTGCACTCCAGCCTGGACAATAGAATGAGACATAGTCTCAAAAATAAATAAATAATAAATAAATAAAAATTTTAAAAATAAAATTAAAAGCATGGATAAAACCAAGTGTTGATGAGGCTGTGGAGCAACGAGATTTCTTATCTATCACTGATGGGAATGAAAAATGGTATAGCCACACTGGAGAACAGTTTGGCAGTTTCTTATAAGCATACACTTACTATATAACCTAGCAAATGCACTCCTCAGTATGTATTCAAGAGAAATGAAAATGGCGTGTTCCCACAAAAACCTGTACATAAATGTTTATAGAAGTTCTATTTACTTATATAAGCCCCAAACCCCTACTGACTTCTATAGCCCCAAACGAGAAACAACCCAAATGCCCTTCAACAAGTAAACAGATAAGCAAATGGTGATACAAACATCCCAAGGGGTGCAACTCAGCAATAGGAGAGAACAAATGACTGCTGCATGCAAACAACTTGGTTGGCTCTCAAGGGAACCACGATGCATGTAGAAAGCCATTGCCAAAGGGTTAAACATTTTATGATTCCATTTATATAACATTCCTCAATTTACAAAATTAAAGTAATGAAGAACAGATCAGTAGTTGCCAGGGGTTAGGGCTGGGGAAAGGATGAAATTATTAAAAGGTAACATGAAGTCACTTCTCAATTGTGAAAGAAGAGTTTCGTATCCTGATTGTGGTGATAGTTACCAGAACCTAAAATTTGATGAAACTATACATACACAACATTCATGTAAAAAATGTGGAAATCCGGGTAAGGTTTTTACCTGAATCAATAGCACTGTGCCAATGTCAATTCCTAGTTTTGACCATGTACCATGGTTATGGACGATGTTACCATTGGAGGAAACTGGGAGTAGGGTATACGGGAATTCTCAGTACTCATGTTGTAACGTCGTGTGGTCTTAACTATTTCAAAATAAAAACTTATATTAGAAACAGCACATAAGTGCATATAAAATTACAATTCTGTTAAGTGCTACAGGGAGAGCTATATGATGCTATGGAAGCCTCTGATGCAGGGATTGACCTGGTGATGCAGGTCAGGGAAGGCTTGAAAATGAACTGAGATCTAAGGAAAGGATAGAGGTTAATGAGGTGAAAAGGGCAGGGAGGTTGAATCCAATTCTCTTGACTTAGGAAGAGTTCAATAAGGTAGAAAAATAGTTCTTTCCATGAACCTCCAAAGCTGAAACACACAACAGTGCAGATGAGCAGTGAAGGCTTCATCTATGGTGGGTAAAAAAGAAGGGTTCAGGGACCTAGGAAACCCGTCAGCTACTGGGCAAATTAGAAGGGTAGGGAGAAGGGAAGCAAGATAGCTAAGAGAGAGGGTGGGGTGAACCCCAACAAGTCAAGTCAGGAGCCCTCTAAAATCACTGCAGGGCTTATTGGTGTATGCTAACCTCTAAATCCCCAACCATGGTGAGGGAATTCCCCATCCACAGGTGTTTCGGTCTAAACTCACTTTACCTGACAGGTACAGGGGAGCTGTGGGGAGCAGCCTGTGAGCTGCTTCTGACTCAGTAGAGTGTTAGGGAAGAAAGAAGAGCAGAAGTCAGACACCTTCCCTCCTTCATATATATCCCTTCCCTTCTCACAGCCATTTCCCTGAGCCTAGCCTTCCACCAGGGAGCTTCAGGAGCTGAATGAGACCCACGCTTTGGTTCTCCCATCCAGCAAGTTACACCACCTCTTTGGGCAACAGTCTACCCCTCCATAAAGCAAATCTAGACCAAATGACCTCACAGCTGACTCAATCCTTGGGTTTGTTGATTCTGGCTTCTGGCTTTTTGATCTGCATTCAAATTGCTCTTTCATTTTTGTCTGCAGTCATCTGTATGAGTACCTAGAGAAAGACTGGGGGAAACAGTCATGACTACGTTACAAGCTTCTTTTTAAAGTCATCCATTTGTTGTGAGAGAGTTCAACGGTTATCTAGAAGCTAGGTACAAAGTACAGTCTGCATTTATGAATCCCTGGAAATAATCTTGTTAGGTCAAGTACAAAGAATTATTTTACTCGCTAAGTTCCAATGAAAAGGAGAAATTGGATATACCATTATATAGACTTCTAAACTAAGAGAGAATTTAAATTTTCTCTTAATAGTGATTTGACTCAGCTAATATTTATACATTTAATAAAAGTTTCAACATTTTAGTTAAAATGCTATTTTTACAGTAGTCTTCTGCTCAGAGAGATTTAAATTATATTCATTAGTAGTGTCATGTTCAATGACTGAAGCCATAACATCAGAGTGAACCCAATTGACGGGCAGAAATATATTTGCTTAACAAAAAAAGAGCAAAAGAGACAAAGGCAGACATGAATAGGAAGGGTTTTTTTTTTTTTTTTTTTTTTTTTTTTTTTTTTTGGAAGGCTGACAGTTCTTCCCTCCAAGCAAATTATTACTTATCTATCCACCCAGCCTGATAAAAATAATCACAAATATTTTGAATGCCTGCATTGAAAGATGGATTTAGAACGTTCAGTGCTCACAGTGGCAGAATGGTTATGTATGGTTTCATTTGGACTCACAGCCGACCAAAATATGGGTGTTTAAGCCTGTGGAGCAGGAGCAACTAATTGATCCCACTTAGGAGACAGACTGTGAATAATGGGCCATTATATTTTGATGGAACACACAATTGCCTTGAACTTCTCAGAAGTTCAGGTGTGGGGATCCAGCTACCTGGGGCAGTTGCTGGAATGTGATGGTCTGCGGGCTTCTGATCATGCATCTGCCTGCTGCACCCCTCGTAGGGCCCAGCTCCATTTCACGGGAATAACTCACCTATTCATGAACAATGAGGTTCAAACTGTACCTTTCCTTAACACAACATTAACTCTCAAAGAGCTGGAAATTCAGCACTCGGTTTCGTGAGCTTAGATTGCAAATCAGTCACTGAGAACATTATATGAGCAGTAATCCCATTAAATATATCATCTTGCAAATATCTAAATCCAGTTAATTAACTTGTATTGCAAAAGAGCTTGGAGATATAGTTTTCAGAGAGCAACCATACATTTTAGGGCCCTAATTATACTTAAAGTAAATTTCAGGCTCTAGTTTTTATAAAAAATAGGTGGAAAACCGCCTTCTAAGGAAAAAATGGATTGATGGAGGGCTACGTTTATGAGATTTAAACAGAAAAGATATTTAAACATTTCAAAAATTAACTGCTTTCTTGCATAAACTTTTTACTTGCATTGTAGGGCGGTTTTTTAATAAAAGGATTAAACAAAGTCTGCTATTTTAATTAAAATTCATAGCAATACAATGTCATCTTTGCAATGGTCGTAGAAATTAACTAGCTCATGAATTTAGCCATTTCAGAGTTCATAATAATTTGACTTCAGCATAATATCCAAACCCACATGATATGTAGATTTTAAAATAATCACAGCAAGGATTTAAAAATAAAAATAATAATTTCACCTAGTGAAAATCCCATTACTGAGTTAGACATACATGACAACATTGGCTTAATAATTTCTCAGTGATCAATAAGTGTCTGGGATGCATACATAGCTCTATGTAGCCATATGTGTGTATGTTGCATGAAATTTGCATAAATTGAGTGCTCTGCATAAACTTTGCAGAAAACTCTGTAGGTGTACGTTTATGTGTGTCTTTCTGTCTTCCGATACCACTCACTCACTTCATGCTTGTTTTGAACTAGCCTCATACCACCCACCAAAAAAGTGGATCATCAGTGGTATTTGTCAGTAAAATAAACCCTCCCAATATATGCTTTGCATTATGTTTCATGAAAAATCCACACCCTTTAAGTGCAAAATTCAAGACTGACTTATTTTAAAATAGTTTAAATTGTGGTTTCTCTAGACTATTATTCAATGCTGACATAAAAAAACTAGCAATAAAGTATATGAATACCTTCAATATAAATAGTGCTTTTCTTCTAGATAGTTCAAATTTTCATCCTATGTGTAAATCCATTCATATGTATGAAGAACACATACAATAAAATCTTTTAAAATCTCAATGCCAATTGAAGACTGTGGCAGATAAAGTTTTTAAAAGATGTCAACAGGACTGGATTTATTCATGCTAAAATCCATGACCCCATTTGGGGCATCATTTGGGGCATCATGGTCCACTGTTCTGAAGAATAAAGTTTCAAAAATATTCACAGATTCTTTCTAACAATATCATTCTCTCTATCCAAATGTCACCAACACTGAATATACCATTTTTATTAGGAAACTGTCTTATTGGATACTTATACCACAACTGTTTTGAGGAACTTATTGTAATCATTCACACACTAGAAAAATAAAGAATTTAGTTGATCACACAGCCTTTTTTAGGGACTCTGCAACTGTTATCGACAGAAACTGACAAGCATCTAACTCCAGAAAAAGGAAATAAATAAATGCAGTTTCTCGTTATATAGCACAGGCAGGTATTTCTGGTATGTTGGTAATTTCAGGAAAATGTGGACTTGCCTCAAGAAAACTTTTGGAGACGACCTCTTCACACCCATCTTCTAAGTGTTTGCTATTAACTGTCCAAGTGCTATTTAGCATTGTATGTGAATCATCTCATGTTTTCCTTCTAACAGCTCTGTGAGGCAAGATCTATTATTTACCCCATTTTACAGATGAAGAATTCTAGGCTTAAAAACCTGTAATCTACTCAAAGCCTAAGACCTAGCAAGTTATGAAGTGGAAGTTCCAATGGAAGCCCATCAAACTCCAAAACTCATACTTTGAACTGATAAGCTACACCCTCCATGAACAGAATGTCCTTTACCCTTAATTTTGTGGTACCCAATTTTGATTTTGTAAACTCACATTAGAATTAGGAATACAAGGATGTGGTTGTTTGGTCATTTGTTACCCAATGGTGTGGAGGTGGTTAGAATGATACATCCCATAGGAAACAGCGTGTCCATTGGCTGAGCTTGAGCAGAACTTTGAACATGTGAGCTTGGAAACGCCACTATAGCGAATGGTGGGTGCACCAGGAGCTCCTTACTGATAAGTTTCCCCATGGAGGCCCATATATTGCTTGTTTTGACATCTTTTATGTGCAATGTGGGAGGCACAGTGCAAAGCAAATTTAAAACTCTTAGGTTCATTTTCAGGGCTGAAGTTGTGTCTAGTGAAAGGGTTAAATGCCTCCCAGGCCTCCCTGCTTCCACTCTCTCCTGGATCATGTTGTCTAAAAGCAGGGCTCCCCGCACCACAGCAAACCGAAGAGGTACCCTAATGACAGTATAATTAGAAGTATCATTGTGGTAATGATTCTTTTCATCTGGAGCACAGGCTGCACAGAAAAGGGCTCTTCATTCAGCTAATTCCACCTGCCTATCTTTTTTGCCTCTCCCCAGCCTTTTCCCCTAGGTCAGTAGCGCAGGGTTAATACCAGGTGTTTGACAAGTCCTCAGACTTGGGGCTCATCAAACTAATTAAAGAGAAACACATCCAAATTCTAGTGAATTATTTTACTTTAAAAAATGCTTCCCATTCATCTGGCTTGGTGAGTTTGATTAATGAAGACGACAAAGGAGCTCTTGTTCCTGCAACCCACAACCACTTGGTTCGGGTTCAGTGGGCCCAGGGAGAGGCATCCGTGCCTTAATCTGGTCTTTCTTTCCTACTTAAAAATCCAAAGGGTAGAGAGGTTTCTGATTTTATCAGACCCACCAAGGCAGGAAAGGAAAGACAAAAAACATCTTGATGCACTAACTTAGCATAGCCAGAATTTATTTGTTTAACTTAAACAACCCTTAGAGGACTTCCCTTGTTTATTTGCCACACATAGGGTAATCTAAGACATTAGGAAAGCACTAGATTTGTCAGTATATTTTAATATCCCTAAAACTAATAAACTTCTGAAGCATGCCCTTCAGTGGTTTATTCACAGCACCTCTCACTCAGTGCTCGCTCAGACTTTCCTATGGTGTTGCCAACTCTCTGAGCACAGACTCATTGGTGATATACACAATGACCAAGAACATCCAGGGTCTAAACTTGGGAAAGAAAAATGAAGTTTTTGATTCTTTTTTTTTTTTTTTTTTTGAGATAGAGTTTTGCTCTTGTTGCCCAGGTGGGAGTGCAATGGCGTGATCTCGGCTCACCACAACCTCTGCCTCCCGGGTTCAAGCAATTCTCCTGCCTCAGCCTCCTGAGTAGCTGGGATTAGAGGCATGCACCACCACGCCAGGCTAATTTTGTATTTTTCGTAGAGACAGGGTTACTCCATGTTGGTCAGGCTGGTCTCTAACTCCCGACCTCAGGTGATCCGCCCACCTCAGCCAGTTTTTGATTCTTAATGGGAGTAATTTTTTTAATCAAAGGATTTTTAATTCCTATAGATAATTAGGAATCAAAAGTACATCTTGAATGGAGTTGTTTGCTGCATTAGCAAGATATGTCTGCATATTAACTAAGTAAAGCATTTGAAGATAGATTTGAGCATTTAGATTAATTTTAGATTAAAATGCATATGCTTCTGCCAGGTTAAAAACAAAATCCAACAGAAAACCATAGTAATAAATCTAATATATTAAATAAAGGATAGATATTTAATATGTTGCTTTTAATAACATTAACCAAATTCATCATGAGATTAGGGCTTTAAAACCCATAAGCCATACATACCCTCCCCAAGTCCCCAAACCCTAAAATGCCAAATTATCCAATCCAATATATACCCCTTTGGTACTGAGACATTAAATGACATTTTAGTATTATCTTTAAGATAATTATTCAGGCACTTGGACATCATTTTAAATTCCATCATACATTTGAACCTACAATTTAAAAGACAGACATTTTCTTTCAACAAGTTTCTCTTAAAATTTTGAGTTTATTTTCGTGAACTTAAATTTATGGTGATTAAAACTGTTTAATGAAAAACATCCTTTTTTGAAGCACACATCCAGTCTTGTCAATACTGTCTCACCAATTTTGACTAACAATAAAAATTATTTTATGTCTGAGAAATGAATTCATACTTGTGAAGTTCAATAATTTCCAAGTTTAAAGTTTACAGTTTCCAAGTTTTAAGTTTAAGCACTAAGTCCATAGGCAGATGAATCTCTTTTTTATCCAAAAAGAAGAAAAACTCAATAAATAGATGGTAGTAAAATGGGTTAACTTTGGGCAACATTTCTTATGAGGCTTGGGAAATGTTAATTCTGCAGGATATTAATAAGTATTATTAAAAAATAAAAAACAATTATACAAATTGTTTTGCTTTAACCCATTATTAGAAATATTTTCAAATATACAGAAGAGTTAAAAGGGTAAATAGCTTTAAAAAAACAATAAAACCTGGTAAACAAAGTTAAGCTGGTTTCTTCACAGCAGGACTTGTCAGGGCCTTTGATACACCAATGGACACGGGCAGTTTCTAAGAGGAGAACAGGAAATACATCGTGTTCTAAATTAATTTGTGGCATCCTGAACATTTAGTGTCCCCTCTAACCTCTAATGTACTTGAGAAATGCTGATTCACAGCAAACCCAGAGGTTCTGTGATTTTCATTTAAAACTCTATCCCAAAAAGCAAAGAGCTGGGTGCCAAACAAATTTATAAGAAGAAAGATGCTTTAAAAAATCGTGGTTTGAAAATTCATCAGCAATTTGAAAGATTCACAGTGTAAAGTTTACAAAAGAATTTGGAGGCAGGTTACCTTGCAGTTGATTCAAATATGCTACCTTGTTCTAAATTGCTAGCCTCTCCTTTCTCAAATGGACTCATGCTCTAAAATCCAGGCAAGGATTTGAAACTGGCAAGAAAATAATCCAGATGAATAAAGGTCTTGTTTCTCTTTAATCCTACCATTACCTTATAAAGACTTTTTCAAAAAAATTGAAATGTGGCAGTGAGTTTTTTTTTTTTCAATTTAATGTGAACACTGAAGGTAGAATTGTTGATGGTTAAGTTAGCTAGAAGTTTTAGCAAAAATTATTTTGAAATTCTCATTTAATTCTTGCTCAACGGTAAGAATCCAATCAATGCAAAATGTGAAGCCCAGTGTTGTTGAATTTCCCTGCTTCTTTTTTAATGTTAAGAATTGGATTTTGGAATGCATGGGTTTTCACATGTTAATGTTGAAATTGAATTCAGTTGTGAGCACGTTGTAAGATGCAATAGGAAAACTATTATCAAAAGGCAGTCGTTAACCTTTTTGAAAATTTTTAGTATTGTTTTGTTTCACTTCTTGCTATAATCCTAACAAGCACAAACGCATCTCCGTTAACCCGCCTCTTAAAGAAATTGCTAATATCTAAAAAAAAACAAAGCTGATCCTTCACTCTTATTTTCATACCAAAATAGTTCATTATATTTTTTTCCAGAATCTTCTTTTACCACCCTAGGGAACAAAATCCCAACTATGGATTCAAAATGACAGATTTTGTGGGTTTTACTTTTCAGAGATGATGTCACTTGTGGGGAATTGTTGGGTAAACCATACACTCTTTTCAGAAACCTGCAATTACCTCTCTGAATAAAGAGATCAATGTCATGTTTCTAGAAATAATGGCTAATGATATGTCTCTCAAAAGGAAGTGGCGTTATTAATTACCTCACTGTGAACACACAGTTTATAGACAGCTCAGAGGGCCACTCGCCCAATTAAGTATAATGACTAAAGCTACAGTTAGTCCATCTGTACAGCCTTCTAGATTAACAAGCCTGCAGCTTTACAAGAGTTGTTTAAGGCTGATATGCACAGAGAGGAGAGCCCAGAGGCAATACCTGGACTGCCTTGGAGCGTTGGTATTATTGCACAGCGGCGGGGAGCCCACACCCCTTATTTTTAATCACTCAGCTTTGTTTGGATGTGAGCTACGTTTGTATTGATCGCCCCGCCCCAATTTCCATGCCAAAGTGCATTAATTTATATTATATATTTGAGTATATATTTGTATATTAAATATGTTTAAATGAATATATAAAATTTTAACATTATGTTTATATACTTATATATGAACTATTTAAGTATAAATATATAAAATGTTAAATATTATATTTATATACTTATAAACTATGTAAGTATAAATAATACATAATTTATATGTAATTATATCATACATTTATAAATATATAGATAATTATATAACTATACATTTATGTACTTATATAAAATATTACACAAAAATATATTAATACTCATTAACATATGAAGGTGACAACAACAGCACATCATAACCCGAGGGGGTCAAGGTTAAAAGAACTGACCTCTGTCAAGAATAAAGACCTGGAAACTTTTAAATGATATATCCTTATATATGTGTGTGTATATGTATATACATATACACACACATATATGCATCTTTATTATTATTCGATGACCTCATTCTTTCAGGTAGTAATATAGGCTGATTATGAAGCCCCTGCACATAAATCCACATTTTAAAATGAACTTAATTCTTCTAAAGGATATACTGTTCCTTTCTACCCCCCCATCAGTATAATTTATCATAATGGTCCTCATCTGTTTGCTTCTACGTTTTTTCCTAATTGGCTCCAGGGGCTGCGTATTGAGCTCTGGGGAATGACAAGGGATCCTTAGGGATAGGTTGGTAGGTACCAAAAGGGAGAGGACACCTGGGACCCAGGACCTGGGCCTGACCCTCAGGCTTCCAATGACCTAGGCGAGCACCAGGATTACCTCTGACAGGGGCTGTGGCTGGACCCTGGGGACACGCCTTGGGCTGTCAGAGAGCTGAGAGTTCCTCAGCTGCCCTTGGCCACCCGGCTCAGTGATTTATGACTTCCACAGGAACCAAGCCCTCCCCACCCCAACCTGGAGATAATCCCACCTCCTCCCCATGGTTTGGGTGGATTTTTTAAGTGTCTGAAATCCTGCTATGATAAGCAGGGGCCAGCCTGACACCAGAGCACACACAGAATGGCCCGCGCTGTGTCCTCACCAACAGAGAGCGACACCTGCCCCGCCAGCTGTTGCTTCACTTTGGGTCATTCAGAAGGCCGGAAAACATGCTGATTCACCCAGACGGGTGACTGTGCAGAGCTCTGGACACTCTTGGCAATTTCCAACCTGTTCTTCAGTTTTGGGGTCCAAAGGATAATTGCAGCCTTCAGCTAGTTATAGCTGGACCCCTGAGCCTGCCAGAGTTGTTTTTGGTTTTGTTTTGGTTTGGTTTTGGTTTTAAGCACAGTCACCCGTTTCCATGTGTTTCTTCCTCCATTTGTTCACAAATACTTATGAAGCAACAACCAGGTCCCAGGCATTATTACCTATGAGAAGAAATGATAAGGCCAGATTGGAATCTCACCTTCACCACCTACTGACAGTGACCTTGAACAAACAACTCAATCTCTATGAGCCTCAATTTGCCCAGTGGGCAAACTGGGGTCAATATTCTCTAATGTCAAAGGGTAGCTGTGATGATTACATGAGATAAAATACTACATGTAAAGTGCCTGACAATTTGCCTAATACAGTTGAGGCCCTCAGTAAATGTGTGTTCCCTTCCTTCTGCTCCCAGAAATTGGTCAAAGTATTGTGCCTGTTTGTCACTAAGTAAAGAGATATCACATCCCGCAACTCAGGGAATGTGCCTGTTTGTCACCAAGGATGAAGATGTCATACTGCACAACTCAGGAAATGCAGGACCTTCCACAGCTCCCACCTGGGCCAAAAGTAACTCTTCCTTTAAAGGTAGGATGGCAGCAAAGGTTGCAGAGGAGGACCTAGGGATATTGTGTGTCTGTGTGTCAACTGTGTTGTTCCCCTCAACTTCTTGTCATGAAACTGTCCCTTACTGCTTTATAAATGCCCAAGCTTCCATTACAGAATACGGATTTAAATTATCTGTTACATTTGAACATGCATAGAATGAACATAACCCAAATTCCTCTCCTAGAGAAACATTTGCATGTGTGGACCAGGAGACATGGGCAAAATGTTCACATGCAGCATTGCTTCTGGAGCCAAAATGAGAAACAGCTGAAATCCTAAGGGCAGTATAATTGATAAGTTGTGGTATAGTTCTTCAAAGGAGTACTATACAGCAATGAAAAGTAATGACATGTATCCATATATGCAAATCTTAGAAACATAAAATTGAGTAAATAAAAGCTTGTCACAGAGTAATACAGAGGGTATGGCTTCATTTATATACAGGTCAAAACATGCAAAATAATGCATATTCCCACTGCTTCAATTGACTAGCCTAAGAAATGCATATATGTATATTTTAGGGAATGTATACATTAGTGGTTAAATTGTAAGAAAAGTGAAGGGATACCAGTCACAACATTCAGGGTAGTGATTGTCTCTGAAGGAAGAAGAGGGGCACAGGAGGTGAGAGGGAGGGAGAGTTTTATATGAATTGGTAACATACATTCTTGAGCTGGGTGGTGAGTTCACAGGTGTTAATTTCATAATTATTGTTTAATCTGTATACATGTTATATATACCCATGTGTATGCTATGTTTCATTATAAAATATTTTAATGTTCCCCATTATATGTGATTCTTGGGAACCCAGAGTTTGTTAGGAGAACAAATACGTACATAAAGACATACAATAATATTTATTACAGCATAATTTGCTGAGTTAAAAAAGGAAGCAACCAAAATATTCCAGTTTAAAAATGGTTAAAAATTTATGGTGCAATAATTTCTTATAAAGAGTCCTTGGCTACCAGTTTTAAGAATAGGAGGCTAGAAAACTAATGAATCTCTCAGCTTTCAAAACTCAGGGGACAAACTGGACTAGAAATTAAGAAGGAGGATTCTTCTTGCTGTTTGGGCTATTTATTGGTCAGAAATATTAATTTAAATGTGAGTTCTCTTTCCATCTCTAGCCACATGAGCACAAAGCAAGTAACACTATGCAAATGTTTTCTACAAATGAGTTATTGCTGGCAGAGACTTTGACAAGGCTTTCTTTCTTGAATAACTTACATAAGCAAAAGAACTAGACTTTGAATCAAAAGTCTTAAGCAAGAAATATGGTGGCTGCCTCTCCCACCAGGATGGAGGTTGATGGGAGTGCCGGAAGCCCTAAGCAAGAAATCAGATCAGGGAAGAGCATGGTGCTAGGGCTCTCCTTCCTGGTCTTCCACCCACAGCACCTTCCCTGGGCACTAGAAAGTCAAATAGAACACCACATCAGCCTTGGTACGCTCACAGCTACCTGGCCTTCAAGTGATCATCAAGGTTAAGATGGGAACCCAGGCTGCACAGGCATTCTGCACTTGGACTCCCTTTGGGTCAGGCATCTTTACATCACTGAGCAATGACAGCCAAGTCTTTCTTCCAACTGCCCAGCTCACCTTTGCATTTCCCCCTCCCCCTGCAGATTGGCAGAGGACCCTAGGATAACCTGGTCTGGCAGCCACCTGCTGGCCAACAGGTCTAAGATGAACAATCCTCCACAGTCTCCATCACTCTCTTTCTGAGATCTAAGGATGGAGCAGGCTCTTCTGGGTGGTTTGAACCATCTCTGGCTCAGAGAACATCAAGTCCAGCCTCCGGCCACAGCAACTGTGAGCAGCCAGCCCATGCTTTGTATGGGAGTGCAGCAAGGCAAGGCTCCCCGAGAGCATCCTACTGTAGAAAACACGATACTGAGTCATCCCAGATCCAAGCATCCAAGTATTCACTTACTCATTCACTCAGCAAATACTCAGTGAGACCCTACTGTGTGCCAAGCACTGCTCTGGTATACGCTGGTTGCTGATATACAAGGTGAATGAGACCAGTACAGTCCCTGGGAAGATGAGCAAGCCAGTAGATAAAAATTACACTGTCTGTGTCCAAGAGCTTGGAAGGAAACGAACAGGAAGTTGAAATAGAGAACAATCAAATTGGGGAACAACATACTTTAAGTAGGGGGCTGGAGAGACCCCTCCACAGTGCCCTGTAAGTTAGGAAGGATAAAAACAAGCAAGCATGGAGAAGAAAAAGAGGAGAAGGTCTTCCCGGAATTAGAAAGAGAAGATCAAATACCCGGAGATGGAAATGTATGTGCGTAAAGTATCTGGATAAACTGAGCCAAGCCCATTGAGGTGGAGGGGAGTGGGCAAGGCTATTCAGTTCCCCTTCCACAAAGCACAGATCTGCTAGCCCAGCATGTGAGTCTAAAGACTATGTCAAGGCCAGGCACAGTGGCTCACACTTATAATCTCCACACTTTGGGAGGCGGAGGTGGCAGGGTCACTTGAGCCCAGGAATTCAAGACCAGCCTGGGCAATAAAGTGAGACCCCATTTCTGCCAAAAAAAATTTTTTTTAATTAGCTGGGCATGGTGGCATGTGCCTGTGGCCCCAGCTATTTGGGAGGCTGAGGCAGGAGGATTTCCTGAGCCCAGGAGGTCGAGGCTGCAGTGAGCCATGATCATGCCACTCACTCCAGCCTGGGTGACAGAGTGAGACCCTGTCTCTAAAAAAGTAAAAGTAAAATAAAATAAAGACCATGACAGCCAGTCTTCTCCTCCTGTTCTTGACAAATGACATGGGCTCACATCAAAGGACCAGTTCTCTGTTCAGCCTCACAACAGACACACTGGCCAGTCCAGTCCAGGCTCTGCTGCAGGGACTGCAGGCCCTGGGACTTGCTGATTCCCATTTTGATGAAATTAGCCTCTTTCAGGGCCCTGGTAGCATACTCTCAGTCCAAGGACACCCTATTTCTGTCCAGAAATGCTATTTGGGGAGTAGGCGTTCAGGGAAAGCGGTTAGATTGGCCAGTCCCAAAGGTCAGGAGTCCCCCAAGTCCCTACTTACTCATAATAAATTCCTGCTATGGAAACTGAGAAGTCAGAAAGCATGCAGTCATCTCAGGCCATCCAGAAGGCCTTGCTTTGCGGAAAACTCGGTGCTCCATCCATCTGGCCAGCTGGAGATTAGATAATTCCAAGAATATCCAGCTGTGAACAGAGGGAAATGAAGGGATCTGTCTGGCTCACAGTGCAGATGGAGAAAGTAATGCTTTTCCAATCAGACTCAGACCCTTCTGCTCTCTGGTTCTGTGGCTAAAATCCAACGGTCAACTATGGATGAAGGGCATGCCAGCCTGAAGTTCTTGATGAGGAGAAGCTAATAAATGTTAACAGCAGCTTTGATTTCTGTTATATTTCATACACACACACACACACACACACACATATATATGTTTAAAATCATACCATAAAATAAAACATAGCAGAAACTTTTAAACCACCTGTAATTTCACAACCCTGGCATATTTTCTTCTGTATACAGTTACTTTTAGCCTTTGCCCTGAAACTTCTCTACATAGTTGTAGTCATGTCTGCACATACTTGTGTTTTTAAATTTTATATTATGTCATAAACACTTTTCCATATTCTTCCCAGCCTTTATAGTTAACGTTTTAATAACGGCATTATTATACTACCGAGTAACTGTACTATAATTTATCTACGCAATACTTTTCTTTTGAACATTTATATGACTTTAGTACTTTACTATGGTGGACAATGAGGCAATTGATATTTTTATGTATATAACTTTTTTCTTTCACATATTGTTGGAAATTTGATATTATTAAATTTTTAATACATTTGTTACCATCTCTCTCCTTTTCAACTGTTACTTCTTTTCTTTTCTTTTTTTTTTTTTCTTATGGCTCCAGCTCAAAGGACCATTACTTTTCTTAGAGTCACTTCTAAATGCAAGTGATTTAGTGTGAAGCTGCTTCCTGGTGAAACACCATCTCCCATGATGACCTGTGGTGCTAAATAGACAGATGGTGCTTCAGCAAATTTCCCATGCAGGCTCATCTGAGATGTGCTTTTGCCAGGTGCAATAGAATTTGGAGTGAAGGTCTTCTGAAGTCTCAGTTCTTGCAACAACCTTTCTCTCTTATATCTAGCTTCTCTCCTTAGGCAGCTTCATAGAATGAAAATGTAACCCTCCCTTGGGAGAGAGAGAACAGGAAGGGGCTTGTCCTTAGACAACAACCGTCTGTCACCTGGAAAGGAGCTCTGACCTAGAGAAGCGTGGTGTGACATGCAAGTTGAAGTCCCTCCAGGAAGCATGTTGTGGCCTATGGTTCTGCACACTCTGGTGTGTTAGTCTGACCCACCTGCTATGGCAAGATACCATAGATTGGTGGCTTATAAACAACAGAAATTCATTTCTTACAGTCCAAGATCAAGTCCAAGTCCAAGATCAAGATGCTGGCAGATTCATGTCTGGTGAGGGCCTAATTTCTGGCTCACAGACAGCAACTTCTTGCTATGTCCTCACATGGTGGAAGGGGCAAGTGAGCTTTTGGGGGGTCTCTTTTATGAGGGCATTCATCCCATCATGAGCTAATCACTTCCCAAATGCACCACCTCCTAACTCCCCCATCTTGGGGAGTAGGATTTCAACATATGAATTGGAGGTCGGGAGGGGACGCAAACATTCAGACCACAGCACCTGGGACAGGCTGCACTCCCTTTTTCTTAATCTGCTCAGTTGGAGGCCGTCACCCCTATGCAGGCTCAGATAATGATACCCAAACTTTATGACTTTTAAATCCACATTTAAGGAACCCTTAACATTTGCAAACAAAGACACTGAGACCAGAAGTGTTCTCTTAATGGGGTTGCTTAGAGAATTTTTCTTGCAGATTTTTATTTTCTTTTGCAGGAAAGTTTTAAAATAGAGATAGGGAGGAGGTTTGGGGGGCAGAAAGCACCATTCTCAAAAGTTTCACCTTTGACAAGTCTGTTAAGATTATCTAATACTATTTCTAGCTCTCCTAAGCAGAGCAGGTACGAAGTTACAGCTGTGGCAATTTTGATAAATCTAAAGAATGACATTTCTGAGAATGACTTTTCTCAATCTAGCCATAACCATCAATGAAGAATTCATGTTACTATAAAATAAAAAATGCCAAGGAATTCACTTCTTTATTGTCAAATTGAGATTTGATGGAAGAAACAGCCAGGCAATTAATTATATTTAGAAACCATGCATCTTGACTTTGAAGTTAAATGTATTTCCCTGTGACTTCATATTGGGAACAGCTTTTATTAAATTCAATTACTTTTCCCTCTGGTCTGCTCCATAAAGGTGCACTCATAGAGAAGGATGGCTCTTAGCAGAAATATTTCCACTGGAAAAGATGGTGATCAAGTGGGTTCAGTCACTAAAAAGAGTTAGTCCTTTATAAGCAAAATGCCAGATGAGAGGGTGTGTTTCTGGTGGTCTTCAAGTTTCACCACTTTCTCATCAGCCAGTAAAACAAAGAAGAAGTAAAAATAGAAGGAGAAGGGTCTCTTTATTTTCCATTTTGCCTTCTTCTTGCCTGTATCCCTACTTAAGACCCTTACTCTTTCCCAGAGGGGTCATCTCAACTCATCTACAGCCCCTTGGATCATGTGATTATTCTCAAGATGCTCCCAGAGTTATCACTTGTTGGCATTGGAGAAAGCCCTCCACAAATGGCCTGGAAAGATAATTGGAATGAAAGCATTAATTCTAGATCCATCTCTGTCTCTAGCCATATGAGACTTGATCATTTCTGCTTCATGAACCTCATTTTCTTCATCTGACCAGCAGGCAGACATAACAACTCTTGACCTCCCTATTCCATATAGCTGTTATGAGGATCAAACAAGATGGTGAGATAATAAACAAGTGATAATTGCAAATCATTGGTAGGATTTTTAATAATAATTTATGAACTATCAAATGTCTGTCATTTAAAATAAACTGTCACTTTGTTTAATAATTTTCTTGTCCAAGTGTTCTAAGTTGTATCTTATTATAAGTAGAGAATGATTATTCTCTCCCTAAGCTACACAAGCACAGTAAAAATCTAACATATTATTTGGTTAGAAAGTGACTGCAAAAGTTGACTACATCATCGGCCAATCAGGTGGCAGCTCTCAAGGAAGGCATTTTCTAACCAAAAGTATAATGTATTTCTGTAATAAAATTACCAATTTTACAAGTCCCGAGCATTGCTTTAAAATTGGTTGTATTAGGATCAAAAGCTTCGGTCCCACCTGGGACCAATAAGTGGTCTGTTTCTTTCAGAAATATCACTTACTTCAGCCCCAGTCCTATAGTTCTGGCTTAGTGAAATTAAGAAGCATGAAAAACACAAGGCAAGCTCAAAGGCCTCATAGAAGAATTACATAGATAAAATTCAATATTACAGACAGGTAATTTTCCTCCAAGCCTGCCACAGAAAAGAGCCAAGAGTATAACTGCAATCTTCCTGACTTCCACCAGTCAGGCACTTTTAAAGCTGGATTCCAAAGCTCAGCACCAAAATCAACAAAAAGTGGCATGCCTCTGCAGCTTGCTTAAATACCACTGAATTTATTTGTTCAGATTCAACATTGTCCTCTCTCAGTTTTCATCATCGATACTGTGGATGTGAGTTCCAGGTAGCCTTCGTTTCATCACATGTATCACTACCACCACTTAGAACATGCCTAATGACAGAAGATCAGAAAACTGCCACATTAGGACTTCAAGTGAATGGAACACATCCTCTGGCACTTTCTTTGGGTATACTGGGCTCGGCAATTCAGTGAGCTTTAAAAGAAACGAAAAACATAGACAACCAGATGTGTCAGTATCATAGCACAATGATTAAATCACTGAAGAGTTCTGCATACTGAAACAAGAAATCAAAGTGAGGCATAGGAGGTGGTTCTGAGCTTACAGTATTCAGAGTATAGTATGACCCACATGGAAGATGTAACACAATGTGGTACATCTTCATTGTCAGATGATTATATTGATTGTCTATTATGAGTCTATCTCAGATCCTGGAAAAGGACATAGTAAATCTGCTGGTTTGTAAGCTGCACTAGGAAAAGGGCTGTATTTGTCTTGTTAACTTATTTGTAGAAAGAAGCATAAAGTCAATATGTACTAAATGCATAGTAGACGCTCTATAAATAAAACAATGAACAAACTATTGGTGTTTAAGGTAACAAAGTACAAGTGTTTATTAGTAACTTTCTCCAAACTCTAATGATGAAAAAGTACTAAAAAAAAAAAAAAAGGCAAACTCGCATTGCTCCTAGAAACTAAGAAGGGCACCATCACACTTCACCCCTAATCACCTAAAGATGTACAAAATTACTGGAATTCAATGTTTGTTTACAATTTTCTTTAAGATAAAATGTATAGGCAGCGAGATGAAGAAATCTTTAATGTACCATTCAGTGACAAGTATATGCACCTATATAACCCAAACCCCTAACAAGATAGAAAACATTATCAACTAGAACAATTCCGTCATGACTCCTAGCCTCCTAAATCAATCTCCCTCTGACATTCCCAGAGACAACTACTATTCTAATTGTTTCTATCATAAATTAATTTTCTCTATTCCAGAATTTCATATAAATGAAATTTTACAATATGTACTATTTTGTACAAGGCTTCTTTTACTCCACATATCATTTTTGAGATTCAATTATCTAGCTGCTTCTTTTAGTAGTTTGTTTCTTTTCTTTGCTTAGTAGTAGTTTATTTGTATAAAGATTGCAGAATACAAGGTTAATATACAAAAGCCATTTGCTTTTCTATATATCACCAAAAACACGGTATCATTTACATGAGCAAATTAGTACCCCCAAAAATTAAATACTTAGGGATAAATCTTACAAAGTACAAGATTTATTTGAGAAAAACTACAAAACTGTGATGAAAAAAATCAGAAAAATTAAATAAATGGAGAGATAGTCCATGTTCATGAATAAGAAGACACATTATTGTCAAGATGACCAATCTTCCAAACTTTATCTACAGATTAAGTGCAACTCCAGTCAAAATCCCAGCAAGTTATTTTGTGGATGTAAACAAACTGATTCTAAAGTTTACATGGAGAGGCAAAAGACCCAGTATAGTCAACACAATACTGAAGGAGAACAACAAAGTTGGAGCACTACCTCACTCCAGGACTTACTATAAAGCTACAATAATCATGACCGTGTGACTGGTGAAATAATACACAAATAGATCAATGGAACAGAATAGAGAGTGCAGAAACAGACCCACACGAATACTGACAACTGATCTTTGACAAAGAAGAAAAGGCAATACAATAGAGCAGTAATAACCTCTTCAAGAAATGGAGCTGGAACAATGAGACATACAAATGCAAAAAACAAAAAATAATTTAGACATAGACCTTTTACCTTTCACAAAAATTAACTCAAAATGGATCATAGACCAAAATGTAAAGCATAAAACTATTACATTCCTGGAAGGTAACACAGGAGAAAGTCTAGATGACCCTGGGTATGGTGATGCCTTTTTAGATACAATGTCAAAAGCACAATCTATAAAAGCAATCATTGATAAGCTGAACTTCATTAAAATTAAAAATGTATGCTCCATGAGAGACACTGTCAAGAGAATGAGAAGAAAAGTCACAGTCTAGGAAAAATATCTGCAAAAGATTTATCTGATAAGGGATTGTTATACAAAATATAAAAAGAACTCTTAAAACTCAACAATAAGAAAATGAGCAAGTTGATTAAAAATGGGCAAAAGATCTGAACATCTCACCAAAGAAGATATACAATGGCAAATATACATATGAAAAGATGTTCAACATAGTATGTTATTGGAGAATTGTAAACCAAAACTATGCCATACTACATTATACACCTATTAGAATGTCCAAAATCCAGAACACTGACACCAAATGCTGATGAGGATGTGGAACAACAGAAAGTTTCATTCACTGCTGGTGAGAGTCCAAAATGGGAGTCTCTGGAACACAGCTTGGCAGTTTCTTGCAAAACAAAATACACCCTTACCCTATGATCCAGCAATTGTCCTCCTAGGTACTTACCCAAATGAGTTGAAAACTTCTGTTAACAAAAAAACCTGTGCTTAAATATTTATAGCAGCTTTGTTCATAATTGCCAAAACTTGGAACCAACCAAGCTGTCTATCCATGGGTGAGTGTGAATAAACTGTGGTATATCCATACAACAGAATACTATTCAGTGCTAAAAAAAAAAAAGTCTATCAAGCCACGAACAGATATGAAGGAACCTTAAATGCATACTACTAAATGAAAGAAGCCAATCTGAAAAGGTGAGAAGGCCATATACCTTATGATTTCAACTATATGATATTCTGGAAAAGGAAAAATAATGGAGACAATAAAAAGATTAGTGGTTGCTAGCGGTTGGGGGAGGGAAGAATGAGTAGGCAGGGCACCGAGGAGTTTTAGGCCAGTGAAATTATTCTGTATGATACTGTAATAGTGGATACATGTCATTATATATACATTTGTCAAAATCCACAGAACATACACCACCAAGAGTTAACCCTACTGTAAATAAACTGTGGATTTTCAGTAATAATATGTGTCTATGTAGGTTCACTAATTGTTACATATGACTGCACTGGTGCAGAATGTTGATAGTGGGGTAGGCAATGCATGCATAGAGGTGGAGGGGTATACGGGAAACTTCTGTATCTTCTCAATTTTGCTGTGAACATACAACTGCTCCAAAATAGTTTATTTTAATAAAGTCTACTTTATTTTTCATTTTTTATTTTTTTGAGATGGAGTCTCACTCTGTCACCCAGGCTGGAGTGCAGTGACACAATCTCAGCTCACTGCAAGCTCCACCTCCCTGGTTCATGCCATTCTCCTGCCTCAGCCTCCCGAGTAGCTGGGACTACAGGTGCCCACCACCACGCCCAGCTAATTTTTCGTATTTTTAGTAGAGACGGGGTTTCACTCTGTTAGCCAGGACGGTCTAGACCTCCTGACCTCGTGATCTGCCTGCCTCAGCCTCCCAAAGTTCTGGGATTACAGGCGTGAGCCACCGCGCCCGGCCAGTAAAGTCTACTTCAAAAATAAATCTGGCCACAGTCCTGAAGGGAACGCTGGCTAGGTATTTATAGCAGGCTTCTTTCCTTTAGTAGGACTTTGCCTCCTAAGCATCATGAGTCTTTGAGAGACGTTATTTTGCTTTTAGAAGCTCCCAGCCTACCCTGTCACCTTCTCACACCACATCAGAATTTAGTTAACGGTGGAAAAACCGGCTGTGTGCTTGAATTCTCCATGCAAATGCCTGGTTTATCTTTCCCCAGGATATTCCCTCTACCTGGGCTGAGACCAGGCCTTAGCCCATGCTCAGCCTTAGCAAATGCACCTAGGGAAGAAAATGATGGAAAATAATTACCTCACGCTGAGCCATTCTCCTGGGTAGGTAATGGTGTCTCTGCCTTTCTTGAAGTGGTATCGCTTGCCTTCTGTGTTGTTATACAATACTGTTCAATTATTTAAAATCCTTCTGAATTATATTACAAAAGTCACATAGTATTATAACATCAGTAACTACTTATTACGATCAATCAGCTGATAATTCTATTTAAAGTGCATAATTTTTCACAATTCTTTTAGTTGGAATGTGAGCAAAGTTATTTGAAGACCACTGGTCAAGCTAACATAATCACACTTCAGAGAAATACACTTTTTCAATGATTTAGAGAAAAGGTGGTGAGGTGGTAGAAAATTTGACAACATAGTCTTAGACAAGCAAAGGACTGAATGACCTAACCAACAGTATTCTCATCCATAGAGAATTTACAGGATTACATTATTGTATGTGTAATGATGAATCAGAACAGAGATATGCAATGTCATCTAACAAGGACAAAACGCCTCCTATGCCTTCATTAGTTGACTGTAACCTAACTAAATCTATTACCGTACATGAATTATGAGTCAATCAAAAAAAGAAGTTGTGCAGTCATAAAAACCAGGACAAAAGGAGGTCTACAGAAGTCAAGGTAGTTCTGTTTGCCAAATACTTTCTGGCTCTCTCCTTTCAAACACATAGTAAAACTGCATTTTCTGGACTTCCTGTGGTTGAAGTAGAGCTATTTAGTTAAATAGCCAATTTAATTTGGCCAATAAGTTGTGAATGGAAATAACGTGTTGCTTCTAGGCTGGAAGATTTAACTAGATTTTCTAGAGACCTCTTTTCTTCTGCCACAGCAACCAATAACATTCGAAAGGGTGACATCTCCATCAGCCAGGATCCTTGAGTAAGAACATCTCAGAGAAGAGCCCCAAACCAACCTATGGTGGACAGACAGCATAAGGATGAAATAAGCTTTGGTTGTTTTAAGCTCCTGAGATTTGGAGGGTAGTTTGTCACTGCAGCATAACCTTGCTGATACTGATTAATGTGGCATCCATACTCTCTAGGACAGTGCTCCCTAAGGACTTCATCAGTTCTTAGGACTCCAACTGGTTTCAGGAATGAAAACTGGATATCTCAGAATATCTTAATGTCATAAAACATTCAACTCATATAAATAACTCCCCTTTCTCTGATCCCATGTACATCAAGCAATCTTCTCATTACAATTGGGCATTGCATGTGCAATGACTCAAGAGAAAAATACTGGTTTTTGTGAGACTGTCTATGGTAAGATATATCTTTGCTCAGGGGCTGAAAAATCAGATTTCTGAGTCTGGAAGAAGCCAGGTTGCAAGGAGGAAAAAAAGCTCACTCAAAGTGGCTTAAACAATAAAGGAACTTATTGCTGACATAACTAAAATATTTTACAGGTATGTAACCTGCAGACGTGGTCTGATCCAAAGGTTCATGGTGTTCTCTGAGGTCCAGCTATGTTTCTCTGCAATTCTCTCGACTCTGCTTTCCCGTATGTTATGGCTTTGCCTCAGGCTGACTTCTCTCAGAATGGCAAACTGGTGGCTGCTGCAAATTCCAGGCTGTGATGGTTAATACTGAGTGTCAACTTGATTGCATTGAAGGATGCAAAGTATTGTTCCTGGGTGTGTCTGTGAGGGTGTTGCCAAAGGAGATTAACATTTGAGTCAGTGGACTGGGAAAGGCAGACCCACTCTTAAATTTGGGTGGGAACCATCTACTCAGCTACCAGCACAGCTAGAATTTAAAGCAGGCAGAAAAACGTGAAAAGGCTAGACTGGCTTAGACTCCCAGTCTACATCTTTCTCCTGTGCTGGATGCTTTCTGCCCTTGAACATCAGACTCCAAGTTCTTCAGCTTTGAGACTCAGACTGGCTTCCTTGCTCCTCAGCTTGCAGATGGCCTGTTATGGGACCTTGTGATCATTTGAGTTAATATTCCTTAATAAACTCCATATATATATATGGAGATATATGTGGAGAGATATATATGTGTATATATATGGAGATATATATGTGTATATATATGGAGATATATATATGTATATATGGAGATATATATGTATATATATGAGATATGTATGTATATATGGAGTTATATATGTACATATATGTGTATATATATGGAGATATATATATACACACACATATACATATACATATATGTATATATACACACACACACATACATATATGGAAAATCCATATATATACACACACATATACATATACATATACATATACATATACATATACATATACATATACATATATGGAAAATCAGAGTTTCTCTATCATGAAGACTTTTGTTACCCATAAATAACCCCAGGAGTTCATGACATGGTGGGAGGTCAGAGGGTGGGTTGTCGCTTGGTACTTAACATTTCCTAAAACTGACACAACAAATAGCTGGTTCCATTGAAGTCCAGTGTGCAGACAGCATTATCAGACAGAGCACTGGCTCAATTCTGATCTACATATTAGAAGACCCTGATAAACTGGTTTTACAGAAGAAAGGAAACTTCCACCAGTTAAGAAGCCACAGACATCATACACCACTCAGGGCCCAAATCACTGGGGCCCAAGCGAGGTGCCAAGCAAGGATCGTTTGGGGTTCAGGTATAATAATACCAGCTTAGGGCTTCAGGAATTAAATAACACCCAACTTAAGGAAGTGCCGTGTCAAATGAGATAACACAGGTGTGAGCCATGAATGAACCACACAGATCTGTGCATGTTTCAGTGTTGGTGGCCACTGGATGTCTCATGGTTGGCAGAACCTTAACCCTTGTGATTCTGAGCTCCTGGTCACCTCACCCCAGTCCATCCCCCTCATAGTTCCTCCTGTCTCACTCATCTCAGGCCTGGCTCCTCAGCCCATGTAGGTGCTCCATTTTAAACAAGAGTCATTATGGATGTTTCCCCCTTCTCCCTCACTGCTTTCCATATCTAGTACCTGAGCAACTACAGTCAGTTCTGCCTACAAAATTACCTCCAATCTACCCATGTCATCTCCACCTTCACCCCAACAACTGTTATCCCTCCCTGGACAACAGCAATACCCATCTCGCTTTTCTCCTCACTTCCCCTCTCACCCCTCCAATATTTTCTCCATGCTGCAGCTAGAATAATCATTTTCATATCAAAATTTGATCTACCACCCCATTTCCATGCTTAAGATGCTTCAAAGGCTTTGCAGTATATTTCAAATAAAATTCACCCTCTTTACCATGGCCTAGAGAGCCCTGCATGATCTGGCCTCTGCCCACGGCTCCACGCCAATCAGCGGCCCTTGTCCCAGCCCACGCCCCTAATGTGTCCAGTTCTCACTCTTGGGGTCTTCAAAGCTCTTTTGTCAGCCCACTAGTCATCCTTCAGTTACCAGTTCAAATGTCACCTCTCCAGAGAGGCCTTTCCTGACCAGCCAGGTTACCAGATAAAATACAGGATACCCGGTTAAATCTAAATTTCAGATAACAAACGAATACATTTTTATTCTGCCTAAGTCCCAAAAATTACATGGGGCATGCCCATCCAAAAATGTGCTCACAGTTTATCTGAAATTCAAACTTAACTGGGCATCCTGTATTTTTATTTGACAGATCTGGCAGCTCTACTGACCACCCAATGTGTTCTGGTGTTATTCTCAACCACGTCACTCTATTTTTGTCCTTCATTCACTCACCATGATTTTAAAGCATATATGGATGCATTTGCTTGTTTATTGTCCTAACCCCATCTAGACTTTAAGCTCCTTAAGGGCAGAGTCTATGTTTATTTTATTCTTCAGTATATTCTCAATAATTTGCACATAATAAAAGTTCAACAGATGTCTAGCACATAATAGGAGCTCTATAAATATTCAACAAATGAAAAAATGAGTACTATGTTAGCTGAAGAGTTAGCATCTTTTTTTTTAAACTTCTTCCTAGGTAATGTGGCAAGTTTTCACCTTACTGAAAATACACTTCACAGACCAAAGCAGTAGAGTATGTAGTCATAATCCATTTAGCTCTGTAATTAGACTTTAATGTGACTAAATTCAGCTGATGGTGCATGGAAGAGACTAGGTGTTGAGTAATGTTAACACTATTTTGACACCTTTCCAGATGATAAAACCACTGGAGAAAAATAAAATAGGAGGAAAGTAAAGATAGGGAGATGTATAAAGGTGAAGTCACAAGAGCGGAAAGTTCAGATTCATAGTTAGGGAGGAAAGGAAAGTAAACACTGATGCCATAAAATAGAAAACAGAGTAATCCAGGGCAAGAGGCTATCAAGAGAAAAGCTTAAAACCCTGGGGCCAAAGTAAAGATTACCTAGAAACTTTGCAAAAGCAAAGATTAATAAGAAAAGCTGAAGCCCAAGCATGAATAAAACCTGCGTTATAGTCCTCATAAATATAAATTAATTGTCACATATAAAGGGGAGGTCAGTAAAGGAGAAGGCTAAGAGAGAGAGAAAGATAACTCAGGTGAAGAGCTTTGTTTTCGGAATCTGATTTGCTTACTTGTTTAGGAAACGAAGGTGAGCCCAGATGTTCAATGGCATCAATTTCCTAAGAATGACTGGGGACCATTTGTGTACCCACAAATTAAAAAAAGAAATTTTACTAAATTCCTGGCCCATTTTACTATAGTTTTAAAGACAGGGCAAAAGATATCTCTCCTTGAGGTAGTGATGGCATAGGATATATGTATAGAATACTTGGAGATATGTTTTTGAAACGTTATTTTTATTGTTCTCTCATGGATGTAGGGTTGCTTCTGGGGTCTAGAGATGGATTTGCTGAAACCCACACAGGTCTAGCTAAGGTGGGTTTACAATCACTGATCTTTAGGAAAGAATACACTGGAAGTCATTTGGAAGGAAAAGTTCATTGAAAAATGTAGTGCAATCTTCCCCCGACCCCACCCCACAGCTTGATACAATCAAAACTCATATCTTCATTGTCTTTGATAAGACTTTGGGTTACTTTGTGATACGGTTTGGCTCTGTGTTCCCACCCAAATCTCATCTTGAATTGTACTCCCATAATTCCCACGTGTTGTGGGAGAGACCAGTGGGAGATAATTTGAATCATGGGGGCGGTTTCATACCCCACACTACTGTTCTTGTACTAGTGAATAAGTCTCATGAGATCTGATGGTTTTATCAGGGATTTCTGCTTTTGCATCTTCCTCATTTTCTCTTGCTGCCACCATGTAAAAAGTGCCTTTCACCTCCCATCATGATTCTGAGGCCTTCCCAGCCATGTGGAACTGTAAGTCCAATTAAACTTCTTTTTCTTCTCAGTCTCGGATATGTCTTTATCAGCAGCATGAAAACAAACTAATACACTTTGCTTCATTGAAAAGCAACTAATAACATTATGGTGTCATCCAGAAAGAGACTGTCATTTAAGGAGTGAATTTTCAAAGTAGGATATTGTCTAGGAAGGTGTGGGGCAAAGTCAGCTCAAACTACACTTTTCCTCTCTTCCTACTAGGATTTTCCAGGTGAGATCTAGCTACAATGAAGTTCGAGAATGACTTTGAATAACAAATGCAGTCAACAGGGGCAACCTAGGGGAAAAAGGTAGTGATGTGGAATGGGAAGAGGGATCCTGTCTCATTTATTTTGCAGGCATATGTGTGAGCAACTACCTTATCTGTGAAACAGAAACTTGGGGTTGTGATCTCCTCTTCTCTGAATGGCTGTCTTTACGATTATTTCTTCTCTTAATTTTCTTAAAACATATATGACTATTTAAACTGCAAATTATAATATTGTGAGGTTTATAACATATGTAAATGAAAAACATGACAATTGCAGCAAAAAGGATGGCAGTAAGGTAGTAAATGAATCAAAATAGTTGCAAGATTTCCATAATTTTTATGAAATTGTACAATATTAACTGTAAGTAGACTGTGCAAAGTAAAAAATGGATTTTGTAATCCCTAGAGCAATCACTAAGAATAAAAAATAAAAGTAAATAAACTGTGTATAGTGATATCTAAAAATTCAAAAGACAAATTATTACAATAATTCCAAAGAAGGCAGAAGCAGGGAAACAGAAGTAAAAAAGAGAGGTGACAATTAGAAAACAAATAAAATGGTAGGCCTAATTCTAACCATACTGATAATTACATTAAACTTTAATGCATTAAACTTCCACTTAAAGGCAGGTATTATCAAAGCAGATTAAAAAAGAGAAGACCCAACTATGTTCTATGTGCTTCACTTATGTTAACTCATTTAATTCTCATCACAATCCTGTAAGGCCATCCCATTATCAATCTCACTGTATAGATGAAAAAATGGGGGCTCTGAAACGGGAAGTAACTTGCCCAAGCTTACCCAGCTAGCGAGGGGCAGAGATGGTTTTGAACCCAAGGAATGGGGCTCCAGAAACTACTAGTCTGCCTCACAAGAAAATTAAGAAAGAAAAACAAGTAAATCCGGAAAAAAGAGAGAAAGGAAAATAGAAAGAAGGAAGGAAGGGTTAAGTCTGGGAAAAACAAAACATTAGTACAAAAAGGTCATTGTAATCCTAGTATTCTACTTGGCTCAGTAGATGATAAGCTACATTTGTAGAATAATAGTACAAAAAGGTAACTGTAATCCTGGTATTCTACTTGGCTCAGTAGATGATGAGCTACATTTGTAGAATAATACTAATTAAAACATTAACAGTGAATTTAATCTACGATTGTGGTATCCCTATATTTTGAGAAAGGGAGAGAGGGAGGAGAATGGAAGTATAAGATAAAATTGACTTCATCCTGCACAATAGGGAATTAATGGCAAATGTCTAAAAGTGATGATCCAACAGTGTGCACTATAATTGTGAGAAATGGAGATAAATATCAGAAGAAATGAATGAAGCTTCTGGAGAGCTAAAACAGGGTTGGGCAGTGGGTAAGGAGGGCACGGGACTATTATTTTTAATTTTTTGCCTTACAGTGATTTGAAACATTTAAAATTATATGCATGCATTCCTTTGATAAAAATGCTTTTGAGAAAAAGAAAAAAAAAAAGACTTGCATCAGCAATCAAAGGTATGTTGAATAGCCCAGTTCAATTTGCTGAGAATAAAACAAAGGTGGTAATTTTGCTATTAAATGCTGTCTTAGGCAGGGTTCTACAGAGAAACAGAACTAATCAGATATACATATAGAGAAAAAGAGATTTATTATAGGCTCACATGATTACAAAGGCTAAGAAGTCTCAGGATCTGAGGTTGGCAAGCTGGATCTCAGGAGACCTATCAGTGTAGTTCCAGATTGAGTTTGAAGGCTTGAGAACCAGGAGAGCAGACAGTGTAAGTTCCAGTCTGAAGGCAGGAGATGATCAATGCTCCAGCTCAAGGACCAGGCAGGCAAAGTTCCTCTTACTCAGCTTTTTGTTCTGTTCAGGTCTGTAATCAATTGGCTAAGGCCCACTCACATAAGGAAGGACAACCTGCTTTCCACAGAATACTGATTCAAATGTTATCTTGGCCCCAGAAACACCCTCACAGATACAGTCAGAATAATGTTTGACCAAATATGCAGACACCCACTGACTCAGTCAAGTTGACACATAAAATTAACCATGACACATACTATTAAGAGTTTACATATATTTTATGTGCAAATTCCCCTATTCAAAGTACTGTACAGATTTCCAATATTCCTAATTTCATCTTCATTTTCACTAAAATTGCTCATTGTCATAGTTATTTTTTGAAATGTTTTTAAATAATATAAAATTATTTTAAAATTAAAAATTACTTTAAAATTATTTTAAAATTAAATAATAAAATAAAACAATATAAATAAAAGAGAACACTATAGATGGTTACAGCCCTGTTGCTACCCTCCCCAGCCCTGCTCTCCTGTCTTTCTCAAGAGGCTATGCATCCATCCAGACTTTATACATTCATGAAAAAATACCTTGTATTGTTTTGTATATTCTTTTCAATAGTCAAAAATACTACCATATTACACGTCATTCTGCAGCATGCTTTTGCAATCAGTGACACATTTTTGAGATCTCTCTAATTGATTATTGCTCTCGAGAAAAAAGCCTGCTGTCAGGGAATTCTCCCAAATTTTCATATCTTGTTCGCATTTCCCCTCTCAACCCCTCCTGTTTTCATTATTCCTCCTTCTTTTCTCTATTTCCATACTTTGAGTGATCTCATCTGGTCCCACATCTTTACCATTCATGTCAGTGTTGCCCAACTGTTTATCCTCTAACCTTGACCTCTCCCTAGAACTCCACACTCACATAAGTGCTGTCTGTTTAATTTCACCACCTGGATATGTAATGGGCATCTGAAACATGTCGTGGTGGAAAGGGGGCTCTGAATTTGCCCCACCCTGCTCCTGTCTTGCCTCTCCCATTTCAGCAAAAGGCCCAATCCTTGCCTCAACCACTTGATCTGGTAGAACCAAATTTCTGAGAGGATGAGAGATAGCGAGGGCAGGTGACCACTGTATCAACCAGTATCCGATTAGGGGCCAGGCAGGAAATGGAACAGGAGAATCATCTGGTTCAGCTCACCGTGCAAAGGAAAGTGTGAGCCTATCCTCCTCCTTTTTCAGGGCAGAAAGGATAAGGACTATGGTGACCAGCAGACTTCAGGCTCTTTAGGGATGGGGCAAGCCGCCAAGCACAAATGGGGATTGCTGTCTTCAGCCCAAGCTTGTTGGATCTTCTTAGAGTAGCTGAAGACCTGCATTTTAAGTATTGGCAACTAATTCAAGCCACTTTTATGTACTGCATAGACCAAACAAAACATATCTGAGGGCCTGATTTTGCCCATGTGTCACTATCTTGCAACACCTTCTGTGTGTGTGTGTGTGTGTGTGTGTGTGTGTGTGTGTATTATACATTTGGGGGAGGGACAGCACTTGAAATGTAGAGATTTGAATCCATCCTACCACATTCATAGTACACTATTAGCATCGTTCTCTGCATGGCGTCCCTTTTTTGTACTTTTTAATTACATTTTATTTATTTCCTTCTATCATCATTTCTACTCCCATCATGTGCCTGCCCTGCCATATGCAACCATTCCAGTTGACTGGGATCTTTTGTTTGTATGTGTCCTTGTAAAATGCATACTGTCATTTCGTATGCAAATATTGTTAATTTACATAAACTGTGCTATTCTAGAAATCTCATTCAACTTTTTCCCTTTTTTTTGTGGCTAGGACTTTTTTCAAGTCATTTTATCTGGAGGGGTGTGTGTGTGTGTGTGTGTATGTGTACAGGGTATGCCTGGACTGTGTTTTACCTGCCCACTCTCCCCAGTTGCTTCCAGGTCCTACTATGAAAAACTTGTACCAGTCCTTTAGGAACCTGTCTAAGCATCTGTCTGGGGTATACCTCGAAATACAGGATTGCTGGGCCATAAGGTGCGTACTGTGCACAGCGCTGCCTTCCCATCTCACCAGCAGTGTAGGAAGGCGCCTATATTCCTATATCCCCACCAACACTTGGCATCATCCAGCTTTCTTCTTCTTTCCTGCCCAATGGAAAGTGATATTTCATTGCTCTAAGAATCCAAGGTGTACTTCCAGAATTAACATACTTTTTCTTGAGAACCTCAGAAGACTTCAAAAACTCTTTGTGTTCATCTTCAGACCTGAAAGGTAGGTGATTCTCTCCATTTTATTGGTGACTCATACACACCAAAAGGCAAGGCCCAAATCTTTCTTCCCAGTGGGTACTTTGAGACCTTACCTGTTAAATTCTATGACTTCCAACTCCTGGCAAGGAGGAAGGGTTGAGGACTGCCTTTCTTCTTGCTATATTCCTTCATGAATTCACCTCAGTTTTCTAATCATTGGAATATACTTCTTGAATGGAAATAAAAGACATGCTTGGTAGTATGGTGTTTTGTCAAGTCCCAAAATGAAAGTCACATAAACAGAAATCCCAAGCATAGTCTGTAGAGTGAATCTTCTCAAATGACTTTTTTAAAGAAAGAAAAAGTCACAGTCCTAATGTGAGCTGAAATACATTCTGGGCACAGAGAAGTGACTCTGTTTTCCTAAGAGAATAATAGGATTAGTCCGGAGTCTTGATTGACATTGCCTTGTCCTTAGAGGCGGTTATTTTCTTCCTTTTGAGTATGGCATAATGTAATCCTCCAACACTTAGGTACTCAAAACATTTTCCCCTAAAGCAGCAGGAGTGATGATCATGAATGATAAGTAAATTTATCAGCATTAGTGTACCAGAGGAACTTCCATCCCTCTGCAGGGAGACTTGCCTGAAGGCTGGAAGGCCATTGCCGAGGAATCAGCTGCAGCCTCTGCAGAGTGGCTGTTGGGGGTGTGGTGTGCTTTGTTTTCTCTTGTGACATGGCAAGAATATTATGTGTAATTTAATATTTGCTAAAATATTATTTTGAGATGAAATACACTCTGTGCCGAGTGTATTTCATCTCAAAATATTGAAAATCCTTTTAATTGAATAAATTTACTGAAAAGCTTCATAGATTTAAATGGTCTTACAAGTCATTTACTAGAAAAGATTGATTTCTTTAAGAGGACCCAGTTGTAACTTGCCTTGAGGATTGTACAAATTCTTTAGGGGAACTGGTGACTTTTTTTTAGTTGTTGTGCATGCGTGCATGTGTGTGTGTGTGTGGTTTTTTTTTTGGCAGTCAGTTATTTTTTTAGTTGAAAATGATACTATTTATTCTATTTATCAGTGGGGAAAACTTGTTTAAACACATTCAGAATGCTGCTCCTGTTTTTCTTGAATCTAATCCTTCTGTTTCCTTTGTTAATAAGGTTTAAATATAAACACAATCAAATTTGTTATATGTGAGCTGTTAAAGCCCTACAGTAATACAAAGTGACCAAAATAGCTCTTCCATAACTCATATTAGAAATGCAATGCTAGTTATTTATAAGACTGATAACACCTAAAGAGATCAAAAGAAGACTGAGGCAGAACACTGTTCACAATTAAAACGAATAAAATTGAATTTCATAATCCTAAACTGCAAGTTCCTCCAGACGGGGAGCGAGTCTCACTTTATAGACTCGGTTCCTGGGAATGAGTCTGGCACCCTGTAGGTAAATGTTGATTGACTTATTATTACGGAATCACAGTGGCCACAATAAGTAACACCTGTTTCTTCCCAACCTGAGACACATAGGAATCAGACAACTGGAGACAAAAATGGTCAGTTTTATTGAAGATAAAACTAAATTAGAAGACATGGCTGCAGCATGCCTCTTAATCCTTCATCCTGAATTAGATGGGATTGACCCCTCAGTCATGGGCAGCTCTGACAACTAGCAGTCCCCCTGCACCTGTCCAAGCTCACTAAATGACCATGACCCAGACATCCCAGGATGCAAGCATCCTGTGCACAAGCTGCCTCCTTTCCCAAACCCACCAATCAGGTAAGCCACGCCCTTCCTGATGAGGAAGGGGCAGAGGGGCAGAGGGAAGGAGGAAGTGTCCCCAATGCTTTTACTTCTGGGAGCAGAATGGAAATTGTTGCCTGTCTCTGAAAACATATAACCATGGAGTAAAATGTGGGCAATATTGTTTCAAAATTATATGTTGTATTATTCTATAAAGGGGTCCACTAGGGCTAACATTCTCAACTCTATTCTTGTAGTAATCAGAGTAAAACTTGACAAATATCCCTCCAGCTAACTTTAATATTCATTCCATTGCTTAGATCAATGTTTTAAATCTGCCTTCTGTTTAGATTAAACTATGTTGTTGTCAAAGGAATTACTTGAATACTTTTACTTACACGCTTGCATTCTCTTTCTCTTCTCCACCATGATTTTGTATGCCCTTTTGTAACCTGTTGCTGGGGCAACTTGGTAATTCTAAGCTTAGGCAAGTATTTAAATTGGGAAACTGTTCTTTAATGACCTTAATTGGCTGGAAAGAGAAATCCTTGTTATAGTGTGCCTTCTATTCTGTTTGGGGTTTTAGAATTTCCGGATGTGTGACAAATATTAAACAAACGATCACTTTGATTTGGGGATTCGGGCTCAGATCAAAGGTACCAGCATCAAACACTTAGCGACAGGTGATGACACCAGACATGGCTCTGTAGTGTAGACGCAGGCAGGGCGTCCAGGGTGTTTGTGGAGTGGCTCCTCTGAGATTGCGATCAATGAGGAAGACCCTCAGTGTTGATACTCTGCAGGTGTCTTCCATGTGCCAGTCTTAGATTTCCACACAGTTCTTTTCATATTATCCTGGCTTTGGGTTCAGATCAGGTTTGACTGTGCTCAAAACCAAATACTAGAATTGCAAAAAATACAGAGACTTCTTCTCAGTGTTTAAAAGGGCATTTTCTAAAAATCATCGAAGAATGTAAAACCCCAGACCACTGTATTTTATCATCATGAAGTTTTAGGGCCGGGGGACACTGTAGAGATCAAATCTGACACCTCCACCCAACCTACTTCTTCATTTTACAAACAGAGAAAATAGAAGCAAACACATTTACTAACTCGAACAAAATTACAAAGCTCATCAGTAAGTAGGTCAGAGGTACAAGTGGTTTTCTGGTTCTCCATCTATCTTTCTTAGTCTCTGCTTCTCAAATGTTGGAAACTTTCGGGATGAATACTCAAGACTTAAAAGAAGGTAGTGCAATTCTATCTAATATCTGTATTCTGTGTATCAGGCTAATTTGCTGGAGTATTAACGAAGGTCTGCAATCTGTTGTAGATGCCATGTTCTAGCCCAAAGCAAGACTGTCCCTTGGTTCACACAATTTGCCAGTGCTTGACAGCTTTCATTTCTCTTCTCAGTATATTTTATACTATGGTCACGGTATTAACAGTCCAACTCTATTAGACAGATCACAGCTCTAATCTGGGAAATTCAGGTAAAAACTGATCCCTGAGTTTTTGCTTCCTTCCTTGAACAGACCGGGAGCATAAATCACTAAATTGGCCTCAATACTTTAGGATTTGATTTGGCAGTTGTTTGGAGGGTTCTGGGGATTCTGGTGGAAAGACAGGAAACATTTTGGCATCAACTTTCAAAGTGTGAAAGAGTCAAAGGCAAGGGTGAGGGGAAGGAGCGGGGAGGGACCCTGCTGAGGACAGGACCACAGCACCCCTTCCAGGCACACAGGCCGCAGGGAATTGGGGAACGCAAGCCCAGATCGTGCCCCAAATAGAGAGCGCAGGGGCAGAGGACTGAAAAACACCTCCCAGGGCACCTATCTTTGGAATTTTTGTCTAGAAAGGCATGGGGCAGTCTTAACGGGGCCTTCCTTGTTTCTGAAAGAGCCATCAGCAATTCACATGACATCTAAGAACTGGACACCTGGGGAAACCACAGACCCAGTTCAGGGAAATAGAGGGCAGGAAAGGCCAAAGATGCTGACAAGAAACTCCTGACAACCCCAGAGGGGAAAAAGGAGAAAAAAAAAACCACCCAGGAAGGCAGACTTTGCCAGGTGGCACCACTTCAGTTTAATTAGACAAAGGCTTGGGGGTGGGGTGTGGCCTGAAAGCAGAGACACCTGGGGAGTGAAAGCGAAGTGGGGGTCAGGGGCAAAGGTGGCGTCAACAAGCCACCTGGGACCCCTGATGGAACACTCCCCCCAGGATATGTAAGGGGCGGGTCAAGGAGGCTTCCAGAAACCAGAGCACAGAGATGGTGGCGCCAGAGGGGGCAGCCTGCTGTAGTCCAGAGATGTCACAAGAACTAGGAAAAACCCATGACACTGACAGTTAACCAAGAGCATGTCCTCACCTGGGTAAAACAAGGGATGAAGTCAAATTAGGAAGGGCAACAGAAAGGAGAGGAGCCTAACCTAAAAGGTCTTTTAAAACAAAAAAAAAAACTTTTGCTATCATTTACTAATGATATGATTTTTTGAAAGCCAAATGGGATTTTTCTTGTCTCCCCATTTCTTCATTTTGAAATTTTCAAACTTACAGAATTGAAAGAAAAATACTCTCTGCCCATCTACCCTTCACTTAGACTCCCTGATGGTTAACATTTTGCTACAGTTGCTTTCACTATCTAGCTAAAGCCTTTTGTTTCCCCTGAACCATTTGAATGTAGGTTGCAAACATCAAAACACTTCACTCCTCAACACTTTTTGTTTTTTTAAATAAATGTCAGGTTTCTGTTTTTTATTATTTATTTATTTATTCATTTATTTAGAGATAGGGTTTCTCCTTGTTGCCTAGGCTGGTCTTGAACTCCTGGGCTCAAGCGATCCACCCACCCTGGCCTCCCAAAGTGTTGGGATTACAGGTGTGAGCCACCACGCCCAGCCAATCCTCAATACTTTCACATGCAATTCCTAGTAAGGCCATCCTACTACATAACCATCAATATACCTAGGAAAATTAACATTATTTTATAATTCATATTCCATTTTCTCAGTTGTTTCCAAATATTTCTGGCCTTTATTTTAATGTAGAATCCAATAATATTTGTGCAATGCATTTAGTGTGTCTCTTTAGCCTATTTTAATTTGGAACAATCCCTGGTTCATTGTTTTTCATTACACTGAAGTTTTTGAACCCAATGGGCTACAATGTGGCACATTCTGGATTTGTCTGATTGTTTTCTCATGATTAGATTAAAATTAAATATCTTGGTCAAGAATACAACATAGGAGATACTGCCTTTCCTAGAAGGAAGTCATACCTCAAAGGGATATGTCTCCCCTATATAACAAAAGGTCCTCATTAGAGTAGCATTAAGCTTGTTCATTTCTTTACAAGTTATGTTGATGTTGTGGTTTCTCCCCCAAAAAGATTTACGATATATTTTAATCACAACCAGATCGTTAAAATAATTATTAAACACCCAGTTATATACTGACCACTGAATTTGATGCTAAGATTCCAGGCAAAGAAAATATCTGGTAAAAAAACACAAATTCTAGAACTGTTCAACTCACACAGAAAAATCTAAAAAGAAATTCCTGGACTAAATTCCACAGGGAATTTATCACTTTAAAAAACATGATGGGCAGCACCTTGCACTGTGGTTCCCCAGCAGAGGCAGCATCAGTCTTCATGGAAAGCCTGGCTCGAAGGGATTCTGTGCTGGGCTGGATGGGTGACCCCCGGGGTTCTGGATGCCAGAAGTTCCAGTGAGAAAGCTGACAGTTTTGAAAATGGAGGAACCTGACTCCTGTTCTTGACCAGATGGTGAACCACTCACCTTTGCAGGGCAGTGGTTTACTTGAAGCTCTATACATATTATTTTCCAAATACAGAACTAAATTATATACAGAAAGAATGGCTAAAGCCTAAAACCGGATAATAACTAGACAAACAGTCCTGAAATTGATCAAAAGATGTATCTTTAATTCTAAAAATGGCACATGCATACGAAAAACTAAAACAGACCATAGAGGTTTATGAAAAGTTAATCTGTCTCCTATGCAAAAACCTAGTCCTATTCTTCAGAAATAATCACTATTGGTCTTATGTATTCTTCCAGGAATGTTCCAGCAAACACATCAATATATCCACATATTTTAATATGTAAATTGCTGAAATGCTCTCCACATAGTTTTCTTTGACTTTTCTTTCCCCCTTAACAATGTATCTTGGGTATTTTGGCACATCAGCAATACAGATCTCATGCTTTTTACTTGCTGCATAGTATTCAATTGGATACCAAAAACCGTTTGACTAGTTGCTTATTTCCAATTTTTTATTATCAACAATGCTGCAAGTGTATGTTTGTATACATGTCCCAAATATTTGTAGGACAAATTCCTAGAATAAAATTGCTGGGTCAAAAGTATGCACTTAAAATATTAGTAACATTGTAAAATTGCCCTCCAAAGAGCTTGTCTCAATTTACATTCCAAACGATGTATTAAAAATGCCCACGTCCCTATCTCCAGGCAAAGCTGTGTATTAACATGATTGATGGGTGAAATGTGGCATCTTCTTTGTTTTTTCTAATTTGCAAATATTTGCAAGGTTATTTGGCTTCTTCTTTTGCCTTTTTGTCTTTTGAATATTTTCCTAAGGGTTTGTCTCTTTATTAGTACATGAAGGCTTTTGATATAATGGAAAAATTAGACCTTGTCTGTCATATGTGTTGTAATCTTTTCCCCATTTTGTCATTTGCCTTTGTCTTTGTTTATAGTTTTTTTTGTTGTTCAAACATTTAAAAAACTTTATATTGTCAACTATATCAATATTTTTCTCTACAGAATTTAGGTTTTATGATGTGAATGGACAGGTCTTCTCTATTCTGAGATTATTAAGAAACAAAACAACAAAAAATCCAACATTTTATTTGGTACTTGTCATTTTTATGTTTAAATTTTTAATCCATATTGAATCTCTTTTGCTGGAATGACTGAGGTATGGATATGAATTTATATTTTTTCCAGATAGCATTTAGTTGCCTCAAGATTTTTTATTGATACATCTTTCCCCATGATTCAATGTTTGTTTTTGATGGTAAGTGTATTTTATCTTATGAAGGTAATTGTTCTCAATTAAAAAAAGGCTAAATCAGCCATCATTAGGTTTTGGGTATGAAAAATTTTCGGCTAGTATTATTCAATTTAGAAGCTACTGAAAACGTCCTCTTACATACAATTCTCAATCCATTCAGCAATCTGGTACTTATTTTTCTCCAAAGAATTCATGTGTTATAAACGTTGATGCAGATTTCTTAAATAAAATTTACTTCATGTTTCATTTCTAAATTATATGACTGCAATTCCAAGTGAAGAATGGTAGTGAGTTTTCTGCAATACAGAAAAGGATCACAACAGTCCATTTACATTATTACTTAAATTATTAAAGAATTGTCCCTGTAGTAAAGATAATTCAGCATTCTTTCAATCTTGCTTAGAAACATCTCCCATATTTCACCTACATTTTTTTTTCCAAAATTAAACCCATGGGTTAACTAAGAGAGTCATGAAAAAAATTCATGTGAGCTCATCATTAGTTCTTCATGCTACAGGGTGCATCTAGATTACCTCATCGTCTAAGATCAGCATTGGTGAGATGATATGAAGTTTCATCCTCACAGAACATAACACTCAAGTTCTGTGAGTTGCTGCTGCTATGATTAACTCAAGTACTTAATTGGTCACTTTAACTTGAACAGGCCTTAAAAGATTCAAAATTGCTCCTCAAAAAAAATGGGCTGGGGGGAAGCATGAACTTCATGAGCACTTGGTAGACATCATTAATCATGGCACGTTTTTGCACATCTTATTCAACTCTGTACCAGCAGTGTTTTAAAATAGTGTTTTGCACATAGCAGATGTTCAATATATATTTGTTGAGTAGAAGGAAGGAAGGATGTATGTATGGATGGTGGATTGGATTGATGGATGAATGAGAGCCCAAATGAAATCTCATCAATTTCCAGAACACAGCAGCAACTGTTGATCAATCCATTAACACTCAAGATGACATTTACTTTGCATGCTGCACTGAGATTTTATTCTGGGCTCATTCTTGCAGACTGTTCAATGAAAGACATGTATATTAAATAAAGGACTTCGGGTGGAAAAGCCTATCTTGCTTAATGTTCTCATCAAAATAATATATTTATTTTTGGATCATGATATAATTAAGAAAACTATTTTTATGTCTAGAGTTTCTATAAGACTCCTAAACAAAAGTGGATCAATGTACACCCTGTTTCAATTAGGGACCACTCAAGGTTTCTTTCTTTCTCATTAATTACAAATGTAAGTCAAACTAGAATGGAAACTCCTCCCTTTATCAAGGACAATGGGAAGTGTTTTATAATAACCATGGTTGCAATATTTTAAAGTACAGATAATTAAAATCTCAGCATGCTGCCATCCAAATCACATACAACAAAAAAGTAAAACCTTCTTACACTGTGTTTCAAAGAATCAGCCTCTAAGCTCTTCCCTCCACTCCTTTCCCTAAGACGCATTACTGAGGACCTAGAATGTGACATGTGACCTATAAGCAGTAGGGAAGCATTAGTAAGCAGATATTTTGTTCTGCTCAGAATGTGTACAAATGAACAAGTAAACAAATATCTGCAGGAGGATATGACAAGTCCTCAGTAAAATGAAGGAAGGAATGAATGAAGAAGTTGATGGAGGATACTCATCAAATTTTGGTAGACTGCCTATGATTTGAGATGAACATTTATTTTTGCTTTTTCCCAGTTCACTCTGCAATGTTTTCTGTAGCAATCATTTGTCCTCTAGTGCCAACTCCCACTGCCTGTTAAAAACCCCTATTTTTAATCACTTCAAAGGGGGTTCCTTTATAGGATAACATCGTTTACAATACATTTTCATATAGATCTTGATAAAAATAATTTGATCACTTATACAACAAATACTTATTGAGTACCAACAATATTACAGGCACTATGCTAAGTGTCCATCTTGGGGTCACAATGACTAGAGGCTCAAGGAATTCTTAGTCTATTTTTTAAAAAATAACTATTAGACCCAGAAGCAAGGAAAAAAAAAAGCACAAGGGAGTTTGCTGGAGGTCAACAAAGATCAGATGCAAGTTTGATGGAATGGAATAAGCAGGATTGGAAGCAATGCCAGATTTAAAACATTTATCCATAAGATGGCCCATCCCACAAAAGATTTGAGGAATTTACAAAAATGCATACAAATTAAAATGACGAAATAAATGAGTCAGGACAAAGGGAAATATGAGTGTGAAGATAATAAAGGTAGGAGTATATTCACCATTTAGAGATGCACACTGAAATTCATTTAGTTACTAGGGAATGCCAAACACAAAACTGAAGAGTAACAAGTGAGGCCCATTTAATGCATCAATTTGCCAATAAGTAAGAACTAAGTGTAAAGACAACTGAAAGGCATTTATAAAATGATTGGCCGGTCTGTGGGAATCAAGAGAGAGGAATAATTAGTGGATAATAACAAATATTATGGAGACCGTAACACAGCTGAAAGAGTAAAGACAAGATGAAAGGTTGAAATAATATGCTAGTATCCTAATAACAGTGATATATACGGAACAGCTCATCAGAAATTAAGGCCTGGTTCGCTGCTGTGGTCTTTTTATGGCTTTTAACAAAGGGATGTGCTCTGGGAGCTTGAGGGACACCCACGAGTGGCATCGCTCTGCTATTGTGAGACCAGTAACGAAAACTAAAAAAGTAGACTGTTTTTAATTCCAAGGGGGTCTGGTTTGGGCATCAAAACACCAGAGCTGAAAGCAGTTAGGGAAGCCACTGCTAAAGAGTGAATACTAGGATTGGGAACTGTAATTGGCCAGACATCCCCCCTAGTCTGGCGGGAACCACATTTTGTCCCATGTATACACCATCCTGGTCCATTCTCACAGGAGGCATCATGACAGGCTATAGCATATCAAGTGGTGTAACCCTGGACAACACGTCTGCCAGGGGTGAGTGAGGCTCCTTAGAATCAGTTAGGGCTGAGAGATGGATAGGTCTAAGAATCCAGGTGTCTATATGCAGCTGACTAAGGAAACCTCAATTTTTGATCTTCCAGAAGGTCCCTTGCTTTGGGAGACCTGCGCATGATGTTAACCTCCTCTTGACCCTCCACCAAGTCAGAGGAGAGAAATACATAGCCTCAGCCTCCAATGGGATTAAAGGACCTTTCAATACCTAGGATTCTGTAGCCCAATCACTGCACCGAACTTAGTATTTCCAAGACTACAAATGAAACCTGGTGCTCCCCTCAAATACTTGCCTCCAAGGATGACCCCAGGACACCCAAGTCATCCCCTAATCACAGCCTTCCTCTTTGGCTTGCTTCACAAAACAGAATGCTTGTTGTGATTCCCACATGACTGCTGCAGTTACTCTGTGATACCTTGTCCCATTTAATGAAGAGCTCTTAGAAGCACAATTCTAATTGGCATTAATTCCAATATTTTAATGTAAAATCTGCTCACTTAAAGTTAGGATGACACCTTAATGCCATCTCAATATAGCAACTTGCCCAGAATAAGAAGAGAGCTTCATTTTTGGAAAGACTTACTGCTAGATTTCAGACATTTTAAAAAATTAAAATACATGGATTGTCTTCATCGCAAACTCCTCCTGAATATTTCATGTGTTTTGTGCTTTATTTGCTGTGCATATCTTCACAGTGTGCGTATTATTCAAATACTCCCTAACAGATGGTCTCAAGTGCTACATATTATATAGCATTAAATGAATAGCTTGGTAAACAAATGAGTCAAGGATTAAAATATTTTACAGCTTATAATTCATGAAAGATGTTCAATAACAGTACATTAGTGAAAAAATCTTCAATGTAAACATAAAAACATTAAATGCAACTACTGGATCAGTCAACTGGTCATGACAAATGAATTATTTCTTTAAAAGAGGTGTTTGTCCTGTATGGTCTCTTATAACCTAAATTAATCTGAGGTTGACAACCAGTTTCCCAGTGAACCAGGCCTACCGTTTCCCTTCTCCACCCAACTCCCAGTTTTCTCTGCCATTTTCCCCCTTGCCTGCAAAACTAGGAAAGGAGATGAAACTCATAAACCAACTTGTTACTGTTTAGATTATCGGTAGCAAAATTTTGATGAAAGAGGTTGAAACTATAGGTTCAAATTGAGGATTCCGAATTAGCTATGGTTTTAATTATCGGTGCTCTCTAGTTTCCTAATACTAAGTTTGTACCACAGGCTAACCTAATGTTTAGCACTGAAGTTTTCATTGAGGGTTTGTATGATTAAAACAAGCAACAAATAAACACAAAAACAAATCAAACGCAACAATTTCTGCCTTGTTTAGATACCTTTGAAGTCATTTCATAGTGTCAGTGTTTCAGACATTAGTCCACTGAGGAATAAAAACCAATAAAATACTCTCCCTTTTGGATGTTTTCTTTCACCCCACCCTTATTTTAAATTACGTTATTTAACTGAATGCATAATGATCTTTTTCTAATCATTTAGGGTTTCTAATATTTGATGCAAGACCTAACAAGACTTTCCAATTTCATTCTAGATCTCCCTAGAAACAAAACCTCAACCCCGTTTTGACTGTGAAAAGAACATAAGCTTTTTAATAAACAAGTTATTTGATGGGAGGCTGAGGCAGGTGGATCACTTGAGTTCAAGACCAGCCTGGCCAACATGGTTACACCCTGCCTCTACTAAAAATACAAAAATTAGCCGTGCATGGTGGCACAGGCCTGTAATCCCACCTATTCAGGAGGCTGAGGGAAGAGAATTGTTTGAACCCAGGAGGTGTAGGCTGCAGCAAGCTGAGATCGCGCCATCGCACTCCAGCCTTGGCGACAGAGTGAAACTTCATCTCAAAAAAAAAAAAAAAAAAAAACTAGAAAGTATGCATTAAATAAAACCTCTCACCTAAAGTCACAAGTGGGCTTCATTTGTTATCTTAAGGCCCATTACACAATTTCAGGCATACATTGAAAACTATTCTCTCACACTCCCTGTGTGGCTGCATTCTTGATTTCCTTTTCTACACTAGTATCTTTTACGTTATTTACGGCCTCTGTGAGGTTGAGAAAGATGCCCTCCTTAACCAAACTTTGAATAGTCAAGTCAGACCAATTGGAAGACTATTTTGGCACTTTTACATTAAGGCCCATTGTGTATTTTTTTCTTCTCAATCACAGTACCAAATCTTATTGCACAAACAAAACATATATCAATAATCAACAATATTTATCATGTATCTACTCTGCATAGGGCATTGTACTTATCTTATGAACATTCTACGTATATGAAGTTTCATCATACATGAGGTTTTTCTTTAAAATATATTCATCAAAAAACTTTTTAAAAATCAGTTTATAAACAAATTGGCAAGGAAAGTTACATTAAGCCAAAAAAAAAAAAAAAAACCCTAAACAGTATTCTCTCCAAACTACATTAAACTATGGGGGGAAAAGAGTGGACAGGGTCCCTATCTCAATGGTTCTCAAATCTGAATATGCATTCGATCCACCTGGGAGAGCTTGTGAAAATGACTTTTTGGGTCCTACCCTCAGCGTTTCTGATTCAGTAGGTCTGGGTAGGGCCTGAGAATTTGTATTCTAACAAGTTTCCAGGTGACGTCGACATTGCTGCCCTGGGGATGACACTGTGAGCACCAGTGTCAGGGCTGGGATCAAAAAGCATGAGTGAATTTTAAATAGCCGATGTAAAGATTAAACTATGAAATCAGTGGCCATTATATTTTAATTGAAATATGTATTTAATGCCCTAAAAGTCACATGGAAATCTATTCACTTTCTATTACTGAAAATTGTCATACAATAGCTGTGATTTGACCTTAGCACAACAGACGTGCAGTGATCTTTGGGACACCAGTAATTTTTATACAATTTTTACCAAAAAGACAAGATCATCATAAGTAAGATATTGAAAAGTCAAAACTACCACAAAAGAGTATGTGACAGATCCCAGGATAACACTTGAAAACGCTTTAAACATTAGAAGCAGTGACCCTCAGACTGGACCTCTGGTTACCTGCACTGTTCTCTGAAAAGTCACTGTAGTCAGGCTCAGAGACAAGTATACTGGAGAAAGTCTTTTTTAAATTACATTTTTAAAAATTGTGGTAATAACATTTAGCATGAGATCTACCCTCTTGACAAATTTTTAAGTGTCTAATATGGTATTGTTAACTACAGGCATAATGCTGTTCCGCAGATCTCTAGAATTTACTCATGGTGCTAAGTGAAATTTTATAACCATTGAGTAGTTACTCTCTATTTCCTCCCTCAACACCACCCCCCATCATCCCTGAAGTCCTGGGCGGGTTGTTCTCAGTCTAACATATTACACACACCCCACATGCTCCTCAGCCAACCCAGTTTTTGATTAAACACAAAATCACTTGGGGAGGAAGTAAACGACAACCCTCCTCCAAACTGTTCTTACCATGATGACAATGGTAACTGATGTTACATCAGAAATATTGACTCACTAAGAAGAGACTGCAGGCCGTGTGTGGTGACTCACGTAATCCCCAGCACTTTGGGAGGCTGAGGCGGATGGGTCACTTGAGTAAGGAGTTCGAGACCAGCCTGGCCAACATGGTCAAATCCTGTCTCTACCAAAAATACAAAAATTAGCCAGGTGTGGTGGTGGGCGCCTGTAATCCCAGCTACTCAGGAGGCTGAGGCAGAAGAATCGCTTGAACCTGGGAGGTGGAAGTTGTAGTGAGCCGAGACGGAGCCACAGCACTCCAGCCTGGGCGACAAGAGCAAAACTCCATCTCAAAAAAAAAAAAAAAAAAAAAAAAAGAGATTGCAAACAGGTGGCCCTTAAATTTTTTTGGTTAAAAAGAAAATGAGTTAACTGCCAACATTTGGAAATCATATTTCACAAAATCTGTATTACTTTCAGTTTCTCTAGAAAGATCAGGTTTAGCAATCTTGGACTTACATTCATTTCCGAATGGCCACAATGAGCTGGAGCTGAACAGCTGTTGCTCCTTTTTAGTGGAAAAAAAATGAGCTTCTCCAGATTGCCACTGTCCTCAGTAATCCCTATTCTTTTCCACTCCACCTGCCCTATCATCCACTGTACCTTCCTGGCTCTGTAAATGTTTGAGTTTGCAATTCCTGCACTAAGGGTTGCAGCACAAATGAGAAAGTTTGCTGGGAACTGCACATAACCCCCAGTCTCACTCTCAACACACTTTTCCATCATTTGCCAGAGCATAACAGAATGTAACACTATCATAGCAATAATCTTTACATTGTTCTAATTTTAAAAAATTACGCGCAAACTTTGGTACTAATGTTAGTGACCAACCATACCATACCTTACATCTGAACACAACACACCATTAATTGAAATCCTCTGACAGAGAAATTTGATTTTGTGCTTCCTAGCATAAATTTCGCTTTTCAGTATGCCAAATGATGAAACCACTGAACATTTAAGAATCAAGTTTTAGGGTGTGAGGACTGTAAGATCAAAATTAAGCACTTTTAGTTCATGTAATTATAGGTACATAAATACAAAATTAAATATTGCTTATAAGTATTAACTGTATAATCATAAAAATATAAAAGTATGAAGTTGTGGTATCATGCAAAATTATCTGAGGAAAAATGTCAAATGTTGGGCATTTAGGTCACAAGCCCTACATGAAAAATGGCCACCTTAACAGACTCATAACAGCTCTCCACTTCCAAATTACTCCAAATATTTTTGCCTCAGCAGAGTAAGGAAAAAGAAACGTGCATGCTGTGGGCAGGTGGAAAGAAGAATCTAAAGGAGATGTGCTGGGAGAAGTAGAGGGACAGGTTCAACGGGCCTCCAGAAGGGACTACAATTCCAGAACAGAAAGGCGTTCTGGTCTGCTGAGAAATCCCTTGTGCCAAATATGTATGATTTATGTCTAAGACTACATATGGTTCATGTCCCATAATCTAGAATACAACTGCCTAATACACTGCCATAAAAATGTACCCATACCTCGGATGGAGGGGCATGCACTTAGACTGTTGTGTTGAGGGGACTGGAAGTGGTGACTGATTAATGACTTCTGGTAGATGCTGGAGGATAAGAAGTGGTGAAAAATGCTACCGGCTGTACCAACCCTATTCTACTTTCTTCAGTACCACAAAAGGTTTTCTTACATTTCCTCTGAAAGCTTGTGCATTCCCTACCTTACAGGGTTGTTGTGAGAAATAAAATAAAGCATAAATAGGAAGTACTCAGCAGAGACCTTAGCCTATATATAAATACTCAAATATCATTTCTACTAAATCGTAAGCTCCATCCCTATGAGGGGATGTCTTATATGTAGAGGGCATCCACACATTTGTTGAAGAATGTTCACTTGTACTTAAAAACTACTCTTTTGAATGACTTTTCAGAACTATCTTCATAGTAAAATAAGTTTGTAGGTCTTACAGAATATGTGCTACAATACACCAAATAAGAGGCATCCTAGGTATTTATTAAAAAACAAGGAGGACTCATATATAAATCCATTATGGTAACACCGCTGTATCTGTAATAAATGTTGACAACTGAATTAAGTTTAAACACTTTAATCAACTATAAGTCAATAATCATATATTATATAAAAATTCTGATTCATGCATCAGATTACATAAATTATACAATTGTCACATTATACAATGCTTACATACTTTTGAATTTGTACCTGCAAAAATGTATACAAGTTATGAGAGCATTTACTTAAGAAGATAAGTGTTATACTCTTCAGTTATAAATAATGCTTCTATCTTTCAAATACCCGCTAAATATATGCATTTCTAGATCTGCAGCATTTTTTTGTACCTCAAAACACAAACCATCTGGAAGCTTCGAAGACTAACAGGCCCACATGTATCATGTATTAGACTTCAACTCCACTGTGAGAGTGCATTTTTTGATGGATAAAACAAATGGAATGAAACATCAACTCTATTTTAATGCTTGAAGAGCTTCTATACCTCTTATTAAATATATCAGAAAATGCTTCATATGCAGATTAATTAGCTAAGGTGCTACCAATTGCATATTAAATACTTCCAATGATTGCATCTGGATTATTAAAGTTCTACATCTGTGCAAATGGGGGCTTTCCATGTGTGCTGACAGACCCTTCTACATACCATCATGGCCCAGCAGCACTGTGATCCTTTCCCTTATTTCAAAGGGACCAAGTGAATGAGCATGCATCATACTTCACTTACACATACACACAAGTGACACCTACCACCTACAAGACATATGAGTACATGAACATCAAAAAAGTTTCAGCTTGATTTACAAATCCAAGGTAAATTGCTTCTTCTGAAAAGCTACAGAGGAAAATAAAAGCTCTAGTGTAACATTTACTGTAGATATATTAGACAACAGTTTTTTGTTTTTTTTTTTAGATTCTCTTTGTTAAAGAATAAGCACCCTTCCGGGGATGGTAGGCAGGGAGGCGTGGTGGTGAGGGAGTTGCTGGAGGAATAACAAGAAGAAAACAAGTCTGTCACTAATGAGCTTAGTTTTACTTAGGTTTCCATTCATGAAACCCTTTTAAATACAAGGCAACATTTTCACAGCTGGAAAATTACAACTAAATCTTGATTTACCACCAAAAGCAATAGATGTAGTTATGTATAATCTATAGATAATACTACATTCAGGGGACAATGGCAAAACTAGGCTCAATGCAGAACATAGCAGCAAAAAGCAATACTTAAAAACGTTTTTCATGAATGGGTTACATGTTGTTTTATATACAATTCTAAGATATGACCCTGGTATTCAATAAATGAAACTTGAAGCGTAAGTGGTAGGAAGGTATGTTCAATATTTTTAAAGCTGAATTTTAGAATTGGTTATAAAATAATACTGCTTTAAAAATAATAGCAGAAATAGTTTAATTATGTAACAGAAGTACATTAGCTTAAGATAGTCTTGAGATAAATATCAATTCTGTGATTTTAAAAAATCCTCTTGTTGGTAGTAGTGTTTTGGGCATGCATTCTTTAAAGCATAAAAGCAAAAATAAACTCTATAATCTAGTGTACTGTGCATTATTTAATAAGCACATATATTTTATTTCCATTTCTAAGCAACTAACAAAATACATTAGAATACCTAAAGTTATGTTTTGGAAAAATAAACTAAGGTGACCTTTTTGGCCTCTTTTTCTACAACGTGAGAAATTAAAACTACTTTGCACTTCTGCCCAAACACAGGAAACACTGATATATTTACTTGGGAACTAATTTTTACTTTTTGTTTTTAGTTTTATTATTTTGACTGATTATGAAAATATGCAATAAGTTTACTCTAGGTAATGAGTGAAAATTCACAAACATTAGAACAGCAAATTTTCAGGCAGTGATGAATGTATTAATAGATCTAGTTTTAAATATAATACTTGTCTCAGATTTAAAGATAAAAATTTTGATTGAGTTATAACCAAATCACTCATGTATGAATAAAGCTAAGCCTCAATAGCTTTTATATAGGAAAAGAATCGCTCCTTAAAAATCAATTTCCCCATAAAAAGAAGAGCAGTACTTGAACCATACTTTTAAATGAGTTCTATTTATGTAAAACATATCCCCAATACAAAACTGACATCTTGGTTCACTCTATAAACAGCAAATTTGGCCAAAGCATATTATTATAGTATCTGCAGATACTGTCATAATACTGAAAACATAGATTTTCACATTTTAAGAAGTGTATGAAAAGACTCAATAATACTACCAGACAAAAACAAATGCTGAGAATTTTGTAACATTTAGTTAATTAAAAGTGGCACCATGTTTAAAAAAAAAAAAAAAACTACCAAGACCTCAAACGGGAAAATACCATTCTACACCAGACTTTGAGGTTTATTACAGAATCTTGAGGAGAAAAAAATTGATAAAAGCTATTTTTCCTTCTCCATTTCTTAAAGCATTTAATTTTTATGAAAAAAATGTTCATAATTTCAAAATGTATGTTCTTACAGTAAAACTGAAATGCAGAAGATACAAATAACAAGGGGTTTTAGTTTACAAATACGAGCTTGGCCAAGTATTCTCTGATTCAAAATACTAAAATAAGCAAAAAAAAAAAACCCAAACTATTATATCGGCTTTTTGTTTAACTTTCAATGGAGTCTTAACAGAGATAAGTATTAGAAAAAAATGCAATTCATGGAAAGATTGGGGAATATGTAAGTCTCCATATGGACATGAATTTTCATTTTAAATTCAGAAAGACATAGATACTCTCAGTGTTTTATAGTATTTCAGACTTTAAAGGCTGAAAAATAAGCAGAAGATTAGCAATATTTTTATAACATTGCTTGTCAATTTAAATTTCAGAAAAAATTTGTACAAATCATATAAAAATAATCCATGGAAGAAATCAGTATTTTGGGGGAGTGGACTTTAAAATAGAACATAATTTTGTAATAAATCAATTCTTAAAGGGTGGATGTGGAGTAATGCATAATGTCACGCTCGTAAAGTTCTCTTCTAAAAACTCACTCTTCCTTTAGTAAGTCTTATTTTGGTTCAAGACCCAAAGGCAACCATCTGCTCTATTATTTATGTAACCTGAAACCAAGCCTAATTCTTCATTCCTGGAATCTGCCCGCTGCTTTGGGTTATCAGACACACCAGGCAATCACATACTTCCCACAATTATTTTCAGATATAACTTTATAATATTTGCTTTGCTAGTGATTTAAAGGCATGCAGAATTTCAACAAAACAAGCTATATTAGCTTATCTTCTGCTTATACCTTAAACAAACTCAAATGTTAATTAATTCAAATAAATTCATGCTGTTATGAAGTTAATGAAGTCTCCTAAAATTTGTCATTCTTTAAAAAAGGACTTGAGATCATCACTTTTGGGGAAAGAGAAAAACTTTGATGCTAGAATAATATATAGCAGCTCACTTTGAAACCAAGGTCCATGTAGTCAAGAGTGATTTGAAGCAGCTTCTCTATAACAAACCATGACAGTAGGAAGGATGACTTGTCTTGCATCAATAGAGCACACACATTTTCAAATCAAGAAATTGGTAGCCTAACTTTAGAGGCAATCAATTGTTTCTAAATGTTCTAAAAACACATGTATATATGAGGTATATGCCTATATTTTATATACAAGATACATGAATATATATATATTCATGTACATATGTGTATATAAAATATAAACTGTTTTTTTAGTAGTGTTTATAACGAGCAGTATTCCTGAAGCTAAATATTTCTACAAACTGATTTCTGAGAAACCAGCCACAGGATCAATTCTGCTTTATGAAAAATCTATTCCTGAGGAACAACTCACGTACTTCTGAAGATATTTCTGGGCCTATGGCAGATTAGTGGGTCAGTACCAGCACCTGAGTGAGTCCTAAGGAACCACTTATTCATTGAGAATCTGGCCCATTTTCAATTTAAACATTTAAATGATTTAGCTTGCTTCAAAGGTCACTCTTGATAGTCCCTGCTAATATTTACAGGTAAAACTACTCTTCACAATAAAGGAGAATATGTAATGAAACCTGATAGTGTAGTCTCTTTCAGTAACAAGTTTTTCCTTCCTTCCTTCTTTCTTTCTCTCTCTTTGTCCAATTATCAATACAATACAATTGGCTTTATTAACTGTTAGAGAATTTGCCAGCTTTCCTGGATGGTTCATACGGCACTCTGAGAATACTGGGCGTTTCTTCCATTACCCTTACAAGGAGGTTGTCGATGTAGTCCTCGAGTTCCCGGATGTGGGTGTCTTTCCTCCTAAGGAGTTCTTTGTGTTTCACCAGCTCCTGTAGAACCTCTTCATAGGTCAGACTACGATACCCTGCAGTGGCATCAAAGGGGTTGCTGTCCTAGAACAGGATAAAGACTGTCACTTTCATAGATATAACATCTGGGACAAACATTAAGAATTACCTGGAACTTCGACTTTTTGTTTTTCAAACCCTGATGAAGTTTTTCGCTAGCCTTGCTTAAAGTGAATGTGACAGTTCACAAATTGGCTAGCCAGTCCTGAGGCAAGAACTAGGGCAGATGCACCAAAGTTTTGACTATAACTCTAAATCCTAAAACCCTTTCTAACATTGTGGGCAATTTCCTAATATCTGAGACTGGTTATATCATGTAAGATTACATTAAGAGATGAAATATTCTATAATAAATACAACTAAAATAGATGAAAACTAAAGATTTCTAAAAGTTAACTCAGAGGAACTGTAAGAAGTAACTGAAAACTATACACTTGGACTTGTGTCCTTATGAAACTGCTTCCACTGAACTGTGATTTAATGTTATATGTTTGGCTTCTTAGTGAAGATGGTTACAGCAAAAATCTTTTCTAATTTGCTATGAAAATGGAAGCACTCGGAATTAAATCAAAGATTATCCTTACAGGAAGCCCCATGTGAGTAACTTCTGTTTTAATTTAGAAACAGGCAGAACTTTTCCTCCCCTGAGTAACTGGTCTATTTCTTTCTCCTATAATAATATCTAATTTATCTTCTTTCCCTTTTTGACCCTGGTTATCAGGAAACTCAAGAGTTCAACCATATTAATACTACGGTTAGTATATTTGCATTCTCTCCCATTTCATCTATTTACTTAACTTTATTCTATTGACAAAAATTCTTTTTAGGCAAAAGCATAAATATAACCAAAAATCTTTTTTAAAAGACACTTATTAATTCACTGTTATTACAAAGCATTCTAATATTAATGTTATATCAAAAGTGAAAGAAAAATATTTCTCAGGAATTTAATCAAGGCCCTGTAACATAATCTTTTATTTATAGTGTATAGCATTAAGAGTTTTCATTCTGTAAAACATAATGCCCAATTACAACTAAGCAATTTTTTATTCTTTTTAAATCATAGTTCTCTCATTAAGCCCAACAATTTAAAATAATTTTCATCACTATCTTTTAAAACATTTCCATTTGGCTTTAAGGAAACTTAACTAAAATATTGAGGAAATTGGTTTTCTTGCTGTTAAGGAATACTATCTAATCTATTCAGTGGAGGATGGGGAATGGGGACTGGTGAATGCAGAATGACCCCCACCCCCAATAAGAATTAAACTGTCCTTCCCTGTTTTCAGGATCTACTTTAATAGTGCTATGTATTTGGGGGTGTTCATGAGAAAAGCCAAAGTTTAACTTTTCACTGGCCCTCACCACTTCCCCAGCCTCTCAGCCCAAGGAACCAGGACTTTACCAGACCAGAGAAAGAGAAGCTAGAGTACAGATACCAATTTGATGCTTGGGTCATTGAAGCACACCCACTTCTCCAGGATAAGTGAAAACATTCAGGACTGAAAAACTTTTCCAATTTCATAGAATCTCTCAGGCTTTGTGGAGAAGATACAGCTTGCGCTAGGCCTTCAAGAGTTTGCAGGCAGAAATGCGTAATGGGGCATTTCAAGCAGTGAACTCTGCTTGTTCAAAGAAGGAAACAAGGCTCAAGGCATAGTGGCCAACAGGTAATCCAATAACAGGTACTCTGTAGAGCATGGCTGGAAAATACTGTACAGGACAGCGAGCAGACAGGGGCCGAAATGGAAGGTTTGAAATAGACCACCAAGAATGCTGAATGGTAGTATAAAGAATTTTTAGACTTTTGCTATGGAAAATAGGAAGCCACTGAAGGTTTCTAAACAGAGAAAGGATATGATTAAAGCTATGTTCCAGGAAAAGTAAAATGGCAACAGTGGAATCATTTGGAGGGGCTAAGATTAGGTATAGGGCTATTGAAATATGAAAGACCAGAGTTAGCAAGAATGAATAGAGAGGATATTAAAGGGAAGTGAGTTTAAATTCTATAAAATATGTCTAAAACAACTTAGTTTATTTTAGCATTAGAAACTGGAAACAGATGTAAGTTTCAGTCATATTTCCTTCATCCTTAAAAACATTTCAAATATTGTTCTAAAACCATTAAAGGACAATTCTAGAGATAAGTGTTGTTTTACTTCTCCCTCCTCTCTCAGATCAATTAATCTTTTATAAGTCTACACACATGCGCACACACACACACACACTCTCATGCACGTAGTTACTAGTTTAATTGGTCATAATATATAGTTTGGAGATACATAAGTATTAATTACATTCTTATAAAAGATTATGTTAAGCCGTTTTCTACAGTAAAGAGAAGACATAGTGTAGAGTTCGGTATACTTTTGAAATTTCTTAAAAATAAGCTAAAGTGTCTTACTTCAACTCGAGTAATTCTGCATAAATTTGAGAGAGAAAGCAACTTGGGTCTCACTTTCCTTATCTGATAGATGAGATGTTCTCCATGGTCCCTTTCAACTCTAAAATTGTCTGGTATACCAAGTGATTTTTCTAAACCCCACTTTAAAAACTAATAAACTCTAACTAATGTGATTTCACTTTTCTAATAAAACATTTACTGAGAAATTCATGTTCTTGTGAGAATTGCAGGGATTAATGAAAGGAAGCTAAATGGGATTCATTACTGATTAGTTGACTGCTTTATGCTTTTTCTTTATTTAACATAATAAAAGCATCTATTCAAGTCTCTCTAATCTTAATAAAATTACACATATATAAACTGATTTCTCCAAACTAATTAAGCTATGAAATAGTTAAAATAAAAGTGCACTGTTATATTTAACACTATTACCAGTTAATGTAGTTAAAAATTTTTTGTAACATTTCTCTAAAGACACTGAAGATGAAAAACGTTTCAAAAATTTGTGTTTTGATATAAATTAAAGCCATGATATAAATTAATAGTTTAATCTTTCAAAATAATCAATTATTATTTCAGACTACTGGTCATACTTTATAGCCATACTCTAGAATACACAGATATGTTATTTGGATTATTTTTTTTTTCCTTACAACAATCTAACACTAATGTGTAGACAGATTTCCTGGAAATACATTTCTGGCCTTTTCAATAAATTTTCCGTTTGTCCTTTTATGTGAAAATTTCACCTCAAATTTTAGCATCAAGTTTCTAGGCAGGAAAACATCTTAGAAACATATGTACTATGAATTATATTCTGGAAAAGAATATAAAATAATTAAAAACAGTTTCATGCTGAGTTCCAGATTTTATCTGATATTTGAAAACAATGTAAACCTTCTAATTTTAGGCATGAGATTCTTAAATTGACTGATATACTCCACATATATATATATATTTCTGTTTGTTGATATAACTCCAAATAAAATAATGATTAAGTAATATAAACAATAGAAAATTAAAACATATGCTCATTACAAAAATTATTTTTTTAGAGAGGAAAACTCTCAGGTAAATATAAAAATTATTTTTTCGAAAGATTATTCTTGCAAAAACTTGCAAAATTCATAACTCTCTAAACTGGCAAAGACCAAATGCAACTTACAATGGTTACTCCAAAGTGCTCAATATTTTTTCTTACAGTACTCCATACAGACAGCACTTATGTTTTTAAGATGTTTTCTTATTTTGAAATTTAATGTAAATTTTTCTTCTCTCTTCCCCTTTTACAACCAACCTTTTCTCATTTCTACTCCACCTCTGTTAAAAATGTCCATATGCAGACATAGAAGATGTGGACTGGTAAGAAAATATTAGAATTACTACATGAAGTTTTCTAACCCAGAATTTTAAATAATACAGTTTTGCATAAGATTTTGAGAACTGCTAGTGATCTATTTTTGCTTTACACAGTCTAGCCTTTTAAACTAGGAAATGTACATTTTTTACAATATTTAAATTTAAACAAAAGCAAATTATCAAGACTCAAAATAACTGAAGATTTAAAGAAAGGTTGTCCTGGTAACCAAATATTGGTGGGGTACTAACTGACATCCAAGGCAACTAGAGGAGAGAGAGAAAAAAAAATGAAGGCTTGGCATTCTCTGATCATCTCATTATTGTTCTAATGAGGAACTTTGCTCTGGGAATATCATCTCAGCTACTTTCACATCTTTTGTCCTACTCCCTTCATCTCCCTTTCAGTTCTTAATTAGGCCTTAAAGAGCTCACACTGCCCTTTCAACTGGCTACTGCTCCTGTTTAAACACTGTGCTTTCACAGACAGGTGTTGGCACTAGCATATAAGACATACAAACTTAATTACAAAATACTATGTCCAGAGGGAGAAAAAATAACTTGGTGGATGGCTATTATTGGAGAACTTAATGTAAATTACTTCAAACATCTTATAATCTTCAACATAAAAATTGTTCGAATGCTTTTCTTCAATCATGATCAGTACGAAGATGCGCTTCCTCCTCTTAATTGTATCTTGCAGTAAATTAACAACACCTAGTAATCCTTTAACTGTCATTTAGAATAGTTAGTATTCCAGAGAAAAATAATCACACATCAAGGATTCTTTTATCACCTTTAAATCCTTTAACTAAAACAATTTTCACATTTTATTTCTTTAAAGAATTCTAAGGATGCTTCTACAGCAATAAATTACAAGATTTGGAAAAGTACATTTACAAGCAATCGAAATTGTAATTAAGGTTACTTAATAAACAATAGCTACACATTAAATCGATTTTTTTGATGTTGCATTTTGTTTGAGATTAAGTAACCGCCTGATAGAATTCATTTTACTATCTGATCAAAGGCTGACTTCATATTTTCTCACATTTCTCGCCAGACTGCCATATTATAAAGACTTGAGAATTTATAAAACATCAAAACTTACGAATCGTTTAAATAAAACAGCAAAAACACAGTACAAAGTCCTGTGCTTCTGTAACAGTTTCCACAATTTTAAAGATAAACAACTGCATTTAGAATGGTTTAGAAAATAAACCCTAAACCCACCTTAGCTTCTTCTAGCCATGTCACATCCTAAAAAATAGTGATATGTGATATGGGATTGCCTAAAAAAATTCTTACTATACATCTGGATCGCACACATCAAGGACAGATGGTTGAAACAGCAACCACCAGTGTCTTGGAATAAAGCCTCTATTTCTGTTATTCAGTGAGAATTTAGTTTTCTACCAAGAACGTTTGCCCATATTTTGGCAAAGTAATTTATTCTCTACGTTTAATATAGTTAGAATTGATTGCAGATGCAATGGAACTCTGAACAGAGATTAAATACTGGACTTCAAATACTACAATAAAGTTCAGATTATCTGAATAATCCTTGCAAAATACGTGAGTTGATTTAGGTGGTCGCTACCAATCCTGTTAACATATTTGGTTTTGTTCTGACGAGAAAGATAAGTGTCCTAAAGTATTTGTTCTTTCAAATACTTTCCTGGTTATCTGGCTCTCCTGCCAGGATGCTTTTCTATTGTTGAATGTTAACAAGCAGCTTTATTCTTTCTTCAATCCTTGTCCCAACAACAACAAAAAATAGTCTTTTCTACGTGCTCTTATTTCATAACCACAAATTTGACCCTGACATACAGCTTGCATATTAATTTCAAAAGTCTGTAAACAAAATATGTATATTCTAAATTGGCTTCAATTATAACCAATTTTGCTTGAACTTTCATAGATCATACGAGTCACACCCTATTGTATATTAAAGGCAAAGATTGTATTTTACTTTCTTTCTTTCTCCTAAAATTACTACGCTAAGCTACAATTCTTAGGTAAGTGAGGCAGAAGGCAAGAAGACAAAGGCATTTTTAGAAATGTGTGCCAGAGAAAAAGACCAGCTTACTCTTTGACAACCCTCTAACCCCTTCAGCAACTTACCGGGATTTTCCTGAGGTCTTCATTGCTTGTTGGACTCATATGAAAACTAATAAAACACAAACAAATGTTAAAAGTGTCATAACTCATGTGGGAGGAAACATAAAAATAGAAAAATTTTAACCAACATTGTAATACAAATTTCTAAAGCCCTACATTATTCAGAGGAGTGAAATTTAATCCAAGAAGTAGAAAAAAATCCAGTATTTCCCCAACATTCTTAAAGCATCATTACAATTTCAAACTTTGAAGGAAAACTTTTTAGTTATCAGAACTGAAGAATGAAATAGGAAGTTTCTAAACAACTTTAAACATAGCACTTTTATCCAGCAAGATATTTTGCAAAACTAATTTGTGTGAGAGATTTCCCATTATATTTACACACAGTCACTCACCTTAGGCCCTCTGATATAAAACTAGGGAGAATTAAGTAAATTTAGGTTGGAAAGATTATAGAATAAAAGAGTTAAAGCAATCTGTTTAAAAATGCCATAAGTGTTAGAAAACTCAGCTTTCAAACATTACCCTATCAATAAGAATAAATTCAGAATTGTGGGAAACATTTCTCTCGTTAATGTGATTTCTAAGTAGCTAGTCTTGAAAATTTAAATACTGAAACGAATCAAAACAACACAGATTTCTCCCATGCAGAGAAGAAAACATCACAGCTGAATGCTATAACTATTTTCTTCTTTGAAACATGTCCATTAGATGGGACTGCAACCAAAAGACGCTAAACTTCAAAGCCATCTGATGAGTAAATATTTCATCGGTGCTATTCAAGTTTAATTTTTACCCAGCACTTAAAGGTATTAGCCTTTAAAACCTTCACAAAGCATTAGTGTCCTAAGAACCTTTTTATTCCATGCACAAAACAACAACTGTAAAATATGTATGTTTTCATTATCTGTCCCTTGCCAGTAAAATAACTGGCATCCTTTGAAGATTTAAGAAATTTACTTTTAAAACTTTTGATTGTGTGACAAAAAGTCTGGACACTGGATATAATGTTGGTAAAGTATCTGTAATTACGTGTACAAATCCTACGCTCTAAGATGTACAGGGCACACATGTACAACCACCTCCAGAGAGTTTCCCATGTAACCAAGATTTCACTGGCTATGACTAAGATTTGAAGTACTAGCTTCCAGAAGTGATTGTTCGCCTTTTCTAACTAGAACTCCTGAGGATAAATTGAGTATTTCAGCAGAGCTGGGTTGCATGTAGAGAGAGTGAAACATGTTTTAAAAACCTACAAAGCACCAGTTAAAGGCCTGTGTGGCTGGCACATTTTCTTAACATCTTTATGGTATTCTGCATGGTCCTGGACTCAAGTCACTATACCAGCAAAGCATCAAGAGCCCACAAAGGAGTGGCTTAAAAGACAAAAACTAAATCCAAAAAGCATTCTCACATAGTCCACCTTAGCCTAGAGTGCCGTGGTAGCAGCTGCTAACACATGTGGTTTCCATCCTCTCTGATTTTCGATCCAAGGTAGCCAACAGGGGGTCCAGTGGGATTAATCTCTCCTACCCCATTATCTCACAGCATGTTTTCTAATAGGTCAAGAAACACATTCTGCTACATCTCCCATCTGACTGGGATATTCTAAAAAACAAAATGATATACACTCAGGCCCGACAGCATACAAGGTGCTTGCAAGCAGAGAAGTGGCTGGAGCCAGGTGGTGTGAATTCAAATCCTGTTTCTGCCCTGTGACCTTGAGCAAGTTACCTAACTTTGATTATGTCTTGGTTCCCTCATCTGTAAAATGGAGATGGCAACAGTATCTACCACATAAGACTCCTGTGAAGATTCAATGAGTTAACTACATGGAAAACACTTAGCACTGTGACTACCAGATAGAACATTATTTCATAAATAAAATAATGAAATAATTATTTCATAAACTTTTACATAGCACTTAATGTGTGCCAGATGCTATTCTAAGCACTTTACCAAAATTAACTCATTTAATCTTCATGATCCTTACGGTAGTCTTACGGCCCAGTATCTTCCACATCTTCATTTTAAAGGTAAGGAAACAAGTCACAGAGAGGTTAGGTAACTTGCGTGTGGTCATTCTGTTAGTAGCTGGTGGAGCTGTGTGGCTCTAGACTGCGTCCTCCTATGATACACAGCCCTAGCCCCATTCCCTGTATACAGATTTACTTAGTGAGCACTGGCTGCACTGCGGAAGCCCTGAACATATAGGCCACATAGATGAATCAGAGAATAACAATGTTGCATTTCAAGAAGGCACACGGTAGAGATGTACTTGTGGGAGGTGGGGGAGAGCACTCCGGATAATTAAATTTTTAGACCTCATAGAGAAATGAAATGTTCTATCACAGCAATTAGTCAAGGAATGCCTAATTCATGGAAAAAGCAGGATTTAAAATGACATGAAGGATATGTTTGGCAGGCTAGACAAGGAGGGCTCTGCAAACATATGGCGTGGCCTGGGGCTGTCAGACAGTAGTGTCGCTGCAGGACACGGAGGAGACTGGCAGCGAGGCAGCAGGGTCGGCAGGAGCCCATAAAGGTTCTGATGACGCATTCCTCAGGCCCAATCCGTAGAGCAGGAGGTAAGCTTTGGACAATGTTAATCTTTTCTTGTAAATATTTAAACATTTTATATTTGGTGGCATAATCCATCTCATTGTATCCTTGAGATTGAACAGTATTATGACTATACAAATTTCAGTATATGTCTCAGGAAAAAATCACTGAACTAAGAAACAGAAATATCGGTATTATACTTATTGCAATAAGGGTTTTCAAGGAACAACATTTAGGACAAAGATTTTATCAAAATCACAAAACTAACCATATGTAGTAGCCAATCACAGCTTATAAAACTAAAATGCAACTCAATGGCTGCTCAAAAATGCCTGAGAATTCCTAAGAATGCTGAAAATGTCGCAACTCTAAGGGGAAGGGTTTGCAGTGCGGCAAGCCCGGCTACTTCCCATTCTACCTGAGTGATCTGAGCCACTCTCTCCAGCTCCCCACAGTGCAGATCTGAGTGAGAGGCTCTTGTACTGGGTATTGTCTGAAGTCTAAAGGCAGAACCCCTCCCTTGTGGTCTGCTTTATATTCACACACTGACGTGTCAAACACTTGACGAACTCAGTCATTCATGGCTGCCTTTTTTGATCTGTCCTTAATGGGGAAAAAAGAGTTAACTGAACTGGATTGAATTAGCTTGGTGAAAAATAAAATGTCTCTATTTATTGAAGTGTGGCACCAATTTGTGATATCTTTCTCTTTGGACTGCCGTCCTCATGTCAGACAAGATATCGAATAATCCGGTCTGACTGCTCAGCCGAGCTGCTGACAGGTTAAGGAAAATGGTGTTTTTAATCAGGTGCAAAATAAACCTAGATACACTCACATTTAAAAAGGAGTCTATGTAAAATGAAACTACAGAATTTAAACATTTTAAATTAGTATTTTAAAAGTTATTTTAAATAAAATGACTTACCTTAACATTCTGAAGTTTTTATGCAAAAGCATCAACAGTTTTACTTTGAGATATTTCCAAATATTAAAGAATTTTCCCCAGTAAACTGTAATTCTAAAATTTGAAATGTTTTCAAATATTTCTAGGAATCACTAGTATCTCTTCTACAATATCACTTGTTAATTTACCTCAAAGTTAAAATAAATAATAAGTAAAGAGATAAGAAATAAATCAGTGAGGTCTTGAAACTGTCCTTTAATTTGTGCTATGGACTAACCTTCCATATATCGGCCAGAAAATAACTCAATCATTAGAGCAAAAAAACTGTTCACCACAGTAATCACTACGGCATGTGGCAGAGATCAAAGTGGGTTTTTTTTGTTTTTTTGTTTTTGTTTGTTTCTCTTTCTTAAACATATATATTCTTTTGGAACAAGAATACCTAAGGAGGAGAAACTATTCAGAGTAAAAAGTGTACAGTGCTTGCAAAGATTAAAAAAAAAAACCCTACATAAGAACAAAGATCTATTAAAACTGGTTAAGAGTGCTTTTATAAGACAATGTAAACCATAAATTCCTGGTTCTAGGATTTTAAATCTTTCAATGAGAAGTCACATAACAACAAGCTCTTTGGAGGGCATTTAAAAATAAGTATTTTTAAGTATTTAGAGTATTATTACACCTTCCATAATATCTCTTTCCAAACCCCACTACTGCTGGAATTACAAAGCAAAGTCCATTTTGGCCTACACCTTGACTCATTTTGTATTTAAGAAGTGAATTCAAATTAAATGTGAAATCCAGGAGGTGTGCCACCTGGCTGGCAGGAGGGAAGAGGAGGAAGAGGGAAGGGGCAAGACAGGAGTAACTTTCTCAAACGCCAGTCAACTCCTTATTGTGTATGGCAAATAAGTATAACTTCAAATTATCACAGAAGAACTGACATTAACTATTTTCCAAGGAGTGTGTCCTATTGATCTTAACCAAGTGGGCTCTAGAGACTTGGGGATTCACGGCTGGGCATGGTGGCTCATGCCTGTAATCCCAGCACTTTGGGAGGCCGAGACAGGCAGATCACGAGGTCAGGAGATCGAGACCATCCTGGCTAACACGGTGAAACCCCGTCTCTACTAAAAATACAAAAAAAAATTAGCCGGGCGTGGTGGCAGGCGCCTGTAGTCCTAGCTACTCGGGAGGCTGAGGCAAGAGAATGGCATGAACCCGGGAGGCAGAGCTTGCAGTGAGCCGAGATCGCGCCACTGCACTCCAACCTGGGGGAAGGAGCGAGACTCTGCCTCAAAGAAAAAAAAAAAAAAGAGACTTGGGGCTTCACTTTCATGACAAAGGTATATACTGAGAACTGTGACATAATATAACAAAAATCTTCAGTGAGTCTAAAAGGAGGAAAAGAGAAACACCCCGTGTATTTCATCGATAATGAAGCATAGAAAAACATCCTAAAAGCAATTGTATTTATTGGACTTTAACCATGGTAACTTTCTGAGCACTTTACATGTTAACTCACTTAATCCTTGTAACAATCCTATGACCTGAGTGCTCTATTTATCCTCATTTACAGATGAGGAAATGGGCACAGAGATGGTAAGGTGCAAGGTAACACAGTTAGTAAGTGGCCCAGTTAGGATGAAAGAAAGGCAGCCCCACTCCACAGTCCAAACTCTTTAGTCATAAACTCTGCTTCTTCCACAGAGCTGCTCTAAACTGTCAGTTCTACTGTGAGCTCACTGTTGGCTGGTTTCAATGAGTCCAGGGCAATTTCATGAGGCTTCTTCCAATCAGAAATGATTCAGAAAAGTCTTAGATTTAGTCTAAAAGAGACAGAATAATGGCTGAAATGCAACAGGTTTGGAAATAACTGTGCTCTTGATTTTCTGTTTGCCCCTCCTGCTCCACTCTGACCCTCACTGCACCCCAGGATACTGACCTCTGGAGAGTGTATCACCTGGGCTTGCCCACTGGCTTATTATGTTCTGCCACCGGGAGGCACCTCCAAGAGGATGGAGCACTGAAAGCATAGGAGGCAGGGTATTTACTCCCCTTCCCCCAGCCCCATCCCAGCACCGCTCCCCTGCCTCCCTGCTGGGCTGCAGTAGCATCTCTACCTACAGCCACAGCTGCAGCTAAGCATGCAATGCTGGTCCCTGGTGCTGTACTATTCCTTCTTGATGTCCTTAACCCTGCAGACACCTCCCCACTAAACTTCCCTCAATTATTCGTTTTGAGTGTGTCATTTGTTTCCTATTAGGTTCTTAACTGATACATGAATATAAAATAAATGCCATAAACCATTCACTTAATAATGTAAAATAATTTAGGACAAAGGTTTGTTCTATTTCTCTATTAGAAAGAAAGAAAGAACCAAAGAAAAATAATTACTCATATGAATTACCTATACTTTCCTTTGCCCTTCAATTTCTGGCGTATGCTCCATAACTACTTATTTTAACTTTTTTTTTTCAAAATATGCATAGCCTCTTCTTACTTTGTAAATGATAATTCACTGCTAGCCTCCCCCAACCCACCCTGCCTACACATACACACACACACAAACTCCTGGCCTTCATTTAACAATATGCTTTTCCAATTCACAGAGCTGGAGTACTTGTGTTCAAAATTATTTTCCATTTAGGATTGCATTTTTAAAGATTCATTGCTCCTGCAGTATGTAAAATGGTGTAATTACTTCAAGTGACTTGGATTTGAATAATACCACCTCATATTTACATTTTGCCTTACAATTTATAAGACATTTTCACAAACTGAATTTCTCTGAACATGTTTCCAAAGGAACAGTAATCAATAAAATCTTATACCATAAAATCTCATACAATCAGAATCCCATCTGATCAATCTCACCTCTGACACTCCCTCTCTCCTAGAGACCTGCTGGTGCACTCCCACTATCATCCCAGTTGTCTCCTAATCCACCTGTATTTACTCACTAGGACTCGTCGACAGTCCATTATCTCTTGGACATTCTACCATTTTTATTTTGCCAATCTCTAAACCCTACCAAGTAGCCCTTGCTGACTTTGTTACCTTGACTCATTCATATTCTTTAATCTGAAACACAACTCCCACCACCAATACTCATTGCTTCTTTGACGAAGGTCACCAAAAAACTATTTTCACTAAAATCACCTCACTCTTTAACCTCTCAGCTCCATGTGATACCAAATGGGTGCTCCTTTTTGAAACTCACTCTTCCTGCTATCTGGTAGCCTAACTTTTGTCCTATATTTCCAATCACTCCTTTTCCTTGTTATCTTCCTCTTCACCCTTAGGTGGGAAACACTGGATATTTCTTAAGGTTGTTTTCAGGCCTTTTCCGCTCTACCTCGGAGATTTCATATTCTCTCACCACCAACTACCATCCCTATATGGATGGAGGAGTAGTAAATCTTTTCAACTACCAATCTCTTTACCCTTTATAATGTCATGCTTACAAATGTCTGATCAAAATCTTAGATCGAATATCCTACCTGTCCCTGAAAGACCAATCATGTCTTTTAGAACAGTTCTGTCTGGTTTTCTTCCTACTCATACCACCAATCTCCTGCGCACCGAAGGTGAAGCCTCAGAGACACCCTTCACTCCAGTCTTCAGCTTACATGCCTCACAAATAAACTGCCATGTTCTCACCATTCAGCCTCTGCCACAGAACTCTCATCGTTTCCTCCCTGCTCATTTTTACTGCTACCTTTCTGACCATAAGACCAAACTGTCTTCTGCTGACACTACTGCAACAGCCTCTTCACAGTCTCTGCCCATCCCTCCTTGTCCAATCCAGCCTATGCATACTGAATATGGCGTTCTCAAGCTCAAGTCTAACCTCATTATTCGTCTGTCAAAAAACTTTTGACCTCTAACCTCCTCCTGAATAATGACAAAATTTCTTAGACTGGCTTTCAAAGTCCACTGGATTTTATCCAATTTACCTTTCCAGACTTATTGCCCATCCCCTAATGCCAAGGAACAATCTACTTCACTGCTCTAAATTTCAAATTAAGAAACAGAAATGCTACCATCTATTTCGTAGAATTAAAAGAGGGTTAAAAGAAATGAGTATGAAAATGGTTTGTTTGACAAAAGTGCTTTTCAAATATATGGTATAAAAGTTTGCTTCTGTGTATCTATCTTACCCCTGGATCCCCTCCCTTTCTACTGCAAGCCACTTAAAGGAAGGAACCATATCTCATTCCTCTTTTCATTCTTAGCATCTGACACAGTGCCAGCATGAAAAATTCCTAACAAAAGTATGCTGAATACATTAATAACCAGTACTTAATAAAAATGTGTAAAAACCGGGGTGAGTTGACTGAGTACATCTATGTTAGGGCAATATAAGTTCCACCAACAAGATACCAAGTCCCCAAAGAGTGGAAGAAATAATCTTCCTGAATAAGAAAGATTACTTATATCTATACCTGATGATACATTAGTGGAGTGTTTTTCAGTTCTTTTTAAGATACGAAGAATTATTCTCATATTTAAGTCAATAGGAATTAAAACACATTTTCAAACTGGTGGACTGCCAACAGAATCAATTCAATTAGCCAGTTTATCGAGTATACCAACTAGGTCTACCAGGATAGGTATTTGACACAATACAGATTAATTAGAGATTTTTCTGGTAAATCCTGAAAACGTTTATTCCACAGAGGTTACATGTTGAAGTTTTTGTTTTTTAATGTTCTTTAATAATGCTCTTTCCAAAGCTCTAAAAAAGTGAAGTGCCCAAAGAGATTCCACTAAAGAGATTTCATTGGAATCTTTAGCACATTCCAATTACGTTCATTATACATGCAAATAAGCCTTAAGAGGCAAGACGAAACTCAATATTTTTTCTTTCTTTTTAGAAAAAAGCAAAAAACTCAGTACCAAATCAAATTAATGATATTACAGATGAAAAGACTACATTCTGTCTCCTGGGACTGGGCATGTACACCAAAACCTCGATGACAAAACAGAACCTAATACATAAATGTCTATGGGGATTAACAGTAATTTACTTATTAATATTCTCATGGGGTATCTTTTATGAGCTCTCAGAGGCAAGACAATTAAAAATTGTGGTCAGTGACACCAAAGATCACGGACAGCAAATTCAGACCTAGCTGCTTTTCCATAATGAATAATAATGAATATGTTGTTGGTGAAAGTCCTAGAACTTGAGGATTTAAAGACATCAATGAAATTAAGGCTTGGTTTGACTATTATAATAGTCAATCAAGTCTAACTTACACATTTCTCCTGGTAAAGAACAGAAATAGGGGCTCACGCCTGTAATTTCAGCACTCTGGGAGGAGGCAGGCGGATCACTTGAGGTCAGGAGTTCAAGACCAGCCTGGCCAACATGGTGAAACCCTGTCTCTACTAAAAAATACAAAACTTAGCCGGATGTGGTGGCATGTGTCTATAATCCCAGCTACTCAGGAGGCTGAGGCAGGAGGATTGCCTGAACCTGGGAGACGGAGGCTGCAGTGAGCTGAGATCACGCCACTGCACTCCAGCCTGGGCAACAGAGTGAGACTCTGTCTTAAAAAAAAAAAAAAAAAGAATAGAATAGAAATAATTATTTCAAAGACAGTCAAACAACCCACAAATCTCAACATAAAGCCTATGGATTCCAAAAGTTCTCCATTCCTTTAAAACTAAGCTTCTCACCCTTTTTTCTCTTTAATATTCTAATACATAAGAATAAATCCAACAACAAGCATACAATTTGACATCTCAAGTTAAAAACTCAGATGAATTTTTGCATTTTACTAATATAATCATGTGTCTCTTGATATAAAATGAGTATTTTCTCCCTGTATCTTTAGGAAATGTGTCACTTTGGGAAGCTGTGTTGCGTTTGGTCTGTTCCCCTGAGTAGACCCTTGCCCGCCACCTTCTACGTATCCATTAGTCATCATCATCGTGTGTGTGTGTGTGTGTGTGTGTGTGTGTGTGTGTGTGTGTAAACAAGTCCTGTTCATTTTAGCAGCAAAACAGTGGGCAGGAGTGATGACAGCAAGGCACCTGCAGGGCCAAACCCAGCACAGGCTCTGCCTGTCTACGTGATCAAGACAGACCCAGCAGTCTTGATCAAGCTTTTCCTGCAAGGAGGGAGTGTAAGGATAATGTGGAGAGATGTGACTCTTCCATGAGGGTGCAAGCAAGGCATCCCTGGTCCCTGTGAAGCAGGTGAAAAAAGACAGACGGCCCACAACACCCTGGCCAAAAGCATCCCAAGCTGGCTCTGTGTGGGCCTATGACAAAGCTATGTTTTGGAGAAGTCACGGTGTCCTCTGGTTACCAGGAAGGCCTCAGGTGTTTAAGAACAGCCTGCAATGAAGCCCCTGGCCAGCAAGCACCCACTTTCCTAGCCCCAGCCATCTCTGCAGAGGCTTCAAGGAGGGACATCAAGGCAGCCAGACTTCCAGGGGCCCCCCAGTTGGGTGATGCAAGCCACAGGCTCCTACACTTGCTTCTTAGAAGCAACTGCTGGCATGACTGGGGGATTTTCACCACTCTGCAACCCAAGCTGAGAAGCCCAGCCTTAAAACATTCTTGGCAGTCAAGAGTTTGTTTCAGTGGGGCTATTAAATTATAAAATTTTTGCCAGAAAAGAATATATTGTTTTGTGTAAAATAAAATTTCCAGGGCCATCCCCCAACAGATGAATACAATGATCTTATTAGAAATTGTACATTATCCTATCCAACTTTCAGTCAGCTTTTAAAAATGTTTCTGCGTGAAGAAAAAAAATAAACTATTCAAAGAACAGCTAAAACAGGTGCCCACTGATTTAAAGAGTGTACCTCTAATACACATTAATATCTGCAAATTTCTTATGCCACAATAATTTCACTATTGTCCTGCTTCTATAAGTTACATCATTAAAATGTTTCACTACAAGAAGTTTTTGTTCGGAATCTAAAATCACACTTAGAAACGCAGTTTTTCTGAGTTCATGTGCACCTCTTCCGATTCCGGCATTATTACGTATATAACAGCAATGGCACTGTTCTCTGAGTTTTCCTAAAATAGTATTTTCATCACATCAGTCATATATGGAAAACTCTTCATACATTCTATAGAATTAGATGCAAATTCTTCATTCTGGTATGCTAAATTCATACTAATAAGGTCACATCTTCACTACTACTTCTAACCCTTAACAGTTTTAGGCAGGTTAGGTCCCTGAGAACCACTTCACACATTCATTTTTACCTCTCTACCTTTTCTCATTTATCTTTACCTCTCTGTCTTCACAGATCCATCCTTCGAGACTTTTAGTTCTACCTTTTCTGTAATGCCTAGACTGCCTAACCTTATCCATCTAATCTATAATTTTTATCTCTATCAGCACTTACCAACTGTACCACCCAGGACAGTTATTTACAACTAGGACAATTAATTACACATTCTATATCTACCTGCTTATACTTTTAAAGACAGAGACTTTGCTTTGTGCATCCTTTGTATCAGAGTATCAACATAACCCTCACAGAGAAAGAACAGCAATAATACATATAACCAAGGAAAAGCAAAAATTTCCATCCCTTATCAAATTCAAAAATAAACATCTGAATCTTAGAATGTCACCCTAATATACACTGTCTGGTAGTCTAAAGATGGGAGGCACAAAGAGTTGCCATTATAAGATCTTATCCATCTCTGTAAGTACAAGAGATACTATTCCATAAAATGACGTGACGACAGTCTAACAATACTTAACATTCAAATTTTGGTTATGTATTTTTTTCTGTTAAGTGAAGAATATTTATTTTTTAAAACCAGGATGACAAAACATTAAAAATACAATGAATATTATTTCTGATATATTAAAGAACCTTGAATTCAGAGACTACTAGAGTAGAATTTTATACTCTTGATGAAAAACAAAGAGGGCACCTGCTCTGACACAGAAATAAAAGAGCCAACCTCCGAATCTTGGTTGGAAGAGAGACACCAGTGCCTGTGTGAATTTCCTAAGGCAAGTGCCCTTTTTACCAAAGGGGACTGAAATGTTCTGAGGAGTTTTCAATAAGCAGCCTTTATCTTTCTTACTATCACAGTCTGAACTGCCTTCTTTAACAATCTAATTTGAGCTCAGCCATCTGAGTTTATGAAATTGTCACCATGCCTTAATGGAAAGCCACAGCTTAGATATCTATCCTGCAATATCCTTATTAGTACTATGAAAGAATTTCTGAACATAAGACTTTACATCAATATTCACCATAATAGCTTTGCCTTATAAATTTTCTACTTAATACAGAGAATACTTTTACTTAATTTCAATGTGGTTTTAGTTTTATCTCATCAAAGATTATTGCTGAATATATGTCTTGAAAGATACTAGAAAAACCATCAAGTTTATTACTTCCTGCCAAATGTAGGTCCTTTATCAGTTGGTGAAAACCAGAAGCTTCTAAATTCTACTTTTATTTAAGTTTTTTTTTAAGTTGAGAAGATATTATTACTTGGAAAAAAATTCCACCTAATTTATTTAAAGCAATTGTTAAGTATTCTCTAGATGCTGTATATTAAGATCCTAGCAAGGGCTATCGTTTCTGGATGCACCATGTGTAAAACACTACCCTCAGCACTTTTTGTACAAGACATTATTTAATCTGTCCTACACCAAGGTTATTATCTCCATTTTACAGTTGGAAAAATGAGGTGTAGAAAGGTTAAGTAAGGCCACGCGGCTAACAGAGACTCAAACGCAGACCTGACTCCTAAATCTGAACTCTTAATACTTATCCTATACTCCCTTCAGAATATCCTATTATTAGTATTTCAATGTTTTCATGTTATACTGTAAAACCTTTCACTGAAAGAAGTGAATCAAATGTACTTTCTGAATCAAATATTAAATTATGTTCAGTATGATTTTCATTTTTAATTATTTGCAGCATTTAATTTCTTTGAAGATAAAAAGTCTCTATGAAACAAATGCATTGTATACTTCTAGAAAACAAAATATGTGATTAACTGGAACACCCCCATTCCCATACCAGGCTCTGTAACAAAGAGTTCATTATACTTCATGCAGAGCTGCTGCTGCGGCACACCCGCTAATTGGCTCCTTGGTAGCCTAAAGCAGCAAACATACTTCCTCAGGAACCTACCAGTCAGGGAATGACATAGAATATAGCTCCATGACTCCAACTAGAAAAGAAATGGTAAAATTACTAAGCTGTTAATAAACAGCTAATGATATAATAGTATTTAGTCACTTTTTATAAATTATCCCTTCAAAACTTATCTAATAATTTTCAAAAAGAGCTTTATTGCCGTTTACTAAAACAGAGTTGTCTATCTAGTCATGCCCCAACTTACAAAATGATGTTCCATGGTCAAGATCAAGCTCAAAGTTCTCCCCATTGAAGAAGCACTTCCCAATTTCCAGTAGACTGAACTGCTCTTTTCATCTACCTTTCCACAGTAAACTCCATGTACTTCTGTTTAACACAGTTTATTCTGCTTTGATTATAGGTTATTTCTTACATATCCCTCTCCATAGCTGGTGTGGCTAGGACTGTCATCCCCCATACCTCTCCAGCCCTAGCAGAGCTTTACACACAACATTTGTGAAACAGTTTTTTCTTAATAGCAATTTGAATTAAGGTATACTCTAAGAAGGCCAAGCTGATTCAACTAATTGCTTTTTAAGTGGTATCAGTACTTTTATCCAAGATTTCTAAGCTTAAATATATAAAATACATAAAGACATTTTGTTTGGTGTATAATATATTAAATATATAAGATTTTAATATTTATAAGTATTTATTACATAGAAATATATTAAATATATCATGTCAAAGACCAAGAATTAATCCTTAAAATATAAGTTCAAAGAGATAAATGTCAAATGTCTGGATCCTAATAGTCTTAGATACCAGTTACATGCAGGTAAGAAAAATCACTTCATAGTTAATTTGTATCACCAGCAGCTATTTAAAACACCTCCGCTACAAGGTAACTGTACCACCATAAATTAAATATACAGGAATGCTACCTGTATTTCAAAAGTTAAAGCATTATTGTCATGGGAAAAAAGTAATCACAGATGAGGTGATCATAGTGGCCCAACTGGAAATGTTCTAAACATAGAAGCCTGGAAAAGTAGTGTCCACAGAAGTGAGGGCTAATTATGTAAGAAATAGAAGTTATCCTCTTAGTGAGAAACTAACAAAAAGTGTCCAACAGAGACAAGCTTTGGTCAAGCCAAAACCACCTGAGAGAAATATATTTAGTAATGTCAATGCTAAGGTGAAAGAAACACTTTAAATGCATACTTTCACAACCAGTTACTGAAACTTCCACTCTTGTGTTCAAAGAAGCCAAAGTGTTTCAGTGCTAAAAAACAAACTTTCAAAAGCTGCTATTGTTTTCATGCTAACTTGCTAGTCTCAAACAATTCAAAACACCTAATTCCTAGTCTCTAAAAAAAAAACTAAAATAATATAGCACCTCATTAAAAAAACAAAAAGAAAAAATTCAAACCTTTCTATCAAGACTACAATCCCAAGTTTGATTCAAAGACTATAGACCTGACATTGTTGTACTAAATTAAATGGGTTTTAAAAATGTTACATTTCATTAAACTTAAGACACCAGCTGAAAACATACCATTGGAATAGTTTTTATTGTCTCTTCTCCCTTACCAGTCCCCCCAATACCCCCCTACCCAAAAGCAGAATGGGTAAGTCCCATAATGGGTAAATATTTCTCAAAGATGTTCCCTTCTTCTCCCTCCTCACTGCCAAATGACCTCCATCAACTCTCACTAAAACAATTATATTAACTTCCTAACTAGTTTCCCTGTCTCAAGTCCTTCTTCCCTTTCCCATCCTCTGTCCTCAACAGCTACTTCATGATAGAAGACATTAATTCAATCATACCACAAACCAACTTAAACATTTTCATGGTTCCCCAGTGTCTATACAATGTCCAACCCTTAATATGAAATTCAGACCTGATATTTACACACCTTTTTCTATGAGCACAAAGAGCAGGATTTATATCTCAACAATATGATTTCCTTATATACAGCAAATATTCCAAAAATAATAATGAAAATATCATTTGATTTTCAGAGCTGAAATTCAGAAAAAAATCATCCTGATGGGCTAGAGTAGCACCACTGAGACAGCAGGTAACAGAATGAATCAGGAGCCTCGCAAGGGCCTTCTTTATATTCTTAACCTTTAGAGTATAACATGTTCTTAATAAATGTTTGCTGAATGTGGGAATTTTCTGAGCCAAAACTCAAGATTCATACTTCAGAAATTTCAAATTTACACAGGAAATAACTGGACCAAATATTTGAAGTTGGGAATATAAAATCTCAGACTTGAAGGTAGCATAGGGGCATGACTGGAGGAACCTGGGCATAACATGTAAAAACCAAACTGGTGCCAGGGCCACATCTCCTCGCTGGCCTAGATCCTGACTGTTTTAAAGTAGACAAGGAAAGCAAGGTTAATTTGCAATAGGCAATTTTAGCCGACAAGTCACAGGTAAAAAATAAACTGAAAATAAATGTTTAAGACAATTTAGAATCATACAACTGATGTGCTTCCAATGCATTTTTCTCAAAATACACATGTTCATTAATGGCAATTAGCAAAGATTATTAATCTACATGTAACAACAATTAAAAATAATTCTCTCAAATGCTACCTTAAAAGTTAAACCAAAAACCTTACATGCTGATTTACAATAGTCAGTGCACTGGGGTCACTGGAATACAATCTTACTACTTTCCTATCAGAAACCTCAAGAGGGCTTACATGCTGTATCTTATATTTGATCATATCATAACAACTTGTTCTCTTTAAGTATTGGACTCGCTACGTGTTATCCAGTGTCCAGTGCCTAAGAGCTCGTTAATTACCTAAACTATATCTCCATAGGTCTTGTTAATTACCCGTCTCCTGTCTCAGAGGACCTTGTTAATAACTTGTACAGTCTCTCTAAAGAGGTCCTAACAACACATTAAAATTAAAGATGCTTTTCTTTTAGCACCTGTCAAGTGCTGTAAATTGAGAAATTTTCACATCAGTTTATTAGCCTACACTAGTTTTTGTGAATTTTTTTGGCCTGTTTTCTTCTCTCTCAGAATCTTGCTATATCTCAATCTCTCAAGAAAAAAAAAAAACCAGCAAAGTTTGTCTTTTTTGTTACAGAGCTTTTTTTGTTTTCAATTTTGAAGACTCTAAATATCAATTTGCATTAGAGTTAGCACAAGGATGGCATCGCTGGTATCTGCAAATTAACCCACTGGGAGATACACCAATTAATGAGAGCTATTATAATGAGTATTAGGATGACAAAGGGTAAAAAAGTTTCAAGTAGTATCTGGGGAGTTAAACATAAAAGTTCTAGTTAGTGTTAAGGGAACTAATCACGTTGCATACTTCGTGTTTATAGTCATTGTTTCATTGGATACATTCTGTAAATCTCTGAGCACTAATGGATTAATGGGTCTAAAAATCATCTCAAAAGTTTTTGTCTTCTGTCTCATAAATGAAGCCACAAATTTTCAAGTGTGTAAAAGATTTATAGCCTACCATGAATAACAGGCAAATTATCTTTAACACTAGACAAATATGAGCAAAAAGTAAATATTGCTATTAAAACAAATCCTTTGCATATTAAGGTTTATGATGCCAACGACTGAACTTTAAACTCATTCAGGAAAAAAAAGTCCATTGGGACATTATAAAAATGAAGGTTTAAAAACTATCAATAGGCTCTTTTTCTTTAGGATCATTTATTTACTATACTTTTTAAAAATCAAAATGTAAATTCTACAGTAAACAGTCTTTGACTTTTAATGAACATGTTACACAATTTCATAAAAATGGCTACATGCTTACAAGCTTATGGTGATTTGAAAATTAGAAAGACATTTAAATATACATTCCAGGTAACCAATTTTTTTGTACCTCCTGAGGAAGGTATGATACAAGCACAGACAGGAATTGACTCATTAAGGAAGGAAAGAAGGAAGAGGGGGAGAATCAGGTAGACCTGACCTCAGAAGTGGAAGGCACACTGCCATGAAAAATCACTAAAACATTACAAGTCTGCATCTTAGATACTATTTCTGTACCATCCTAAAATATAACTATTTGGCGTGAGATCATCTGCTAAAAAGGAGGGAGGCTCTTCCACCAAACATTAAAAATGGAAATACATGCTTTGGAAAATCAATTAATACTAGAAATAATATTACAGAACATACCATTTAGTTATTCAGGAGTAGTTAAGAATTTGCTACATGGCATTCACAACTACCACAGTAGAGCAGAAAATAATGGAGTGAAAGCATGTTCTTTCTATGAGTCACAAATAGAAGGTCGGTCCCCAAACAAAATTCTCTGGTAAAAATATCTCCCATTAAATTATTACTCTCAGAACAGCTGCCCCCCTAACATCAAACAACAGAAACTCATCACACAGAGTAGTAGGCTTATATTGATTTTTTTAAAAAAATTCAGAATAAGACATACATAAGCAATTTTCTCTAACAGACAGAAAATCTTACTCTCTCAATCTTATTCTCTCAAGCAGAATTCCCTTCAGTAGGTGGAGTTCTGTGGTCCTGAAATTTTTCAAGGAACTTACACCTCCTTCAAAGAATACACATCATGGAATTTCTCCTCAATTTACCATGGGTAGCATACAAATAGAAGCATATTTTTAAGCGTCATTCATCACTATTGACTCTCAGGTTTTACCTCAATCCTGAGAAACAATTCATTCATAGATGCCATAAATATTTAATAGACTTTTCTGCCTGGTCTTCAATGCTCACTATAATTTAGGGTGTGTGTGTGTGCATTAGGTGCGTGCGTGCGTGTGTGTGTGTTTAACCTATTCAGCCATATCTTTTACTCCTTTCCACCATATCTCTGTTTTAGCCAAGCTAACTTCCTTACTATACCCTCTACCTTAGTTAGGGACCTGCAAGCAGAGCTAATATGACTAAGTTGTCTAATTTAAGTACGCATTTGCCAGCACAATTCCTGATCTCCATTCACAGTGAATACTTACTGAAAGCTTAGGAAATAAAGTAGTCCCATCCCCTTATCTGTGGTTTTGCTTTCCACAGTTTCAGTTAACCACCATAGTCCAAAAATATTAAATGGAAAATTCCAGAAATAATTCCTAAGTTTTAATTTGCGTGTCCTTCTGAGTAGCCTCATGACATGGTAGGCCATCCGATTCTGTACTGCCTGGGATGTGAATCATCCCTTTGTTCAGTCCCTTTGTTCAGTGTACCCACACTGTCTACACTGCCTGCCCATTAGTTACTTAGTAGCCATCTCGGCTATCAGGTCGCCTATTGCAGTATTACAGTGCTTGTGTTTGAGTAGCCCTTATTTTACTTAATAATGGCCCCAATGTGCAAGAGGAGTGATGCTGGCATATTGTTGTAATTGTTCTATTTCATTATTATTGTTACTCTCTTACTGTGCCTAATTTATGAATTAAACTTTATCATAGGTATATATGTATAGAAAAAAAAACACAGGATATATAGGGTTCGGAACTGTGCCTGGTTTCAGGAATCCACTGGGGGTCTTGGAATGTATCCCCATAGAGTAGGAGGACCACTGTAGGTGATATAATATAGATTAGCAATTTTTAAACCCGATAGTCAATGGGAAGTTATTAAAATGTTGATTTTCATTTCAGGGCCTACTCACTAAAGATTCTAATTCAGTCAGAGGGGAGGCCCAACAAATTGTAGCTAAAAAAAAATAATCTCCAGGAGCCCTTGATGATCAGCACTGAGGTCATGCACAAATCTAGGTGCTGTGGTGCACCCAAGAAAGAGGATTCTGCACAACTGTTATGAAGCTTACACAGCTTAATATAAGACCTAGTACAATAAACATTGTATAGTAATTACTTCTTCTATATCAGCAGAAATCCAAAGGGAAACACGAGGTTATTACTCAAAAAAGAACACTCAGAGATGAGTTGAGAGTGCACCCCACAATTGAGCCCGGGAATGAAGACGGCATGGCTTACAAGGACCTCAGTGTAGAGACATGGCAGTAAGGAAATTAACTTACCTAGAACAGGTTGGTGAGGAACAGTAAAAGAAAACTTGGAAGGTTAAGAAAAGCCTAAAATACAACAAGCCTTAGAACGTTAGAAAGAGGAGTTTGGATTTGGTGTTGCAAACCAGTAGTTCTTAAACTTTTTTGACTAGGGCTTTCTTAAACACAACGAAAGGTACTACAGCCCATGTGCCCTCCTCAGTAGGATAAATAATGCTAAGTGCTCTAATAAATATATATATAAATCTCAGTAACTTATATCCTGTGAATTTATCATTTGGACAAGGGCCACTTGGCTATTCCTCGTCAGGTGGGCCTTCCACTTGCATGCAGAGACCCAGGCTGCTCCTACTTACAGCTCTGCCCATCTCAAAGATCCTCTCCATTCAGCTACTGCAGGGGTCAGCAAAGTATTTCTGTAAAGCCCAAACAATAAATAGTTTTAGCTTTGTGGGCCATATGGTCTCTGTCACAACTACTCAACGCTACCACCGTACACAATTATGACGATAATGCGGCTGTGTTCGAACAAAACTTTACAAAAACTGGCAGCAAGCCAGATTTGGCCTCCAAGCTTAGTTTGCCAATCCCTGGTCCAGGATATGGAGGAAGAGGCAAAACGGAGGATTGTGTTAAGAGTGTTAAGAGGACATTCCATGGGCCAGACCTGAAAGTGGTATACATCTCTTCCATGAACTCTTAAATAAGCCAGAACTTGCTATGTCCTAGTTAAAAAAAAAAAAGAAATGAAATGAACAAATTTGGCTTGGTGAAGACACACACCCATCATTTCCACTTTTAAGTGAAAAACAGCCTGGTGGTAACATTATTTACAATTTATTATTTGTGATTTTATAATATATTAAAAGATAATTTGTTGTGAACAAATTAAAAATGGTATAACAAACATTCAGGCATATTTGTTTTTGGCAAATGATATACTGCTGATAAAAAGAAGGATTACTTCGCAAATTGTGTGATAAACCAAATGATAAATTAGTTGACAATTTATTTGATAAAGCATGAAAAAAATTAGTTGATACTGATGATGCTAAACAACCTGTGACTTACAATTAAAAAACAAGACTAGTGGCAATTATAAAATACAAACAACTTAGTACCAGTAATAAACTGAGAAAACATTCTCCTGAAGATTACAAGAACTCCAACACTACTTACTGTATATGTGTCATAGGAGTTTTGCAGCATGCCAGCATTGGACAGCATCCCGACTTCTTAGTAGCAAGCTGATTAGGCATCAATGGCACACACAATATTGTAAGCTCACTAAACCCAATTCAGCTTCCTTCTGCGTATACAGCTAAGTCACAGTTCTTCACAGGTTGCAGTGAGGCTGGGGCACGGGTGAGCTCTGGCCAATGGGACATATGTGGAAGTAATGCATACTGCACTAGGCCTGGCACACAGAAATGACCCTCCTTTGATCCTCTCTCTCCTCCTGCGCTGCACTGATCTTGGAGGCCATGTGTTAAATGGTGGCATCACAAGAAGGAAGAAGCCTGCTTCCTGAGAGACTGTGCAGAGCTGGATGAATGCATAGAGCAAAGCACTCACTTTTCCTATCACCATTCCAGTGAACTCCTTTGTGACAAGAGTGAGCAATAAACTTTTGCTGTGATAAGCCACTGATACCGTGGTTATTACAGCTGACAACCTACCCTAATACACAGTTCTTAATAGTCTCCAGAAATGTGCTATTTAGATTGAATATTAAATTTTAGTAATCCTTTAAAACTTAGATTTTTAACAATGTTTAGTTGTACATAAAAATGCATACATACGGCTTTATGGATCTGTTTTCAGTCTATTAGAAAGATCTTCACAGCCCACGCAAGCAGGGCTGGAAGTAGGAGGCTAACGGAATGAGAGTAGCATTTCAGGAAACTGCTATACTGTGTGCATTAGGAAACTGGTTTGCTACACTGTGTGCATTAAGAAACTGGTCTGCTATACTGTGTGCGTTTATTCAAAATATCTAATACCTGCTACCTACCAAGCATCACGCTGGAGACTAAGGGCAAAAAGAGGAATGAAATGCAGACCCTGCTATCAAACTCTTCATGGTAGTGGGCAAAAAAAGTGAGACTAAGCTATTAGTGAACAATGCCATGCCCACAGAAGACAAGACTTACGTAAGAAAATGCTGCAGCACAGGGAACAACTACCCCTCCCTACAAGAACAGGAAATGCTTCAAAGAAATAGGGGCATGTAAGAGACTGCAAATTAGTAACTTCGGGGAAAAGTGTTTCAAAGAGCCCTGCTCTTTGCTGAAGTAACCCAAGATAATGCCTAACTTCCTCTATCAGTTTTATGTAAAACTATGGGACCTATTCCAAGGACAGGATCAAAATGTGGTATTTTTTGTGGTTTCCAAAGTGCTTTCTTCAGGCGGACTTTACTTAACACTAAGGAATAAAAAGTCTAACTTCTAAAAAAAGTGTGCCTTAGTACATTTTAAAATTTTGGGCATAAAGAAAATTCTCCAGTTTTAATAATATACATTATTCAACCAGAGGGTAACAATATGGTTCCTAGGTACCAGCAATCACAAGTGAGCCAGTTCACTCACCAAGAAGAAAATGCAGTTCCATGGCTATGTATTTTACCCTTAACCTTGTTCAGCATTCTCACAAACACTGGCCACAAGAGTCCAGGAAACTGTAAATAGGTCTATTTAGCACTCCTGAAAAAAATTCACAGCACGTGTCTTAATAATGTGAGCCCATAGCTCCAAAAGTGCATTCGGTTAGGATGTTAATGTGAGAAATTTAAAATGTCCCAGATAGCTGAGGGTTGATACTGGGAGGAAAAATAGAACTATACTGTTACGTAAAGACAACACTACCTTGGCAATATCCTCCCAAATTCCACTCAAGATAAAGCTGCTTGCCAAAAGTGTGAACTGCACACTCTTCTTGGGTCTATTTATATTCAATTCTTCTTTTTTATAAGATTAACTAGAACTACCCCTTTACTGCAAATGTTTTACATTTACCACACGGATGGTTTGTGATGCAAAAAGAATAACTTCCTAGGAATCCACAAATGTTCTGTCCTCATATCTGGCATCTCATAAATATGAAGAAGAGAAAGTCATAAAATGAAAAACAACTATTTTTTTTTACATACTTGCAATCATTTCATACATCATAAAACAGCTCTAATTTTGCTAGAAACAGCCAATAATAATAAAGTAACTGAAAACAAAGCCTGGATGTGTCAAAATGCCACAGGCACTTTTAAAACCCGTAACAGCCCACATAAACAACTCAAATACAGGGCAATTAAAGATTTGCAAATACTCAATAAGCTTTTTTTTCCATATGCACCCATAATGTAAAAACATTATTTTCCTATCATTTTCCATTTTCTTGCTTTTCTTCTGACTCTAAAATTAGCTAAATTGCCCCATCTCCAAGTTACCTCAGACAGTTGTTTCCAACAACCTTCTGTAAAAAAAAGTTTAGTAAAGAGGGAAAGAAGCAAATATATTTCTATTTACCCATATAAGATTTAATGTAATATGTGAAGTACAGTATGTAAAATACCAAAATATTTTTGAATGGCATATCAAAACTATAAACTCTTCAATAAAATATTGATACCATATGATAAAAATGTTATTCTTCTGGAGTATGGTTTATAAACAGAACAGAATACTCTTTTAAACCATGGCAAATATCCATTTATAGGTAAAAGAAAACAAAAAAAGTACACTTCACTTTGAAAATTTAAATGCAAATTTTTAAAATATCATGGAAGATACATAAGAGAGGTGAGAGGGCACAGCCTAAAAGTGATTGATTGTTAATACTCTATTTGCTGTTTCTAGTGGGACAAAACAAAGCACTGTTTTTTAGTAAAATATAACATGACGATACATCAAACATAATTGTAGTCACCATTTATGGATTCCCTATTTGGGGCCTGGCTTTGTATTATGTACTTTCATTTATCCTCACCGAATCCTATCAAGTGGGATTATTTTCCTTGTTTCAAAGATGGAGATACTGAGGTTTATGGAGGTCATAGCACTTCTAAGCCAGTATTCCCATTCAGGTCTGTACACTCTATAATATTGTCTTGAAGAAAATCTTCTATTACGTGGTAAACACTCTAGCATGCTCTTCCAAGATAATTACAGTCATCTCTCAGTATCTGAGAGAGATTGGTTCCAGGACTCCAAGGATACCAAAATCCAGGGATATTCAAGTCCCCTATACAAAATGGTACAGTATTTGCACATATACGCAACCTCCCATATATTTTAAATTATCTCTAGATTACTTATAATACCTAATACAATGTAAACCAATGTAAACAGTTGTTACACTGTACTGTTTTTTAAATCTGCATTATTTTTTCATTACTATATTGTTATTTCTTATTTATTTTTTTAAATATTTTCACTCCATGGTTGATTGAATCCAAAAATGCAGAACCTGCAAATATGGGGGGCCAACTATACTTAAGATGGGAATAAATTTATCTTTTCTTTGCTTGAGGTTTCCTTAATCAGCTATTTCATCGTTTACTTCTGTAAAATCCATAACCATATTTAAATTTATTCCTTAGCATATCTACACTTATATCTATATATGTAGATATAAATTTATATAGATATAGATTTAAATTTAGATATATAGATATAATTTAGATATACTAAGGAATAAGAAAAGCACCATTATATATATAACTGAAAACTCAAAGTTGGAAAATCCAATCTTTCTCATGAGTGATTATTTCTGACTATAAATCATCATATAGATCCCTTGGGTATACCTACAGAACCCATGAGGGTTACTGAATTCCAATAACAAGCATTCTCAAATAAAAACCACTTCTAAATAGCCATTTAATAAGGATAATTAACATCTATTAGGAAAGCCATTAATACTGAAGCTGGCGTTTTTTAAAGAATAGCACATGGGCTGCTGTTGGTCCTTTCCAGGTAGCCCATGAACGAATCCCTAGAAACATTATCACCTAAATTTCTGGCTTGAACTAACACCCACTGGCAATTCACTCTCGCCATGTCTCATCACAAGCCATGTTGTTTTCTAAGTTTTGGTGAATTTCTGGCTCACATAAGTGGAAGTAGACCAGGATAGAGAATAAGAGTCTTTTATCTTCTTAAGATAAAAAAGTTCAGTTCCAAAAATATATGCAACATTGCCTGGCTCTATAATTTAATTATACAAATAAAAATGTTTTTCAAATAAAATAAAATGACTTGAAAATATTCTAGCATTTAAAAGAAATATTTGATACCTTCAAGTACAAGATTTTCCCAAATAGTAGAACTTCCCCCATATTAAGCTTACCTTGAAGATGGCATTATATTTGAAGCCCTGAATTTTGCTGTAAATGGATTGGTTGACTCATAATCAAAATAGTCCTGGCGATTTTCACTAAATGCATTAGGTGATTTCAAGTCACAAGGGCTATCAGATCCCCCATTGTTAAGTTTATCAGATCTTCTGCTATCTTTTTTTCCAGTCACTCTTTCAAACAGGCTAACTTTCTCCCTTTTCTCTCTTTTATTTTCTTTTCTTATTTCAATTGGTTTTGAAAATAAATTCATGCTGCTGTCCCATGTTTCGCTGCTTTCTTCAAATGGATTTTTCTTCCTTGGCAGTGTTGCAAATTTTTGGGGTAATGAAGCAGTCACATTTGTAAATGGGTCATTTTGTCTTCCGAAACACAATTCACCTTCATCCACAATGCTGTCAGGTTGGTTCATTTTAGAAGTATCAAAGCTTAATGTTCTTCTGTGTGGAGATTTGAGACTTCCTACAAACAATTTTGTAGTTAGTACATAATCAGTGACACATTACATCACACTATTTGACACAGTCTGTGTGCATTCTGCTGCTTTTAGAATGAGAGCAATTAGCCACTTAAATGTATTAACCTTCAAAAAATCAAGGAAACAATCTTAAAATGCTAAGGTGTAGCAGTCTGAAGCATCGAGGCTGATAACAACTAGCATATTGCTAGACCATTAGTAATGTATTCAGCTCACAATCATATAAACTATGATGTCAAAACTAGAGGTTCTGGTTGGCATGATAATGTTAAAAATTCTCAGAGACTTTTTCATTAGCATTAAATTTACTTTCTTACTTCTGAACATAAAAGTTTTCTTCTAAGGACTTTATGATGAAATGGAACATTCATTTATGCTCAGGGTTTTGAGATAGCAGAAACAGCAGTAAAACAGGCAGCCAAGCCATAAAAGGAAACTGGCACTCATTTTATTATCATCTAATAATATAAATACAAATGCAGACAAGCTCTGCCTTCAAGGAACTTACCAATTTGAGGTATAGTAGGTACTCAATATTTGATGAATGACAAAATTTGGAAAATACTACAAAGCAACTGCTATTTTGATTTACTAAATTTAGAAATTAAACTTTAAAAACTAAAAGGGTAGTTCAGACCAATGAGTACACAAGAATGTGACACTTACCACTTTCTGGAACTGTTCCAAAGGAATCTAACTGGTGTCCGAGAAGATGTGTTTGACCTATGGTGCCAGCCTTCAGTTTCTCAGAAGACATATGGGACCCAGATAAATCAGACATTGAATGCGCTGACGAGAGTCGCTGAGGACCCAAGAGAAAAGGCTTTTTTGGTTTGGATTTCATCTGTATTTCACCACTTGAAAATTCACTATTGGCATCGGGCATGTGAGTACTTGGAATGATTGCAGAAGACGTATCAGAAAATGTTCCATCATTTTTTCTACCCTTCATCTTATCTTTTAACTTTGCAAAAGGAGATCTGGTTTTGTCCTTCATTGATAAGTCAAACATACTTGCGGTCATATTGTTCCTCATAAACTGAATATTGACCTTTATCTCACCCCTGTTTTTGATTCGTTTTCCTTGTTTGGATTCTAATCTAAACCACCTTAAAGAGAAGAAAAAAAAATTGGCTGTAACACATAATAGAGAGAGGATACTGAGTTCTGTTACATACAAATAGCCTTTTAGGTAAAGTAACTATACATCAAGGCAACCTAAGCTCTGAATAAGAATCTGTCAGCCACAGTATTTCGGGCTTTACTTATTATTTAGTTTAAAAAACTGATCATTGTCTCTGTGATGTAACATATACTGAAGGAATGAATAGGTCTTTGGCAAGTTTGAAAATGTTTTCAGATAATCTTTTCTTTTGTAATTTGAAAATCACTCATCATCAAAAATTCTTATCAATGCTAGAAGTTTTCCATATGGGATTAAGTGTTGCTCACGGCCTAAGGACATTTTTTTTTAACATTAAAAGACATTGAGGCAGAGATTTTGAAAGAATTCACCAATACAAATTATTTTTGAGCATTATAAAATGAATCTCATGACATTTTAATACAATAATAAATACCTGGCCCCATCCCAAAATATTACTTACGTAAAAGTAGCAAAAGAATTTTGTTAACATTGGAGATCATTGCATATAGCTTGCTAATCATTAAAACAGCATATGATGTCATTTAGATTGACATAAAATGAATCAAAGCCTACTCCTGAATAAAATATGCAAAAAATAAGTAAAATGCAAGAAGTGACAAAAAATAAATCTTGTGAAGTTTTCAAAAGGAAAAAAAAAAACCTAAAATGCTTCTTGTTTGAATCTATTTGCTTCATTTTACTATTGCTACTGTGACAATACCAAATAAAAATTATTTTGAAAATGAAGCCAAATCTTACGTTTTAGTCCCTTCAATGTATGGCACTATCTGTATTTAAATGATATACAAGAAGCAATATTTTGGTTTTATAGTATTTTTATCCATGAGAAATTCTCCAGTTGGCCATGTCACAAGTGGTCATTCTATGGGAAAACAGCCAAAAAAAACTACAAAATCAAGCCTGAAAGAGTTTCTACAATGTTTTCACATAACTTAGCAATGAGGCATAATATCCATTCCTGCACACAGGTTATTATTTAAATATAGCTCTAATCGAGTGTAACAAATTTTCTTAGCTACAAAGGAACTCTGATCTAATTTTACATTAGTTCTTTCTCTCATTGTTACCAACTGGATATGCCAAGAGAAGATTACATTTACTGTATATCAAGTTGAAATACTGGCACATGATATAAATACCAGCTACATCTTTGCACGTAACATGGAAGAAAAATATTTTCTTGATTAACTAAATTGGAGCTATTCAATCAATTCAGATATAGTTGCATCAAAACTAGCCATTTCTTAGAATATCAATATTTTAAAATACTATTAGCCTGAGACCTTAAACTGAGAAAATCCCTTATATAAGGCAAATGGTAAAATCTGAAGAAACAGGGGCTAGAAATAAGAAATGACAGCGATTTCTGTGAAATAGACAACCTTAAATAACATACAATTGAGCACTCAAAAAGCCTGGAAATGAAGCAGATTATATACCCAGTTAACTCAAAGTTTTGGAAAACAGAGCTATTTTCAATAGGGAGAGAAACACATCTGACGAACAGTAGCTCAGAAATACTCTGTAGTACCTCAGGCTTTATAGAATGTAGGTGAATATACTTTGCAAAAAATGTACCAAAAATTTGCAAACAAAAACGAGCACGTATGTAACAAATCAAAGCAAATATGAGTAAAAAAAAATTAATTACCCCCAAAATGGAAGGGGGTGGGGGTAGTGGAAATTCACAGACTTTTAGAGATAAGACCAATAAATCATCTACTTTAACATCTTTATTTCATAGATGAGGAAATTGAGGCACAAGGAATGATATGTAACTTCCCAATGTCAGATTAAAGTCAATAAAGAAAAAAATCTAAAGTTGATGAATAACATCTGCAGGAAAATAGAAGCTCTTTCTTATTTGATGAACCACATATGTTAATAAGGTTAACCACATGGCTGGCACATACTGCAGGACACTGTATTTAATAAGGAGACATGAGAGCTGAAGAGAAAGACAATGCAAATTTTCTACTGCTAGAGTATAAGCTCCTGGAAGGCAGTCTGCCTTGCATTAAATGTTTATTCAATTTTTATTTCTAGAACTATATTCTTACAAGTAAGCTACAACTGTGTGTGTGTGTGTATGTGTTTACATTGTCTTGTTTTTTTAGTAGGAAACTGTAAAGACCTATGTAAACCTGAATAAAGCAAATCAGTATTTGACTACAAACTGTAAATACACTATAATGTCCATTCCCCACCCCCCAAAAAAAACTGCAAAGAACTTTTACAAATATACTCATTGAAAATGTAGCAATGACAAATAACTTTAGTTGCTTTGTTTTGAAAATGACATAATAGGGAAGTCTTAATGAGATCTTCAAGAATCATTTCAGAGATAGCATTTGTTTTTCCAGTCTTCAGAAAGATAAAACGAAGACACAGCATTTGGAGCTTACTGGATTAGCTGACTTTTTTTCACCTCTGGAGTACTGGATTTAAACTGTACATGGCCTCTGTTCAATTTTTAGTGGGCACAGGTCCATGTTCAAAAACCAGCACACATATGGGAACTATTCCCAAGCAATTGGTGCTGTGTGGTCAGAAATGGGACAAAATTGGCAGTAAGGGTGCCAGAGGCCAGGACACAGGTGCACCGCTGAGACACACACACGTCCTAAAATCTGCATATGTCTGAGTCACATCTAACTCTACAGACTCTGGTTGTTATTACTTTTCATGAGCATTAAAAAAAAAAGTCAACATCACCTACTTCTATTGTAAAAAATCAATGGATATTACACAACAGCATCAATGATTTTAACATTCTATTACTAAACATTGTATTATTTCTTTAAATCTCATGCCAGAACCAACCCAGACATCCTCTAAAGGAGGAGATACAGAAGTTCTCTTCCCAGGCCCACTCAAAGGGTTCTGGCTCAGACCCTTTTTCCCCATTCCTTAAGAGAGAAAAAAGACATATATTTTCAAGGTAAGAAAATAAGTAAAGTAATAATTTTAGTTGTCATACTTCTTTATCTATCATGACACAACTGGAAGACAAGCTGTAAATATATGTCTTCAGTGTCAAAATGTAAAAAGTGTCACACCCAGCAGTTTCATAGGACATCTAAGTTAGCTGGTAGTCCTCATCACTCGAAACAGTTTTCTAAAAAGCACTTGGGAATATGCTGAAAAAGTTTAGCAATGTGCAGAATATTAAATATCTTCCTTGAAATATACCGGCGGCTCAAGTCTGTCTCTTACTGGGCCACAGGTACAGCTGTGCTAGAAAAGGAAGCTATTAAATATATTAAAAAACTAGAAATATTACCAATAAAGATATCTCATCAAATACATGGTCCCCATTTATCCACAAATAAAATGTTAAGGGTTTAGCAATATATGAAAATCACTTTGAATGCAATAACATCACAAACCCTGTTGATAACATTTAAAAGCATTTTACCCCTAAAGTTCTAATCAATTTTATATAATAGCCAGTAGAGAATTTCTATAAGGAGAGACCATAATATTAGAGTATTGCTCACACCAAATGTATTGTAACTGTGATGTTGCCCAGGACTAGGAGTAAAACAAGAAGAAATTGTAAAAGGTTATTTCATCCTCAGACTCCTTGGGTTCACATTTGGTCCTACTTTCACTAGGAAAATTTATGTTTCAGAGAAGGCCTGAAATACATGATCCATGAATATTAAAGTACTATAAATGAAGTGAGGAATTTGAAGGTGCAATATACTTAATAGTTTACATTCAAAACACGTTAAATATTTACTAAGTGTCACCCAAAATTGGCAATTTGAAACAGATTATTTGGTAATTATCCATTTTTCACTTTCAATTTGATAAAGAATCCCTCGGAGGAAACTGAATGCCACTCTTTAGGTATCAAATAATTTTATTATTCAAATCACTGATATATATTAAACTTTACATTTAACTTTTTCTCTCCTTCTAAAATATTTTCATCTCAATTAAATGGTACCATTTTTCCTCCTGCATTCCTAGTATTTCTGATCTCTCTACACTTTTACTCCACATATATTAAATCTTAGGTTAAGACCTGATTTAAAATGAAACAAAAAAACTCCAATCAAGAGAAGCCTGAGAGTAGAAATGTACAGAAAAGAACAAGAGAGAGTCGTTTTAAAATGTAAAGAATTAACATAAACTTCAAGAAAAATATCATTGTAAGAAAGTTTTTTAAAGAGTAAATAAATTCAATTATAACTGAACAAAACACCAACACTATTTTGGAAATGGAAAGTCCTCTTAGAAGTTCAACCAGTATTTTTCTCTCACTAATTTCATTAATATAATGTCCTTTTAAGTTTATGGAAGGGGTGAGTATACTTAACTCTAAAAACATATTTTTTTTCAATTTAAGACACAATATCCTAGTGTTAATTTATATTATGATTTTTTAAATTAAAATGTATCTAACTCAAGCTCAAAAGTCATACTGAAAAGACCACTGAAGATGTTATCAAATCATTTCATCACAAAAATTTATCATTCTCTCCATCCTACAGCATTTAATATGGTCTAAACACAATAGCTTTGGAAAATCAATTCTGAATACAATAACTCTGATGTAATTGCAAATTCAAAGGAAAATGTAAGTGCATTCGAAGTTGAGGATGTCTGTACATACTTTTAAAACTTTTTTTTTTTCTAACAGGTATAGACTCCCATCAAGGCACACTGACCCTGAAAAATGGCTGAGCTAAAATAAAAGCTGTGTTTATAACGCTGAAACGAAATACTGAGTTCTAAATCTGGTGATTTATCTTTTGACAGCTACAAAGTGCGACACATCAACATTACATTGCCAGATTTAATTTCTCATCTTCCATTTCATTGATAATTGTAAGGTTTAAAATCCATAACAATTTATATGAAGTTCTAGTTGGTCAATACTGTGATCCAGTCCTCATACTGAAACAATGTTAACTTACTTAAAATCCACCACAAAATATTCAATTATTTGACAGATGTTTAACAGAAAGAATAAGGGATCATTAATGATTCCATTTAAAAAATATTTCATCACGAGTGCTACTTTTACTTCAGATTCATGCAAATATGGTGCTTAAAACTGGATCATATTTCAATCCAAAAACCAACGCCCGAAGTATACGGATAATTTCCAAGAACAGAAAAACCATAAATAAGATATAAACTCCCCCAAATTCAAAATAAATTACATAACTTACTCTGTTTTCCTTCTTTGTTTGTCCTCAAAGATGTCATTGAGATTGATTGCCACCTGCCCTAAAAATTTATCCAGACCCACCAGGGACCTGTGCATAACTATAAGGAAAAGAATGTATTTCTCTGGACTTCCCTGAATTAGCAATCCAGGTAGCTCGAAAGAGGCCTCCTCCTTCCAAACTGGCTCAAGGGTTTTCTCAGCTACAGAGGTGGAGTACTTTTCCTTGCCCAGCTGAATTATAGTGTATGTGTCATTGGTACCACTTTTGCCTTTTGGCTTCAGATCTTTGGCTTGGAGCACTGTGACCTGCACGTGGGTTGGAAACCACTTTTGGGCTTGCTCGGACAGCATCATCCTGTCCTGTTTCTCTGCCCCCGAGTTCCCTAGCACAGGCAGTGCCCCTCCCGGAGGGAGAGCCTAATTCCTTAATCACTGCATCCTAAGGACACTTAACGGAAACAGGCAGGCTCAGGGCTCCCCGACTTCCCTATGGCTGATGTCAAAACGCCTCGCGGGGGCAGCCCAGGGGCACGGCCGCTCCGGGGGTCCCCTTTCGTCTGGAGAAACACAGAGGCCCACCATCACCTGGCCGCGCCGTGCAGGCCTCTGCGCGGACCCCCGCCCCTGTCTCCACCTTCCCCAGGCCTGCGGGGCACGTGAGGCCTGGCCACACGGACCCGGGCGGAGGGCTGCGGGGGTGAAGGGAGCCCCCGCCCCAATTCTGCACCCCTGGCCTCCCGCCTGCCTCCTTGCGGCCGAGCAGCCTCCGCTGCCTCCGCGCCTCCCGCCCGCCCGGCGTTCGTCCGCAGGCTCGGCCCGGCTCCTCCTCCCGACCCCGGTAATACGAACCGCCGGCGGCTAACGCGGCCTCGCTCCCTCTCGCAAACCTCTCCCTCCTCCTCCTCCCCCTCGCCTCAGCTCCTCCTCTCGGGCGGGAGCGGGTAGCCAGGGGTGGAGTGGGGGAGGGCGGGGAACGCGGCCGCCCCGGCGCCGGCGGGACGTGGGGCGGGCAGCGGGCTGCAGGGCTGCGGGCGCTTGGTTCGGCCTGGCCCGGCCGGCGGCTCCTAACACCGGGCGGGCGGCTGCGGCGGCACTTCCGGGTTGGCCTTCTCCATGTTGGTCTCGGGAACGTGAAGGGGCGGGGCCTCGAGGTCAGGGGTCAGCACCTCCCTGGTTGCCGTGGCGACTGGAGGCGCGCGACGCGGGCGCAATGGCGGGGACCCGGGGCTTGATGCTGCTTGGGCCTGGCCCAGTGGCGGGTCCTAGGGACGTGGGTACCTGCAGAGGCCGGCAGGTGAGCCCTGGGGAGGGCTGGGGACCGCTCGTGAGAGGAGGTCATCAAAGACCCGGAGACGCCCCTAACTAGGGCGTCTTTGAGGGCAGGGGATCTGTGTTCGCTGTGTCCTGGATGCCCAGTGCCTGGCAGGAGCAGGTCCATAAATGGTGTTGGAACGAATCAGGCCTCTTCACTGACCGAAAGGAAACTTTTCTCCAATCTCCTATCCACCCTTCTCTTTTTGAAAAGTCCGTAAATTGACTGAAAATGACATCCCCCACCCAGACGAAGGGCGATAGGGAAGCAAATAGTTTCCACAGGGAGTAGAGATGTAGGGAGGCACTGGGCTGGCATCAGAAGACCTGGTTCCGGCCGCGCCTCTGCCGCTATCAGTGTGTGTGACCTTGGCCGAGTCATTTCACCTCCATGAGCCTCAGTGTTTTCACGAGTAAAAAAGCCAGTTCTACCTCATGTCTAAGACTCCATCACGACTCTATGGGCTCGACGTCAAAAGGACCCCCGTGGGGACTCACACTGTGGTGGACTGTGCAAATCATGTGGAGACCATGCCCCAAACACGGGTTTCGAGTTTCAGGGGATAATACATGTGCCTTTCCTAGCACAATGCGGCACATAAATCTCCTTTTGCCCCTCTATTTCTCAATTGGAAGAGACGCTTATGTACCACCCCATTGCTGTTAATTCTGTTCGTGTCTTACCTTCCCAAGGAAATTCTAAGTTTTGGGACTGCCTTGTCTATCATGCAGTCCCTTCATAGTGGCTAGCATGCAGCAGACAATTTACTGAATTACTTAATGCCTTTTTTCCCTTTACAAGACTAATTTTGAGAGTAAAACAATATGATACATGTAAATGCACGTTTTTTTAACTTAAATGGCCATAAACATGTAAAGTATCGTGTTTATTATTTTCAAGCAAGGTTTAAAACTTCTCATTCAAGGCAGAATTTTTCATCCCTGGGAGACAGTGTATGAAAAGGCCATGTGTGGAAAACAGAACAAAATCATCGTACTGCGAATATAGCATCTGGATCCCAGAGTGCACAGTTGTCAACTTTAAAGAAAAATATTCTTAGGGATTTTTAAACAGTACGTTGGAACAGTCAATGGTGGAATTTCACCAGGATCTCTAAGGAGAAATAATTTGACACCTGAAACTTACAAAAACCAAATAAACATCATGAAATCAAATTTAATTAAGTTTAGAGTTCTTATACATTTTAAAAGTCTTCATGTCTCTATTAAAGGTTGTAATTAAACAATAGAAAATTATAATAGTGGATGTGTATTTCTGAAGAGCTTAAATTGGTAAGCTTTATTAATGATTATAAACTTGTTTACAAATATAATTTCACTCATCTCTGAAATATAGCCATCTCTAGGGTAGAAGTTGGCAGCAGTAGTTCACAGCAACTCAATAACATACTCCAACACAACTCAGAGAATACTCTAAAGGCAAGAGCTGAACAATTGGAATTACTAACCTCTCTTTCTGTAGCACCTAAATTTCTTTTGAGTTTTCCCAACAGCTGGCTAGAGCCAAAATTGTTTAGTTTTACTGGTGAAATCAGAAATTATGACTTAAAATTTTTTAAGCCAGAATAAGAAAATAACATATTTTTGCCCCCGGGGAAAGCAAATAAACAAACAAACCAAATGAGCTAAATAGAATCTGGGATTGCATTATAATAAGGAAATGACTTCCTATAGAATGTTTTCCTTTTTTGATTATATTAAGAGAATAAAAATATGACAGTGGAGTCAAAGATATGGTTGGCTTATAGTGAAAAATAATGACAATTACATAAGATCTGGGATCAAAGTGCTTCTCCCAAAATGTTTATTGTTTTACAGTTTTAAAAATTCTTTTGACTAATTCTAAGATATACATGGACAACAATTTAAAAAGGAAAGGATTGCGTGTGTAAGGACAACATACCAGAATTGAAGAGAGTCACTTTTTAAAAAATTATCCTATGACTAATGATACATCCGGAAATGTATGGTACAATTCCAAAATCAAAGTCTTGGGAAAATAATATATTTTAGAAGGAAAATGCTGAACATTCTAATTTTAAACTGTTAACAATGCCTACAGCAATGAATAAGAATGCTTTGACCAGAAAGTTAAAATAGTCAATATTTATTCCCCATGAGTAGAGGATTTCACAGATGAAAATATTTACTACATGTTGCCCCTTTCAGTCCCATAAAGAATAAGTCCCATAAGGAGACCTATTCCAGACATTGGGGGAGATTTTCCCTTTGGACAAAGGCATCTCTAAAATCACATCTTGCAAATCTGTTGCAGAACAATTATAATGCTCTCATGTTTAAATAGCCCACTGGGTCAAGCGTGTTAATGCTCCCATGTACATTATGTAATGGATATTAATTATTTTCCAGATGGAGATTCAGAAACATAAGGACAACAAGAAACTTCCCCAAGGTATCATTATAGTCTTTAGACTTCAGACACACACCACACCTCAAATATATACACAACTGAAAGGTATGTAAAATTCATATATATGTACATATGACAAAGCCCCAGAGTTATATTGGAGATACATAGATAGATGATAGATAGATAGATAGATAGATAGATAGATAGATAGATAGATAGATCAATCTCCTTGTAATCGGTTGAAAAGTGAAAGAGTATTTGGCAAATTGACTTGAAATTATTATGGCAATGAACTGGCATTTGGGGATTTTTGGGGATTGTTTTGTTTTGTTTTCATCGCTGGACTGATCAATTTCTCTTCTGGGATTGGGCAGTGTGTGGATACATTTTGTGATGCCCAAGAAGTAACATGGTATGTAGTGTAAAGAGCTCTAGTCAGCAGCCTGGGTCTTAATCCCAGGGCTGCCTATTACTAGCTACATCTCTTTAGGGAAGTCATTTTTCTTCTTTGGGCTGTCTTGTAAAATGAGACTTTTATAGCAGCCACCAAAGGATCCTCTAACATTTAAAGATTCTACATAGTATATCCACAACGCAAAGAAGCAAATTGCATTATAATTATCTAACTGAATTTGGTCAATATACTAAAGCAGATTTCCTTTTTATGTAACATATTAATAAAGAATTCTCTAATTCAGGAGAAAAAAATTATTTTTTAAGATTTCCTGACAGCTCTGTCTCCCAAATGAAGGTAATTAATGATCACAGAAAGCAAGTGAATATAAGTTTTATTAATAGGCTCTGCATGAGGCAATTGACACCAACAGCTCAAGATTTGGAAGAAATTGCATGTATGTGCAAGTGGTTTTGAGCAGCCTTGAACTTTTTAATTGTAGTAATAAGTTTATAACTTCTATCTGTATTATTTGTAGCTTTTTTGAACTGTGAAAATATGCTGAGATTGGTAAGAATTTACGGAGCAAAATACACATTTGCATATAAGAAGGTTTTGTATGGGAACATCTTTCAATTTCCTTTTCATAGTATCATAGTATTCCATTGTATAATTTTTATTCCTACAACAAAATGCATATTAATGCATAGAACACGAATTGATTAACTTTAACTGGTATATGGCATTGGGTGAGATGAATAAGCCCCATTTGATCTTTTCTCCTTCCAAAGGACATTTAAGTTATTTCCACTTTTTCAATTATCATAAACAATGCTGCATAAACATCTATATATCTCCTATGCACATATGCAGGGATTTGTTTTGGTAATTGATGATGAAATTATTGGGAGTTTGTGAATGAGAGTATGGAACACCCATGGGCCTGAGTATTAGACTTGAATTCTAATCCTGGTTCTACAAACTAAGGAGTTATAGACCTGGCAAGCCATATTCTGTCTGTGCCTCAGGGACTCCTTCCAAATCCAGAATTCTCAAACTCCTTTTGTTATATTTACTGAGAAGCAGAGATTATTGCTATTGGAAGAAGATTTTGTGACTACTTTGGTATTTGTCTTCAAATTTCAATTGTCTCATCATCATGAGTCTTTCTGAAATCTTCCAGAACATTGCTGCTTCTACAGATTTAGGTGCGGGTTAATAAGGGCTGGAGAGTTTTGATTATTCCTGAAGGCAATGATTAGCAGAGTTATATAAACTTATCATATTTGTACTTTGTAAACATCTGCTAAATTTTTTATGTTCAATTAAAATCCAAGACAGGGATATTTTTTAAACAAAGAACGGGGTATTCAAATTATAATATTTCTAGGACGGCCTGGAATCCATAAAATTTCTGGGATAATATTTCTGGAAATACATTCATTTAGAGAGCATTAAACCGGTGGGCGGATGGCAAAAACATTTTGTGGTGGTGGTTTTTTCCCCCATGTGAGATCGACTGTTCTCTGCCTTTCTACTTATTTGATCTATGTTAAAAAAAGTAAAGGGCTTTTGTTGTGTTTTGTTTTATTTGTTATATTTTGTGTGTTTGATATAAAGCCTGGGGGAAAATGACATTTTGAAGGATAGATCCAACTCTTCTTGTTCCAGGGCCAGATTTTAAACATTTCTCCTAAAGCAACTTTCAACTGACCTGAACAATGTTTTAGTCCATCTGGATATCTGATCATAAAAGCACTTTGGGCTTAGAACTGTATGCTTATCTTTTACACATTCTGGGTTAGGTCACCTTCAGTGCACCTATAGGTTGTTGCCAGTATGTATTATAATCATTTTCTGGTTATTGGAATGATCATGGCTGATCTGTACAGCCAAAACTGAGCATAAGATGTTGCTTAGCAATGTATACCTAAAGGAGATACCTCATTTCAGGAATTATGTAGTATAGTGGACAGAAATCTTCTGGCTTAAAAAACTAATGTTGTATATGACCTTGAGCAACTTAAAGTCCTCTTCCAGAAAACAGTGAATTTTACATTTCTTCTCTCTCCAAACTTGGATCTTGGGTTATCCAGAATGGCTTCCCAATAGATTCAAATCAATGAGAAAATGCATTTTACTGTTTTTTTTATCAAGTTTATGCAAGATGAGAAGGTATATGGATTGTGCAATTTGTGCCCATAACTATGTTCTTTTAACACAGGAAAATTAAGGAAGTTTTTCAAAGAACCCTATTCCGAGTAAGAAGTGTGTTGCATGAATTTCTAAGGTAGGTTTTGCCCAGATCACCTTTATAATTTTGATGGTCTTCATTTTCCTTTCTGTCTACACTTGGACATTGGAAAAAAAAATTGAGCAAGCTAGCTTTGTAAAAGTGAAGTCTTCTGAATTAGGCACCTCAGGAATCAAGGGCTTGTAACGCTTTCTGAAACAAGATTTGCTGCAAAGTTCCTTGGATGGAGACACTGAACACTGTTGAGTATTCACCCTGTGGTAGATTTTTGTCCCCGGGCACTAATAACAGTGTGACCTTGGGCAAATTGTGTAAACCTTCCAAATTTAGGTTTCCTCATCTGCAAAGTGGGTTGTTGGGAAGATTAAATAGGGGAATCAGGTAAAAGTACAGAGAGGGCCTGACACATAGGAAGTGCTCAAAAGATGCTTGTTGCTGTTGGCTTGATGATGTGTCCCTTCTTTTCCAAGTACTTACTTTCCTCCTATCTGAAGGCAAAGGCTACACAGCAATTGGTCTGGACTGTTCCTCACCAAATAATTAAGGATCCTGAGCTGTGGCAGGTGCCCCTGTAACCCAGCAATGGAGACCCTGAGTTATTTTTGTTTCAAGCCAAACTCAATGTTATTGGATACTCTTTTTCTAAACAAAAGTAACATAGAATAAGCCCTTAATAGTATTTCAAACCTTCTTTTAAAATTCAATAATGACTTTCTAGGTATCATTTTAACAACTTTATAAAAATGAATCAGATCCTTGAGTTGAAGAAAAATAACTCCTTACATTATATACCTATACGTAGCAAAATTGGAAATTTATGTAGTAGATCATGTACCAGGTAGTATTTTAATATTCTAGATTTTCACTTCAGAGAGAATTATGATAAATTTAAAAACAAAAATATAACGTCCTGTGAATCTTACAACAAACATTCTGCTAACCAGTGTATCCATACTCTCCTTCCCTTTCCTCTCCCTCTCCTCCTTTCCCCTCCCCTTTTCCCCTTTCCCCTCCCTTCCCTTCCCCTTCCCCTTCCCCTTCTTCTCCTTCTCCTCCTTCTTCTCCTTCTCCTTCTCCTCCTTTTCCTTCCTTCCTTCCTTCCTTCCTTCCAACAGAAATGTATTTCTCACAAGTCTGGAGATGGGAAGTCAAAGACCAAAGTACCAGCAGAATGGTTGTCTAGTGAGGGCCCTCTTCCTCCTAGATGACAGTCTTTGCACTGTGTCCTCAAGGGTAGAAGGAATGAGCCAGCTCTCTGGGGTCTCTTTTATAAAAGTGCTAATCCCAGTCAAGAGGGCTCTGCCAGGGGCCCTGCCTCCCAATATTATCACCTTGGTGCTAACCAATATTTTCTAACTTCCATTTGCTACTCTAATGTTAACTCTGTTATCTCAATTTTAATAATAATAATAGCTGACATTTGCTGATGACATGCCTTACACTGCATTCATTAACATCTCAATCTCATTTAATTTGAAAGAGATAAAGCAACAGCCAATACACACATTACCACTTTTTTTCCTATCCTGTTACAAAGGAGATGAGGTTGTGGGAGAACTCTCTTTAGGCATTGTTCACATCAGGACACTTGAGAAACAGATCCTTCATATCCTTTGGACAACTCTTGTACTTCAGTTGGCTTTAAGCATTATCAGAGCATCCTTGACATGATGCCAGGTCCTAACACCGCTTCAGTGAAAGCTCAGAGACAAGCAAAAGATAATTGATCTATTTTGTGCCGCATGACATACTCGATGAGCAGCAACATATACTGTGGTGTTTGGCCTCCATAAACTGCAGAGAAATTGAAATATAGTAATAAACTTTATGCACGGACAAAGGGTGACCTAGGATATCACTGAACTCTTCTGCCTTCATAACCAAATGTCAAAATGCTAATAGTCTGTTCCTTGTGGAAAAATGTTGAGTTTTCATTCGGGAGATCAGGACTTACACACTAACTCAACCTACAGTAGACACTTGCTAGAGAATAAAACACAATAATGCACGTAGAATCGTTCTGTAAACTGTAAAGAATTTTACAAATATGAAATTTTATTATGGTTTTAGTCTTGTATCTATTAAATGTATACCTATTAGCATGCACACTTTTTTCTTCTAGCATCAAAGGTTGCTTAAAATAACAGTGGAACATTTAAAAGCAAGAGAATTCTAATTTACCATCATTCAAATTATGTTAAATCCAACTCAACTTTATAAGCTAAGGAACATGTGAAGGATAAATAAAAATTTGATAGTTAAGAAGATAAATATATGCAGATAAATTATGTGATGAGTCAAATTGATTATTACAGGACAATATACTGTATTAATAAAACAGACTAAATTTAAATGTATTGTGCAATGGCAAACCTAGTGCCTTCTTGGAAAAACATGCCTTAACAAGCTCATGTGGTTGCAAGGTTGATAATATCTTGATAATAACTTATGTTGTTCTTATTCCTAGTAATTGCTGGCCTCCTTATGACCTTCCGCCTAGTTTCAGGCAGTAGCTAGGAGAGCTAGACTAACTGCTCCAGAGAAGTGAGGCCAAGGCATGCAACAGAGTCACTTCTCCGCTTTTCCATTTCAAAGTAGACAATAGGGGAAGATATAACAAAAGCCAAAATTTATGCAGTAAAGAAAAAATTGGGGAAGAATGCAATTAATGAAAGACCTACACTATACAAGGATTTCACTGGACGAAGTGAAGAATAGGGAGCTTGTAAAGAAGATCAAGATAGTTGGACAGGTGGAATGTCTCCAAGACCTTTCCACTCGCCTCCCCACTTGTTGAGCATGGGAGCTGGGCAAATGGATGATAGACCATCCAGATAAATTTTGGCATCTAAAAGTAATTGTCACTTGCATCTTGTTTCTCAAGAAGGACCTTGAAAGTAAGCAAACTCCTAGAGCTCCCTAATCCCATGCACCACATTGGCTTGGAGCAGCAACAGTAGCAGTAGAATAGCAGAGCAGGGGGACTCAAGGCCAAGACGGTCTTGTTACAGGCAACTCCCTGAGCCTCCTTCCATCCGAGAGGTACCTGAGAACCTCTAAAAATTTCATTTCCCCCTGAAAGGTGAGAAAGTGACTGAGAGAGGGCTGATAAACTAGGGTCCTCCAGGTCGGGATTGGGAAAATTCAGAATATACATGGATAAAGAACCAGGGACTGGCCATGATAGGACCTACACCTATTACTTCATATGACTTGCTAATAGGAGTCAATGCTGACAGCCATAGACCTTCCTGGGCTTCTCCCTGGGGCCTCAATTTCAGTCCAGCGTTAAGAACTTAGTTTTGGTCTCAGGGAGAAGGATAGGGAGATGGAAATTTTACCTGAGTTTAAAAACCTGAATTTATGCAGATATGACATTTTCTGGATACATTTTGACAAGAGTAGAACTAGGGGAATCAAAATAGAGATTATGTTGAGTAACAGGGAAATAGAGTTACAGTTCTTGCCTATCATCTGAGTATATGGACTGAAATACTGTACCTGCTACATACATTGTAAGCAAAGTGAGGTCATGGCCAGAGCCCAAGGGTTTGAGGAGCCTTCTATGACGTGATGAGATGGTCTTGGGTCCCCTATATGATTAGCTTGTGGTGGTACATTAGGACTAAATATTCCAAATGCATTAACATAAAGCTGAAGTGATGTCCTTAGTGAACTTGGTCTTAAAAATTAAGAGCATTTTGGTTGGGTGACCTACCAACAACATACAGGGAAGAGATACAGGATCTTGGTTGATTCTCACTGCAGTAGACATTGATTTTGTGGTGTAGCAGCTTGTAAAATTAATGCAAATTTGAGATGAACTAATAAAAATATAGTTCATGAAGGTGCCCCACTACTTGCCCTACCTCTCCTCTCCTGTTACAATAGATCACCCATCTTTGTTCCCATCTGAGGACTCAGGTAATGGACTTCATCTCTTCTTGTCTTCTCAAGGATTTTGCATCTGCCATTATCCTTTCTCCCTCCTGTATCCTCAGTTGTTTTCTTCTCTACTGGATCAATGTCATCAACATACAAATATTATCTAGTATTTCTCATATTAAAAAAAAAACTTAACTTGCACATACACCCCTGTACCTCCTCCAGCTACCTTTCTGTTTCTTTTTAGAGCAAAACTTATTGAATGAAAAACTTGTTCATATTTACTTTCTCTTTCTGCTCTTTTTCTCTCGAACATACATCAATCAGATTTTTGTCGTCACCCCTCTACGGCTACACATTGTCACAGTCCATATCTTATTTGGCCAATTAGCAGCACCTCACACAGTTTGTTGCTTATTTTTTTATGGATTAGGTAAAATGAGTGTTTACATTTATAAAGCAGGACATCTTAGGAGAACTCCAAGGTTTGGATTGATGGCCTGTTCTATTGTAATATTTTGTATATTATAGTTTAGTGTCATTATGATTCATGGTGATAAGTAGTAAAGACTTAACCCCAAAGCTGGCTTACTATGCTTATTTAATGTATTTTTTTCAATTATATTTAAAATATATTTTCTATTCATTCAGTGCATCCACTATAAAATTTATTAGATAACTTGAATGAGCTGCTTCTCCAAAAAGCATGATCGCTAAAGAGCACTCTTAGTTTACTAGCTGTAACAAGGGATTTGAAGCTGGGACTTCAGGCATAAATATTTGAGTCTTGGAACTTTTCTCTGGTTTTGTGATATATATAGTAACCTACAATTTTATACACATAATATGTAATATTAACATACTATATGTAATTTCTATGTTTAGTATTGTAAACTTCTTAGAAACATAAATACATTGTGGTATACATTGTGTACTATTATAAATATAATTCATAAATATATAACATAATCACAAACAATATATACTAATTATGTTATAGGCATATATAGTTAATATGTTGAATTTTATATGTATGTATATAATTTATATATTCTTTGGCTGCAGGAACCTGAGACTCATACCAGTTAATTTGTTTAGAATGGTTTTGTTATATTGATATATGTGGAGCAAATTAGAGGTATGGAATTTCATGGATATTTAAGCCTAGGAGTCAGTCCTGGCCTAGGTGTCCTGGAGTTTAGCGGGAGTTTGAGGGGTCTTGGCAGCAGGAATTCACGGCTTATACAGGTAATCCACTCCTGACGTGCCTCGCTCCTTCTCCCTATGTCTCCATCTCCTCACTGTCACCTAGTGCTCTGTATTTTGGCTCTCCCTCCCAGCCCCTGCCTACTCCTGTTCTGCTTCCTCCTCGTAATGCTCCTTCTTCTTGCCAGGATTTCTTGTGGCACTGACTTACAGCTTTTAGCCTTAACTTCCATGGTTGAGAGGAAGCATCAGCTTTTCTTGAGGCAGGACATATCATAGCAGCTCTGGCTCCGTGACCTGTGGTTGGGTGGAGGGAGAGAGCTAGGGCTCTGAGATCTGCATAGGATTTCCCTTTACTTAGGGATGTGGGCGGGACCAGTTCACGTGAATGGAGCTGTGGTAGGCAGATGTGATGACTGACATATAAAACATATTAAAACATAGTCATTGAAAGCTTCTGATGTGGTTCAAATTTCAGGGTCAATCTTCATTTAAGAACAAAAATACATTCTACTCAGTTTAAATGAAATATAGTGTTCAAAATCACTAAGTATAAGCTCTTATAACACAGATGCTGTATGATAGAAGCACATATCACTCCATTTTTTCTATATTAATGTTTGTAGATTTTTTTCTTTAAATTGTTGGACTAATAATGACTTTGTAAATTATAATTGCTAATATTCTCTGGAGTGGAAGGCTTTTCAAATCACCTTCCACATTAATACCTATTTAAATTAAAAAAACTGAGTTGCATTTGGAATTTCTGGGTTTTTCTGTTTGTCATGCAAACATTCAGCTCTGTTCTTTTTATGATAATATGAAATAAAGTAGTTTCTCACAGTAACATTGTAAATCATTTGCTTTCTATTACATGCAGCTGGTTTTGTTACTATAATGATTTTCTATGAGTGCATATTGCAGAACACATAAGATGCAATGTGATATTCCTTTACTCAGAATTTGTATGCAATTATTGTTTGCCCAAAAATAATGAGAAAATTTGGAAATATAGTAATTTATTGTAATACATTTCTTTTTAATATGTATCTACACTGAGGGAAAAAATCTAACTTAAAAAAATGACATGCCATCTTTTTTTGTTACATAGACTAGAGTTTTCATCTCATGGAAAATTCAGAATCAAAATCAAAAACAGCTGAGGTAGTTACTTGGGTGCCTTCCTTCAGCTTATTCAAAAGAATATAGGATGAACAGTAAGAATTAAGTAAACCACAAATTATTTTGGAGTGTCTGGTTTATGTTATAAATAAATTTTTCACTGCTGGTTGTTTTTTCAAAGATAATGCCTGTATTTTTGATATTCATTCCTGTGATCTAATGTAAACTCTGTCCTGCCAGTTTGGTGTATTGGTAGTTCATGACTAAACTTTTTTTATTACACTCATATGCTATAAATATTTCTCACTCTGCTCTTTTGAATCTCCCTAAATGGCAATAGTCTTTAAGACATGTCACGGAAAATGTTAAGAGAAATGTCCCACTTTTGTGTGGGTACATATTAATTTCACACCTTGAATGGAGCCTAGTTTCATCAATAATGAAGCATCTACTTTTCAGATGCTGAATTAAAAATTATTTTATTATTAAGAAGAAACAACAACAGCAACAACAAAAAGTAGAAGCAACAACAACAAAAACAGTCAAAATGAATTGTCACTGTGGCATCAATGTTTTGTTCCTTATTGGTCTTGACTAGAATTTTAAAAGACTTGATGGTAAATCCACATTTGTTTGTAGTTTAATGAAATCATAGTACGTTAGATTTTGGTTTTAAAGTATAAATGTTTGTGAACCTTTTCTTATATACTTAAAAAAAATACTCATATTTTCATTCCTAACTACAAAGGTACCATCACTAACATAGTGCATTGCATGTAATAGGGAAGACAGAAGATTACTAGTTATTGCCTGTGTGCCACATATATTAGTAGTGTGTTTAATTCTCACTACAATGTTCCGTTATTAGTCTCATTTCCTCAGTAGTTCCTGTGGCTCCATAGAAAGGAGCACAGAGTTTATAAGAGGGGGCAGAGTGGGGCAACATTGCACCAAGAAAAGGTTTCAGAGGCAAGAACTGATGGAGAGGGTGATCCCTTAGGAGTGAGACATCAGGTTGAGCGTGGTGGCCATCTGTAATCCCAGCACTTTGGGAGGCCCAGGCAGGCGGATCACTTGAGGTCAGGAGTTTGAGATCAGCCTGGCCAACATGGTGAAACCCATCTCTACTAAAAAAAAAAAAAAAAAAAAAATAGAAAAATTAGCTGGGCATGGGGCGGGTGCCTGTAATCCCAGCTACTTAGGAGACTGAAGGAGAAGAATCACTTGATCCTGGGAGGGGGAGGTTGCAGTTAGCCAAGATCATGCCACTGCACTTCAGCCTGGGCGACAGGGCAACACTTCATCTCAAAAAAAAAAAAAAAAAGGAGTGAGCCATCAGTGATGGAGAGGCCAGCATGATGCTCACTATGACCTAAGAACATATGGAACCAGCCAGAGCAGCCAAATGAAAAAGCAGCCCTCCACACTGCTGACAATTAAGTAACCAGTTACCCAAGAAGATCCCTTTTCCCTGGAAGTGTTAGGTCTCCAAAGGAAGTAGGGTCATCTCAAACCAAATATCCCCTCCACCTCCTGTCCCACTCCCATTTAAAGAGAAGACCACGCTACCTCCCCATTCCAAGTTCCTTGAGCCACCCATCGAGGGTGAAGTAAGATTGGGCGAGTGCTTTCGAGAGGATATAAATTGAACTTTGTAAGCCTGAACAGATATGTATGTGTTTTAATTCCAGTGTGCTCAGAATATTATGAAACCTGTTGAAGATATTGTTAAGGGATGTGTCTACCATAAACCCTCTTAAAGAAAAAACAGAAAAATCTGTAGATCAAGTGAAAAGAAGTTTATTAGATCTGCAGAGTCTTAGTGGTACCTTAAAGTGAGGGAATGAGGAAAAGGTGCTGGGACCTTGGTTGGTTGTTTTAAGGTAGATATTGCAAGGCAGGGGTGGGAGTAACTGGATGAGCTTGGGCAGTGTGACATAATAGCTTTGATCAGTTTAAAGCAAGGTTAGGGGCTTGAAGTGAATCCTCTGAGGAAGTTGCTAGTCTTAATCTGTAAACTGTTTAGTTGACAGCTCACCTTCTAGAACTGGTTTATAGTACTCTCTTTCAGAACAGTCCTCTTCTAGATCAAGCAGCCATGTTATTTTGCTTGGTCTCAGTATTGTTGAACACAGGGAGAGAGAATTATTCCTGATCTCAGTACTGTTTTAACACAGGGACAAGAAATGATAAGAATTTTAGCTCTCAAATGAGAACAGCAGATTTGCCCAAATCAGTGCTAAAAGTGGTGATTGGACAAAAATAAAGCTCTTTTACATTTATACCCCCACTTCACTGAGGCTTTGAGATAAATAAATTACATTATTACCTTTATTTGGAATTGGAAGCTCAAAGAAGTTAAAAAATTGTCCAAGATCACAAAATGAATGAGTGGAGGAGTCAGAATTCAAACTCAGCTCTGTGTAAGGATAATCTGGATGAGATATTTGCTGCCCCGTTGATTACCTGTGTTGGTACGATCTAACTTTAAAGTCTTCCCTTCTCATCTCCCCCCACACCCACTACTCCAAGGAAAACTTAACCTTTTTTCTTAGCAGAGCTTTGATACAATTTATTTTTCTGTTAAGGGCTTAAAACAAAAACATGCCCTTGGCATGAAGCATGTTGGTACTTAATTACATACTCTCTTCCATAGTTCTTTGTCTCTTCTTTTCAAAAATATTGAGAAAAGCTGGAAGTGCTTCTTACACTTCTTTTGTATCTCCCAGCACTTAGAAATGCTAAGCACAGAGTAGAGGCCCAAATACTCCATTTAACTGGACTGAATATTTGCCAGTCCTCCAGTAACAATGTCTCCACTACAGAATTTTAGCTACTATTTAAGGCACAGTTGCTCTGCCAAATATTTGTTGTGAAGAATAAGCAAATATTTCCCAAAATGTTCAGGCAAGCATATTACCACTGCAAACACGTTTTTCACTGTGAAGTTTTTCTCTTATTTTCATATTTATATGTATGTGTGTGTGTGTGTGTGTGTGTGTGTGTGTGTGTGTATGTATATAGCAGTGTCTCAACTGCATCAGAAATAAAGATAAGACTACAGAAACAGAACAATTGGCATTTCAGTTCTATGTGTTAAAGATGGTTGTTTCAATCCCCTGACCGTAAAAACAAAGACAGTGACTCAGGAAATAGTGGAGATTGTCCTCATATATGTTTTTATTTAAAAAAAAAATTCATCTCTTATATCACAGGGTATGGAATAGAAGTGGAGAAAGGTGGAGGGCATTTGTTTTCCTGAGAACGTTCTCTATAACCTTCCTGACCTCCACAGGCCACCTTCAGACTGCCCTTCTCTTATTCTTTAGCGCTACCACAAAGGGTCATGTAACTTGATTTTTCAGTTGGATAAAAATATTAGCAAGTGGGGACCTTACACAATGTTATTTCCTTAGGTTCCCACATTCATCTAAGGAGAGCCAGAGCTACCACCATTTTGATTAAAATGATTCGCTTTCAATAAGATTCTAAATTGTTTTAAGATGGTGGAACTGAGCACAGGTGGCCAGTGGTCACTGAGTGCTTTCAGTGGTTTAGACGATTCAGGAAACAGTGACAGACTCTACTGTCACCAGTTGGGTGGGGATCATGGTCTGTGTTTTCTTTGGGAAGGCAGAGAAGCAGGTAGAGGTGGCTTTAACCACTAGTAGTCAGTGTGTCGTCCCTGGTAAATACGTCGATACAAAAGGGATATACACATTTCAGACTCGAAAAGCCATCTGTTCTATGCTTCCAGTGAAGATCAACTAGCAGAGTGAAATGGAAAACGAGGCAATTACTCTAGGCACAAATGCCTTGATTTGAAATTACCTAGATCATGTATGCTTGGTATTTTTGTGGTTGTCACTGAAACTAAAGCAATTCTCTGAATTATTTAGCAAACAACTTTATCCATTCGACTAAGTTAATAGACTCAATGTCAAACATCCAGGACATTCATAAAATATCCAGCTTTGCACGAGGATAATTTTCAAACCTTTGAGCCTGCAATGGGAATAGATTCTTCTACCTTGTGAGTGAAGTGTGCAGCCCTGCTGCTCAGAGGGGACCCCTCACCCCTCCTCCCTACTACCTCTTAAGTCTTCTCTTTTCTTTAGTCTTTTCTCCACCCACCCTCTCCTTCCTACACAAACTTATTTTGCTTTTCCTAGTTCAGAACGCTCTGAGTTATGTAGACAAAACATTTTATTGTTTGATTAAAAAAACTTTTATTCAACGTCACATTCAAGTTACTGCCTACAAAGTTGTTATAGTTTTTCCTTACATATTTATACCACCTTTGGAGCTTCTATGTCTAAACTATATCCTTTAAGGAAATAAATTAAAATGAATTTCCCTGAATGGGCTTTGAGTGAGCAAGAACTTGTTATTGCAGAACCTCTAGGCCACTTGACTGTCACAACCTCCTCAGGTGGGATGGCTAAGAATGTTTAAATACAGAAGCTCTGCAGAGAAATTTCCTCTAACCATTTGATGCCTAAGAAAGAACAAACACCTAGTGTCTAAAGAATGTTACCTGTCCTTCAGCTCTTATCTCTGTTTGGTTTTCAGGGAGTTGGCTTCCAGCCTGATAACAGATCTCGCCCTTACCTCGTGACCTAGCCTTCTGGTACCAGGTCCCTGTTTTGTGCCTTCTCAGTGCCCACTTTCTCCTTTTGTCTTCTTGTTTTGACCTTGGTTCGTTAACCTCATTAACTCAGGCTACACAAACCTCTAGCAGAGGCCAGGCACACCCCTCAAGCATGACGCTGCCCCTCCTGGTCTGGCTGCTGGAGCCCTGCTAACTGGGAACAGACACCCTCCCTTGGTTCCATCTTCCTCAGTAAACCAGAGTTGAGTTCAAGTAGGTTAAAGCATTACATTTGTAAATTTGTAAAGGATCAAGTTGTGAAAAGAACGGCAATCTTGTTCTTGGAGACTTTATTAGCCAGTAAATGGAATATGATACATTTATAGGAGTGAAGACCCAAGCTTTCTGAACTTCATTGAGCCAGAAAGATGTGTTTTATTTCATGGAGTTTATGGAATGACTACAGCATAGGTGAGCTTTTACACAGCACCACATTGACTTGAGGTAATCATAAAATAAAAATGGGCAAGGAGACCCTTCAGGTCGAAGTATAATTTATATATACATTTACCCAATCCAATGCAAAGACCCCATACCATATGCTTTTAATTTTTGGTTAAATTTTTAAGCTCTTTTGTTTGCTTTTTTGATGTAAAAGAAGTATGATTAACCTTTTTTTTTAAAAAAAAGATACTTGCTGCTTTCCATAAAACTTGTATTATAATAAAATGCACTGACTACTGTAACACTCATATCAGCAAAAAGTGACACAAGATAGCATTAAAAAGTCCTTCACTGTGACAAAATAAATCAGAATTGTGTGGTAAACCCTTTACAGCTTGTTATCATTTTGCTAAGAAAATAGAGCTACTGGCAACTTTTATATGGCGAAGCTGAACATAGGCTAGAAAGGTTTTCCAGATGATGCTAAAATCCTCAGCTATATTGACGTAGGTCTTCTATTTCTTGTTATGTCATGAATTTTGGAAAATAAACCTTCTGAGAGGGAAAAGGTAAACATTTTAGGACCAGAATGAACTAGCATAAACTATCAAGAACAAATAGGGTGTATAAATAGCAGGGTTAGAGAATTGTTAGATTGATGATTGATTGATAGATAGAGAGAGAGAGAAGTTTCTTGTTAATTTTGAATGTTTTTTTACATTTATCATAAGCCAGAAAATTAGCTCAGTTAGTTAGTTGAAAGGAAGGGCACAAAGTAATTTAGGTGGTTGATTTTTTAAAAATACTTGTTAATTTTTTTATTTTTCAAGTGCTTTTTCCATTTAGAATGGCAAAGACAAAGATGATACCACTTCATTTATTTCTATTCTCATTGTGCATTCTCAGCACACATGAGCCAAACAAATCAAGTCACACACACACAGCATGACAGTCTCTCTGACTCCCTCCTATGTCTTGCCAAAGAAATGATAGTCAAGAGTTGGATGTGCATTCTTTCAGTCTTTTCTATGGATTTCACACATATGTTTACAAACCTGTACATATATTGTTTACATAAATAAGATCATAATTTATCTGTTGTGCTTCAGCCTGTTTTTCACTCAATATGCCATGAGCTCTTTTTAAACACGTCACCTTTTTTGTTTTTTTTAAACTGGCTACATAGAATTTCATAGCGTGGTTATGTCATATTTCAGTTTCCTATTTTACTACATTTATTTTCAGGGTTTCACTGTTATAAAAGTGCTACAATGAATATTCTTGTATATTACTTTTAAAAAAGTGACAGTGTTTCTCTGGGATAGCTTCCCAGAAATGGAATTGCTGAGTCAAATAGTAAGCCTTTTTAAAGTGTTATAGGTTTTACTAAATTGCCTTCCAAAAAGCTTATTTATCTTTTCATTAAATATATAAGCATACCTATTTTCTCACATCCTTGAAAGCTCCTGACATTATAAACATTTTTGTTTTATCTTTCTAGCTGTGGAAGTGGAGATTTATATTTCATTATTGTTCTAATATTTATTTACTTAATTATATGGTCAATTGTGTGTTTATTTCTTTATTTACTAATTATGTTTTTTCCTGAATTGCCTATTCCATTTTTTATACATTTTTCTTTGGGGTTGTTTGTTTTTTCTTTGGTGACTTGTTGATACTTTTTACGTATTTTGGATATTAAGTCTCTGTTAAATATGTGGCAGATATTTTCTTCCAGTCTGTTGCTTTTTTTTGAGCTTTATTTCTGAATCCTGTTTTAGCGTGTAACAATATTGCTAGCACTTAAAATTTCAATAAAGCAGCCAGCTAACTATTCGTTCAGTTCACAAATTATTTAATTAGTTTTCATTTTACTTATTCAGTTCCACATTAATTATTATTTAAATAATTTTAAAACATAAGCTTGAATTTTATTTATTTTATTCTGAGTTGACAAAAAGTACTTATAACTTTTTTCTCTTTATTTTAAATGTTTCCCTCCCTTTAGAATGCTATTTCGCATTATCACCTTCATCTCTTAAATTATATCCTTCTTTTTTTTTTTTAGAGATAGGGTCTCACTCTGTCACCTAGGCTGGAGTGCAGTGGTGCCATCACAACTCACTTTCAGCTTGAACTCCTGGGCTCAAGCCATCCTCCCACCTCAGCCTCCAGAGTAGCTGGGACTACAAACACACACCACCATGCTGGCTCATTTTTGTATTTTTAGTAGAGACAAGGTCTCACTATGTTGCCCAGGCTGCTCTCAAACTCCTGGCCTCAAGTGATCCTCACACCTCAGCTTCCCAAAGTGCTCAAATTATAGGCATAAGCCACTGTGCTTGGCCAAAATTATGTCTAAGTTTTATCTTCATATATTTAGAGGAAATTATGTCTATTTTTGGCATATGAAAAGGTACCCCAAATATGAAAAGTTTACTTTAGCACCTGTGGCACACAGACCCTAAAGTGACCCCCAATGAACTCTGCTTTTTGGTGTCCACTCCCTTGTATAACTCCCTCCCTTTGAGTGTGGGCAGGTCCTGTGACTTGTTTCTAACTATTAGGACACAACAGTGGTGATGGGCTGTCATTCCCATGATTACATCACATTATATAAGGCTCCAACTCACTAGCTCTCACTCTCATGCTGCTCATGAAGAAATAAGCTGGAATGGTATGAGCTGCCCATGGAGAGGTCCATGTGGTAGGGAACAGTGGGTGGCCTCTACAACCTGAGGGCCTCAGTCCTGCAACCACAAGGGGATGAATTTTGCCAACAATCTGAAGGAGCTTGGAAGCAGATTTTTCCTCAGTCGGATCTCCAGATAAGAATGCAGCTTAGCCAATACCTTGATTGTAGCCTTGTGAAACTCTTAACAGAGGATCCAGATAAGCTATGCACAGACCCCTGAACCACAGATGCTTTAAGGTAGTAAATGTGTATTGTTTTAGCTGCTAAGTCTGCAGTAGTTTGTTACACAGCAATAGATAACTAATATAGCACCCACATTTGAAATATACATAGACATCATTAGGAACAAAAATAGTATGGACTAGAGATTGAAGTATTAGTTCTTTGGCACTATAATCATGTTAGAAAAATGTGCTATGGAGTAATACATATAATACTATATGATACAGAAAATGCTCATGTTTTTCTAGCTCTTAAAATGTAGTCTCAATATTTTACTATTATATTATTACTGTAATAGAGAAAATCATTAGAAACTGGGGAAAACTATTAGATCAAGCTTTAAAACTCCTAGAACTATATTGCATAAAACACCTAGCATAATTAATTATGAGTCTGGTTATTGGTATTTTACCTGTGCAGACACTGAAACAAATACAGCATCTACTCTAGAGCTTTTAAACACACAGTTACTTATATGTTTCATAAATGAAGATCTAAGTGACTTTAAAAAGTGAGAAAACAAAGATCAGATAGTTGTAGATGTGTGGTATTATTTCTGAGGGCTCTGTTCTGTTCCATTGGTCTGTATCTCTGTTTTGGTACCAGTACCATGCTGTTTTGGTTACTGTAGCCTTGTAGTATAGTTTGAAGTCAGGTAGCGTGATGCCTCCAGCTTTGTTCTTTTGGCTTAGGATTGACTTGGCAATGCGGGCTCTTTTTTGGTTCCATATGAACTTTAAAGTAGTTTTTCCAATTCTGTGAAGAAAGACAAAAAGAAGAAATGGGGAAAGGATTCCCTATTTAACAAATGGTGCTGGGAAAACTGGCTAGCCATATGTAGAAAGCTGAAACTGGATCCCTTCCTTACACCTTATGCAAAAATTAATTCAAGATGGATTAAAGACTTAAATGTTAGACCTAAAACCATAAAAACCCTAGAAGAAAACCTAGGCAATACCATTCAGGACATAGGCATGAGCAAGGACTTCATGTCTAAAACACCAAAAGCAATGGCAGCAAAAGCCAAAATTGACAAATGGGATCTAATTAAACTAAAGAGCTTCTGCACAGCAAAAGAAACTACCATCAGAGTGAACAGGCAACCTACAGAACGGGAGAAAATTTTTGCAATCTACTCATCTGACAAAGGGCTAATATCAAGAATCTACAAAGAACTCAAACAAATTTACAAGAAAAAAACAAACAACCCCATCAACAAGTGGGCAAAGGATATGAACAGACACTTCTCAAAAGAAGACATATATGCAGCCAACAGACACATGAAAAAATGCTCATCATCACTGGCCATCAGAGAAATGCAAATCAAAACCACAATGAGATACCATCTCATACCAGTTAGAATGGCAATCATTAAAAAGTCAGGAAACAACAGGTGCTGGAGAGGATGTGGAGAAATAGGAACACTTTTACACTGTTGGTGGGACTGTAAACTAGTTCAACCATTGTGGAAGACAGTGTGGTGATTCCTCAGGGATCTAGAACTAGAAATACCATTTGACCCAGCCATCCCATTACTGGGTATATACCCAAAGGAATATAAATCATGCTGCTATAAAGACACATGCACACATATGTTTACTGCAGCACTACTCACAATAGCAAAGACTTGGAACCAACCCAAATGTCCAACAATGACAGACTGGATTAAGAAAATGTGGCACATATACACCATGGAATACTATGCAGCCATAAAAAATGATGAGTTCATGTCCTTTGTAGGGACATGGATGAACCTGGAAACCATCATTCTCAGCAAACTATCGCAAGGACAAAAAACAAACACCACATGTTCTCACTCATAGGTGGGAATTGAACAGTAAGAACACTTGGACACAGGAAGGGGAACATCACACACTGGGGCCTGTTGTGGGGTGGGGGGAGGGGGAGGGATAGCATTAGGAGCTATACCTAATGTAAATGATGAGTTAATGGGTGCAGCTCACCAACATGGCACATGTATACATATGTAACAAACCTACACATTGTGCACATGTACCGTAGAACTTAAAGTATAATAAATATATATGTATTTATATATAGATATGTATTTATATATATATGTGTGTGTGTGTATATGTATGTGTGTATATATATATATATATATATATATATATATATATATATATATAAATATATATATAAAGTGAGAAAACAAAACCTTCTGTTCAGGAGGAATTTCTGAGTCTTCCATCACCATCCTTTCTCTGCCTTCCCCCTTCCCCCTATTTGCTGTGGTCACTTCTGTGATTGTCTTTTATTTCACATTGTCGTTCTTTCCCTTTCTTCACTTTTTCCTTTTGCTCATCATTTATGTAATCCATACAATGAGGTACTACTTTTTTTTTTAGGGTATTGACTAAGGATTCAGCTTTAAAAAATGTATTATCAAATAATTATTTGGTCAGACTCAGTAGTTTTTCAGATTCAGCATGGTAAAAAGTTTGATTGCTAAACTGCTCAAAGATAAATGACTTTATTTCCTTCGTGCTCTGCAGACTCCCCTGAGACATGTATTCTGGTTCCTGGCTGTGTCCCTTTGCAGTTGCTTGAGTATAGTGCATGTTTATTTCAAGCTTAATAATCATTGCCTTTTCCCAGCCTCCGTTCTTGTCAGTTTTGATATGAGGCTTCTTTTCTATAGAAAGGTCTAGCCAGTGACTCCCATGCCACTTGACATCTTGGTCCTCACCATTTCCAGCTTTACCCATGTTTGCAGGTATCTGAATAAATTTCCAGCTCATTTTCCAAACTTCACACAGCACTTTTCACTTTCTACTTTGCTTCATACTCTGTACCTGTCTTATCTTCTGTTATTAGAAGGCAGAATCCCATACTGCTGAGGACTGTGCTTTGCAAATAATAGGCCCTGGATAGATGACTAAGTGAATGAAAAATTATTAGAATTTTTAAAGCATAGTTAATATGCTTTAATATGGATTTTGGATTTCAGAAATTGGTGGAATTATAAGAAACAATGGGGAGGGGCCTTAGAATTGCCAGTTTTAAATGTTGCTAAGTAAATTTAGACAATCATTTACTATCATCATTATTTCATAAAATGCAGTGCAAAACAAAAATAGGGTTTATAAATGAAGTTCAACATGCACAAACAAAATTCAGAGGACATAATGTCAGGATAAAAGATTGATCTTTTCTTAAAATTGATAGATCAACTTTAAAATGACTAGTTTACTCTGTTGTCCTCTTTTCTCATTTTGCAGCAGACATCTGAAATCTTCGTATTGTACTAGCAGAGTCTATATGTTTTAAAAATCACTGAGCTAGTCTAATCTTTCACTCGATACAATTATCCTCTTTAAACCATCGTAGGTAAGATCTGCTTGTAGCATATCCAACTGTTGGAAAGCTTCCTGTCTCTTGCATGTGACTAGTAGTGGGTGGGAGAGAACCAGGTGGACAGATTCATGTAGCCATCATCATTATTTGATACAGAGCTGTTCCATCACCACAGAGAAACTCGCTGAGGTACCTCTTTACATTGTATGTTTTAAATCATTTATTTTATTCAAATAGAGTCATCGTAAACATATTCATTTAAACTCGGAAGGTGGTGGATGGGATTTTCTGAGAGGTGGAAGGCAGGCTTTGAGCCACAGAGAGCCACTCTAACATTTGAAGATTCTGGTGATGATGCTGACTGCCTGGCCACCTAAGAGGAAGAAAGGTTTACCAACCCATCTCTCAGGCTCACAGTCCATCTCCCATCACCTTTCCCCCTTTTAATACCCTTTCCCCAGCTTTTTTATCCAATAAACCTTTACTGGGCACTATTATGTCTCTATAAACTTAGAAGCTAGGAATGAAAAGATGGAAAATGAAATCCCTGCCATCCACGATTTTCAATTGAGTAACAAGACAGAGACCTACACAATGAACCACATGTAAGGAAAGGGATGCAGTGCTACAGAAGCATTGAGAAAGCAACTGATTGCGACAGGACAATTTTTACACATGAAGTGACATCTGAGCTGTTCCTTGGAAGAAAAGGGAGAATCAGGAGAAAGGGCGTTTAAGCAGCAGAAACAAAGGCTATAAACACTGGGAGTCAGGAGCATGCCCTGCAAGCATGGCCAGTGGTCTCCTGCATCAGAACAGAGGGTTATGGGAGGGAATGTGGCTGGAGAGATAGGTGGGAGCTGGATCACAAAGGGCAACAAACGCCTTGCCAAGGAGTTGGGGCTAAGCAGTTGGAGACCATCAAAAGATTTTAAGTAGGGATGTGATATAATCACATTTTTCCCCTAAAAATAAAGACAATAAAGACCATTCTGGAGTTAGTGTGGAGAATGGATTAGAAGGGTGAAAGACTGGAAACTGGAAGATCACTTCAGAGGCTGACTTTCACAATAGCCTCTTCCCTCTAGGAAATAAACTCATCTACCTCCTGGTGAGGTTCAAATTAGGAATAAACGGGTGAGTTCTTTTTTTTTTCTTATGAAAAACTAAAGATGAAAGTGGAGATGCCTCACTACAACTAGTGCTTTAATTGCAATTTCTTACAGAAAGGACAGTTCTAAAACCTGCAAGTAACTTAAATTTGATTTTTTTGTCACATAACTTTTGCTGGGACCTCTTGTATTCAAGCATCTTCATGGGCACTTGGGAGAAAATACTCAAATGCCAAGTGAGAATCTAATAAAATTATTCTTTTTTGCAGTAAAAATAGCACTTCACTAAAGTGCTGAATGATTATTTTTAAGCAGCAGAAAAAAAAATGGAGAAGGAATCCTTTAGTTTCAGCTGGAAAACCTGACTGTTGTTACTTTTCTACTACTCAATAGCATTGAGTTTTCTTGCATTTATTTGCATCTACCTCTCCAGCTGAGCCACAATAAAAAGCACCCACCTCAAATACCTAGCACTAATGGCTTAATTTGACAATTTGTATATGGTATTCTTTTATTACCCTTTAGGACCTTAATAATTAGTTTTTCTTTAGTGCAGTATTAAAGCATTAAAGGTCATAAATTCCACAGTCACCTGTATCCATTTATTGCTAATTTATTATAGAACATATCATAAAACTTTCCTTGACATATAGGCCTCTTCATAATTATAAATCTTTTTTCAACTGTTTAGATAACTTATGCTTAAGTTCAAGAAGAGACCTTTAGGAGCAAATATTTAAAACATCTATTTATTACACATTAATGGAGCAGGGTGGATAACCATGTGAAGTATTCATTTACATTCAGTATATTTATCACTTCAAACTCTTATAAAGATAAATTTGTTTTCAAGAGGGAAAAATGTTAAATGTCAAGTAGCCGTTTTCTTAAGTGCTTTAAAATGTCCAGCTGAATAAAGCCATCTTTCTAGTTAGGATAGAACACCAAAAAGATTTCCAATGAGATTAAATTTGTCACTAGTAACCTCAGTTAAGCGTAAAAACTTTGCAAACTTGATAGTTGTCTCTTCAGATGGCAAATGTATCATCTTAGTTGATAGAGAGGTTGTTTCCTCTGTTTCAACTATGGAAATAACATGTTGTAAAAAACTCAGTTTCTGAATGAATTTACCTTACTGCTAAAACTTCTGTATGGATGCGTATTTGTGGCACACATATATTCAAAAAGGGAGAGGAGAAAATCAACTTGCTGGAAAATCCATTTGTTGAATGAGTAATTTGCTGAAAATCACATTGCTTCCATTAATGTTGTCTAATATAATCAGTAACGATGATGCATGAGATAGTTGCAACACTCATAGGGACTCTTTTCTTGAAGCTTTCATTGAGCTTCAGTTTTCTGCAGCCCAGTGGTTAGCCAAGCTAGACTATCACAGGTTTTATCATACTCTGACTTTGGGAAATCAAAAATTTTAAAGTAAATATTTTCAACTACAAATGTATTGAATGTCTTATGATATATAAACAATGGGATGGGTTTTTTTCCAACATATTTTTAGTCCAGCCTTCTGCACTTTCTTAATTTACCAATTAATCAACCCAATTCAATATGAACATTTGTACACATTTTAAACATTTGAGAAGTGCCCAATGTCTCAAATAGTAAATGCACATGAACTTAACATTTTACTGAACTGACAAGTCCACTACAAATGACTAGAGTGAAAAGAATACAGCAGAACTAAAGCTGAACTAAAACCAACACTTTGATAACTATTGAACAGTTCAGCCACACAATTTGCTGAAATCTTGCTTTCTAACCGGGGCTATGTCTTCTTGATAGCATGTTCTACATGCAGCAGTGAAATGAAGATTCTGAGAAGGGATTACCATACCTACTGTAAATAGAACTTCAAATTTGAAATACATTAGCCATAAAGAATTATGCAAGAAAGAGTAAAATTGTTGCAAATCCCTGAGGAATGCAATAAGATGAATAAAGACACAAATGTAAAATAACTAGAAAGATACAGGAGCTACCATATTGCAAATTAAATTCTGGCCTCTAACTTATTAAAAACAATAAGTTGAAGTTGCTATACCACTTGGGAAATTGGTGAAATAATCTTAAAAAATGCTTCTTTAGCATTTTCAACAGACTCTTTGTCTGTTGAAACAGAAAATGGCATAAAAATCATTTTGAAAAATTGGTAGTGTATTAGTCTGCTTAGGATGCCATAAGAGAATACTACAGACTGGGTGGCTCAAACAACAATTTATTTTCTTGTAGTTCCTGGAGGCTGGAAGTCCAAGTTCAAGGTGCCAGCAGGGTTGGTTCCTGGTGACACCTCCCATGCAGCCTTGTGAATGGTCTGCTTTCTCTGTCTCCTTACGTGGTCTTTCCTCTCTGTGTGAGCATTTCTGATGTGTCTTCAACATCTTGTAAGGATTCCAGTTCTAGTAAATTAGAGCCCCCCATCCTTTTGAGCTCATCTAACCTTAATTACCTTCTTAAAGGCCCTGTCTTCAAATACAGTCACCTTGGGGATTGGAGCGTCAACATACAGATTTGGTGGAGACACAGTTCAGTTCATAACAGTATGAACTACAAATTTCCTGTGTAAATTAAAAGTCATAAATCCTGCAGTTACCTGTATCTATGTACTGATTTATTATGAATTGCTGAAAATTTTGGTTCCTTTTCTGAATATTAAATATTATTCGTAAGACTGAATAGTTTTATGATCTCTAGCTTTTGACAAATTTAACTCTCCTGTTAAGCTATAAAAAACATCTCTGATAAATCATCATCCCCGTGATTAATTTACATAAACTTTATGCTAGGCAAAATCATCAAATTTCAAGTAATTTTAGTAAATTTTATAAATTTGGCAAATTGGTGATTCAGAGACTTTTTATTATTTATAAATTATTCAGCCATAGAAAAACATGCTAGGAATAGTCATACCCTCACCAGTATCACAATTGGCAGTAGAAAGGTCTTGCATGTGGTGATGACAAGCTAGAAGAGGTCTCCAGAATTCTTTGGATATCATTTTAAATATCCCTAAGGGCTGGGTGGTCCTAAGACTATAAAAGAATGCAAGATTTCATCAGGTCAGATAGAAAATACATTTGCAAATCTAAGGCCTTCATCAGAGCCAAAGGTCTTTAGAATTCGACACATCCTAAAAGTCAAAGAAACGCAAAATTCAAGCAAGGGTTCAAACTGGGTAAGAGTTACAGGCCTCTGTGGGTAGACAAAGAACTAGGCAATGTGAACTCTGAGACCAACTACTTTCACATTAAAAAACTTAATAGCCTTTTTGATATATAGTTCTCTTACCATATAATTCATCCATTTGAAATATACAATTTAGTGGTTGTTAGTATATTCACAGATATATGCTATCATCACTACAGTCAGTTTTAGAACATTTTCACCTCAAAAAGAAATCCTATACCCTATAGCTACCAGTCCCCTATCACTGCATCTTTCTCCCCCCAGCCGTAAGTCACCACTAATCTACTTTCTGTCTCTATAAACTTTCCTGCTCCGGACCTTCAAATGAATGAAGTCATATAATATGTGGTCTTGTGTAACTAACTTATTTCACTAAGTGCGTTTTCAAGGTTCATCTATGTTGTAGCACATATCAATACTTCATTTTTCTTCTGGCTTCTTTTAAGATTTATTTATCTTTGGCTTTCTGCAGTTTCAATATGATATGCCTAGGTGTATTCTTTTTGGCATGTATTCTGCCTGGTGTACTTGGAACTCCCTGGATCTGTAGTTTGGTGTCCGACATTAATTTAAGGAAATTCACAGTCATTATTGCCTCAAATATTTCTTCCGTTCCTTCCTTTCTTCTCCTTCTGCTATTCCCGTCATGCACATCATGCACATGTTACATTGATAGTTGTCCTACCATCCTTTGATATTCTATTCCATTTTTTTCAGTCTTCTTTGCCTTTGCTCTTCAATTTTGAAAGTTTCTATTGACACATCCTCAAGCTCAGAGACTCTGCTTAGCCATGTCCGGTCTACTAATGAGCCCATCAAAAGCATTCTTCACTTCTGTCACAGTATTTTGCTCTGTATCATTTCTTTTTTATTCTTTCCTAGAACTTCCGTCTCTCTGATTACGTTATCCACATATTCTTGTGTGTTGTCTACTTTTTCCATTAGAGCCCTTAGTATATTAATCATAATTGTCTTAAATTTCCAGGCTGATAATTCTGACATTCTTGCCATATTTGAGTCTGGTTTTGATGTTTGCTCTTTCCCTTCAAACTATGTTTTTGTTTTGTTTTGTTTTGTTTTTTGTCTTTTAGTATGCCTTGCAATTTTTGAAAGCTAGAGATAATGTACTGGGTACAAGGAACTGCAGTAAATAGGCCTTTAGTAATGTGATAGTATGGTGTGGAGGGGAGAGAAAGCATTCTATAGTACCATGTATGATTCAGCATTGGTCTTTTAGTGAGCCTGGGTCCCTGGGCTGTGAACTTCACAAATGCTTCCCAGTAACCCTGCCAAACTTCCCCCGCCATAGTGCCATAGAGGGGGCTGGAGTTGGGCATTTCTCTACACCTAGGTTGGTTAGGCTCTGGTAAAATAGTTTCTTTTCAGGGCAGGTCTTATTAAGAAGAACAGAGTGCTCTGCATACTCCAAAACAGTTCCTTTTCTCCTCCCCCTGCCAGAAGCATGAGGGGTTTTTTCTCTATCTCCACTGTTAGAACCTGGAAACCAGTTTCTGGTTAGAACCTGGGAATCAGGTTCAGGTTAGAACCAGAAACCAGAAGTTTGTTCATGAGTTTTTAGAGTCAAATAATATTCCATTGTATGCCACATTTTGTTTATCCATTTGCGTATTGACAAGCATTTGGGTTGTTTCCACCTTTTGAATATTCTGAATAATACTGTTATAAACATTCATGTGTAAGTTTCTACGTGAACATATGTGTTCATTTCTCTTGGGTATATACCTAGTAGTGGAATTGCTAGGTCATATGATGACTCTACATCTAATCATTTAAGGAATGACTGAACTATTTTTCAAAGTGGCTGCACCATTTTACCTTCCCACCAGCAATGTATGAGACAGTTCTAATTTCTACATATCCTCATCAATACTTGTTGTTACCAAACTTTTTGATTTTTTAAATTATTGTAATTGTGATAAACTACATGCCACATAAGTTTTGCCATATTAAGCATTTTTTTTTTTTTTGGAGATGGAGTCTGGCTTTATCACCCAGACTGGAGTGCATTGGCACCATCTTGGTTCTCCACAACCTCCACCTCCTGGGCTCAAGCACTTCTCCTGCTTCACCTGCCCAAGTACCTGGGACTACAGGTGCACGCCACCACACCTGGCTAATTTTTGTATTTTTAGTAGAGACGTGTTTCACCATGTTGACCAGGCTGGTCTTGAACTCCTGACCTCAGGTGATCTCCCTGCCTCGGCCTCCCAAAGTGCTGGAATTACAGGCATGAGCCATTGCACCCAGCCCATATTAACCATTTTTAAGTGTAGTGTTGAGTAGTGTTAAGTACACTCACACTGTTGTACAACCATTCTCCAGAACTCTTCATCTTAAAACTCTAAAACTCGGTACCCATTAAAAAAAAACTCCACATTCCCCTGCATCCCCAGCCCCTGGCAACCACCATTTTGCTTTCTGTCTCTATGAATTTGACTCCTCTAGGTACTTCACATTAGTGGAATCATGCAGTATTTGTCTTTTTGTGAATGATGTTTCACTTACCATAACGTCTCAAAGTTCACTTATGTTGTAGTATGTATCAGAATTTCCTTCCTTTTTAAGGCCATTGAATGTATATCCTACATTTTGCTTATCCATTCATCCATCAGTGGACACATAAATTGCTTCTACCTTTTGGCTATTGTGAACAATATTGCTATGAACATGGCTGTACAAATGTCTCTTGGAGATTCGGCTTTCCTCTTCTTTTTCTTTTTTTTTCAGAGACAGGGTCTCTCTCTGTTTCCCAGCCTGGAGTGCAGGGGTGCAATCCTAGCACTTCACAGCCTGAAACTCTTGGGCTCAAGTGATCCTCCTCCCTCAGCCTCCTGAGTAGCTAGGACTTCAGGCATGTGACACCACACCCAGCTAATTCCATTCTTTTGGGTATATTCCCAGAAGTGGAATTGTTGGATCATATGGTAATTATATTTTCTGAGGGACTGCTATACTATTTTCCATAGCAGCTGCACTATTTTGCATTCCCACCAACAGTGCATAGGGTTCCAATTTCTCTACATTCTTGCCAACATTTTCTGTTTTTTTTAATAGTAGCCCTTTTAATCGGTATGAAGTGATATATCACTGTGGTTTTGACTCGCGTTTCCCTAATGATTAGTGATGTTGAGCTCACCTTCATATTTTGAAGTCCATGACATTTCAACCATGAAACAAAGTTCAGTGAAACTCATCAGGGTCTTTAACAAGTCTAGTGCCTATGTGGGCCAAAATCTCTATGCACATGTGACCTAAATTACATGGCATGGTAACAGGTTTCCTTTAGTGGGAAAGAATCTTTTAGCTCTGGGGAGATTTAAAATTAAGTGTAGGAAGGATTGCAATAATTAAAATGAAAGTAATAATATTTGGTGGTTAAGAAGAAAGCTGTTCATATTTCTTATTTTACAAATTTGTCTTCTTGGAATGACAGTCTTATGACTTCAGTTGAAAATTTGTAATTGTGTGATTTTGACTTAGGGCGACCAATTTCTCCTGATTTGCTCAGAATTGTCTTCATTTTAAAATAGAAAGCTCTGTATACCAGACATCTCCCTCAGTTAGGGATGGTTTATCACTTTATTTAGACTTGAGATTTTAAACTGAAATGTTACTAAGCTCATATACAATATTGGACCATTTAAAAGAACTTCAGTGTCATCAGGTTTAATGTACAAGATATAAAACAGCTTCTTAAATATCTGCTGTAATTTCTATAATTTAGATAATTGAAGTACTTAAAATATAGAATATATTAAATTTAGAAACAAAGTTTAAATATTTGAAAGTGTTTAATTAATGAGACCAAACATTATTCAAAGCGCACTTAAAAATAATTATTAACATTTGCTATACTTATATACAGACTAAAGAGATTTGTGAGCTGAACTTAATGACTATTTATCTGGAAGACAAAAATCCCATTTCATTCTGTGTTGCCACAACTGAATCTTAAGTTTAAGGTTTTCCTTAGTTAAATTAAACACCAATTGTTTAAACCAAAAACAAATTGAGAAACAGTCTTTTGGGAATACTAAGCTACTCTATAGGACCAAAAATTGGCATCAACTACAGCTCATGATATTCAAAAATACTTCCATTTAAGGAGTTTCAAAAGGACTCAGATTATCCTGGTAACATGGGGTATATTAATAGTTGTCAAGCAAATCAATAGAACACATTAATTATTGTAACCATATATATATTTGAAATGAAGACATCATTTTTGAGAGTCTGAAGATCAATTTAAACTGCATTTTGTTGTTTTGAGGACACAGCTCAATTTCACTGACTGACATTTTCAGCTAAAAAATGGTCTCAGTACTTTCCTTCTCTTAATAGAGCACTGCCTCCGTAATGTCGCTAAAGATTAAAGAGGATTAATGCCCATTCTAACAATTTGTAAATATCACTACATTTAAATATTCTAAATTGCTTATACTTAACCAGGATTAAAAGGAATGACCTCTTAAGATTCACAATTTTTTTTTTTTTGCTTTATTTCTCTGACAAAAACTATTTTTGGAAATAAGGTTTATCCTGCAAGCTTTACCAAAGTGGTAATTTCAATAGAAAGTCAAAGAAAACATGACGTCCAAAGAACCACCAAGCTGTAGGCAACAATATTTATAGGCACTCAGATTCATGCACATTCTTTTCAGGCTACAAAAGGCCTGTTATCCCACTTGGGGTAAGCTAGTCTTGAATACTGATTTGAAGTATCACAACGAGTGACAATTGCTTCCTAGCTACTCCACTTTGTTATATGCTTATCTCTGGAGTATGTTCCATCTCAAGCATGGCTCATGGCTACTGGCCTATTTAGATTGAAAACAAGAGAAAGGCAGCATGTGTCTTCCACTGTAATCTGTGACACCACAGCAGTTTCCCTGGTAGGGATGTACAGAGTAACCCTGCAGAACTCACAGGTTATAACAAACTGCTGCTCTGTTACCCCAGAGGAGATTAAGTGATGATCTGGAAGACAAAAATCCCATCTTATTTTGTTACCAAAACCCAATCTTAAGAATTAAATACTTATGAGGTCGGGCGCGGTGGCTCACGCCTGTAATCCCAGCACTTCGGGAGGCCGAGGCGGGCGGATCACGAGGTCAGGAGATCAAGACCATCTTGGCTAACACGGTGAAACCCCGTCTCTACTAAAAATACAAAAAATTAGCCAGGTGTGGTGGCGGGCGCCTGTAGTCCCAGCTACTCCGGAGGCTGAGGCAGGAGAATGGCGGGAACCCGGGAGGCGGAGCTTGCAGTGAGCCGAGATCGCGCCGTTGCACTCCAGCCTGGGCTACAGAGCCAGCCTGGGCTACAGAGCGAGACTCCGTCTCAAAAAAAAAAAAAAAAAAAAAAAAAAAAAAAAAAAATTAAATACTTCTGGGGAAAAGCCATAACATTCCAAAAGACAATTTATTATAATAGATATGCTATTACATTAAAGACAATTGCAGCCTTCTAATTCATTCTTAGTTTAAATGTATCATGGTTGAGGGAAAAAGGCTAGGTTAATAATATGAACACATTTTTATCAACATGAATCTGAAATGTTTTTGAAAAGCCTGTTATATAGATTATTAGAAAGGTTAGATTTTCCAAAAGGTTAATATTTATTTTTAACAAGAATGATTTCTTAAATTATAGTTTTAAAACGTTAATAATTGCCAGTGGTTTCAAATAGACTTCCTTTTATCAGGGAGCTGGGATCTTTTGGTTCACTAGACCTCCTTGATCTTAGGCTGTATAAATTGTTTAGTTTTATTTGGTGCCATAGGGACTCCTTCAAACTTATCAGAAGCCTCAGTTTAATACAGAAAAAGAGAGGCTCAGACATGTCAATATAATACTGTTAATGTTTTCCACGTTTGTGATTTCAGGGTCAAAGTCAAACCTCTTATTGTATTAATAATAGCAAAGCAAAAATAGGCTTTGTAGTTGTGAATTCATGGTTTTAAAGAATAATTTCCCTATGTTTTTATTAATTCAAGCCATCCATTGAACCACTCAAGGATTCCATTATGTATTTGAATGATGTATCTCATACTGTACCTTTAACTTTGGAAGACTATGAGAATGGATATGCGTGTGATTCTTTACAGTCATCAACATAGGATATTTCCTTTGTTCAAAAGTTATGTTAATTAATAACATTAAAAGTTATATTTAGTAAAATAAACTTTAGAGCTTAGCAGTAAAATAATTAAAAGCCAGTTTTCCTCTACTCATTATTTAAAAGAGCATGGTTTGCAAGTTAGTTCATATGCTATGCATTATGAAGCATGGCCATATATTCTGGATTCTTTTACTATCTGATTTGTAGACCCAGCAATAATCAGAATTTTAATAAAAAAGTTCCAGAGAAAACCCAGAAAGCCTCAGCTTACCAAGCGCTTTCCTTTTGAGAGTGTATTGAATCCACGTTCCATTCAGCACTGATTAGTGGTAAAACTAAACCAAAGCTGTCGGCGTATTGCAAAAGGCCTTTGCTTGACCAAAGCTCTTGTTTAAGACAAAGCTGCCATTGATGTCCACCCCAGGTGACAAGGGGTGAGAATGGAGTGACTTGGCAGCTTCTTTTTCTACCTGTGGGTCTTGCCCTTCTGTCATTCCCACCTGACACCCTTCCCCACCTTAAACTTGATATTGGTGGATGGGAGCAGGAATTCACAATGCAGCTAAAATAAAGATGCTCAAAGCTCCCTCTTCTGTATGGCAGACCTGGATTGTGTGCCTTTGAGAGGGGCAAGCTTGTCTTTCCTATTCCCTAAGAAATATATCCTTACCTAGCCAAACCTATTTCCCCTTCCTGAGGGCCTATGCAGGCATGCACAACACAGCAGTGTTCTACGTTAGATTTTGCACCAGGGTTCACTCAGGGTCTGCTGGTGGCTGTGAGAAGAACCTCTCAGCTGGAATGGTTCATGAGTGAATGGTAAAGCCTAGGTTTCAATTACTTTGGAGAATGGAACGTTTCTTAGCTTTCTTTCCTCATGAACTTCGTGGTATCATTTGTCATGCCATTTTGCCAGCTATGCACTTTTTTACATAGTTTTGTTTGGTTTGCAACTCACGAATATCAATCAAAGAAGTTGTTTCATTTTTAAGAAATGGCAAAGAATATCTTGCCTCCTTCTGTTGTTTCATAGGTGAGTTATATGGCATGTGGAAGCTGAGAATTCAAACTCAATTCATGCTAACTCTTTCCTAAAATTAGGAGAACATTTCTGATTATAACTCATTTCCCTATTTACAAGGTCAAACATTTTGACTTGTAAGGTACCAAACAAATATCATGCTTCTGCGTTTGCCAGATTATGTTCTAAAGATATTGACTGGTACATTGTGGTCAAATAATTTTGGGAACAGTGGGTTAAAGAGAGGTAGAGATGTTTCTTTACTGAGTCTTAGAGGCACTACACCAAAGTGGTTAGGAGTGTGGACTCCAGAGACCCCACTGTGATCTAACTTTTGATTCCACCACTGACTAAATGTGTGATCTTGGGCAAGTCAATATCTCTGCACCTCAATTTCCTCATCTGCAAAATGGAGTCAGAAATAGGGCATATCTCTCAGAGTAGTTGTGAGAATTACTTCCATTGATATATATCGTATATATAAAGCCCTTAGAACAGAGCCTGACACAAGATAAGCACCATGTATGCCCTGTATTAGCTATTATTGCTATAATTATCAAGTTTCTAAAGGGGAGATAAAGCAGTCAGTCTTTCCCAGTCTTACCTATTTGTCCATCCATCCATCCATCCATCCATCCATCCATCCATCCATCCAATTCTCTTCTGACCAATATAAACAGCCTGAAGTGAGAGAGAGAGAGAGAGAGAGAGAGTTTGAAAAGTAACTAAAAATTGCATCCTCGTTTGTATTATCTATTACTGCTGCCTGCTTTTATTGGGTATTTGCTTATTCACTTTTTCTTGTTTTAAAGAATGGATCAGAACACAATTTGAGGGCTATCCCATAGAAAGATTGAAATATTACATTATTTATCAATTAATTCCTGCAGGCTTCCCCAAAGTCCTCTCTCTCACTCGAGAATGGACATTTTGCAAACAGAAATCACAAATATACTAATGTCCTTTATTTATTAGCCAAATTTTGTTTGAGTGCCTGCTGTGTGCCAGGGACTGTTCTGGGCACTGGGGACACAGCAATGAGTGAAATAGACAAACATCCCATGTTTCATGGAGCTTAGATTCTGTCAGTAACCAATAAGCAGCTCTAGAAACCAATAATGAAGCCACAATCAAGTCATCAAGTCCGCTACATTTCTCAAGGCTTCTGAATACATTAAAAAAATGAACAAATTGCAAAATCAGATTTCCTAAATGTTAGTGTATTTCAAATGATATTTTATAAATTATTGCGTGTAGCACAAAATAAATAGAATAACAGAATATTTAATCTCTTTTAGAAATAATCTCAAAAGTAAAGAAGTATGAGACCTCAGCTGGGCCATAAGGGGCTCTTGTAGGCGCCCCCCCAACACCCGTACCTACTGACCTTATCCCACCCCAAACTTATGCTGGGTTTAAGTCTTGGTTAAAACTCAATGAACTAATCTGCCATTTTTCAGCTAAAATAATGAAGGTTTTTTTCCCTCTCAGCCTTTGTTCAGGGTAAATTTCTTAGACATATAGTTTGTTTTTTATCTACACTAGTTTTTTTAGTTTAAGGAGCCTATAAAATAGCATATCAACATTAAAGCCTTACATCAAATCAGAAAAAGACAGACGTGCAATTTTTTAAAAATTTTAAAGAGATATGGAGCCATATATGTCTCTGTCTCAGACTAGAATCAAGCACTGAAATATGACATATACGATGACTGCAATTCAACTCACTAATGTTTTGTTCCTGACATGCAATTTTGGTACATGATAACATTGAGTAGTTGTTTTGTTTTTAATTACAAATATAAAAAATGACACTTAACCAGGCTGGATGTTGGACTTTTAGATAATTTTAAGATAGGGAAATTGTGAATACACAAATATTTAGTGTGTTTGGTTAATAAACTCAGAAGTATATAATTTTTCTAATATTTTAACTTGTGTTTTCTTCTTCTTTTTTTTTTTTTTTTTTTTGACAGAGTTTCACTCTTGTTGCCCAGGCGGGAGTGCAATGGCGCCATCTCGGCTCACTGCAACCTCTGCCTCCTGGGTTCAAGCAATTCTGCTGCCTCAGCCTCCCGAGTAGCTGGGATTACAGGCATGTGCCACCACGTCTGGCTAATTTTGTTTTTTCAGTAGAGACAGGGTTTCTCCATGTTGGTCAGCCTGGTCTTGAACTCCCGACCTCAAGTGATCCGCCTGCCTCGTCCTCTCAAAGTGCTGGGATTACAGGCGTGAGCCACCACGTCTGGCCTGAGCCACTGCACTAGGCCGTGTTTGCTTCTTTGGTTATCTGATCAACACCAAGATCAAGCATTTTATATCTTTGGGAAATGCAGGACCTCAGAATTATAAATTTTTAGAGTTAGAAGGGGGGCTTGAAGACCCTCTCATTGGACCCACTCCTTTTACAAATGGGGAAACATAAGACCAGAGTGGGTAGGATCAGTTGTCTTTTGATTGAATTACAATTTTTGTCATGAGCAGAATATTTTATTTAGGTCTTACATAAAATAAGATCCTTGTATCCTACTAAAACCTTCTGTATTATGCATCAAATCATCAAAGTGTCAGTGAACCTGCCAAGCAGAAAGTAATGTTAAGTTTAAAAGTATTAAGTACTTTAAAACTGTTTGCTTTTGACATATCTTTTGGCTCAAATATTCATTTTAAAAATACAATCAAAACAAAAAGTTTCTGTTTTCTATCGTATAACCATTTCTAACTGAATTAAGAAAAAACACGGAATAAATGATACTCCTTTCTTTTTCTTTTTCTGCATTTGTACCTGGATTTCTAAATCCAGCCATCATTTTCTATCTCAAATTAAATGAAATGGGGGGCTGAGCAGTTGCCCAGTGTATTAGACCATTCTTGCAGTGCTATAAACAAATACCTGAGGCTAGGCAATTTATAAAGAAAGAGGTTTAATTGACTTATGGTTCTGCAATGTGTACAAGCTTGGCTCCCAGCATCTGCTTGACTTCCAGGAAGGCCTCAGGGAGCTTTAACTCATGGTGGAAGGCAAAGTGGGAACAAGCACATCACATGGCAAAAGCAGGAGCAAGAGAGAGAGTTGAGAGAGAGGTACCATACTTTTAAACAACCAGATCTCATGAGAACTTACTCACTATCATGAGGACACTACCAAGCCATTGAGGGGTCTGCCCACATGACCTAAACACCTCCCGCCAGGCCCCACCTTCAATACGGGGGATTACAGTTCAACATGAGATTTGATGGGGACATTCAAACTATATTTTTCTGCCCCTGGCCCTGCTAACCTCATGTCCTTCTCACATTGCAAAATATAGTCATGCCTTTCCAACAGTCCCTCAAAGTCTTAACTCATTCTAGAATCAACTCAATCAAAAATCCCAAGTCCCCAATCCAAAGTCTCATCTGGAAATGAGTTCCTTCCATGTATGAGCCTGTAAAATTAAAACAAGTTATTTACTTCCGAGATACAATGGGGGCATAGGCATTAGGTAAACATTCTCATTCCAAAAAAGAGAAATTGGTCAAAAGAGAGGGGCTACCGGCCCCATGCAATTTTGAAACCCAGCAGGGCAGTCATTAAATCTTAAAGCTCCAAAATAATCCCCTTTGACTTCATGTGCCACATCCAGGGCATACTGGTGCAAGAGGTAGGCTCCAAGGGCTTGGGCACCTCTGTACCATGGCTTTGCAGAGTTCAGCCCCCAAAACAACTCTCATAGGTTGTTGAGTGCCAGCAACTTTTCCAGGCACAGACTGCAAGCTGCTAGTAGATCTACCATTTTGGTGTCTGGAGGATGGTGGCCTCCTTCCCGCAGCTTAACTAGGCAGTGCCCCAGTGGGGACTGTGTGGAGCTTCCAACCACACGTTTCCCCACTGCATTGCCCTAGTAGAGGTTCTCTGTGAGGGCTTTAACCCTGCAACAAGCTTTTGCTTGGGTGCCCAGGGTTTTTCATACATCCTCTGAAATCTAGATGGAGGCTGCCAAGCCTCCTTCACTGTTGCATTCTGCATGCCTACAAGCTTAACATCGCATGGAAGCTGCCAAAGCTTATGGCTTACACCCTCTGAAACAGCAGCCTAATCTATATCAGGGGCCCTTTGAGCTGAGGATGGAGCCAGAGTGGCCAGGATGTGGGGAACATTGTCCCAACGTTGTGCAGAATAGTGTGAAGCTGGGGGGAGGGTGAGGGGGTTGGGTAGGGGTGCAGGTGTGAGTGGGGAGGGTGTCCCTGGGCCTGGACCATGAAACTATTCAGTCTTCCTAGGTCTCTGGTCCTGTGATGAGAGGGGCTGCCTCCAAGATCTCTGAAATGCCTTTGAGGTCTTTTCTCCATTGTCTTGGCTATTAGCACATGGCTACTTTTTACTTGTGCAAATCTCCTAAAAAGTGGTTGCTCCACAGTCTCCTTGAATTCATCTCCTAAAAAAGCTCTTTCTTTCTTTGCCACATGACCAGGCTGCAAATTTTCCAAACTTTTATGCTCTTACTCCTGTTTAAATATAAGTTCCAACTTTAAGTCATTTCTTTGCTTCCACACCTGAATGTATGCTGTTAGAAGCAACCATGTCATATCTTGAATGCTTTGTTGCTTAGAAATGTCTTTGGCCAGATAGCCTAAATCATCACTCTGAAGTTCAAACTTCCACAGATCCCAAAGGCATGAATAGAATGCAACCAAGTTCTTTTCTAAGACATAACACAGGTGACCTTTGCTCCGGTTCCCAATAAGTTCCTCATTTTCATGTGAGACCTTATCAGCCTGAACTTCACTGTCCATATCACCATCAGCATTTTGGTTACAATCATTTAACCAGTCTCTAAGAAATTCCAAACTTTATTTCATCTTTTTGTCTTTTTCTGAGCCCTCCAAACTCCTCCAAACCTCTACCTGTTACCCAGTTCCAAAGTCACATTCACATTTTCAGATATCTTTATAGCAATTCCTCATTCCTTGGTACCAACTTTCTGTATTAGACCATTCTTGCATTCCTATAAAGAAATACTTGAGACTGGATAATTTATAAAGAATAGAGGTTTAATTGGCTCACATTTCTGCAGGCTATACAAGCATGGCCCCGCATCTGCTCAGCTTCTACAGAGGCCTCAGGGAACTTTTACTCATGGAAAAAGGCAAAGCAGGAGCAGGCATGTCACACAGCAAAAGCAGGAGCGAGAAAGAGTGTGTGTGTGTGTGTGTGTGTGTGTGTGTGTGTGTGTGTGTGTTGGGAGCAGGGGAAGGAACCATACACTTAAACAACCAGATCTTGTGAGAACTCTTTCACTATCATGAGAACAGCACCAAGCCACGAGGGATTCATCTCCATGACCCAAACACCTCCCACAAGGCCCCAGCTCCAACACTGGGGATTACAATTCACCATGAGATTTGGCAGGGACATATATTCAAATTAGATCACCCAGTCATAAAATATAGTCTTAGAATTTCTTTTATTTTTTTTTGTTAACAGGTGTATCTCCTATCATTGTTTAATAAAAACTGTGCCTCAATTCATTATTTCAGTTACTATGTTAGAGTCTTTACTTTTAGAATAGGATCTCATGCCTCCAATATTTTGGTGACCTCATGTAATTAACATGCAGTTTCACGGAGGAATGTGAATTTAGGTAGGATGTGGGGACATCGGGGTCCCTTTCTCACAGTGAAACCACGCTTTTGTAGAACTGACTGCTTACTCTCCCTGGGAGACATGAATGTATTATCCCTGCTTTGTTGGAAAACAAAGGTTATATATAGTCTCTGTGGAGTGTGTCAAGGTAAGGGGTTGAAGGAGAGGAAAACATGACAGTGGGAAGGGATGCTGGAATAATTTAAAGCAGAAGGGAACAGAAAAAGAGAAGAGAGTCACCAAGGAAAGAAAGGCAGCATCAGCTATATATACTCCTGATAAGTGGGTTTGTGCCATGTCAATGTCTGAGCCTTTCATCTTTGTTTGCAAAATCATTCAACTATGGGATACTTCAAACCAATGTTTCCAAAAGTGAGTGGCTTTTAGGTGGCAAATATTTTTCTAGATATAAATGTATCTCAGCCGGGAGCAGTGGCTCATGCCTGTAATCCCAGCTACTCGGGAGGCTGAAGCAAGAGAATCACTTGAACCAGGAGGCAGAGGTTGCAGTGACCTGAGGTTGTGCCACTGCACTCCGGCCTAGATGACAGGGCGAGACTCTGTCTCAAAAAATAAAAAAACAGGCCAGGCGTGGTGACTCACGCCTATAATCCCAGAACTTTGGGAGGCCGAGGTGGGCGGATCACCTGAGGTCAGGAGTTCGAAACCAGCCTGGCCAACATGGTGAAACCCCGTCTCTACTAAAAATACAAAAATAAGCCGGGTGTGGTGGCTGATGCATGTAATCCCAGCTACTCATGAGGCTGGGGTGGGAGAATCACTTGAACCTGGGAGGCAGAGGTTGCAGTGAGCTGAGATCACGCCACTGGGTTCCAGCCTGGGCAATGGAGCAAGACTCCATCTCAAAAATAAAATAAAAATAAAAAATAAAAATAAATATATCTGTATACACTTCATACATACTGTTTCAGAAAAATATGTATTATATATAAATATAATCATACATATAATATACATACATTATATATTCACATTTCATAATATATAATATATACATAATATATAAATGTACTTTTAAGATAAATATATAAATATATATGTAACCAGCACATCTATGTATGATAGTGAAAGAAACTTCCCCTTAACAAAATAAATAAATTTAGATTTTTTTAAGAGTCAAATTTGCTAACAAGGATTAAATAACTCATAGGTGGTGATCCTTGAATATGTCTAAAATCATGAAGATCGTATGTGAATGACAAGTTTAGGAAATATATCTCTAAAAAGACCTTCTGTTTGTAGGTTTATCTTTCAGCTTTTTAAAAGTTTACCGGTGTAAGGGAGTGATCCTGAAAAGGATAAGGGTGAATTCTTGCCAGAACTGACTTTTTCAAAGTGCGCATGTTCCCTGCTCACCTCCCCACTGACACATTCTGACAGGTCTCTATTCCCTTCCCAGCTCCCTCTGACTTTGCATGGTGTGGAGGCAGAGGAAACGGCTGAGAACAACTAACTCCAGTAAGGCATTCCTAGCTCATTCAGGTCCAAAGAAGGAAGGGGGAAACAGCCACAACAAAGCAGCCCCCAATACACACGCACCACACACACACACACAGAAACACACATACACACTCACACTCACACACACAGTTTCTTTATCCACTATATTGCAGGCCATTCAATATAGCAGAAAAAAAATCTTGAGACAAAACTGTCTACTTGGAGACATTTTTGTTCAGTTGATTAATTCTGTGATTTTACATTTTTTGAACATGGAAGCCCAGGGTATGGTTCATAATATTTTCAGTCTAGGAACAGCTGAATGAAGTAACAGTCTTTTAAGAAGGGTCCTCAAAGCGAAGCAGGTTCATTTTCTAGAAGAACAAAATCCTTCTGGGCATTTTTGTGTGTTCCATTCAAGTCTGAGATAAATCCAAGAGGGGCTTGACAGATGTGATTGTCATAGTGTACTGGGACCAAATTACTCTGGGTGCCAAGAACTAATGTTAAAATAAAATTGGAAAGTTATTTCTTTCCATGCTGCCCCCTTCTCTGAATCTCCAAAGCATTTGTTTTGTAAAATCCTAAGTAGAAACACATTTTGGTGCCATAATTTCAAACAAACCATCTCTTTTTGAACTCTGCAGCCCAGAACACAATAGCATATCAAGTTCACAAAATTTCAGATAAACCACGTTCAAGCTATAAAAATGACCCCCCACCAAAAGTCTTAATTTTTCCCACATCTCCTTTCTTTTTCCCACACTACTTTAAGGAAGCTCAGCTTTGCTGTCTCTTTGACAAGGGTTGCTGCTGTGGAGACACACACTGTTGCCCAGTGGCTGAATCTATTCATAATTTAGTTTAAGTTATCTTTTCCTGGTGGAGTCATTTTGACCACATTTACCATTTTGTGAGGCACAAAGTAGGCATTAGTGAGCGACTGAACACTCAAAGAAAGAAATGATTGGATTAAAATTGGGGTGCATTAACTATCATTCACACAAGAACTGTCTTATCAACCTGTTTTTACAACTTGCTCTGAGATAGAAAAAAAAGAAAAGTATTATTGTTCTGAGCTCTGCATTTTGCTTAAACTAGTGTGCTTAAAGCAGTTAAATACTACCATATTGCTTTTTAAAGTCATTTAAAAATACTCTAAGTTCAATAATCCATTGAACATTCAAATGTCACTATTATTATCTATTTATTTGGATACATATGGCTGTCTTTGTTTAACTTGTTGAAAGTAGTACCACATTAAAATAACCTGAATAAATGACCAGAATAAATAAAATGACTTGAAAGTTGCTCAGAATAATTGCAGAGAAGTGAGAGAAGCCAGAATAATTCCTCTTCAATCAGGTACCCAAATGTTTTATTATTGTACAAATGACTTATACACATATTATAGTAGCCTAAAAGTTTTAAAAATATGGACATCCTTTAGGGCAAAAAGGTGTAAATCTCTAAGAGGTAGAGTAGAAAACATGATTTATTCTGTTTTCCTAGCATTGCTAGTTTCCAGGTGTTCACCGTTTGATCCAGCTACAGGCAATGATTTTCTGAAGTGGTTTCTGATGGTGTCTGACATCATTTATAGTACTCTTGAACAATCTTGTAATGTGCTAAACTACACCAAATTAAGTGAGTTAGTGGCCAAAAAAGAGTCCAATAGACCCATGGGTATCATGAGTGTTTTGCTACATGCTGCCTCTTGTATTCACTGCTCAGAGGGAAGAAGTAAAGTTTTTCTGATCCTCTGATATATCAAGTGGTGGATTTGGTGGAGAGCTATAGAGAATCTGGGACAAGTAGGAATGGATTGAACAGTCTTAAGCAAGTGGAAGTTTACAAGTTGCCAGACTGTGTCCTTTGTGATCATTCATGTATTTATTCATTCAGTCAGTCAATCACCAAATATCCATTGAAGTGCTGCTCTCTGTAACATGTGGCAAAATATGTCGTGTGGGAAATAAAGATGAGAGAGATCATGACCTTGAGCTAAAGGAGTTTATAGTGAGAAAGAGAGATGGCATAGAGAAATGAGTTAATGTGAAGGCACAATCATGTGTCAACATTAAAGCAATAGCGTGTATACGTTCAGAGGTAGGAGAGATTGCTTTCAGCTGGAGTGATCAAGAAAATACTCACTCATTCATATGCCCATTGGTTTATCACATATACATAGTCAGGTACTATGGTAAGCACTGAATACACAACAGTGAAGGAGAGGGTAAGCAGGCAGTTAAAATGCATTCATCTGATCACTCAAACAATATATATTGAGGGTCTACTGCATGACAAGCTTTGTTCCAGACTCTGGGGGTTGTTTGATGAATAGGCAAAGCACTTTCTCTCACAGAGCTTACATTCTAGTAGGGAAGATAATCAACAAGCAAGTAAATACATAATAATGCAATTTTAGATCATTAATGCTGCAAAGAAAGTAAATTGGTTTAGCAGGGTAGATGATGAAAAGACATGGAAGGCTATTTTAGATTGGATGGCTAGGGAAAGGCTCTGGAAGGGAAAGATCTAACTGATGAGAGAAGTTGGCCACAGAAGACCCAGATGTCATGGGAAGTGCCAGTGAGAGGGAGGAGCGTGGGGATGTTGAGGAACAGATAGGCAGCCCAAGAGGTCACCATAAGGGAAGTAGTGGAGGGGAAGCTGGACAGTGGCTGGGGCTAGATCTTTTGGGCCCTGAGTCCATAGTCCAAGAACTTGGGAAGCTACTGGAAGATTTTAATCAGAATTGTGATGGGATCTGAGTTTAAGAGTTGGCTGGAATTGTTAAGAATGGAAGAAGCAGGAAAACTACTTAGCATGTTGAAGCAACAGTCTACAAGAAAGATGAGGAGTAGCTTGAACTTGTGTAGTAATGGTGGATTCAGTGAGGAGTAATCAGGATTTGGGTAACTTTTTTAAATAGAGAGGATAAAGCTGATGCATGGGATGTGAAGTGGGAGAAAAAGAGAGGAACCAAGAATAAATCCTATGGTTTTAGGCCTGAAGAACTTGTGGATTTTTGCACACTTGACTGATATGAGGAAGACCAGGAAGAAAATGGCTTGGGAGAGGAAATTAAGAATTCCGTTTGAGCATTATATTGGTTTCCTAGGGCTAATGTAACAAATTACTCTGACCTTGGTAGATTAAAACAATAGAAATTTATTCTCTCACAGTTCTAGGAGCCAGAAGTCCAGGTGTCATCAGGGCCACGCTCCCTCTGGAGGCTCTAGGGGAGAATCCGTCCTTGCCTCTTTCAGCTTCTAGTGGCTCCGGACATTCCTTAGTTTGTAGCAACATGGCTCTAATCTCTGCCTCCATCTTTACATGGCCTTCTCTTTTGTGTCTATGTCTTCTCCTGTTTCTTTTAAGGACATTTGTCATTAGATTTAGGGCCCACCTGGATAAACTAGGATGATTAATCTAGAGATCCCTAACTTAATTACACCTGCTAAGACATTTTTTCCAAGTAAGTTAATGGTCATATTAACTTTATGCATGGCGTTAGGGTTAGGGCATGAACATATCATTTGGGGGCCACCAACTCAATCCCCTACTGGAATAGTAAGTCCAGAGGTCTTGTAAAAGGTCTTCCTGCCTAAAAAGGAGGCAGGAAGAAAATTAAGACAGCACTGTGGTCCTGGAAGCCACAGCATTTCAAGGCAGAAGTTGTGACCAACAGTGTCAGATGTTGCTGAGAAGTCCAGGAACATGAGAATAGTAGACTCATCACTGGGTGTGATAATATGGTGGCCTTTACATGTGTGGTGTCATTGGAATGGTGGGGCTGAAAGGCTTAGCAGCATGGATTACAGATAGAATATGCAGTAAAGTAGGAGAGAGTGCCAGAAAGGACGTCTCAATCAAGGAGTACAGCATGCTATGAGAGAAAACAGGAGCAGCCAAGATTTGGGTGGGGAGGGAACAAGAAAACATTTCAGGAGAACTGACATCTGAATTGAGACCTGAAGGCTGAGTCCCCATTTAGCCAGCAGCCAGTCCAAAAAAAAAAAAAAAATAGGAAGAGAGTTTTTTAGATATCTAGAATATAAGGAGCCACCAATAGGTTTTATGTAGGACAAAGATATAAACAAATTCGCATTTCAGAAACATGACTCTGGCTGATGAGTAGTGAATGGATTAGTGACTAAAGGTAAGTAGCATAGGGTGTGTTGCTCCATTCCAAGCAATACCTGGTGGCAGCCTTTACTGAGAAAGAGGTGGTAAACAGGGGTGATATTAATAATACTGAGTAATCAGTGCTCTAGGGTCACTGGCCAATCAAAATGGATGCTAGCTCCAACAACTACTGTAAATGTACTGGCACAGGACCACAGAATATAATCTGCTTGTATACTTAGGAAGGACTGAATAGGTCCTAGAGCAATTGAGAGGTTATAGTTGACAAGATTTGTTTATGGATTGCCTTATTACTTAGGAGCTCAGCAGGACAAGTAGGTCTGCCGAGAGGAGGTGGGCAAAGTTTCAAGTTCAATTTGGGTCAAGCTGAATTCAAGGAGTGGTCCAGGCTAGGTGTGGTGGCTCTTGCCTGTAATCCCAGCACTTTGGGAGGCCAAAGCAGACAGATCACTTGAGCCTAGCGTTGGCAACATGGCAAAATCCCATCTTTACAAAAAATTTAAAAATTAGCTGGGTGTCATGGCACACGATTGTAGTCCTAGTTACTTGGGAAGCTGAGGTGAGAGGATCACCAGAGCTTGGGAGGTCCAGGCTGCAGTGAGCCATGATTGCACCACTGCACTCCAGAAGCCTGGGCAACAGAGTGAGACCCTGTCTCAAAAAAGGGAGTGTTCCAGACCTGTAAGTGCAAATATCCACTAGGCCTTGGAGAGGGCTGGGCTGGCAATATGGTTTTGGGCATCATCAGCATGTGGACAGGTAATGAAAGCCAGGAGAGGGAATGAGTGCACCAGAGGAAAGCCACAGAGTCAGGAGTAAAGAAGGCCAGGGATAGAAACACCAGCCCTTGATGCATGAGCAGAGGAAGAAGAGGCTTCAAAGAAGTGAGAAAAGGAGGGCAGAGAAGAAGGACAGAAGCCAGGAGAACTCAATGTCAAAGAAGCAAATGGAAAAAGTGTGTCAGGAAGAAGGAAATGGTCAAAGGAGTCTTGTGCCACAAAGAGATCTAGAAAGAGAAGGAAGGAAAGATTCTTTGGGTGGAGCAGCAACAACATCATTGATGAGTTTGGCAAGAGCAGTTTCAGTGTGATGGTGGAGGTAGAGGACAGACAGCAAGGAGGTGACAGGAAGAGGTAAGAATATAGAAACAGTGAAGTTGGAAGTTCTTTCAAGGTAAGAAGGGGATGGGAAATAAAGTGTTAGCTGGAAGGGAACGTGGAGCTGGGGAAGACCTGAGCATGTTGAAATGCTTCCTGTGCTCGTGGATTCCACATCTTTGTTTCATAAATTGGGAAGGCAGTCTGTGTCAGGCTCTCTGGTGGCTTTGGGATGGGAAAAACTCAAAAGAGAAGGACGTATTGAATACCTAGGTGGAAAAGTGAATACTGAAGAGGCTGAAGATTCTGAGAAGCTGGGAGAGAGCAGGATAGCCCTTAGATCCGTATGAAGGAAACTGCCACATCCCTTGAAACTAAAAGGAAAAACAAAGGATGATTGCCAAGATAGATTTGAAGGTTATGTGGCAGAAGCTGATGGGGTTACTATCTTGTGTTTTATATTTTCATAGTCATTTGGAGAAGGAGTGAGACTAGGTGGATGAATCAGCCTTCGGCTCCCATCACTACAGAACTATTCTTGTCGAGGTCGCCATGACCTCCAATGTTGCTGATGGTCCTCGTCTTATTAGCAGCATTGGATGCAATTGATTGTTCCTGTTCCTTAAAACACTGTCTTCTGTAGCTTTATCAGATATATTTTGTACATTACTTCAAATAATCTGGGCCCCACTTCTTACTCCAGCCACTGCTCTGGGGGAACTGTTACATATAGGGTTCAGCTAGCTTTGTCCATGCACAAGCTAACCATGTCTTCCTTCTCTTGCTTCCTGTCCTGGGGTTTCCAGGCCACCCCCTTCCTTAGCTACCTAGTGCTGGTGCAATGGGTCAATGAAAATGGGAGGTCAGGAGAGGAAGGGGAGAGGACGTGATGGCAGAGATGGATCTTCAACAGGGGAAGAATAACACAGACTTCCTCTCACCTAGGCTTATCTAGCTACTGCCATTTAAAGTTGATATTATTCATCTCTTTCCAATAGAATAGAAGCTCCATGAGGGTAGGGATTTTTATGTCTTGTTCATTGCCCACCATCTAGAACTGTACCTTGCACATAGTATACTTTCAATAAATATTTGTTGAATGAATAAATGATAGAATTAATAATGTGATTTGTTTATGCAGCCATGAATATCATCAAAAGGGCAGTCTGGGTGGAAGAAACAGCTTAAGCAAAGGGCGGAAGACAAGCATTTTCAGGTTATGTGTCAAGGGCAAGGATTAGTTGTCCCATGTTGAATAATTTGCTTACAGAACTACTTTTTATTCAGAACTTTTGATACACTTCATTGTATAACAGTTCACTGTCTGAATGTTTTCAAACAAAAGCGAGTAGAATAAAACCTGGAGAAATTGTATCTGGCACATACCAAGACTGTTGTCCAATGACCAAAAACAAAGATGGCAAGGCTTCTAAAACAACTCTTTCCACTTTCTGACTGAAAAGATAATATAGAATGAATAAATCGGACAAAGTAGCCTACTACTTAGTGTATCTTTTACCTATAGCACCCAGATTAACTAATATTTCCCTAAACAACCAAACTTTTCCTCTCTTCATATTGCCTGTGCTAACAGTTTCTTAGGATACTAATTATTGGACTTTAATAAGGATAATATAAATTTTTTTTAAAGGCAGTTGTTTTTAAAATAAAAGAGAAAATCCAAGCTTCTCTAACTTCTAAGCTATTTTCCAGAAGCCCCTAGTTGTGTTTATTTTTGCTCAGGGACTATCTCAGCTTCAGTGTGGTTCAGACGTACAAAGTCAGCTTACGTGCCCCGCAGAGCTACATTTATGTAATAAATGGAACACATTGCCTCCAGCTCCCTCACTGGATACAAGCAAGACTCTATGCACTGCTAGGCTGGGTGGCGCTTCTTGAGTTTGAGAACTTATTGGTCGTCTTGGAGGAGGACATGACTGCCTACTTGCATGGCGATGCCTCTGATGAAGGCAGTGCTTCCAAACTGCCCTCCCTCTTCCCTCATCCCTCCCTTTACATGATGCTTCCCTATCTAACTAGTAATAGATCAATTAATTCTTGAAGGTGCCTGAGGATATTGACCACACCTCTCAAGGAGGGAAGTACATATGGGTGTTGACTAGAGTTCATTAATCCTAGGGCTAATCTGGTACCTTCCAATGGACACATTGGAGTGGAAGCTCCTGAGGCCTTCAGCAGCCTAGTTGAGTTAGAGGTTATAGAAAAAAGAAAATAACAAGGATGATGGATAAACTTTTAGCATTTCTGCAATAGTAAGAAGGATATTGCATCATTTTTAGGGCATTTAACAGAAATTATTATAGCAGTAGCATATCTGTGTCCACCACACAAGTTCTTACGTACATTTAGTTCAAAAGGAACATTTATTGCACTTTAAAGTGCTTCTTGGCTGGCATGGTTCTCTTTACTTTCTCTAAGGCACTAAAGAACACAAGGATCTTCTTTTTGCAATAAGGAATTGAGTATATGGATCACTCAGTTTGAATGCCAATCTCAGTGAGTCAAACATCCAGCATTTCTGTTCCCCTGACCCCATATCTGGAAAATTGCCTCCATTATTCATTTAGTTTCTTTCTGTAGCTAGAGCATTTCTTTATATTTTCACTTGGTTATATAAATGACTTTGGAAGTATACAAGTAATTTTTCAAGGTAAACAGTCCATTTTTGTTGCAAAGGACCTTCCGGGGAAAGCACACAGCTCCCACTTCTTCCAGCCAGAGCTTTTTTAACAGGCAGCTCCAAGATCTTTATCATTTATGTCAACCTAATTTTGTTGATAGCTTTGGTTTGACTGAGAGATGGATACCTCACTTTTTCTGCTGTTCCATTCCTATACCCTACAAACTGAAGGCTTCTCTGAAACAATGAGATCTGCATAGTGTTTTGTTTATAATTCAAATGGACAAGTTGAAAATGTCATTGGTTACTCAGCTACTTATTGTTAGTTTTATTGTTAGGCATGGAGAAAAGGCATTTATATGGAATTTTTGTATAGAAAGAAATGAGGATGTCTTAGTTTTATGCACACACACACACACACGCACAGAAACACTCATGCTTATTTTAAAGTACTAATACCAGAGGTGATTTTAGGGTTCTTTAGTACAATCCATTTATTTTGCAAAGGGGAAACTGAATCCAACAGAACTTAATTAGTTGCCCAATACTATAGAACTAATTGTTCATAAAGTCAGAATTAGAACCTAGACCTCCTGAAAGTTTTTTTCCTTGCTATATAGTCTGAAATCTATGAACAGTGTAAATAGAAATCATGACCTCAGATGACATGAGGTTTACTAATTCATTGATTAGCCTTCTTATGAATGTATTGGATCAATAAAGACACAGATATTCATTCCAATAATTGCTCCTCTCTGTCCATCTCTGCTTTTAGATGTATCTAAGTAAATGTCCTCTGCATCAATCAGATTGTGGCTCTCATTGTTTCTTGGGTAATAGTGCTACTAATATGCCTTGTTTAGAATGTAATATATATGATATCTGGAAAGACTTCTCTTATGGATTTTTTTGTAAGAAGAATAATGACTTTTTTATACAATAACAGTTAACCTGGCTCTGTTTTCAAACAAAACGACATATTAGTATCATTTCTAGTTAACCATATCATCCAAGTATTCAATTTTCTTTGCAGAATAGAGCACATTTACATCCATTTTGATCATATAAACAAAAACGTAAGTAATTCTGAATGTAACCATGCTCAGATTTCCTCAGTCAGACAGAGAGCTGATAAGTGTTTAATGGCTGGGGAATAATAGGGAAGGAAAGGGAGGGAGACCGTCCTTAAAACTCGGATATAAACTAGAGGGAGAGAGAACAGGTGCCAAAAATATAAAGAAGAGTGCCTGGGTGCACAGAAACTATCATCCTTGTGCAAACATCAGGTTGGATTTATTTATTGAAAGTAGAAGTGCACATGTACCCTAAAACTTAAAGTATAATAATAATAATAAAGGAAAAAAAAGACAAAAAAAAAGAAAGTAGAAGAGAAGGGCCATTTTAATTCAGGGAATATCCTACTCTTCAGAAGATTCACCTCACGTCATAGAATACATGGGGATTATGAATTTAAAGATCATGGTAGCTCTTCTCTGATGATGTTAGTTTTGTTCATACTAGGCCATCTTTGTGATTGCTGGAAGCTTTCCAGAAAATGTAGTATTTAGGAATTTCAGTAGGTCTTATCTGTATTCTCATGAAAGAGCAGATTATGGTTATTTCTTTAAGCATGTATGTTACATACTTTTAAAAATAAACCGGGGGATTTCCTGTTATGTAAAACATACATATTAAAAAAGGAGGGAACGTCGTGTCTCCAGTTAATGTTTTTCCACTCATACTTCTTGTAATTTTTTCCTAGTCATTTATTCCTTTATTTATATGTGGATTAATTCCAAACAAACTGCCTACCATAAAACTATGCCCTTCTTTAGAAACAAATTAAGTCTATATTATACGAAAAACAAAACATATAATCAAAAACATAATAAAATGTAATAAACAAAAAAGACATATGGAGTGAAATTTTGGAACTAGATTTGGAGATAGTTATATCAAAAAATCTGACACATATTTCACCACGACTCCTTTTCTAACTTTGTAAATGAAGAGGTGTAGTCCACATATCATTAATTTTTCTGAAAGACATTTCTCATCCTAATGTTTTTATGTACCTTTTTGCTTTTCCCCCACAGGTCAAAGATGTTGATTCATTCATAGTGTGAGGCCCAGAAATCGGCATTTTTAAACAAGTACACTGGACATTTCTAAAGCTGGCTAAAGTTTGAGAGACACTATCCAAGGGAAATTTCTCCGTAACTCTTTTTCTCAGAAGAAAAGTAAACTAAAAGTAAAAATAAGCAGTACCACTAAGTTTCAAGTGATCTTCTCCTAAAAGAAGAAAAGGCCTATATTCAGGCACAAGAAAAGTATATTCTCTTTTATCCATGCAGAAAACAGCTAGTGGTTGAAAATCAACACTTCAGACCTCTTGTCTACATAAAGCCAACTGCCCCTTTGTTTTACTGATGTCTTCAATGATTTTACTTAGATTTTTCTACGGCATTTACTGAATTAGCTAAGCAGACACAGATCCAGTCCTTCATGAATATGGTTTGGAGACTCTCTACTGAATCAGCACTCTTAGCTTCACCGACATAGTCTCTTGGTAGACCAGAAGGTGTATCTTATCTGGAAAGACTGCTATATCTACACCCACAAAAAGCATTATTTATCTGAACACTAAATTCTGACTTCCTTGCCATTTTAGGGAGCCACTTTAAAACATTTTCAATATTTGCTATTTTGTAGCAGCAAATCCTTCAGAAGGAGGTCAAGTGATGGCCTTTATCTGTTCCCAGTGTCTTGCCCTTAGGTCCTCAGGGCACCCCCTGGACAGCAGCCTTAGGAACCAGGTACAAAGCACAAGCACTGCTGGTCCGCATGGTAAGGAATCACTTCCAGACTGGGCCTTCCCATGGGCTTCCCTGAGCTTCCTGGACTCAAATCATAGTCCTTCTTTTCCTCTCCCCTTTGGACTTGATAAACGCAGTCCCATTCATTTAATCTCCAACTTAGAAATCCGGAGAATGTGAGCCCTGGGATTTACTTTCAGACACCCTCGTCGATAACCTTGGCCACTTAGGTTGCTGCAGCCTGTCCCCAGGGAGACAGTTAGAATGGAACAATGACACAAACAACACCAACAATAACAACAGCAGCAGAAGCAGAAGCAACAATAGTAGAACGAGAAATAATTTATAACATGCTTACTACATGCCAGGCACTAAGTGCTTACCCATATTAACTCAGTTAATTCTTATAACAACCAGATGAGATAGATTTTCTTATTATCCCGATTTTACAAATGAGCAAACAGAGGCACAAGCAGGTTAAGAAACCTCCCCAAGGTTAAACAGTGAGAAACAGCAAAGATTTGAACAGTGAGAAACAGCAAAGATTTGAAACAGCAAAGATTTGAACCTATTGTTCGGGAGTCCATGCTGTTACTCATTTCTTTATGCTGCCATAATCTAATATAAAATTGAATAACAATAAATGCACCTTATATTTGTATAGCTATACACACTAATTTACATGATCTTCATAAGAACTATGAAATGGCTGTGATTATCCCCATTTTTAAAATGATACTATAAAGGCATAAAATGCTGTATTTATGGTATGCAACCCTTTGGTGAACAACCCTATAAATATTTAATTACTTATATTGATGTTCTTCCTACGTCTAAGAAAAATGTTATTTCCATTCCCAAGATGTTAGTAGAGACGAAGATTTTTCAATTTGTCTCCTTGATTTTGTTGGATTATAGCATTAAAGTTATTTTTACAAAGCCATCTACGGTAACCCAGTAGAAAGGGTAAGCCTGTTGGCTTAGGAAAACTGAATGGCATTCAGTTTCTTCAAAGAAATTTGGGACAGATGTGGGTTTTTTTTCTTCTTCTTCTTCAACAAATCCAGAAGATGAAAAATGTATTTTATTTCTTGTGAAATGCATTTTTCTGTTCATCTCAGTATGTGGGACTGTTGAAGTTTATAAGTTTGGCAGTGTTCTAACATGGCCATCCTGTTCTCCTTTAGCAACTTATTAAATGTATTTTTTTTAATGAAAACAGAACATAGTGGAAAACTTTTTTCATCTTTTGACATTTACTTGTTGGTTAGTGTTTTCTACCAACAAGATCTCAAACCAGTATGACAAAACATCCACAACTCATTTCCAAAGGCATTGCAGATGATGGTGCCCGGCTCTTCTGTACAATGTTTTATTATTTATTTATTTATTTTATTATACTTTAAGTTCTGGGATACATGTGCAGAATGTGCAGGTTTGTTACATAGGTATACATGTGCCATGGTGGTTTGCTGCACCCATCATCTACATTAGGTTTTTCTCCTAATGCTATCCCTCACCTACTCCCCACCCCCGACAAACCCTAGTGTGTGATGTTCCCCTCCCTGTGTCCATGTGTTTTCATTGTTCAACTCCCATCTGAGAATCAGTGATGATTTTAGAGCTGTTAACTAATTCTTTTTAGATCAATGTTGGTTTATTGGAAGGGAAAATTTTTCTCAAGGTTTCTTACACAACAATGCTACTAAATTGCAATGTGGATACTCCACGGGATTTTAAAAAAGTTTTAGTGTGGTCTTGCTTGGAGGCAGGTGGGCAGACAGAATGGCATTTTCCATTTCTTCCTGGATTTAGGACCCTAAGAGATTTTCCCAAGTCATTTTCTGGAACTCACGAAGCTCCCTTGGCCTGCTGACTCCACCATCAATGAAACCATGAGATTCTTCCCTAGTGTTCCAATCTCCTTTGATTTTTCAGGCCTATTTCAGCTCTCATTTTCATATCCCAGCTTTGCCTTTACACTCGATATTTTAAAGAGCTTCAGAGTTGACCAAAATTGTGTCCTAGTGCATGGAGAAGTTATTCCATTCTCTCCAAATTGTTATCCTGGATGATTGGATTTAACAACCTCTAGGAGGATTTGTGGAGGTTTTAGTTTGATTTCCCTGTGATCATTGATGGTATTTTTATTTTCATTTGCTAAGAAGCTTTCTGCAGTACAGGGAATAGCTAATCATGCCATTCCTATCTTTGGCTCATCTTAACTTCCTTCTTACTAAACATCCACCTTTAAATACTATGATCTAAGAATCATAATTATTCCTATACAATGTGCTAACCAAATCACAGCACAAGTGATAGATGTGATTTAATAGGTAGTGCATGCCATCACATGAAATTCAGTGTTAGATATAACCATATCTAATGCTGTCTTGTTCCTGTCTTGTAGTTCACCTATTAAACCTACTAGGCTGACAGAGCACAATCTTGGGGGAAGCATGGAAAGAGAAGAGAAAGAATTCTCCGTAGACATGCATGAACATTCATAGGATAGGGAAAAAAAAAGGAGTTCTATAAGCACTTTTCTATATTCCCTAAACTGTAATAGGCTGAATTTTTTGTGCCCCTTTATTTTCTGTTGGGTGCAGGAAAAAATAACTATTCTACAGATAGCTCACAGAAGAGTGGCCAACAACTACGGTTACATAGCCTGCTTTTACACAATTTTTTCCAGAACCCATAACTTGAATGAAAAGCTCTTTTTTTTTCTTTGCTCCACTTGTGATGAGAATAGTTTGTTTGACTCATACCAAACCAAATCAAGCATTTCTGTGGGCACAAAGAGGAATGTGGAGCAAAGAAAGATTTTCTTCCTAAAAAAGAGTGTGTGCATGGAAAACAAAATTGCTTCAGATTTCACAACATCCTTTACCATTAAACACTGAAGGCGGTTTCGGGTCAGTCCAATTTCCTTTGCAGATATTTGACTTTAAAAATCACATATTCAACTTTTAAAAATGGATTTGTGTGAAATGATATATAAAAAAAATCTCATGGTATATAAGTCATGATGAGTTTCAGCTTATGTTTAACCTCTGCCTCTTCATCTTTAAGAGATGCAAATTGCCTCCAGGCAATAGTGGAAATGTCTCGTATATCTTGTCCTGCTTCCTCCAAATCAGCCCCCAAAGACGTTTACATTAGGAACTCAGAGTGATGCTGAAATAAATGAGTTTCTTCAAAAGGCTGACTGCCCCCTATCTAGGAAATTAAAAATCACTGGAGAGATTTTTTTTTTAAAAAGGGCAATAACAGATAAGTACATAGTTCTTGCTTTCTCAGCCAGCCCTATTAATACTTTTTAGAATCTCAAATGACTGATACTGTTAACTATGTGGCTAATTTTAAGAGGGAGAGTAAAACTTTTTCTAAACGACTCAAGTATCATACTCTCTCAGTTGTTCCAAGATCTCAGATTTGTGACTGTACTTATTCAAAGAATGTCATGCATTTGCTTTTCTCTTCAAGAATGTAACATTACAAATGTCTTTTAAATATGATTTGATGTGAAGCTACAATAATTCTTTGCATGCATTTGAGAACTACAGATTCTGGCAGTTGACTCAGAAGAGCTTCTCTGCTTCCTTAAAACAATGAAAACAATCTCACTTACCTTCTCCCAAGGCTGCTGTGAACACTAAAATTGCGAAAAATCAGAAAACTGAGGTATAGAGTGAGTTCTGGATGGTTCTCCGGGGCCCGTGGCCATGCTGTACCTGGCAACAACCTCTGGGAAGTGAGAACAACAGGTATCACCATGATTATTACAATTTTATAGACAAGGAAAGCAACTCAACATGGAGAAATGACTTGTCTAACATCACTGGGCAGAGTTAGTACCTGAAAGAACCAAGATGCAAGTGCAATGCCTTTGATTCTAACCTCCATGCCCTTTTAATAAGGTTCCATGAGATTCCTTTATAAACTGTAAAGTGCCCTATAAATAAGAGGTATTACATGATCAGACCCCTTTGACCTTACTCCTATCTGAGGCCAAACTAGGAAAAGTCAGAGAAATATTGGAATGTTCCCATTCCTGACTCGTCACTGGATTTTTCATAGGACAGTTCAGAGAGAACCAAAACAGAAATGGCAGTGAAATACCAGATATTTGGAGCAGAAAACTCAGCTCTGGGACAAAGGCTGGTCATCCGCTGAGAAAAGAGGTGATAATTTGGGAGCTGGAAGAGCAAGGTCACAAGAAGGAAAGATAGCTAAAGGAATGAGAGACACTGGGAGGAAAGGAAGGGTGGCCAAGCTGGTACATGGGCTGGTGCAGAAGAGTCTGACAGATGGCTTTCATCACTGAGTTCTTTTACATGATGGTTAGAATCCTTAAAGTGATGGCCTCCCAGGTGCTCTATCTGACCCCAGGTGTGCTGGGGGAGCCTGCACATATCCCTTCTATCTCACCGCTGGCCTTCATGCTCTTTGTCACCAACCCTGGCACCTCTCTACCTGAGGGTCTTCTCTGGTGGGCAGAATCCACTCTGTCTAAGCATGGGTGGGTAGGAAGTGCCTGAGAATTAAAAACCCTCTCTTTCACTGGATGATGATGTGAGTTGGTGCATAAATACCCCAGCTCCCTCACCCGTCAGGGCCGTAATGCTGAGCACATGCTCTCCATTGGCTTCCAGAGTTCCCTTTGGCATTAAGGTCCAGGTATTCACCATGGTCATGGTAGCCTGCTTGATAATGCTCCATGTTTTGGTTAAATTACCTCCCTGTCTGTTTTTTCTACTTCCCTTTTCCTGTTTCCTTCACCTCCCAAATAAACTACTTGCATTAGAGTCCTTGTTTCAAAGTCAATGTCTGGAGGAAGCTGAACAAGATGCACCTTGCAGAGAGAATCATGGTCATCTTGGGGAATAGCAACATCCTGCAGGGGCAGGACCAGGGACCAAGGGAACTAAAGAAAGGACCAGGAAGATGAAAAGTGTTCAGACCCATGAAGTCTCACCATAGCCAAGAAATTCATTGCAAGTTGTAGGTCAGAGCTGCTGATTGACAGCAGATTGGGCCCAGAACACACTGATGACAGAGGCAGTTGAAGATCCATTGTCCGTTGAAGAGTCAGGAGCCACAGGCCAGGCAAGATACGCGAGGATGAGAGGCTCAGAACCTACAAGCAAATGCCACTGGCCCCTGGGGCTGAGGCCAGGAGTATTGAGGTGGGAGAAATTCACTGCTTATTAGAGCCAAACATGATCTTGGTCAGGATTTAATCCATCCTGTCCTGCAGATGAGGAACCGAGGTTAAGAGGGCAGATGTCCTACCAGAGGCCAATCGTACAACCATTTAGTTAAAGAACCAGGACTAGAATCTACCACTGGTACTTATCCACCACTCCATGCTATACTGAAAATGATCAAATCAGAATTTTGATCCTCAGACTTAACACTTACTTGGAAAAAAGTACCTAGTCCTCTAAAAATGGAAAAATTCAAATTAAGTCTTCATTTCCTCCTGCGTTTGACATCCACATAGAAGGGCAGACTACATGGTCTAAAGCCTACCTGTTTTAGAGAGTGTGTATAATAACTCTTCATCACCGAATGGGAATGCTGCTGTGAGTTTTAATTACTATTCATTAAGGGCACAGATGTGGTCTGTTAAATAAAATGCTCTAAGTGAATTTCATGATAGTTTTACCAGATTATAAAGAACTTTCAAACACTCAAGAGCCCAACTATTTTGGTCCATACTAATGCTATATTGTTATTATTTATATTAAATATAATAGGCAATATTATAATAATAATGAATGCTATATTATACATCTGGTTTATCTTTAAATTCAAGTCAAAAAAATATTACTGTTGAAGAAAAAGAAGTATCTTCCTGATAAGATCTAAAGCTTGTTTGAAAGACGAAGGCTACAAAGAATTGCCTCCTTGGAGAACTCCAAGGTAAAGATGTAGTAGTCTCATCAGTTTTGTCTCCTTGTAAACTGCTACAAATGTTTAGGGAAACATTGTACCTCTGAGGCACTTTGCTCTGATAAGCTCGGAATTCCCCTCGTATACTCTTTAAGTATTTTACTAAGGCTAGCTCTAGAGAAACAAGGATGGTCTTAGTAGAGCTAGTTTAGAGTGAATAACTGTGGCTGAATATGTACACTGTATACACACACACAGCCTGATAGAATTATTTGGAGTATTTAACATACTCTTTAATAATATTATACTTTGTATCTTTAATATCTGTATATTATGTGTTAAATAATAGTGTGTTTCTCTGTCTAGCTGAATACCTAGACATAAATAAATAGGCTAAGCAACCCAAAACTAGATCCCCGGAAACGGAAGACTGACTAATTTCAAAACATTAAATGTTGAAGATGGAAGGGACTTGTGAAGATCACTTAGTTCAACTCTTTATGACTAAGGAGACTCAGAGCAGAAGGAAAGGACTTGCAAAGGCCACCCAGTTCATCACTGTGAAGCCAAGGCTCCTGAATCTTAGTCCAGGTCACTTTCCCCAAGATCTGAAGGATGGCTCACTTGTCCTCAGGAACAACAGTGGGTTACTGGCTCTTTCATGGCCATAGCACCTCTCCTAGACTAAACACATCAAAATGTCACTTACATCAAAATCCTCTTGTCTTTTGAAAAGAGGTACAAGTTCCTCCATCCTTGTTTATACTACTCTGTGGAGATATTCAGGATCAAAATGAAACTTTGTCACATGGAAAGCTGAAACATTTGTAAAATTGTAGTAATGAAATGCAAGTGAAAGCGTTTTGCAAATTGTCCTTTACCCTTGTCAAGAGTTCCATTGAGTGGGATCTGAATGCTGTCACATCTTTTCAACCAATGGAGAGATAGTCTGATTCCATGCCCAGAAAGCAGTTCACCCATTTAATCTCATTCTCAAAGGGTTTTCTAAGTGCAGGACAGGCAGATCAAATAGCACTGTGGACTGTTGGGGTTGTTCTGTAAAATAAAGTAGTAGATAAACATCTTTCTCTGTTCACAAGGAGTGTACTACAGTCAGGGTAACCTTCAACACATGGAGGAGGCAGCCCCCTGAATAGCATAAATTCAGAACTCTGGGAAGACCCCATTCTATCTCTCTATATCCACAAACCTCTTGGCTGCCATCTAAGAGGCCACCATTTATATTTCATTTGTCCTAGTTTTATATCCCTATTAATGCACAAATATCTTTGGTAAGAATGACCCAAGATACTAACATTTTCTCCCTTAAACTAAATAAAGCTTTGGAGCATGAGTTTTGATGGGAAAGGAAAAAGAAAGCAAACACAGGAGGACTCTGAGTGGTACTAGCAGATAAGGAGAAGGGAATATCACTCAGGGAGGGGAAATGGTCAGGGAGAGGCAGTGCTGTTGTGGACTCATGAAAGCTGTACTTTTGGTGATTTTATAGCATGTCAGGAGCATGTTCTAAGTGTTCTCCAAGCTTAATTCATGTAATCCTCCATCTTATGAAGTAGATGCTATTATAGTTATCCCTATTAGAGATTAGGACATAGAGGGAGAGATATTAAGTAACCTGCCCAAGTTTACATAGCTGATAAATAGCAGATTTCAAATATATGCCTTCTGGCTCCAAATTCTGAGCCCTGAAGCACTGTAGTGACCATTCATCTACATTACAGTTTTGTCACTGTAAAGGCCTGGCTGATTTATCTTGTTTTCCTCGCTACTGAAACAGCTCTAATAAGACTCTCCCCTGCCCCCTAGCTGTCTGATAAAATGAGTTTGCATTTAAAGCCCGAAAGCTGCTTGGTCTTGGCGACCCTTCCAGTACACTGTTTGCCCTGGGGTGCTCCTTTGGGACCCTTCCTAAGAGAAGCTCTGAGGTTTTGTTAGTCCCTTGGCAAATGGACTTCTCAACAAAGAGCCTAGGAGGGGTAAGATAGGCACGGTGTTGGGTAGAAATGGAGGGCTACCTATTTATAATAGATGCTGAGAAAGGCTGGGCCATCTCTGCTATATGTACTCAGTCTCAGAATCATAACAAGTTTCTTGTCTCTGTGGATGAAAAAGCACCACCCTGGTAGTGAAGGAATGAGGTACTGGCCTTTAGGTTAGAAACACATTAATAATCCAGACTCCAGAATGGGCAGTGCCACTGCTCTGGCATCCTTCTCCACAGACAAACATAAGACTCAGGTTTCTGGGCCATCCAAGGTAGCACTTTTCACAAATATCAAACATAAATAATTGAAGAGGCAATGTTTAGAAATGGAAAATGCAAAATCCCAGGTGAATTTGCTGCTTCTCTCTCTTTCTTTGTGCCTGTGCCTCTCCTGAATCTCCATGGGCACATGGCAAGCAGCGTGAGTCATTCTGACACCTCATGTACATCCTTCTAGACATTTGTGGTTTTTGTCACTGTTTTGAAGATGATCAAATAATAGAATAATAAGTTTCAAAAGTCTTTCTTAAACTGCCTACTTTAATGAAAAGATGAAAACCAAAATCTCCATGGATTTAGGAAGAAAAGTCATCACTCTATTTTGTACAGAATTTACTTATACCCCAGTTGAACCCCCACAAAAGTAGAGAACAATGTAGCACAATATATGAGATAATTGTCACATGAACAATTTATTTTGATAGTGGTGTCATGCATTAAACTTCCTGAATACGGCCCCACACACAAAACTCTTTTCACATTTGTGTGTCATACATAGAATTGAGAAACATTTCAATTTTGCTGATAACCTCAAGTTGGAAATTAGTGATAACCTTCCTTAGCCCCAGTCATAGCTGAGACATACGGTTGGTTAATCAAATTAGGAGGGTGAGCTCTGCCTTCACATTTGCCAGTTCATTAAGTTAGATCTGCCTGGTAACCATGATAGCCAGGCTGTGTCATGATTACCTGATGTACCACTGAAACCCAACACATTATACATGTGTTTATACAATTAATTGGTTATTCAATGTTTAAAATAAAAATTCTGAAGAGGTATAAATTATGCCATACCTACTAACATACCCTGGGTAACAGAGGCTCTTCTGCATTAAATATGCCCAAGAAAATCATATTTCATCAATGCAAATGGGGCAGAAAATGCATCATTTTAGTGAGGCCAAACCACTGTGTCAGATGAAATTTACCAAAATGTACAGTTTTTGGTCATCTTACAGCCAATAGGATTGAGAAATAGGATCCACGCAATGCCTTAAATCCTGAAATGATAGGAGAAATATGGTTGCGTCATGAAATTTATCAGATACATCCCTTTGCCAAGTAAATAAAAAATAAAAAAAGGACTGCAACATTCAACATCATGGGAAGAGAGGGAAGACAAGATGGCAGGGATTTTTTTTTTTTTTTCCAAACTCCACAACGTCAAGGGAAAACAAACTGGACTGTCAAAGCAAATTCTGACAATGCGGAGTGCTGTCCCTGGCAGAGGCGGCAGCTCCATCGCTCTGTTTGTTTGGGCCCAGCCGTGGCTTTTATTAGACTTTGAAGAGCACCCTAACGGTGGGTCATGGGGCGGTCACTACTCATCTCTGCTGTTGTTCCACGTGGCCTCTCTCGGCCGCTACGGGAAGAAGGGAATGGTTTCTTTAAGGAACGAGGCTATTTATAAAATAACTATAAAATCTAATATCCATTATGCACAAATGATAGTGTCAGACAGCTCCGGCGGCTGTATATTTGCTGGACATCAGCCTTCTGTGAGTATAAATTGCCCCGTACTGAGGAGAAATACAATACAGTTCACCAGAGACTTGGCTGCAAGATGTAGCCGCTTGTCTGTGGGCAAGTAATGACTTGCGTTTTCAGCTGCTTCTTGGTAAGAGCCTTAGTAATTGGAATCAGTTATTCAAAACATCGCTAAATGTGATTTAAATGGCAAGGATTTAATAACAGAGAAAGAAGCCATTAAAGGGGTTCAAGCAGGGGAGAAGGGAATTCCGTTTTTTAGAGCAGAGGGAGAAAAATAAAGCAATTACTTGATGTAAAGGCCAGAAACAGGACTCCTGCTGTCAGGGAGAAATCAAATCTGTCAGCAATTAGTGGGATCTTAGGAGGTAAAGAACTCTCCAGCGTTGAGCAGTGAATAAGGGGTTAGCAATTATATGAACTGATAAAAGTGTTCTGGTTTCCAAACAGCAGGTTAACAAGCCTTACTTTTTTCATAACTTGATGCAGATGTGATGGTCACACTTGAGGATATTTTTCAGTGGTTCGCCAGGAAAGTTCCTTAATAAGTACATTGGGCAGCCTGTTTCCATCTCAAACTGTGTTCGTGCTACCTAACGCAAAAGGATGTGTGGGAGAGCATTTTGATAGCAAGGCTCTTCTTTAATTAAAAAATGGAATAATAAATTCTCTGAACATGCAATTAAAAAAAATCAAATGAGAAATTCACGTCCCCATGTCCATTCTTCCCATGGGATTGGCAGTTCCTGGTATTTTCAGCATGGAAGGAACGTCACCTGGTATAAAAGAGGCAAACTTTGTATCAAATAAATACATTAACTTTATTATGACATGCTCCTTGTTATTGTGTAGTCTTAGGAATAAAAAAACCTGTGACATATATTTATATACATATGTGGCCTACAGATGACTCCTATAGGGGGTCTCTAAAAATTATTTGGTATTGATGGATATGGGGTGTGAAACTCAGTCTGACATGTGAAGTTATATCAGAAGGAAAAAATCAATAGTTCCGTCACAAAAACAGTTGCAGGCTTTCAATTCAAGGAGCTACTCTGTCTGCTGAGAGAACACTAAGATGTCAATAAAAGCTGAGTATTTGAAATAAGGTCATTTAAAAAGACTCCCCTAGAGTCAATCCTCTTTGACTTGCTATGAGTGACCTGTTTATGATTTCGCTGATGCGTATTCTGTTTTAAAGACAGAGGCAATTCTACCTCAGCAACAATACTGCAAAGAAATTGATCATTCAGCATATGCTACTGCTTTGTCAGTTAGCAGGAGACAATTAGGAATTTTTTTCTTCCTTTTTTTCCATTAAGAAATTCAGTCAATATATTGGAGCATTGAGGACTACCTGCTTTCACTTTAAGCACTTGTATAAGCTAATCGTTAAAAAATATTAAAATTTCCTATCAGTGTATCTCAGGGGATTTTCCATTTTGAACAAAACTCCTCTGACCAGAAAAATCTTACCCCTCCTACCCAGGGGATCTGCTGTGGGTCAGCAGGGCTCCCATTGCTGAAACAACTAAGCGCCCTTAAAGGCCAACGATCATGAAACATCTGTGAACCCCAAAGTGATTCGGAAATGTAGGATCATCAGATTGTGGTTCTAAGGGTGGCTTTTAACCCAGCTCTAAAGTCAACATAAGTTCCATTGCTTTTCTCTTTTGCAACATGACTTTCTGTTTTATATTATTATTACATAGTATATGTATAATATTTACATTAAAATGTTATTGCTCAGTTTTCTTAAATATTATATTCATTTCATGAAAATTTACAAACAGCATCTAGCAGATCTTGTTAGCTAGGGATGAGCAAAAGACATGGTATGAAATTATTAGGTTGGTGCAAAAGTAATGGCAAAAACTGTAATTACTTTTGTACCAACCTAATAGAAGCAAAGGAACATCAGCATGAGCGACTACAGTTCTGTTCAGAGAAAGATGTGCTCTTTCGTTGCTGTTACCAAATACCCCAAATGCACACACCATGTAGACTTGCAAAGATCCTATACTTTAAAATGAGATTCATTAAAACTACTTCCTGAGCACTAATATGTGCAAGACACTGTGCTGAGTGCTGTGTATTCATTTGTGTTATGTTTCAATTACTAAGAAACTACACAGATTTTTTTAAATACTGAGTTGGTTTTTAATTAATATGTATATGTGTGTATAGATTTTGAGGACTGCAGTTTCTGGACTTATTTAGTTAATTCCTGATTTTCTTACCATCTACCATTGTCCAACTACCAAAGTCACTTATCTCAAAAAGAAATTGAAAGCAACTGAGTTAAGGAAGTGATAAAGATGAGAAATGCCAGATCAAAGCATCTAGTATAGGGAGATGTTCCGGCAGAAGAGTTTGCTATTTCTGTAGAAGTGTATGGCTATGGTTTTTCTATGAAATAATTGCCCTAAAATTCTTACCCACCAACCAAATTCTCACTTTTGGGTCAGGTTGATAGGATGCTGGGCTCTGGTCTCATCACAATGAGGACAGACTCACATTATACTGGGTTTTAATAATAAACTGATGGATTTTCACATGATCTCACCCCAGCTCTGCTAATGGCAGGCTGTGCTTCCTTTAACAAAAAGGTCCTCAGTTTCCTCATCTGGATGTAGTAATAATAACAATTTTTAGCCAGGCGTGGTGGCTCACGCCTGTAATCCCAACACTTTGAGAGGCAAAGGCGGGTGGATCACAAGGTCAGGAGATCGAGACCATCCTGGCTAACACAGTGAAACCCCCTCTACTAAAAATACAAAAAATAAAAATTAGCCTGGTGTGGTGGCGGGCGCCTGTAGTCCCAGCTATTCAGGAGGTTGAGGCAGGAGAATGGTGTGAACCCAGGAGGCGAGCTTGCAGTGAGCCGAGATCGTGCCACTGCACTCCAACCTGGGCAATAGAGCAGGACTCCATCTCAAAAATAATAATAATAATAATAATAATTTTTGGAATGTCCTTGGAGTTCTCTACATTCCCTGGAAATTATAAAGGATAATACAACCCTGCTAAAGAAAAAAAAATTGGAGAAAATAACGTCTTAAAGGTAGAGAAAACAAATATGTTTTTCTGGACGTAGAATTATCTAGTAATTCCTCATAGGCTTTCTTTATCTAGTTTCTCATTCAAAATAGGTACGAAGTCATCAGAGCAAAGACACCTGTGGTGCATCTCAGTAGAATATAGTTGTGAGCAAAACATATTTTTAAAAAGTGCTTCCTGTAACATCACTGGGAAATTTTGAGGTCTTTGAGTCTATGAGGGATGTAGTATTGTTCAGGGGAGCATATAAGAAAACTCAAGTTGAATATTCTGCATGATTCATCAAGTCAAGTTCAGAATTGTTGCGATCATGTCTGTTCCAATAGAGTCATGAAAGAATCTTCACTAGCCAGACATAAATATATGGCAAAAAAGGTTCAGGATCCAACTCCCATCCTTTGAAAGCTGCTTGGGAACAAAGCAGTTGCCTAAATTGCTTCACCGAGTCCTGGCCAAAGGACGCAGCTTCCAGAGGGTGTGAGCAGAGAGGCCTCTGCCAAACAGTGATCCTCACATGGATTTCAAAGAAACACTGCAGCTGAAGGCCCTCAGATGGGATGGAGACCAGTTGGTACCCTGTCTTTATGATTATTCAATTTGGCTGTCCTCAAACTGAGGACCGCCCCTGTGGGAGAGACTGTGTGAAGGTGTGCTTCTTCACTTTCACTGAACCGGGCAGCCTTTGCGGAGCAGTCCTGTTTTCAGGCATCAGCTGTCAGTGTCAGGAAAGAGTGGAGATCATTGCCAAATTAGAAATCTGAAGTGTCCCTGCTAGGAGGCTCTGTGTGCATTTTGACATGTCTGGCTGGCAATTCTTAAAAAAAGTAAATCCTAGCAGTTTGCTGGCATGACAGCCTTACTCGGCAGCACCAGCCAGGGAAGACTTGGTAAACTATTATTGTTTGGAGATTTGGAGTAGAGAACCTTCTGGGCTTTGGCATAAAATGACTAAGTCACTTCCTCCAGGTTTGTGGAGGAGGGGTCATCTTGCCTTTTACACTCGCTTTATATCCTGTGTTGGGCACCATAGCCATTAGGACATTCCTTCTATTACATGATATGATTGAACTCTGTCTTTTAATTTTGTGATTTTGATCTCCTTGAATTACTGATTAATCAGCCTTCCAAACAGGCGCTCACTCATTTGACTGGGGGCAAATCGTAAAGAATGCTGGTGCTGCCAGTCTGCATGCAGCTGTGCCTGCTCCTCTGGTTGGGACTGCTGGCCAGGATTGCAAAGTGGAATAACCTGGGCCACTTCTTTGCCAAATGAACTGTTTCATAACTTCCCAGTAGCCATACTGTGTAGAGGACTTGGCTTCCTTGATGCAATCTCAGCCTTCGTTGGCGTGGGTGGACTGACAACCTGGTCAGGTGTGTGCGTTGAGGTTGCTGCATTTTCCATGCAGGGTGTTCATCTTTGTAATGTCAAACTCTCAACAACAACCCAGAGATGAATATTCAAAAACCATCTACATTGGCCAGGCATGGTGGCTCACACCTGTAATCCCAGCACTTTGGGAAGCCGAGGCCAGTGGATCACCTGAGGTCAGGAGTTCAAGACCAGCCTGATCAACATGGTGAAACCCTGTCTCTACTAAAAATACAAAAATTTGCTGGGTGTGGTGGTGGGCACCTGTAATCTCAGCTACTCTGGAGGCTGAGACAGGAGAATCGCTTGAATCGAGGAGGCGGAGTTTGCAGTGAGCTGAGATCGCACCATTGCACTCCAGCCTGGGCGACAGAGACTCTGTCTCAAAAAAAAAAAAAAAATCTACATCATGGACTTTCCCCTGCTTTAAGAAAGACAGAATATCTTCAGCATAAGCATTTTTTGATAGTATTTTTCACTGATTTTATTTTAAAAATCCTTCCGTGGAACAAATCTTAACTATAGTATTGAATGGTCATGTGCAATCTTGCTTATTTTCACCTAAAACAAATGTTGATATGTATACGTGAGAATGGCAAAATCGGTGAGATTAAACCAATAATTAAATGTCATTAGTTTCAGCCATTCTTTTAACATGGAATCCAGATTTTTAATAGCTTGTTTTCTTTCGTATAGGTTGAATTCTTCTTAGTGTAGTACCTATATTGTGTTTTTAATTGTCATATGTTCATGGCCAGCCTAGTGATTCCCCCAATATCCACAGAAATGACCCAAAAACAAATCATAGGAAGTACTTTTTGTTCTGAATTCAATGATGGAAACTCTGAAAAGTAAATGAGAAAACTTTTATGCAAAACATTATTCATTTTATATGGTCACAAAACCTTATTGACACAATATCACATAGCAGTTAAGTAACTTAGTACTAAAAACTATAGAGGCTAATCTGCTCACTGTCTGTAGCTAATTTTATACTCCAGGAAGAGATAGAACATTTTAAAAATTAGTTGTCAAAGTTTCATACATTATGTTGTTATTTTGAACCGTCATTGTGGTTTTCTTCTAGAATAAAGCTGTTCTGTAATTCCATATAATTCTCGTATCCAAAGTGTATTACCATTTCATCCCTCTCCACTTTTTCTTTCTTCTGCTAATAGAATCCGGCATCACACAGAACTGAGTAGGTGAAATGCATATTGCTCAGAATCATCTTCAGGTCAAAGGAGCCCACAAAACACAACCCAACCAAACAAAATCCACATGATGGAAGTTGGGTGTGGCTTGTTAATTGATAGCCCTTAAAAATGTGTTTAGAAACATCGTTTTTTATCAGAGGAGGTAAACGTGGAAATGCTTCTGCCCATCATTAACTAGTTTCTGGAACGTTTCTTTTTACTAAGCAAGTTTTTTAAAGGGTATTTTCAAAAACAGGAAAATGCAAATTAGAGGCATTGGTCATTACACAGAAAATAAAAGAACTGTCAAAGAAAAATGGAACAGGATGTCAATGGCACTGTGAACTAGAAATAGATGGAGTCTCACTATAATGTTAACTGTAAAATTAGGTCATGGGTTCCTGTCATTGTTGAAACTCTTAGAAGGAGAAAGTTCTAAACTACCTTACGTGAGAACAAAGACAGTTCTGCCTTATGTGAATTCCATCCTTTGGGTAGTGACAGTGCAAAGAACCAGAGTAACTGTAAGTTGGTGGATGTGTGAAGTACAAAATCTGGGTGGTAGCAGGTGGTGACTGTATTCTTGATGTGGTGTTCTGTCCTCTTATATGGGTAGAAAGGTTCAAATATAGTTATACGTTTGCTACCTTACGGTGATGTGATATCATCCATTATGAAAATTCATCATTGACCTATAAATAATCTAAAATTATCTTGATTTTTTAATCTTTCCCCCATTTTTGATAAGGAGTCTTTGCTAGCCTATCTTTCTTCTTGGCCTATCTCAAATACTTTTACTCCTGAGTATATATTTGTGAAGTAACTCAGTGGAGTTAGGATGTGGTCTGTGGCCATGAAATGGAGCAAGATTAGTTTTTCCTTTTTACAGTTCAGCCTACAGTTCCTATTATCTTTGCCTTATTAGCATTGTGTTCCAACCAGTTGGCCCAGTGACACCATAACTATATTTAGAGACTGTCAGAGTCATTTAGAGACTTTGTGTTCCACGTTAAATTTGCTATGACATATTGATAAGTAAAATGGTCCAGCATGGGTTCTGCTACTACCCTGTTCACACAGAGCACTTAATTCTCTACACTGCAGTTTTCCTGTTGCAGAATAAGGATAATAATACCTGCAAGATCTACTTTACAAGTGTGTCATGATGAACAGTAATTGAGATGATAGGCATTATTATCATAAATTATTGGATGATATTTTTCATACAGCTAAGAATTGAGTCAACAAAGTGACAACTCTATGTCCAATAAGACAAATTTCACTTAATAAAACCCTGTAATATGCTCTTCTCATTATGCGATATTAATGTGAAAGCTCTAGTGTTCTCACATCCTGAGAGCTTCCCCAAAGGGACATAGACTTATTCAATTGCCATCCATCCCTAATTTTTATTTCAACATCTAGTTCTATCAAAAATTTGAAGTTGTCACACACAAAGTGCTTTGGGGGTCTGTTGCCCTGCACACTTGGCCCATCTCCATCCATGAACGCCATTCTGAAGTGGTGGTCTTTGTGCCGTTCTCATTGTTATTCCTGGGTGCCATAGTCACTTGAATACTTGAGCAGGGGAAGCAGCGGTCTCCGGCGTCAAGTCAGTTTCAGCTCTTGAGATCTGAAAGGCAGCCACTTGGAGTTCATTACACATTTCTACTCAACACTCCTGCCTTAACATTGTATCACACAAGAATTCTAAATTCATTTTGGCTGTGTTACAAGGCCTGTTTTCTGCCTGGATGCCCAGGTCTTCTTTCTTTCCATTGTCTCTGGTTGGTGTCCAGGAATAAAGGATACTTAACATTTAAAAAGGCAGAATTGTTTGCAATGAAAATACTTCCCGCTAACTGGCACTCTCCGAGAACGTTAAAGACCCAAATGACGACAGTCACTTCCTTTGGAAGCATATTTATTTTCATGCATCTTTCCTGGAAAAAAGTTATTTTTTTGCGCGTTTTGCTCTTTATAGTTTATGTTTGCAATCCATGAGAACCCTAAGAGAAAGAGAGAATTTCCTAATGCAAAATACCTTTTACTGAATAGGAATTTGAATGCTGATATACCAGGTGGACCCTCTTTTATGTATGAAAACAGAAATCATTTTCTCAAGTTCCTCATGACCTCTTAAGGCTCCCCACCAGAACACGAGTTAAACTATGCTAAAATATGAATGCTTTAAAAATATATCTTGACACTTTTTGTTGATAAAGGGCACCACCCAGGAAGTAATTCACTGTCATAGCAGTTAGTGATAGTGTTGCAAGGTTTAATAAACCTTGGATCCCTCCACTTTTCTGCTTTAGCATGGCATGTCTAGAGTGTTCCTTGCAGCAGTGCGCTATTTAGAGACATTTGTCTGTCAGCCTCCCAAAAACAAAAGCCATTTAACTGCTTTTTTAAGAGGCTGAGCAGCAGTGATCCGTTTTTGGGAGGCAGGAGGGAACCAGGCCTGCATTACTGAGAGTGCGTGTGTGCGCACGCACACGTGTGTGTGTGTCTGTGTGTGTGCGCGTGAGCGTGCATGTTGTTTTCCACTGAGAGAAACTAATCTCTTGGCTTAGATCCACCTTGGTATTAGCCTCAGCGCTTTCTCTCCCTCCTTTCCTCTAAATCATTATTAAGTTTATTACTTCTTTTTTCTTTTGCTGGGGAAGATTAATGGCTTTCCCTGGGCAGAGGGACCTCTGCCGAGCACAGTGGCTCTATAAATAGCACCTGCTGCTAATTCTCCAGTGCCCGGTATCTCCCCCAACACATCTTGGTCTTTAAACAATTTGTTCAGAAGAAGAAAGCTATGGGTCACCGTGCACTTTGGTGTTACTCAAAATGTGTTTTATGGATAGTGAGTTTTTCTGCAGGAAGTTTGGCCTGGCGGGGCCTTTAGAGAAACTGGCTGTCCCAGTACCTCCCCAAGGCGGCATGCCTCACTAACCAGGCTTGTAAGGATATCACAGAACCTGTTGGACCTGTGGGGGTGGTGCCATGTGAATAGCTTTTGCCATTAACTTCCCCCCTCCTCCTTTTCTAATTTCTTCTCTCTCAGTAGATTTCAGGCTCAGCTGAGCTCTGTGTTCCAATAGCCTGGGGGAGATGTGACTTCATAGAGTTATAAAACACAAAAAGGGAAAATGCTGGGAAAGTTGCAATGCTAAGGTTCAGTGACTTGTGGTTTCAGAAAATGGAATGCTTCTGGGCAACACAGATGGCAGGAAGGACCAGTGATCAGCATTTTTAAACCATCTTCATCTTTAAGGGGTGATAATAGGAATAAGAGAGCACAACCTATATGGCTCATAGCAAGTGTTCAATACATCTTTGCTGAATGAATGAAAGAATTAATGAAAGGGATGATATTTCTCATTATTAGAAACATGCTTATCTGATATGCTGAAGTCAATGCAGTTGCAAGCAGAGTTGTATTACTTAATGAAGCCATGCAGCCTGTCAAGGTAAAGGAGAAGGGGAACTAGGCTCTTACATGTAACCTTGAGAGAAATGAATTCTTTCTTCATTTGGATGTTTAATGAGAACAATGAAAGATCCAAGGATGTTTCTCAGACCCTGAACTTGGTAGACTGGGAAGTCTTAACTTTTTATATGCCAACTTACTGCATGGATTCAAATTGGAAGTTCCCATTCTCTTTGGAAAGGACTCCCATCACCACTCCAACTAACCTTCAGGTCAAGGATTTTATTTACCCTTGTGTGTGTAACACTTTCTCAGTCTGCTTGTTTCATACAATTACACAATAGTGGACCCTGTGTAGTAATTACATAATAATTACATAAATAACAGAATCTTACAGCTGAGAGCGACCTCAGAAATGATCTAGAATAATCATTACCTTTTGCAGATGAAGAAATTGAGGCCTGGAGAGATAAAACTCCTTGCCCAAGGTCACTCAACTCATCAGCAGCAGAGTTAAACTAGCACTCAGCCTTCCCACCGGCCTGTGTCATATCCTTCCCACTATAATATATTGTCCTTAAAACTCAAATCAATGTCATTCTTGATTTCCAACGTGGCAATGTGAATTCCTTAAACCAATACTTGAAAATTTTTTAAAAAAAGATCTCTCAATGTGCTTCATTATAGACAAACAGGTAAGAAGCAGAGCTGCTTTGTTGAAGTGAGGTGGCAGAGGTGAGGATAGGAGACCTGGCATTCTGCCTACTGGCATCCATTTCATCTTCTGCCCCTATCCTGGGCAGTGCTGAGGCCAATCCAAGGAACCCAGGAGATCAGGAAATTCATTTTAATAACGCTATTTTTGTTCAAGGAAAACCACTTTGTATCTATCAACATAAAGTTTCCAATCAAATGTGTTTAGAGAGCTTGGCTTCCTCCACCTCTAAAATTACAAGTCAGGGACTCACAGAACAATATTATGACGAGATAGCACTAAGCATGGCACATTTTGGCTGTTTAATAAGTTTTGTTGTATAAATAAATTAATTAATGGTAGCAATGCAATTCCTAAAAACACTCAACTTCTCATTGTCAACTTCTCTCTCCCTGGTCTGTGTTACTAAAATATTCAGATATACCATTACTAACACATTTTCCTCTTTGTAATTGCCTCCATTCTTACCTGCTTCTCCTTGGAGACTGTGAGTTTCTCAAGAGCAGGACTCTGAACTCACAGTACCTGGGCCACATCAGACACACAGTAAGCTTTAGTAAATGTTGCTTGTTAAGTGAAGAATGACTGAAAGCACCTCAGGCATTTAGTGCTAAGGCAGGGTTCTCAACCTCAGCAATATTGACATAAAGGGGGGGATAATTCTTTGTTGTGGGGGCTGTTGTGTGCATAGTAGAATGTTTAGCATCTTCCCTGGCCTCTACCCACTAGATGCCAGTAGCAATCCCTCAAGCATGACAACCAAAATTGTCTCCAGATATTACCTATTACCAAATGTCCCCTGGTGGATAAAATTGCCCCTGGTTGAAAACTACAGTGCTAAAGGAAGTCTTGTTTTCTTTCTTCTGAGTTTTTGAGTGCAAAACAACAATTGCCTACTTTTGTTAGGTAAAAATTAGGCAATTGTATTGTTTGAATCTAGGAATTTAATAGTTAATACTGTCAGCCATTAATTCATCTCACCCTGCATATGTTTTACTTTGAGGGAATTTTAGTGGAGAACACAGTGTTTGCTAGTTTGAGAATATCATGTTCATTGAATCAAGGAACATAATGCCATGATTCTGTTGAGACAGTGGCCTGGGGTTAGCCAAGTACCATAGTTCTAGGATACAGAACAAACATGGCAGCTTCATATATTCTGTCATTATGAAGAAGTTGGGTTGACAAATCAGCTGTTTTTTTCCATGTTCTCCCCTTTTAGATGGTTTCATGGAATGCCCTTATGACTTTAAACAGATGCCCAACCAAATTCTCGTGACTCCAAAGCTATGAGATTTAATGACTCTGTTTACTTTATCTTAGATGTCTCATGATACCTTTTTTTTGTGATGACAACTTTTGTTTGAGAGGAATAAAATGTCATCGAGTATTTGTCCTTACTAATGGAAGTGGGACTCTCTCTTTTAAATGTAATTAAGAGTTTTTAAAAAAAAATCTAAGAAAAATTGTTCTCATCTTCCTTCCAAAAACAAGTACGCAAAATGCAGAAATACAAAGCACAGTTTGCTAGAACAGGCATCACAACTTCTCATCCTTCTCATCTTCAAACTTAAATCATCCTCAACTTCCTATTGACGATTTCCCAACATCTAGGTCTTAGCCATTTTTAGCCTGGATGTTCCCAAGTACTACAAGCTTCTAAGAGCATTCTTTTTATTAATATCCAAATAAATGGCTCAATACTTTCCCATCCTACAGGCTCTTGGAAGTCAAGCATTCCTGTCGCAAAGTTTCCAGGAGTTGATTCATTCATGCATGCATTCATTCATTCAATGAACATTTCTTGAGCATCCTATAGAACCACAATGCACTAGGTTTTCCCTCCAGATTCCTGTTCCCATTGAATTCTCACCTTGCTTCTTCTGGTTGCTATCTTCTTTCTACCCACCTAACCTCAAGTTTGGTCCCTGTCTCTTCTTTATTCTCTGAAGCACCACAAACTTAAGGGTGATGCATGAAATAGATGTTTATAGAGGTTGAAAATATTAGAGGGGATTGCAATCCTATGCACAAGAAACAGCTTAAAATTAAACTGCAGTCATCATTGTTTCTTAAAAGCCCCTATGCCATCCTGTTCCTAGGAATGTCTCCCTGGTCATGTTCCTTCTTGGGGTCTGCTTGAAAAATCACCACGTTGCCTGGGTGTTCCCTCTCCTCTCCTCCCAGATAAGAGAAATCACCTCTCCAGAGCTTCTTTGCTTTCCAGCTTCTGAGAAGCATCTCCATGCTGCATTGTTTAAGCTTTATTATGTAATGTAATCTGGGCCTTTTGTATCAACTGTCTCCTTCTAAACTTTTAACCACCAAAGAAAGCCCAGAAAAGTGTTTTCCTATACAAAAGATCCCATACCTTTAGCAAGGCAAAACATTAACAGAAGTTTTATAATTTTCTTGTCCATCTCATTTGCTCTAGTTTGTGTTCTTAGGCAATTTTTGACCAGTCTACCTACCTCCACAGGTAGAAGGAAGGCAGTCTGCAATTTATTCCTCTCTTATTCAAAGCAAAGGCCCTGGGGTAACTTTTTTAACTTTCCCATTACATTATTACTCTAACACACTCATTTCTCCCTTTATCTCTGCCCCCAAATACAAATAAGCTACTAATTCTTATTATTAAATAGGTACCAGTTATAAAAACAAAATGGATAGAGCTGTTTCTCAAGTTAACTGGGTTTTTCCTTTTGAGTAACCTTAATATAAGTGTTTGTGCAAGTGGTAGTTATAATGAATGGGTCAAAATGAAGTTTGTTGATTTATTCATTCTATTTCTGTCCAAGGACCATGGGGAAGTAAAGATTAACTCACACTTGGGGATGTAGTTCTATCAAAAAAAAAAAAAATAGCTAAAGCTATTGCATTGAACATTGAGGCTGTCCTCCACAAAACCCAAACTATGAAAAGAAAAAAAAAACCATGTTTTCTTCTAAGACAATTCTGAACTCTTTGTCAGGGTTTATTTACAGTAAACAACAATGTAGGCTGACTTCTTTTTGGGTGTAAAATGGAAGGATGTCAGAGGAGAGCTCTATCAGGGTATTTTCGACCTAACATTTGGATGGGTTTGGTTTCTCGTGCAAAGAGCTAATAGGAAATTCCGCTGTGGCATGCGCAAAGGTGAGCATGTGAGTCTCTCTTTCTGGATATATACTTCTGTGTGTGTAGGAAATAAATACAGAAATGAAACAAACACTGAAACAGATCCTTGTAACTGTCAACAATGTGCACTAACACAAATAAAATAGAAACATAAAATAAACCTCAATATAAATAATAAAGATAGATGCTTTTCTTTCTTTAGACGCAAATATTGGTGCGATGCTTCCTTTAATGAAGCAACTTTGCTACCAATTCTTATTTGTATAAATTGACAACATTCATTGAGCACTTACTCTGTACCAGATACTCAGTAAGCCTAATCCTCAGCACGACTTTAATCTTCCCAACAATCCTATGGAGCAGCCATTTTTATCTCCATTTACTGATGAGGAGAATGAGGCCCAGGAAGAAGTAACTTTTCTTTAGTCTTACCAGGGAGCAACAGAGAGGACTCAAACCTGTCTATGCCTGACTGCAAAGCTGTGCTCTTTGCTGTTTCAGATTGCCTCCTTTGAAATGAATTCAACTATTGATTTCCAATTTTGTGCTGTTTTGATTTTCTTACCTTGTTTTAAAAACCATGCTGTATTTGTTTTTCACTACGTTAAGTTATGTAGTAGTCTTTAACCTGAGATTCTCATCTGATCCTGCAGCATTTTTATTAAATATATAGTGATCTTGCCCTTATTCTGTGGCAGGCAAAAGCAGGAACAATGACTTCCACAAAAGTCATGTGCTTGACAATTTTGTTAGTTATTCTATCCTTAAATGGAACATCTAGGCACACTTACAACTCTCGCTTATTTGGTTGAATAGCTCTCTGCCCTCGACATAATTTTAAAATTGGCACTTATAAGTCCCAGAGTATAATTCTTTGCACATGCTAAGCATTCAATGAAGTTTTGTTGAAATAAGCATGTTACATTTTTTTTGAAGAACAAATATGGCCCAAGAGTCCTTAAGACCTAGGAAGTTTTAAAATAATTTCAGTTCTAAAAATAGCCAGCCAAATTTTTATGATTTGGTAATAAGAAAATAGTCTGTTAAGATGAGTTTCCAAATATTTTGCCAAATCTGGCCTTAGGTTTCTTGTTTTCTCCAGATAAGCACACCTAACTTATTTACAAAGGATTTACTTTCCCCCTTCCATGTACCAACATAGGGATGATGATGCCATTGCTGGTCAAAGGCCTGCTACACGCCAGTCATCGTTCTTGGTGCTTTATGCATTTTTTATATTTGAGTCTTGGAGAAATGCACCGTGATGAATATTTTCCATTTGCAGAAGGTGTTCATCACTTTACTGGAGATCCACCATTGGAGTGGAGGAACCATAATTCAAGCCTATGCTGGTTTATTTCTAGAGCCCTCCATGCCCTTTTCTATGAAAACAAAAAGCTCTGCTTCTCTGGACACATTTATTCTGTGGAATTGTTCACATCACTCTTAAGTACCATAGAGTGGGATATCTGACCATTTTTCTTTTATTTGTCACCAATGATGAAGGGATGATAACAAGTGAAACAGCTTCAGACTTGTTTTGTTTCCAGTGGCTTTTCTCTCATAAGGTCACACTGTCACCCACAGAAACACGATGCAAGGATTATTTTTTCTGAACTACATGCACACATGTATACCATTGCTTCTGGGATTATTGCATATGACCCTCAAGTTCCCTGGACTGGATGCCTGGAGTGCTCGCTCTGGTTCCAGCTGTACTATTGTATAACCTTTGGCAAGTCCCTGAACCTTCCTGGGCTCAAGCTTCTTCACCTGTTTTCTCAGTGGCTCATAAGCGCTAACATACAGTGGCCTTTACAATAACATTAACATGCTCCAAAATGAATAGGGTAAAATAAGTGTTACCTGATGTAGTAGGCTGAATGGTGCCCCCCCCCCCAAAAAGATATGTCCATATCCTAAACCCTGGAACCTACGAATGTTACCTTAAATGGCAGAAGCATGAGTATTACCACGTATGGCCAAAAAAAATGTAATTAAGTTAAAGATCTTGAGAGACAGAATGTATCCTGAATTATCTGGGTAGACCTTAAATGCAATCAAATGTATCCTCATAGGAGAGAGGCAGAGGGAGTTTTGAGATGGAGGGAGGAGGAGGTGACGCAACCATGGAGACAGAAATTGGAGTGATGCAGCCACAAGCTAAGGAATGCTTGGAACCAGAAGTCAGAAGAGGCACAGAACAGGTTTTCCCCTAGAGCCTTCAGAGGGAACATGGCCCAGCCAACATCTGAATTTCAGATTTTAAGCCGCCAGAACTGTAAGAGAATACATTTCTGTTGTTTTAAGCCACCTAGTTTGTGATAATTTGTTATAGCAACCACAGAAAACTAATACACCTGGTTATGTCAAAAATGCTTCTTCTGCTGAAATTTCCTATAATACTTGTAGGAAAACATTTGTAAAGGAACATACTGACTTGACTTAGAGGCTTGACTATTAATTAAACATTTTCAACATGCATTTTAATGTAGCTCTCAGAGACTGTGACCTGAAACATATTTAAACTCTTTTCTTAGAAGAGAGCCGGGGCTCTTACCTGGGTTCTGTATGCTGAGACCAGGCTTAGGTGTGTGTGTGGGAAATCAGTCCTTGACTGAAAAGTACAGAGCAAAGAGGAGTGAAACAGTGTCCCTGGCACCCACCTGCAGGAGAAGAAAGGACTGCCCTTATTGTCAAATCCAAATTGGTAATAAAAACTGATTATGAAGTGAAAGCTTTACAAGTGAGGCAGCAAGTGGGAAGATTCAGGCTCAGGTTCCAGAAGATCAGAGAAGGTTTCTGTGGCATTGGCTCATGATCACAAGGGATGAGGGCTTCAACGTAAGAGTGGAGGCTGCTCATGGCTAAGAAGGGTGCTGGCTTCTATAAAAGAGATACTGAAAGTCTTATCATTCCAACCCCTTAGCTGTTACTTGAATTTCTTCACATCACAGCTGTGTGGGAATCACTCAGTCTTTAAACTAACATCACTCATTCATTCATTCATTCACTCATACAGTCAATATTTGACTATATGAGTGATATTGACTCATATATTGTCAAATATTTGAGTCAATATTTGACAATATTCTATATGCCAGGGCACAATGTGGATACAAATAGGTATTCACAGTCTTTTAACATTTTTTTTAATTATTATATATTTAGGGGGTACAAGTGTGGATATCTTCCAGGCATATATTGCATAGTGGTGAAGTCTGGGTGTTTAGTGCATCCATCACCTGAATAGTGAACACTGTACCTGACACAGTTTGGATTTGTGTCCCTGCCCAAATCTCATGTTGAATTGGAGGAAGTGCCTGGTGGGAGGTGAGTAGATCATGGGGCAGATTTCCCCCTTGTTGTTCTTGTGACAGTGAGTGAGTTCTCATGAGATCTGGTGGTTTAAAAGTGTGTGGCACTTTCCCCTTTGCTCTCTCTCTCCTGCTGTCATGTGAAGAAGGTGCTTGCTTCCTCTTCCCCTGAGTGTAAGTTTCCTGAGGCCTCCCAGTCATGCTTCCTGTTAAGCCTGTAGAACTGTGAGTCAATTAAACCTCTTTTCTTCATAAATTACCCAGTCTCAGGTAGTTCTTTATAGCAGTGTTAGAACAGACTAATACCGTACCCAACAGGTTATTTTTCCACCCCTCAGCTGCTCTCCCATCCTCCCGTCTTTTGTAGTTTCCAACGTGTATTACTCTACTCTGTATGTCCGTTTGTACCCACTCTTTAGCTCCCACTTCTTGTAAGTGAGAACATGCAGTACTTGATTTTCTGTTTTGAGTTGTTTCACTTAGGATAAGGGCCTCCAGTTCCATCCATGTCACTACAAAAGACATGATTTCATTCTGTTTTATGGCTGCATAGTATTCATATATATATGCCACATTTTCTTCATTCAGTCCTGCACTCATGGGCACTTAGGTTGACCTTAGGTTGATTCCATGTTCCTATTGTGAATAGTGCTGTGATAAACATACAAATGCAGATAACTTTTTGATATAGTGTTTTCTTTCCCTTTGGGTATATACCAGTTATGAGATTGCTGGATCAAAGAGTAGTTCTATTTTTTTTGTTCTTTGTGGATTCTCCACACTGTTTTCCATAGAGGTTGAACTCTATCCATTCCCACTAATAGTGTACAAGCATTTTCTTTTCCCCACATCCTTGCCAACTCTGTTGCTTTTTGATTTTTAATAATAGCCATTCTGACTGGTATAAGATGGTATCTTACTGTTGCTTTAATTTGTATTCTGTGATAATTAGTGCTGTTGAGCATTTTTTCCATATGTTTTTTGGCTGATGTATATCTTCTCTCTGCTTATATCCTTTGCCCACTTTGTATTGGGGTTATTTGGTTTTTCTTTCCTTGTTGAGTTGTTTGAATTTCTTGTAGTTTCTAAATATTAGCCCTTTGTCAGATGTGTAGTTTGCAAATATTTTTTCCCATCCTTAGGTTGTTTGTTTACCTTGCTGATTCTTTTGCTGTGCAAAAGTTTTTAGTTTAATTAAGTCTCAATTTGTCTATTTTTGTTGTGTTTGCTTTTGAGAACTTGATCATAAATTCTTTGCCTAGGCCTATGTCCAGAACAAGTTTTCCTGGGTTTTCTTCTAGGATTTTTATAGTTTCAGGTCTTACCTTTAAGTCTTTAATCCACTTTGAGTCAATTTTTGTACATGGTGACAAGTATGGGTCCAGTTTCATCCTTCTGCATATGGCTATCCAATTGTCCCAGCACCATGTATTGCATAGGATGTCCTTTCCCCAGTGTACGTTTTTGTTGACTTTGTCTAAGATCAGTTGGCTGTAGATATGTGGCTTTATTTCTGGGTTCTCTCATCTGTTCCATTGATCTATGTATTTTTACACCAGTACTGTGCTGTTTGGGTTACTATGGCCTTGTAGTGTACTTGAAGTCAGGTAATGTGATGCCTCTGGCTTTGCTCTTTTTGCTTAGGATTGTTTTAGCTATTAGGGTTTTTTTTTTTTGGTTTAATATGAATTATAGAATAGTTTTTTCTAATTCTGTGAAAAATGACATTGGTAATTTGATAGGAATTGTGTTGAATCTGTAAATTATTTGGGCAGTATGGTCATTTTAATTGTATTGATTCTTCCAATTCTTGGCACGGGATGTTATTCCATTTGTTTGTGTCATCTATAATTTCTCATCAGTGTTTTGTAGTTCTCCTTAGAGAGATCTTTCACCTCCTTGGTTAAATATATTTTTTTGGTAGCTAATGTAATTGGAATTGCCTTCTCAATTTGGTCCTCTGCTAGATTGTTATTGGGGTATTGAAATGCTACTTATTTCTGTATGTAAATTCCCAAAACTTTACTGTATTCACATTCTTTTGTAATAAGATATAATAAGAGGAAGTGAGCATGATGGTGGAGGAATAAACAATGTGCAGGGGCAAGGAGAATGGAATGTTGAACTCTGCCTGGCGGACTCTGGGCTGGCATCTTAGGAGGTGATATTTGAGCTTAGTCCTTAGGAGTGAACAGCGCTTGCCCCTGAGGCAGCTCATTTCCTTTTTGAAAAGTCCTTCCTTACATTGAATAAAAATGTGTGCTTCATTAATTTTTACTTAAACTCTGAATGATCATTATAACCCAAACCAATGACTCTTGAGGACTTTGATCTCAATGGGTGGAAAGACACCAGGAATGTATAAAGCTTGCTTTCAGTAAGTCTCTGCCTTATGGAGGGTCCCTTGAAAGGAATGTACAGAATATTCTCATTTCCTGGATAATAAATTCCTAAATAAGAATTTTTAGGGATCACCAGAGGAAACTACTAGCTAGTTAATATTTCAGCAAGCATGAATTCTTAGGCAAATGGCCCATCTTCCTGCTGCACGCTTCTGGGTAGCTCTCTCCTGCGTGCAGGAGGAAGATGGGAAGATACACAAGCAATGAGATGACATGCAAAGTGTGAAGAGCCCGTTCCTTGATCTAGAAATCTAGGAGATATCAGGGACCCCTCTCCTGCATAATCTATCACCACTTCCTGTTAACCCTAACCTTGCCTGGGCTCCAGCCACTTTTTCTGTCCCCTATGCCCCCAGTGTCTCTTCCACGAATGGTTGCAACAGCCTCCTGCCTGCTCTCCATTGTTTCCATTCATTCACATCTTTCTCTAGCCATTCTCCTTTCAAATAGTCAGGGATGCTAAAAACTGCAAATTTGATCATGTCACCCCAGCCAGAAGCCCTTCAATGCCTTCCCATGACCTGAAAATCAAGCCCAACCCATTTTACATGGTTTATAAGCCCTGTAGATGCTGGCCTCACCAACCTGTTCAAACACTTTCAAACCACTCACACCTTTGCTCTCTCACACCTACTGCCCCCATCACTAGACTTTTCTTAGTCCTTTGAACACACTGGGGCTCTACCTCATGCTCGGGCCTTTGTACAGACTTTTCTCCTTGCCTGAAACACACAAAACCTCCCTTCCCCTTCCTCCATCTGTCACTTCTTCTGCCTCCAAACATTCAAACAGCTTCCTCTTGCATTCACCACGCTCTCTCTCTCTCTCTCACACACACAGGCACACACACACACACACACATACACACACACCTCCTTAGTTTACTCACGTCTCAATTTTCCTCCATGGTTTAATTTAAATGGCACTTCCAGCAGGAAGCCAGTTCCTTCCTAACTTCCTTGGTCCCCCTCCCATCATAAGCTACCCCAGTGCCCCTGCATTTCTGCTTCCAAACAATCATCACTCTAGATTGTAATTCTTTGGTTAATGCTTGTATTCCCAGCTAGACCAAGAACTCAACAAGAGCAAGCACTGGGTCTCTCTTGCTTAATTTTGTGTCTCTAAACTGACACATAGTAAGCCCTCAGTAAATATATATTGAATGAAATAATAAGTGACCCAAATGATTAACACGAACTTGTAAACTATTTGGGAAAAAAACAACTATTCAGGTAAACTCAGAGGGTGATTAGATTATTCCATGAGAGAAAAAGAAAGGTAGGAGAGTTTCTCTCTTTTTCAAGAAATTGAATCTAGGGGAAAAAACAGACTGTTAGAAGCCAGAGATGGAACCTGTTCAGGGCACTGCAGTGAAACGCTTTGGAAACTGGGAAGAGACACCCCACCCAAAGGAGCTGTTGTTATTATTTACCAAGAGTAGATTTTTTTTGATCTGCTCCCTTTGTATGGGGGCAAAGAGTGATCTATAGAGAGGACGATTCAATGACAAAGCCAGGGCCTGAAAGGTGGCCTTTTGTCCAAACTCAGCTGCAGCATCTCTGAAGACTCCTTGTTTTCTAATCCCTCGACCTGGCTTTCAGAGCCCTCCAGAATCCATTCTTATCTGACTTTTCCTTTCCCTCTGTATTGTTCTTCATCAAATATCCTTCACTTTGGTGAGTCAGCAAATCAGCAGATGGAAATACACCAGGCACCTTTTTGTATAAGACCCTATATTAACAGCTTTAGGAAATTCAAAGAAGAACCACTCAGCCAGTGAGACTACCAGCCCTGAAATCTGATGGCTTGGATTTGGCTTCCTGCTTTGTGTTTTTGTAGGTATGTGATCAGAGGAGGTTACTGAACCTCTTAGAGCTTATTTGGTATATGTTTCCTCTCAGAGTTGTTGTGAAGACCAGATGAGATAATATATGTAAAGTGTTTGGCTGGCTCCACAGGTCATAGTAAGAGCTCAGTAAGTGTTAGCGTTGTCATCATCATCATCATCACCGTTCTGTACAATTCCTCCCTTCAGTTGGAGATTCAAGTCATAGGCATATAGAAAATAGCTAACAGCACAAGAGAGTATGTATTAAGCTCCAAATGGCACATTATTTTTTCTTTCCACTTTCTCACTTCCCTCTCCTCCCATTCTTTCCTTCTCTCTTGTTTCAAAGCCAAGAAACACAGCCTGATCCATTTGTTTCTTTTCGACGAAGCTCTCTCAACCTTTACATTGATAGCAGTCTCGCTCGCTCTCCTCTGAATTCATGGTCTGAGTCATCCATTTAATTTTTAATTATATATTACCTTTTATATCTCCTTCAGATCTTGTTTCTCCCAAATATGAGCTTATTGAGGGCATGGCAGGGTCTTGGTTTTGTTTGTATCCTCCGCTAATCAGAAGCAAACATTTCTGGAGCACCTGTGTGAGAGCTGACAATGTGTGTTGTGGGCACACCAAGTGCTAGGGCAGAGCTTAACTGGGTAGATATTCAGTATTTGGCAATAGATTGATCTAATATTGTTTTATAAGAGGGTATAAAGCTCATACCTGCCTTTGCAAGGAATTAAATTATTTAAGCACCAAGGCTATGTAGCTTAAAGCAAGTAGTCAATTAGGTTACTTAAATTAATTTTTGGCAGCAGCTAATCGGAGCCTGGAGTCTTCTGTCTTTAAATACCTAATCCAACACAACAAAATAAAATGATTAAGTATTTCTTAAACAATATTATTCTAAGACTTAAAATATGGGATTTAATTAAAGTTGTTAATCTTTTTATAGAAATTAATTTCAAGTAGTTCATTTTGAAAAAAAAGGGGACCTTGCATTCCTCAGGATTCTGACTGTGAACATTCCTCACTCAGGCCACCAATTCCTATAATATCTGGGGGCCAGAATAGGGGATATCCTGGATACTTCTAAATTGCAGGATTTGGAATTCAGTCTTCTAAACTAGCCATGGTTTCATATTCCAGGTATGTCAACTTTTCAGACACAAATAAAACCCAGCCTCTTTCCCAGGGTCACTGAGTGGATCTAAAATTTGTAAATGATCAATGCATTAAAGGAATAATGTTGATCCCATCATTTATTTCTAAGATAAGATGAAATTCATAATTCTGAATTGTACATGAGCATAAACCAAATATAACCAAGCACATAAAAACCACAGGTTTGCCCACTCACCTCCACACCTCCGCTTACATACACATGTGCATGTGCCCACACAGAGTTCCCTCTAAAGTCTCCCTTCACCTTCCAAGATGAGTCAATCTCTGTATTGGAAAGACCTCAGGCTTTGGAGTCAGATGGAGCTGGAATCAAAGACTTTTCTACAATTAACCATTTGTGCTGAAATTACTTACTGCCCCTAAATAAACCTTGGTTTCCTCAGCTGTAAAAAGGATGTAACAATACTTGTCTCGTAGGCATATTTGAAGATTAAATGTGATAATAAAATTAAAATGCTAATATAGTATCTGGTATATTATAAGTACTCAATAAATGTCACGTTTCTCCCAGATTCCCCTAGACAGAATGAACCTCTCCTTCCAGTACAATCCCACTGCTCTTAGAATAAATTAAAATTCTTAAATTCTCTGATAGAGTTTAACATGTGGTATTTTAATTTTTTAATGCATTTATCTTTTTCCTTAGCTAAGTTTTGGGTTTTACCTTATTATTCCCAATGTTTAGCACAGTGCGTGTCCCCCAGTTGGATGAATGGGTGAAAGATAAGATGAATGGGCAAAACTTCTCTTATAGCAAGCAGATTCAAATTGCATAATCTTTTTTTTTTCACTTTTATTTGGAACTAGGAATGTCTGAAAGATGGCGAGTAAATAGAAATTGAAATGAAGAAAATGTCTAGAAAACCTCATCAACAGAATAATGAGCTATGCTAGAATATTCATATTGTAGTTTAAGTTTGTAGCAAACATGTCAGCTAATAGAAAACATAAAGGGAAGCAACAGTGGGGGAACCTGCATTCATTCTGATAGAGACACGTGCAGTCGAAATGCTACAAGCTTCAAGGAACTTATGCTAGGCATAAAGTGAGGGACTAGAGAGAAGCAAGCTGCAAGTCACAACTCCCTCTCAGAGGTGCTGCAGGCCAGAGGAAATCTTGGCAGATTCCCCTAATTTGTAGGAGGCAGAGCAGAATGTGAAGGTGGTTGGGGAAAAGCGAGAGATTCTGCAACCTATAGTACTGTTCAGAGCCTAGAACATTCAGAGATTTAATAAAAGTAAAGCTCTTTGAAGATCATGGAGAATCTGTATTTGTCTGGATGAATTACTTAATTTCAAAGATAAAGAAAGGAGAACTTCTCCACAGGGTGGGAGTGGCACAGAGGGAAATCCAACCAGTCTCAGACTTGGCCACAGCAGGATTCACTGCCAGAGGAAGATGGAAAGGTGTACGGCATGATCCAACCGCAAGAAAGACCCATGAATACTACACCCATCGAAACTGTCTGGAAACAGGCAGATATTGGAACCCCAGAGCCCCTCTTAAAAAAATACTTATGATGAGCCGGGCGCGGTGGCTCACGCCTGTAATCCCAGCACTTTGGGAGGCCGAGGCGGGCGGATCACGAGGTCAGGAGATCGAGACCATCCTGGCTAATGCAGAGGAACCCCGTCTCTACTAAAAATACAAAAAATTAGCCAGGCATGGTGGTGGGCGCCTGTAGTCCCAGCTACTCAGGAGGCTGAGGCAGGAAAATGGCGTGAACCCGATAGGCGGAGCTTGTAGTGAGCCGAGATTGCGCCACTGCACTCCAGCCTGGGCGACAGAGCGAGACTCCATCTCAAAAAAAAAAAATTCATGATGAAATCTAGCTCACCAAGATGACTCAAAATAAAGATTTCAAGCACAGAGAATTGATGGTAAAAGGATGGGCCAAGTCCCTTTAGAAACAGAAGTAAAACCAAACGCCAGGGTATAGATGGCCTCTTGTGCAGATGTCCCTAATGTATCTATGAAACCTTCCTGAAAAACCAAAAGCAAACCCAGAAGAATCCTCCCGGAACAAACAAACCGAGAACCTTAAAGATGTTCTACATCTAAGAAAGGAACTTATAAATCACATAAATAAGAAAGTATTGGTATGAATTAACTGCATTAAAAGTAAATAACTTTGTGAATATAATTACAAATAAATGCAAATGTGATAATTTGTGAAAGGAAATGTATATACTGTAAACAATGATTGGAGCAGAAAAAAGAAGTTAATTATATGCTGCTTTCCTAATTCTGCATAAAGATGGAAAATGAGGACACCCATGGATAGTGTTTAATTATTAAAATCCAGAAACAGGAGGTCAGTCAAGTTTTTTTTAATTTTAAAACAACTGCTAATAATGTTTAAAATAAGCTCTATATATGTATTCCAAATTATTCGGAAAAAAAAAGAAAGAAATCATGGTTCATACAGACAAAAAGACAACACAAATAAAACTTCCCTGGGTTGTGGAATTGTCCCTCTCTGCTGGGGCCATTTTGGTCCCTCAGTCGACCTTGCTCTAAGACCCAAGTCCAGCTCCTTTCTGCATGTCCACATCTGGCTCTCAGGAACACACTGCCCATGTCTGTTCACTGCCCAAGTCTGGAGGTTTAGGATGTCCCCCTGACAGTTTTGACCACAGGCTGTCCCGCCAGGTAAAGGCACCCTCAGCCACAGGCTCTTGACTTCGTGTTTCCTGGGCAGGAAGCACACAGGGGTCCCAGTCAACCCTCTGAGTGAAGGAGCAGCACTTCTCCGTGGGGTGAGGGTGAACTGCACCCCCACCAACTCTCTCCAAAGAAGTCCTAACCCCTGATTCGTCACCTCGAGGATTTCTTAGACCTTTCCTAAATAAGAACGGTCCTTAAAGTGTGGTCGTGGGACCAGCATCAGCATCACCTGGGGACTTGTTAAAATGGCAGTTTCTCAGGCCTCCCTGCAGATCTACTGAATCAAAAACTCTGGGGGTGGTCCCCCAATCTGTGTTGTAAGAAGCCCTCCAGGGCCTTCTGATGCATGTGGAAGTTTGAGAACCACCGTTCCATCACAAGCGTGGAAGCGGGAGAGAGGCATGTGTGGGAATTTTGTGTCCATTGTTCCTCACCTCTTTGCAAGTCCCATGCAAGAGGCTGAGCAACTTAATTTAGATTGTACGGATGCCAAAGCTCCAAAGTACCTAGAAGAGTCATGTAAAATAAAATTCAGTACAGACAAAACATTAAATAGGAGGGTACTTTTTTTGAAAAAAGAACTTAAAGTATATATATAAAAAGATATAACACAAAGCTTGTTAAATACAGGAAATATTGAACATAAATATATTAGTAGAGAAACTGTTTTACATATTTTTTCTCAGTATTTTATATAAATAATAATTTAGGGATCTGAACAATGTAATTATATGATTGACTTAATAGCTATATGTAGAACTTTAACCTAAAAGAATGCCGTTTTGTGTGTGTGTACACCCATAAAACATTGACAGATATTGACTCTGTATTTGTCCTAAATGAAAACATCAATAAATTTCTAAAAGTAGAAGTAGCATAGGCTACCTCCTCTGGCTACAATGCAATTAAATCAAAATATTAATAGCAAATGCTTCAATCAAAATTTTTATAAGCTCCTGAAATTAAAAGTTCTATACTAGTAACTTATGAGGTGTAAAGAAAATCAAAACCTTAATTTCAGCAATATGTTAAAAAATGATCAAGTATAATTTATTCCAGGAATATATAATAGGTTTAATACTGAGAAATACATGACTATAATAGAGTGGATCAGTTGATCAAAGGATTAACATCATGTGGCCATCTCAACAGATACCAAAAAAAATCTGGCAAAAATCAATAGTTATACTTAATAACTCTTCCGAAACACTAGCCATCATCATATTAATGGTGCTATATATAGTAGAGGCATTTCCATTAAAATAGGGGAGAAAACAAAGATAGCCACTGGATGTTTTAGCTAGTGCATTAAAACAAAATTTTAAAAATGAGTTCATTAGAAACAATTTTCATCATTTATAAATGACACATTTATAAATTCTGAAAGAATAGTCTGAAAAATCTATTACAATTAAGTTCAGTAAGAGACCTGATTGCAAAACAAATATAAATATGGCTTTGCTTTATTTAGCAATATTTATTATGAAAGGATAATAAAAGAAGCTCATATTTTGTGTATATATATATATATATATAAACATATATATATATAAACAAATATTTACTCATGCAGGATCTATTTGATGAAAAACCACCAAACTTGAAGGGAGGCCTAAAACAGACCTCAATAGATGGAGAGCAATGCCTTGTTCCTGGGTGGGATGGTGCAAGATTGTACAGATAAGGACACTTCTCAAGTTAGTCAATAAATAAAATGCAATTCCAATTAAATCCCAACAGCATTTGGGGTGGGAGGACTTAACATATTGATTTAAAATTCATTAGAAGAATAAATGCTTAAGAATAAACAAAAACAACTGATAGAAAAAGAAGAGGAAGTTGACCTTCCGGCTGTTAAAATATACTGTGAAGCTGCAACAATTAGGAATGTGGTACCAAAATAGGCAAGACAGATAAATAAAACAGAATAGCTAACTCAGAAAGAGACTGTATGTGGAACATAGTACATGTGAAAAATTAGCACTATTTTAAAAATTGGTATGAATGGTGCTGAATGAACTGCTAACTGTTGTTTGAAAAAATAAACTTAGATTTATTTTTTCTACCTTATGACATGTATCAAACTAAATTCTATCCATATTAAAGATTCTATCCAATAATAAATATCAATATAGTGCTTATCATGTTTCAGATACTTAAATGTTAAAGTCATAAAAACATGAGATGAGAATTTTGATGACTGTTTAGAAAGATCTTGTGAAAACAATAAAAGTTTGATAGATGTGATTACATAAAAATTGTAAGTTTCCGAAAGTCAATAAATAACCTAAATAAAAGTAAGAGCAAACAATAAACTGAAAAGATATTTTCAATCTGCATGACAGCCAAAGGGTTACCATATCGAAAATAGAAAAAATATTATTTACAATCGAGTTAAAATAAAAAACCTGAAACAACTCCAATAAAAGAGAGACCAAGGATATTAACAAACAATTCCATTGGAAAAAGTAGAAATGGCTGATAGCATATTTTAAAACTTTTCAGCTTTCTAATAAGCAAAGAAGTGCAATCAAAACAACATTCTATTTTGCTTATTTTTAATGTAAAATAAAAAATAGAAATGTAAAAAGCATAATGTGAAAAATGTCTATGTATTTATCACCCAGAAATAACATTTTGTCATTTTTACTCTGTATGTGTGTGTATGAAAAAGAACATTACAAATGAAACCAAAAACTTCTCAGGTCTATCATCTTTGTCCCTTGCTCCTGAGATACAGCCATTAAAAAGAACTTGGTGCATATACTTTGAGTCTGTGTTTTAATATTATTACTATACAGCTGCTATATATAAAACATGATAGGTAGAGTATCAGCTTGATGTTTTCCAAACTTCATAAATAAGTGCTATCATACTATATCTGACAATATATGATCTTGCCTCTTTTTACTTATTGTTTTGTTTTTGAGATAAATTCATAATGGAGCATGTATTAGTCCATTTTCATACTGCTGATAAAGACATACCAAAGACTGGGCAATTTACAAAAGAAAGAGGTTTATTGGACTCACAGTTCCACACGGCTGGGGAGGCCTCATAATCATGGCAGAAGGTGAAAGGCACATCTCACATGGCAGCAGACAAAAGAGCTTGTGTAGGGAAACTTCCCTTTTTAAAATTATTGGATCTCATGAGACTCATTCACTATCATGAGAACAGCACAGGAAAGACCTGCCCCCATAATTCAATCACCTCCCACTGGGTTCCTCCCAGGACACCTGGGAATTGTGGGAATTTTAATTCAAAATGAGATTTGGGTGGGGACACAGCTAAACCATATCAGGGCATCTAGATACAGTTCATTTATTTTAGTTTTGATTTTATTTCAATGTATGAATATACCACAATTTATTTATTAATTACTTGTGAATATTTAGTCATTTCTAAGCTTTTACTGATAAACATACTGCAATGAACATTCTTTGTATGCATATGCAAGAGTGTCTCTCGAAATTGGGTTGCAAGATCTTAGGGGATGGACCTCTTGAGTTTTGCCTGATGCTAACAAACTGCTCTCTAAAGTGATTTTTTAAATTTACATCAGCAGTATTTCTCAAAATCCTCACCAGTGCTTAGATATGTCAAACTTTGACATTTTTGCTAATCTGAAATGGTGTCTAATTATTATTTTAATTTGCATTTCTGTAATTACTAGTGAGTTAATGGAAAATTTTAAGTGTTTCTTGGCCATTTAAATTTCGTCTTTCATGAATTGCCTGTTCATATTATTAAGCCATTTTTTCTACTGGAGGGTGTTTTTTTCTTGTTGATTGGTAGGTTATTCTGAGCACTAAGGATTTTCTTGTCATATGTATAGAAAAGACTTCCTAGTCAAAAGCTGGCCTTATAACTTTGTTTATGATGTCTTTAGTCTTGTAGATGTTTTATTTTTTGATTTGGCCAAATTTATTATCCTATTCTTAATATATTGTGCTTTTTGTACTCGTCATTAAGAAATGCTTTCCCACTCTAAAGGCATTTGACTATATTTTATATTTGTGGTTTGTATAGTTTTGTAATTTTATGTTCATTCTTTATCTTGAATTTAGTTTTTGTGTATGTCATGAGGTAAAGATCATTTTTAATAACACAGACATGCAGCTATCTCTAACATTATTAACTGTACAGTCCATCATTTTCCTGCTGTTTGCAATGTCACATTGGTCACATTCCAAGTTCTCATTTATGCTCTGCTCTGTTTTGTGCTTTCCAATCTATCAATCTGTTTACAGGTCCCCTACCACCTCCAAACTGTTTTACTTACTATAACTTGCAGTAGACTTAATATTCAGTATAACAAATCTTTTCTTCTTATTATTCCCACTCTCCCGCCCTCTTACACTTCTAGGAGTTTCTTCATTATTCTTGGATCTTTACTTTTTGAATGAACTTGGAGTGATTGCCCTAGTGGACTGAGATATCCCATTGGAGTTTTGATGAAGATCAGAAATTGTTATCTTTATAATATTGAGTCTATGAATCTGTTAACATGGATTTCACTTGATCACAGCTTTTCTATAATCTTCAGTGGTGCCTCCCCTTTTCTCCGTGACCTTATTATACATCTTTGTTTCATTTATTCCCAGGTTCCTTATAGATTTTACTGTCATTGTAAATGCCATGATTTTGTTCTTTTTCATATTCCAATTGGTTAGTTGTTGTATATTGAAAAGTGACTTTTTTGTATATTTTGATCTTGTAGTCAACAGCCCCACTAAGCTCTCTTATTTCTTTTAATCATTTGTCTATAGAGTACCTTGGATTTTGCTTGTAGAGTATGATATGTTCAAATACTTTGCATTCTTAAAGAAAATTACTTATTTTATCTATTTCTTTCTAATTTGTTGGCATATAATTTTTGTAGTATCTTCATATAATTTTAAATATCTCCATCTGTAGGTGCATACTTTTTTGATTCTTAATACTATTTGTGCTTTCTTTTTGCTTTGAACAATCTTTATACATATTTGCCTATTTTATTAATATTTATTAAAGCAGCTAATTTTTTTGTTGATAATCTTGATTCTTTTTCCTTGGTGTTCTATTTCATTAATTCTGCTTTTTGTTTTTTTATTTTTTTGGCTTTTTAAATGAAATAGCTCCTGCTTATCCCCATCCTTTATTATTTTTCAATAAATATGCTTAAGTCTACACATTTCACCTTAAGCATTTCTTTAAGTTGTGTCCCACCTGTTTTTATATGGAGAATTTTGCTATTATTTATATCTGAATATTTCATAATTTCCATTATGACTTTTTTTTGTATAATATATGGATGATTTATGATTGACCTTTTTTTCATTTCCAATGTTTGAAACTATCTTTTTATACTGGATTTATGACTCAATTGCTTTATAATCAGATAACTGGTTTTTACACTATCAATTTTCTGGATATGAGTTTTGGTATAGCTGTGGCTAATATAATATTTATCCTGTAAATTGAATGGGTTTGTTTTTGAAATTTCCACTTTGGTTATTTTCACTTTTATTTATTTATTATTTATTTTTTTAATTAATTTATTATTTTTTGAGACAGAGTCTCGCTCTTTCACCCAGGCTGGAGTGCAGTGGCATGATTTCAGCTCACTACAACCTCTCCCTCCTGGGTTCAAGCAATTCTCTGCCTCAGTCTCCCGAGTAGCTGTGATTACAGATGCCTGCCACCACTCCTGGCTAATTTTTTGTGTTTTTAGTAGAGACGGGGTTTCACCATCTTGGCCAGGCTGGTCTTGAATTCCTGACCTCATGATCCACCCGCCTCAGCCTCCCAAAGTGCTGGGATTACAGGTGTGAGCTCCCATGCCCGGCCCATTTTTGGTTATTTTCAAACCTGCCTTCTCTCTATCTCTCTGTCTCTGACTCTCTGTCTCTCTCTCTCTCTCTCTCTCTCTGTCTCTCTCTGTCTCTCTCAATAGTGCTCTGCTTATATCTTATGGCTTCTTTGACTTCCTTAACTCCTTGGATAGTCTCAAGATTATTTCAAATTATTATTTTATATCCAGTATTTGGAGTGCATAATTCCCATGGTTATGTGGTCTCCTCTTCCTCCATCGTGGTTTATTTCCCCATGTGGTTTGTAATTTTCTGTTGTGAAATCATCTTTAGTAGTGTTTGTTTGTTTGTTTGTTTTTGAGATGGAGTCTCGCTCTGTCACCCAGGCTGGAGTGCAGTGGCATGATCTTGGCTTATTGCAACCTCCACCTCCTGGGTTCAAGCGATTCTCCCACCTCAGTCTCCTGAGTATCTGGGATTACAGGTACCTACCACCATGCCCAGCTAATTTTTGTATTTTTGTAGTGATGGGGTTGGCAAGGCTGGTCTTGAACTCCTGACCTCAGGTGATCCGCCCACCTCGGCCTTCCAAAGTGTTGGGATTACAGGCGTCAGCCACTGCACCCGGCCAGTAGTGGTTGTTTTCCTGGAAGTCTCATTACTATTTTGTAAAATTATCCTCACACAGTGGTTTAGCTTTTATTTCTGTAGCTACCCATAGACTTTGTTGCTCTAGAGTCACTTTTTAAATTAAATTTTCAGTTTTGAATTATTGTACCAAATGAGTATATGGAGTCTGACACCACATTGGTATGTGGTATAGTCCTGTTCTAGTTCCTGGAGATGACTCATTTTCCCACTTACAGTCCCACATAGTTGACAAGGAACTGGCTACTCTTTCTTTCTCCTGGCTTTATGCACACAGCATCATTCAATATCTGGGCATGATGGGGAACTATACCCTACCCTTGCCTTCTGGTGGGGACTCTGGAGCCCCTCCCCACCCAGGCCCATCTCCCATTCCCATGAGCTCCCCTGCTTCTGCTTTCACTCAGTGCTGCTATTTGGAGAAGTTGGCTTCCAGGTGCTTTCCTTGACTAATTTCTGGCTTGGTTATGCATTTATTCGTTCTATGATGATATATTTTACGTGCTTTTAAACAACGGGCTTGGAGGGGCTGAGGTTTTCTCTGTCAGCTGAGACATCTTAAAACTATTATTCTGTTATTCAATTGGTATAGATTAAACAAAGAAAAGATAATGCTAGTTGATGCTAGTTGTTTAGGGATATGAATATTCACATACACCATTTGGTAGGAATATAGATTACAGTAGAATTAGATCGTTCATATAAAAAGCCTTAGAAAAATGTGCATATCCCTAGAATAGACAATCCTATCCTGGTAATCTGTCCTTAATTATTTAAGTAAATAATATTTAATATCTAAGAAATAATTATTTAATTAAATAAATTATCTATTTAAATAATTAAGAATGTGGGCAAAGACATAGCTACCATCATTGCAATATTATCAGATGGTAGTAAATTGTGCTAATGGGAAATATTTTTAGTGAGCCTTGTATAGGGTTTTGGACAACTAAATATTTAGGATACATTGTCTTCTCAATCAAAACATACTTTAGTGTCTCCTGGTTGTTAAAATCCTCTTTTGGGACAATTTTTAATATATTGATTTGCCTACTACTGCAAGGAAAGCATTGGTATTTCCATATTACTGGTTTCAGGCCCTATCAATATATAATTACCAAGAAGTTAAAAACATTTATAATAAAATATATATAGTATAGAGTGAGCATATGTCAAGTATTTATTCAAATCATTAATGAGGGAACCAGTAGAATGACAAATCAGGTTCTAAGAGGGTATGAAAAAAGAATGCTGGCCTAAGAGTGCTAAATCAGATGTAAAATTGTTTAATGTCCCACAGGTCGATGTAATCATTACCTTTAGGTTTCTATTTTCTACTGGACAGAAATCCTGTGTGTCTGTACCATACAAAATTCATTTGCAACTTATAAAAGTCTATAAATTAACATAACCTTACTGATTCTGAGTCCTAGTCAACAGTAATAGTAAGGCAAACAAAGTTACATTTCCTTAGAGTCCAATATTGTGACACAATACTCCAATAGTACATTAAAAAGGCATGCAGTAATTTCTGAAGCTTATTTCCAAGATTTAGAAGCTTTTCCTTAGTAGCCTCAGTTATTCCAATTATTAAAGTTGATGATAGTTAAACCACCATTCTGGTTCCTGAAGTATAAAAGCTGGGGTTCAGCTATGATCTCTCGTTCTCTAGCATCTAATGGGTCTCTAAGTTATCCATCCATCTTCTTCAAGGTTCTGAAACAGCTATTCCTTTTCTCCTGTGTTCTCTACTGCTGTCTTAATTCAGGTCATTTTTAAAGTTTTACTTGGACCATTGCAATATCCTCTTAACTGGTCTCCGATGTGTTCTTCCTCTAACGCATTTCCCTGACTGTTGGCCAGAGCTATTGTCCTTAAGTGCAGATCTGATCATGTAATTTTCATGCTTAAAAACCTTCAATGCCCATCTTCTGCCATCATCTAAAAAAACCTTCAAACCTTCTAATATGCTATTTCTGTCTCTTCGGAGTCTGACTCAAAGTTTCTTTCCAATTTTATCTTTCACTGCAACCTTCCTAAACCTACCTCCACAAGCCAACCACACAGTCTTCTTGCCATTCCTTGTACCTGCTGTAAATTTTCTTGTCTCTCTCAGCTTAGTTCTTTCTTCTCATTATATAGCCTTTCATTTTGGAGTGCACATCTCCTACCAGTTACCCTTCAAACCCTGGCCTGGATGACTTCCCCCTCCTTCACTCCTCCTTCCATACTTAGAATTCATGTTTTCTTGAACTGCAATCCCATTTTTCTTTGTCACCTTATCAAGGCACTTACTACATATTGCCTTAATCAGATGAATTAGTTACATCTCTGTCTCCCTTAGTAAATCATAAACTCCTCGATGATTTAACTGTGTCTTATTTATAATCCGCCACGTTAGCTAGAATAGCACTTTGTACCTAGTGGAGGCTTGCACATGTTGGTTAAATGTTATCGCCCTCAGTAGAAGTGCTTGAATCTGGAAAGGTAGAGCAAATGCTCGAAGAGCCACAAAGGAAGGAAACGTAACTTTGTGAACTGGTCTCCTTTTCTCCTTCTGTTGTCAAGGACAAGAACAATTTTACGAACATGAGGAATGACCTCTTTTGAGAACTTAACCCTGCAGCTTGGGGAATAATGTGGTGTGATAAGACAGAGTTGTCAATTTGTATTTTTTAAAAAATGATTTATGTATTCAATGTATTGGGACTTTTAAAATTTCTCAAACTGAAAGGATGGTCAAACAAAAATGATGCTGAGTAAAAAAAATAAAGAATCTAAATATTGTACAGAAGGTATTTAAACTAGTCAAATGAAAAGCAGATGTCTTAAATTAAAACACATAAATTATTTGAGCTTAAAAATTTCATATATCTTTGTGATGAAAATCTATCATTCAGGACCTAATAAGAGATTTTGAAAGTTTACATATTTGTATGTTTACTTAGTGACATTCAATCAAATGTCTCTTTAAAGAGTTGTTTAGAATTATAGACAACAATGATTATGTTCTTATTGCATTATCTCCATTTCAATGTTTTTCTTAATACTTGTTTAACTTTGGGAGATTTAGAAAACATAAAACAGTGCATGGAAGAAGAAAATGACAATTATCTATATTTTCTGAGAGCATGAATGTATTTGAAGCATTCGCAGCAATCTGGATGGGCCCTTTCTTTTTCTGCGGTCTACTGTCCCTCCTGGAATGGCCCAGCCAGTGGGTCTTTCTCAGTAAGATAACCCTTCTCACACACTTCTCTTCTTCCAGATAGAAAGATTCCTTAGAAGGTATCTGAAGACTTTCTCCTCTTGGACCAAAATCTTGGGTAACCAAGGCATTTTCTTTTAAGTTCACCTAAGAAAAGAAAACACAACAATGGTATGAAAACGTTCCCACTTCCTCTTCCATGTGTGGGGAAGTGGATGAGATCAACTCTTTCTGGCATCCCAAGCTCTGACTCTGGGTCCTACACTTTGGTTGTATTGTACTTTTGTCTTTATTAACAATGTGCTTTATACTCTGACACAAAATGTTTTTGCTTCCAAACACACATCCAGCTTGATGAAGGAGGGTCAAGGGGGACTATTTGGAGTGAAAATGCATCAGAGCTGGGCATGGTGGCTCACACCTGTAATCGTAGCACTTTTGGAGGCTGAGGTGGACAGATCACTTGAAGTCAGGAGTTTGAGACCAGCCTGGTCAACATGGTGAAACCCCATCTCTACTAAAAATACAAAAATTAGCCAGGCATGGTGGTGCACACCTGTAATCCCAGCTACTCAGGGGGCTGAGGCAGGAAAATCTCTTGAACCCAGGAGGCAGAGGTTGCATTGAGCCGAGATTGTGCCACTGTACGCCAGCCTGGGCGACAGAGTGAGACCCTGTCTCAAAAAAAAAAAAAAAGAAAAGAAAAAGAAAAGAGAGAGAAAGAAAGAAAAAAGAAAGAAAAGAAAATGAATCAGGCTGAAATTATGCATGGAGCATTCAGGTATCTGTCTGGGTGGACCTAGGATAGGGGTTCCATTTGATGACTTAATTCCTACATGGCATGAGAGATAAGTGTTGCACAAATTCATAGTGAGCATAGAAAACCACACTTCTGTACAAGAAATACCAGGGGAACATTGATTTTTTTTCTGCCCTAAAAACTCCTTGTATGTTGCAGAATAACTCTCATCTTTACAGTTCTCAAAACTAGTAGATCTTCTAGACTCATCATGCTTCCTAGCCAGGAACCCTGGTAAGGCCACTGGTGAAAACCAAACAAGAAGTAACAGTCTTTGAATTTTCTAATACCCCCACATATTTGTGAGGAGCTTACATTATTGTCTCCACCAAATAGATGGAGGTCAGTGGCTTGTCCCAGGTCACACGGCTAGGAAGGGGCAGGAGTAATACTTCACCCCTTTCTCCTCTTCAACATTCTTCCTCTGACACCATCAGGCCTGGCCAATTTCAAGAATACATTATTATTCATGTGACAGAAAGAGACATGGCATTATAAGGTGACATTATAAGAATCAATTTCATGAGAAACCCATCTGAAGAAACTTTTGGAAGAGTGAATTTTATCAACATTATTGTGGGATTCTAGTTTTAACAACTCAGTGATCTGAGCCAATGTGAAGCTCTCCGTCTGTTACAATTCCCTTGAAATTCAGGGCAAAATGCAAACAAATTAAAACAATCTAACAAACTGAAAAATGTATAGCTGAGCTTGAAAGAAAGAAAGGAAAATCTCTGCATGCCAGAAATTGATAGCAAACTTGCAAAGCAAGTGCAGAAGTTTGCCAGCTGTGGAGAGGCTGCTGTAGGGTCATGGACCCAGACAGAGGCCCTAACAGCTGGGGCCTTGGGTTTTAAGGCCCGAGCAGGGTCAGAAGCTAGAAATTAAGACCTTTGGAAGGAATTTTAGAAGGGAAAGATCTTGTTCTTAGAAGAAAAGAAACAAGGACATGTCTTTTTATCTGGGGCACTGGATGGGGGTTGGAGGGAGTCCCCCATGAGAAGTCAAAATGAAGTCACATGTGGATTTATATGGCCCTCATGGTGTATACTTTTTACACCAGAAAATGAATATAAAAACGGGTCCCCAAACTGTGAAGCCCAGTGAATGCAAAATCAAGATATCTCCGTAGCAGTATTTTCAAAACCTAAAGCACATGGGAAAAAGTCAGTCTTGTTGCTGAACACATTTTTCTTCTTTAATATGGCATTAAGACTGGTGACTGCTGCAAAAATTTTATTAAATAAATGATTTCCTTGGAACTTCAATCCCAAATCAAGTCATTGACCATTTTGGGGGATGTCTTTCCTTCTACTTGAAGAGTTGCAGAGTGATCAATTTAATTCCTGTCTTTATTATTCATACTCTTGACTACTAGTTTATAATATTGAATTTAAAACAGAAAGAATAAAACCAAATGAAAGAAACCTTATTAAATGCATGAAAATCTTTTATTAATATAATTTTTAAAAATTAGTCGAGGAAAACAGAAAAAGTTATGGTGTAAGAATTCTGTAGACTAGAGTGTTGACTTACTTTGCAGAACCAATAGCACATAAGGACGTATTTTTTTCTTTAACCCCTTTTGTAATTACTTTAGAACAGTTTTCTTTTGATTTGGGTGGCTTTTTAATTGTCATTGTTCTCACACAAAACTTTCAATATTGACTGATGAGAGATTTGTCAGCTTTGAGTTTCCAAATGCTTAAAAATAGTTCAGTGATCTTGCAAATACACACAAGCGCACCTCTTTTCTCCTTGTTCGGGAGAAGCTTGAAGTCAGAAGAGCGGCTTGTTTACTTTCACCGTAGCCCCCCCATTTGCAATCCAAGTGAACCTGCCATGACCTCCTTTGACCAAGCCTCTTCATCCAAAAGGCAGCCAGAGAGCATCTTGTGGCCAGATGTGCGCCCCCACAGCCAGCGTTCCTGGGCTCAAATGCATAAATCCCCTGCTACCTGCGCTGACTGCTTCTTCACTGTTAACAAATGCCTCTTTGGACGGCTGCTCCCTGACCCAATTCCAAGGCAGGGAGGCGATTGGCCATTTTGTGAAATGACACAAGATGGATGAGGTGTCATCATCTCCAAACCCAAGAAGATGACAGTTAGGCCTCATGCCCAAATCCTCCTTCTCCTTTCTTAGCAAGCACCAAGTTGATGAAGTTATCCTATATCACCACTGGGTCCAAGAAGTTTCTGGATCCCTGCAATACAAGATGAATTTCCATATTCCATCCACATAGGCCAAAACACCATCGTGAATGTCCAGTTCCCTTATTGTTTGTCCAGGATCTAAATGTTTCTGTCTGGCTTCTCTTACCTATTGATGCATTAAAAAATACTCAGTGGTGAAAAATATTGAATATAGTGCATTAGCTCCAGGGAAGCCAGCATTAGCCATTAATATTTCAGATTCATCTTTGCTGGAGAAAAACTATTTATCTTCTTCAGTGCATATTTTCTCCATCTTCATTCTTTTCCTTTCACTTCTGGAGCCGTAAACCAGTTGATGACGCTGATGTAGCACTGTACTAAGGATTTCCGTCTTGATTCTCTCATTTAATCCTCTCTACAACCCTATGAGATAGGTTTTACTGGTATATTTTACAAGATGGGACTTTCCACTGCCAAATCCTGCAAAATTTCTGCTACATCATTGCCAAGATTTTCGAGGGTACATGGTTCAGTTCTTTTCTTGCTTTGATGAGTGAACTGAGCCCCTTGACTTCCTGAAACCTGGCTGCCAACAGACAATGGTAGAACCAGGAGCCACCAGGTCCAGTTTGCTCTTAGTCCGCACCTCCTTCTACTCCCCTCTGCTCCTCTCCACTGCCCTCTCTTCCACTTTCCACTCCACTGTTCCATGTGCCTCTACAGCATGCACAGTTGCTTGTGTCTCCATGGGTCTTAGAGAAAGCTGCTGCACTAAGCCCAGTATCCCAGGTACCCAAAACTGTTGACTCTGCATCATCAAATGAACGCCCCAACCCCACTGCCACCTCTCACATCCTCTGAAGTTACTGGCCCCTCTCTTCCTGACTCCCAGATGCTTTCACAGGATAAATTAACAAGTTCAGAGCAAGGAATTCTTGCATGTAATGGATGTGGACCCTAGTCAATGGATAAACAAGATACTATTCAGGATAATAAATTTACTTTTTAAAATTTTACTTTTTCTCATGAGCTATGATCTCTACTTGCCTCCTATACAGTCTTGGAAAACTGGAAGCAGAACTGCAAACTAATTATTATCTCTGAAGTAATATTTGCCCATAGTTCATTCCTCGGTTCATGTTGGCAACAAAAAGACCCCTAAGAGTCATGATGCGGGAAGATCCCTGTTTCCATTCCTAACATTTCTTCATCATCATTCATGGGATACCTGGTGTCCAACACAGTTAAACGACAGTGGTAGCCCCTTTCATTTCCATAGTTCTTTACAGTGTATAAAATCCTTGTAGGTAATTTTCTTACAGTCCTCATTTATAAATATAAAGCTAAATCTCAGAAACCTTAAGGAACTTGCCTAAAATAAAACAGCAAGTGGCAGAGTGTGCAAAATCTCCCAGTTTCCACTGCTGTGTATGACACAAGCTATTATTCATGAGCCACAAACAAGAGTGCCACAAAGACAAACCCCATACATCATCAGGAGAAATCGCACAGACCTTGATGAAGATCACAAGTGGTTTACTGATCACAGGTTCTGTAAAGGGCATTGATGGCCATCTGAAGAAGTTATTATACACAGTCTTTTCAGGAAACTTAAATTTTGTCAAAGAGGATGCTTGCTTTAAGCTACTCAGGGTCTTAGCCTTGAATGACTCCAAGAAGCACCATCCAACTGATATTTTTTGGCAAATGAGAGTTTTTCAATAATATAACGTGAGCCAAATGTTCACTGTGATTTTTCACTCAAATGAATAGAATCAGAGAGATTTACAACTGAAAATAAACCTCTCTTGGTCTTCTGTGATGCTGGAGCTGGAACTTGCTTTAAAGGTCATCAACTCCTCCACCCCTATTTGCCCACCAGTATCTCTAGCTAGTGGTTTTTCACCCCTTTCTGGAACAGAGTCTGTGAGGGAGAATCTCACCCTCTCAGAAAGTAGCTTGTCGAATTCTGCCCGAAGTTTATGTTATTAGAAACTCCTTACACCAACAGAATAGTTCCACTTCTACCTGGCAGCCTTTGTTTTTAGTCAGATAAGGAAACAAGGGTCAGATAGGTGAAGTGTACCACTCTTGCCTGGTCGCAGGGTTGATGGATCCGACAACAGTGTCCCCTAAGGGTCTTACTCCAGCACCCCAGAGAAGAGCAAGGGTTCAGATACTGCCACGTGCTACCACCTGCCTTGTTCTCCTTTCTATCTGGGTTGGATCTGGGCAGGACAAGACCACATGAGTGGTGCCTGGGTATTCCAGAGTGACCACTGTTGTGCACCACACTTTCTGAGCATTTATTTCACTTTAAGGCAATTACTTGTTTATTTGTCTTTGAGTTCCTCAAGGACAGGGACCATGTTTGGCGGGCTTAGCAGTGTATCTCCAGGGCCTGGCACGGTCCCTGGCATGTAAAAACTTTTATTCTGAATAAATAAAACAGAAACTACAATTCCCGTCACCCTTGGGACCTTCATCTCATAACTCCACACCATGGAATTTCCCATCCATGTTCATGCAAACCTGCCCCAAAGTGATTGGCTTCTAGTTTTGGAAATCACAGGTTTCTGTGACCAATTTGGCCAGCCAAGCACAAGAAGCAAAGGAGTAATATCCATGCTTGAACTTTCCTCTTCGTGTTTTGAGGAGATCATTGTCAATTTTTTTAACTTGCAAAAGTCAGGAGGGGATTTTAAATGCAAACGGACTTTGGCAAGTTGAGTGATTGTCAGGCAGCTATGAGAACAAACTTCTGTGTCCACTCTGGAGGGGAAAAGGAGGCAGGGTTTCAGCTTTAAGCAGGAGATTTATTTTTTTAGATCAGGTGTTTTTTGAAGTTTGCAGATGGCAATTTCATTTGCATTTAATGTCCTTCAGATTATTTCCTTTCTGTTGTGCTAAACACCTCTCTCAGTTGGGTCTAATTTGATGAGGTCATGCTGTGACCCTTGACCCTTTGGATCTTAAATGAAACCATCTGACCAGAAAGGAGAGAGAGAGTTCTTAGTCTTGTTCACAGACATTTGATATTTGCAGATGTGCAGCCAACTTTGCTAACTACCCACTTGCCAGTTTAGCTCTTGATTAGAAGTAGAACTAGCAAATTCCCTGAGAGTCAAACATTTGAAGAATAAATGGGTCCAATTAATCCTTTGTCACATTCTTGTCAAAATAAAAGGACTATGCCAAAGGAAGAAAAACAACCGCCTGTACCTACAGAGGGTAATTTGGGATATTAGCAAACAATTAATCTTGGAAAACACCTAAATACTGCAGTGTACAAAATGTTTGCAAAGTGCTCTGCCAGTGAATTGAGATTTACTATGAAAAATAGACAAAGACATTCTCCTGTTACAGAAAAAGCTGCCTACCCATTAGGTCCTCGTCGTTACACACTGGGGGAAAGGAATCCATTCTAACTCCTTAATTAGAACTCAAAACAAAAATTGGGAAAGCAGGTGCCTAAGTAGAAGGTGAGATTTTCCCAGGAGAATAACATTTTTATGCTGGGTTAGGCATTTAATTATAGTCTTGTGAACAGTTTTGCAAGAATGTTCACTTTTTTCCCCTAGAATTTTACCAAGCATCTGTCTTTCTAGATATACAGAACTCAACCTTATTCTAACTTTACTTATATGTTACATAATATAACCTGTAAAGTGTCATTCTGGGAAAAGATATTAGTACCCCAAATTTACTACTCAGAGAGAAAAATATCTGTTTCTGTCATACTGACAGCCTACTCTCTTGGCTCATTAACCTTACTTGATGGGCCATGTAACTTCTGAGTTTGTGGCCCCTGATGAGGTAGAATAAATGTAACTTCAGAGTCTGATGGGCTGCTTTACATCTAGGCTCTGTCCTGCATTATGTGTTGTCTCAGACAATATTCATTTCACCTTTTCTAATTCTAAATTAATACACATTAAATGAATGAAGATAAAAGTATGAAGCAGAAAGAAAGGAATCATTCAGTTTAATAACTATAATATGTAAGTATATTATCATTCAATTTTCCCTGATTTTTAAAATATGATTGAGGTAACACTGCATTTATAATTTTGTACTTTGCTTTCCACTTAATGTCATTATATCAGCATTTTCCAGGCCTTCATAAACATCATATTAAACAGTTACATTAATATAATTGTACATTATGTGTAATATATTTAACCTTAGTCTGACATTGGTCATTTACATGGTTGCTTTTTTTGCTATTATAAATAACACTGTGATGAACATCTTTTTGCATCAATCTTTATTTACATTTTGGATGATTTCCTTAAAATAGATTTTAATATGTTCAAATAGTGTGCCAAACGGCATGAACATGAATTTCAAGCTCATGAATCACCTTGCCAAATTGCTCTCCAGAAAAGTTGTACAAGATTACTTTCTTACCAGCACTTCACTCCAGCCATACAAGCTTGAGTAATCTTACTCAAAAATGATAAGGAAAAAAATAGGTGTATGAAAAGTATTATCTCATTGGTAATTTATATACAGCTCATTGATTATTAGTAGGTTTAATTACATGTTCATTAACTATTTTTATGTCTTCTGTTATAAATTTCCATTGAATAGTTAATTTTTCTTAGGCTCATTTTCCTCATCTGTAAAATGAGAATAATAATACTGTGCCTGCCTAGCCTAATACTGTACCTTTCCTAGTTTTAGGAATTAACTGAGATTGCCCATGTAAAGTTATGTACACATTAAGAGGCATTTAATAAGTGTTACTGCTCTTCATTTCTTTGAGATTAAACATAAGGACAATCTACACTTTTTTTGCTTTTTCTCTAGTTGGTAAGACATTGGTGGGTTGGATTCCCTTGGAAACTTTCTGATCACAACAGACATTCGTTGGCTCTCATTATCTGTTAGGCACTATGCATTATCTCATTTTTTATATTCACAGTAAGCATGAGATGGGCATTCTTGTTCTCAGTCCTCATGTGAAGAGAAGGAGGAGTAGCGAGGCTTAGCCACCTGCTTGGAGCAGAAAAGCCAAGACTCAAGGCTGGGCAATCTCAGCGTGGAGCCTACCCTCCCAACCACTAGGCCGCTGTCCAGTGATGGGCCCTGCTTGGTGCTCAGGGTCAGGAGTGGGGCTGCCCAGATTCCCATTTGCTCAGCTTTAATGCTATGATCTGATGTAGATCACACTCTAGTTCTGGGCCATAATGTCCTCCTTGGTAAAAGGAAAGGATTTGGTAAATGATTCTCAAGTCCCATCCACAAGTGCATGGATAACTTTAGACAGGTGTGTGTGCACATTCATACACATAGAGACTCACACAACAATAGACACACTGAGAAGTCAATCATGCACACACTCTACATCTATCAATACCTATATCTATATATCTATAGCTACTCTATCTATTACAATTAGACAGATACACAAGTTGAGTGTCCCTTATCCAAAATGTTTGGACCCTGAAGTATTTCAGATTTTGGATTGGTTTAGATTTGGGAATATTTGCATTACACTTACTGGCTGAGCATCCCTAATCTGAAATCCAAAATGCTCCAGTGAGCATTTCCTTTGAGCATTATGTTGGTGCTCAAAAGGTTTTGGGTTTGGAGCATTTCAAATTTTGAATTTTCAGAATAGGGATAGTATGTGTGTGTGGGTGTGTGTGTGTGTGTACACATAGTATAACACAACACTATGAGGTAGCTTGTATTTTCCCCATTTCCCAGAAGAGGAAGCTGAGAGACAGAGATGTTGGTGTTAGCTGTTAAGTGCATGCTCGCAATCACTCCCCTCTGCCATCTTTCTTGGATAGAAATGTTGCATTAAACAAGATCAAATGAATTAAAAATAATTACCAAGGCTTGGGAGCATACATTTTTTCTCTCATACTAATAATATTGTGAAAGTTGCCAGTACCAAAATGAAGTCACTTATGTCAAAACCCTAACAAAATGGAGTTAAGTGGGCATCAAAGGAGCCTGCCCAGTGAGGGGCCCTGCTTGATGCTTAGAGCCAGAAGTGGGGCTGCCTAGATTTCCATCTGCTCTCCTTTAACATTGATGTGGCTCATACCCCAATTCATATCCCCAGTTCACACACCTCACACGCATGCCTGAGACTTTCCTTATCACAACAAATCCCTGCACATTCCACAAACCCCACATGTCCTGCATGCCCTACATGTACCATGTGACATAACTTACCACCATAAATTCCTCAAGATTATAGCATTCCAGATAAGCCGCCCTGCTATCTACCAGTGAGCTAATACCAACTCCAGCAATGAGCTTCTGTGACCAATGAACTTTGTTTCAAAGCACCTTATGTGGATTTCTTCTCTTTACCTTTAGAAGTTTCCTCTTGCTCCAACCTCTCCATATATGCCAGTGATCCACCATAACATGCATGTCTCAAAATTACAAAATTATTATCCCCTGCATATTCCCAAATATACTTTTTTTGAGAGCCTCCCTCTCTGTCATTATTTTAGTTTGACGACATTAACAGAAACCTAATTTTAAAAAAGGATAAAGTCAGCAGCACTTGTACCACACTCTGTGATATGGCATAAAATGTTTCCTTTAAATCTCCATCCACATGAAATTGTGATTTTAATACATGTGATCGAGAATGGATTTTGCTTTACTTAATTTAGTTTTGCTTCATTTAATATTATTTCTATGCTGCTACATAGTCATTATAATCATATTTTTAAATTGTAGACTAACACTTTATCAAGTGACTAGTCCATAACTTACTTATCCCTTACTATTGTACATTTACATTATTTCCAATTTTCTTCACAATCTCAAGTAACATTGCAATAAACACATTTATTAGGATTATTTTAAAGATTAATTTAAACTAAGATAATTACCTTGAAGACTTCTGCAATTGATTATTTTTCGTTTCAAAAGTTCATTTTATAATTTATTGTGCTTTCTTGGTAATTTAATTATGGCCAATGATTGCATTGGAAGATGATAGGGAAACAAAATGATGAATATGCATAGAATTTGGCACCTAAAATTTCTGAAAATAACACAAACATATTATAGAAAAGAGATTTGATAATAGTTAATTTTCCTTTTTTTGTTTTCTTTCTTTCTTTTCTCTTTCTTTCTTTTTTTTTTTTTTTGAGACAGAATTTCGCTGTTTTTGCCCAGGCTTTAGTGCAGTGGCACAATCTCGGCTCACTGCAACCTCCGCCTCCCAGGTTCAAGTGATTATCCTGTCTCAGCCTCCCAAGTAGGTGGGATTACAGGCGCCCTCCATCACACCCAGTTAATTTTGTATTTTTAGTAGAAAGGGGGTTTCACCATGTTGACCAGGCTGGTCTTGAACTCCTGACCTCAGGTGATCTGCCCGCCTCTGCCTCCCAAAGTGCTGTGATTACAGGCGTGAGCCACTGCTCCCAGCAGGTAATAGTTAATTTTCAAAGAAGAATCTCTTAAAATCAATTTTTTAAAAAGGAAGCTCTGCAAAGGCCAGTTTATTTTGTGATCATAATTCCTTTCTGACCTCGTAACCTAAGGGTTCAATGCCATTCTAGGTTGTGTTAATAGACGCAGTATTGCAGGACAACAGATCTAGGTGTTTCCCTAGAAATTTAAGGAACAGTGAATGCAATGAAGAAAAACATTTATACTTAGCCTGTGGAAGAAAATACCTGGAAGGGTGACGTTATCCTAACTATCTCAGTTTGCCCAGGACTGAGGGGTTTTCTAGGACTTGGGATCTTGAGTACTAAAGTCAAGAAGGTCCTGAGCAAGTCAGATGAGTTAGTCACCTCAGCAGGGATTTGGCATTTTCCATAAGGCCTCTAAGGACAGAAACAACACCAGGAGTGTACACATTACATAGAGGCAGTTTTTCAAATTTGGCATCAAGTGGCACTTTACAATCACAATGGGATAGGTGGCTTTGACAGTCTCTGAATATATTTTTTAAAAGTCAGGGCAACCACTTGTTGAATATGCTAAAGAAGCAAAGGCTTTCAAATGTTGTTGCATATTAGAATCCCCTGGGAAGCATTTGAAACTCCCCTTGCTCTCATCTCTGACCACACTGCAATAAAAATGGAAATAAATACCAAGAGTATCAAAACCACACAAATACATGGAAACTAAACAACCTACTCCTGAATGAGTTTTGGGTAAACAATGAAATTAAGACAGAAATCAAAAAATATTTTGAACAAATGAAAATAGAGATACAACATACCAAAACCTCTAGGATGTAGCAAAAGCAGTGTTAAAAGTTTATAGTGCTAACTGTTCACATCAAGAAGATAGAACAATCTCAAATTAGCCACCTAATCTCATACCTAAAGGAACTATAAAAACAAGAACAAATTACACCCAAAGCTAGCAAAAGAAAAGAAATAACTAAAATCAGAGCAGAACTAAGTGAAAATGAGTCTCAGAACAATCATACAAAAGATGAACAAAATGAAAATTTGGTTTTTTGAAAGAAAAAATTGAGAGACTACTAGCTACATTAACAAAGAAAAAAGGAAGACATGCAAATAATCACAGTCAGAAATGACAAAGGTGACATTACAACCAGTCCCACAGGAATATAAAAGACCCTCAGACACTACTATGAACATCACTATGCAAACAAACTAGAAAATCTAGAGGAACTGGATGAATTCTTGGAAATACACCATCTCCCAGGATTGGACTAAGAAGAAACATAAATCCTGAACAGGCCAATAATGTGTAATGAAATTGAATCAGTATTTTTTTAAAAAACATACCAACCAAAAAAAAAAAAAAGCCTTGAATAGGATGGATTTACAGCCAAATTCTACCAGACATACAAAGAAGAGCTGGTACTAGTGCTACTGAAATTATTTCAAAAATTGAGGAGAAGACACTCCTTCCTACAATATTCTACAAAACCAGTATCATCCTGATACCAAAATCTGGCAAAGACACAACAAAAAAAGGAAACTACAGGCCAATATCACTGATGAACATAGTTGCAAAAATTCCCAGCAAAATGCTAGCAAACTGAATCCAGCAGCACATCAAAAAGTTAATTCACCATGATCAAGTGGGCTTTATTCCTGGGATGCAAATATGGTTCCACATATGCAAATTAATAAATGTGTTTTACCACATAAACAGAATTAAAAACAAAAATCTTATGATCATCTCAATAGAAGCAGAAAGAACATTTGATAAAATCCAACGTTTCTTAATGATAAAAAAGAACTCAGCAAACTAGGCATCAAAGAAACATACCTCAAAATAATAAGAGCCATTTATGACAAACCCACAGCCAAAATCATACTGAATAAGCAGAAGCTGGAAGCATTCCTCTCTAAAAGCTGGAATAAGACAAGATGTCCACTCTCATCATTCCTATTCAACGTAGTACTAGAAGTCCTAGTCAGAGCAATCAGGGAAGAGAAAGAAATAAAAGGCATCCAAATAGGAAATGAGAAAGTCAAATTATTTCTCTTCACTGACGATATGATCCTATACCTAGAAAACCATAAAGATTTTCTCAGAAGACTCCTCGACCTGATAAATGACTTCAACAAAGTCTCAGGATACACAATGAATGTGTAAAAGTCAGTAGTATTTCTATACACCAATAGCATTCAAGCTGAGAACCAAATCAAGAACTCAATCCCATTAACAATAGCCATACAAAAAAAGTACCTAGAAATACATCTAACCGAGGAGATTAAACACGACTATGAGGAGAACTACAAGAGACTATTGAAAGAAATCATAGACAACACAAATGGAAAAGCATTCCCTGCTCTAGGGTTGGAAGAATAAATATTATTAAAATGTTCATACTGCCCAAAGCAATCTACAGATTCAATGCTTTTCCTGTCAAATTACCAATGCCATTTTTCAGAGAATTAGAAAAAAATTATTCTAAAATTCATATGGAACCAAAAAAGAGCGAATAGATGAAGGCAATTCTAAGCAAAAGAACAAAGCTCGAGGCATCACATTGCCTGACTTCAAATTATACCACAAGGCTACAGTAACCAAAACAGCATGGTACTGGTACAAAAATAGACATATAGACCAATGGAACAAAGTAGAGAACCCAGAAATAAAGCCGCACACCTACAACCAACTTATCTTCGACAAAATTAACAAAAATAAACAATGGGAAAAGGATAATACCCTTTTTAATAAATTGTGCTGGGAAAACTGGCTAACCATACACAGAAGAATGAAATTGGACCCTTACCTCTCACCATATACAAGAATTAACTCAAGATGGATTAAAGACTTAAATGTAAGACCTCAAGCCATAATAATCCTAGAAGTATACCTATGAAATACTTATCTAGACATTGGCCTAGGCAAAGAATTTATGATAACCCCAAAAGCAAATGCAACAAAATTAAAAATAGACAAATGGGACTTAATTAAAATAAAGAGCTTATGCACAGCAAAAGAAACAATCAACATAGTGAACTGACAACGTACAGAATAGGAGAAAATATTTGCAACTATGCATCCAACAAAGGTCTCATATCCAGACTCTTTAAGGAACTTAAATCAACAAGAAAAAAAAAACCTCATTAAAAGTAGGCAAATGACATGAATAGACACTTCTCGAAAGAAGACATATGAGCAGCCAACACATATATGAAGAAATGCTCAAAACACTAATTATTAGATAAATGAAAATCAAATCCACAATAAGATACCATCTCACATTAGCAAGAATGGCTATTACTAAAAAGTCAGAAAATAACAGATGTTGGTGAGGTTGTGGAGAAAAGGGAATGATTATACACTGTTTGTGGGAATGCAAATTAGCTCAGCCCCTGTGAAAAGCAGTTTGGAGATTTCACAAAGAACTAAGAATTACCATTTGATTCAGCAATCCCATTACTGGGTATGCACCCAAAGGAAAATAAATTGTTTTAAAAAGACCTGCACTCATATGTTTATTGCAGCACCATTCACAATAGCAAAGACATGGAATCAGTCCAGAGGCCCGTCAGCGGTGGTAGAGAAAATGTGCTCTATCTACAGCATGGAATACTACGCAGCCATAAAAAAGAATGAAAGTATGTTCTTTGCAGTAACATGCATGCAGCCAAAGCCCATTATCCTAAGCAAATTAATTTAGAAGCAGAAAACCAAATACCTCATGTTCTCATTGATAAATGGGAGCTAAGCATTGGGTACACATGGACACACAGATGGGAACAATAGAAACTGGAGACTCCAAAAGGAGAGAGGGTAGGAGGAGGGCAGGGGTTGAAAAACTACCTATTGGGTACTGGGTTTGCTGCTTGGGCAACAGGATCATTAGGAGCCCAAACCTTGGCATCACACAATATACCCATGTAATAAACCTGCACACATACCCCTGAATCTGAAATAATAAATAAAACAATTATATAAATAAATAAGTAAAACTCCCCTTGCTCAGATGCACCCTATCGTGATTAACCCATAATCACTGAAGGTGGGCTTATACTTCAGTAGTTTCTGAAAGCTTCTCTGGTGATTCAAATGTGTGATTAAGGCTGAGAAGCAGTGCACTGCTTTAGCTCTCATGTATGTATGAATTACCTAGGGACCTGATTGAATGCCGATTCTCAATCAGTAGGTCTGAGGTGGGGCTTAAGATTTCTAAAACACTCTTAAATGGAGACAATAATGCTTGTTCCTTGACTGGCTTGAAGACAGAAGGAGTGCATAGGAGAAACTCAGGCATCATAAGGTGGGGGTGATATATGGGTGGGGAGGAACATTGAAGTTGATAAGCATTAGGGACCTTCCCAACTCTAAAAATTCTTGGATTTTTAAAACCACAATAAGTCTTCTTCAAAGACATTTTGAAATGTAACTTTTTCTTTGAAGATGAAAAATAACATCTAAAACCCTTTTCCAGATCATCTCACTTGTATCATAATATGTATGCTATGTTTTGGATCACTTCCTAAGAACTGTTACATGAACAAATTTAATAATTCAAAACCTAATCTCCTTAGTTAATATAAACGATCCTGCCTTCATAGGTTTTTTTCTGATAGCTTACACATAGCACAAAACTCTCCTTTCCACTTTGTACCCAGAACTTTTTGGTTGGCAGGGCACAGATACTGGTCTTCCAGTCAGAATTCAGGCGATGGGTGAGGCCCTCTGGCAGATGAGTGTCCTTGGAATCTTTCTACACTTGAGAGGTCTGCCCTAGGCAAGAGGAAGACTCAGGTTTCCTGGTTGTAGTACTCTTTTCTTGAGCACTGGGTTCCATCATGGAGGAACAAACAGATAGGATGGGATTTTCCAATAGGTACCATCCAGCAAAGGGAAGCTTCTTTCTAGGGAATCCCAAGCTCACTCTAGAGCCTCAAAGGCAGCATGGCATAGTGGCTAAACTCAGGGAGCCAAACACTGGGATTTGATGCCTGATTCCATCACCAGTAAGCTGTGTAACTGTGAATAAATTACTCTTACTCTCTAAGGTGGTAGTGGTCTTTCTTGCAGGCGTGGTGAAGCCATGATCAGTTCTGTTTCTTTTCACATGGATTTTTAGGAGCTCAGTTTGACAGGTAGAGAGACCTCTACTATACCGCATGGATACAGGAACGATTCACTTTAAGTCTCCTTTAGCCATTTTATTATTTCTCTTTTCTGATGAAAGTACTTTTCAAAAGTATTGAATATGTCATGATTTGAGCTGGCAAAACTATAGATAATTTTTCTTCTTTCTTATAAAACCCTGGCTGGTTCTTGAACCTGTTGACCATTTGGGTCAAGGGAAAGAGGTTGGGGGCTGTTCAGGAGGAAGGTACAAGAAGGGATGGTAGGGACCTCTCTGGAGGAGAGAATTTGAGGATCCTCTGCTCTGAAGTGGGGTGGGGAGAGTGCTTCTCCCATTGGCCCTTCTAGTTTGTGTTTCAGATCTGCCCAGGTTGTTTCTTTGTTAACATTCAGCCAGGAACCCCAGGGACACTCGCTTTCTAAGGACCTTCAGTAGCCAACATCTCAGTGATGCCATAAGACAAATCACACTTCTTCCTCTGTCAATTGGCATGCCACTCTGTTTCTTAGGCCTCATTGAAAGTGGAGAATTGAATCCCAACGTCAAATTCCCAAGTACTGAAATCAGAGACAGAGAACAATACAGTAAAATCTTTCTAAAGCTGGAATAAATTTAACTTAGAAATCTTGTCTGTCTGGCTGTCAGAAATTTTGGATATAGAGAGAAAACATATTGTGTGTTGAGCTCCAGCTCGTTGCCAAACACTTACTCAAACCATCTCATTTAATCTTTCCAGCAATATTCAGAAGTAAGAATCACCCCTAATCTATCCACAAAGAAGGCAAGGTTTAGAGAGGTTGACCAGTTATCCAAGATACACAGCTAACAGTGGAAGTTGAATCCAAACTTTCATTTTAAGCTGTTTTTCTTGTATTGACTCCACATTTTTATACTTTGATAAACATGAGTATACTGACATTTTTATCTTTCTAAAAATGTAAATAAAGAAAGGAACATGCTGCTATGTTCCACAGAAACACCCTACAGTGGGATTTTGCTATGTTTTCAAAGTATTCCTAGCAAGCCTGTATTCCTTTAAGCACGCATCAAACATAAATAGATGCTGTCTGTATTAGGGGCCCTTGTTTCCTCTGAGAAAGTGGTGTGATCAACGGATTCTCTCCATAGAGAAATGCACGTATACACACGTGCACAAACATTTGTGTAGGGTTCCTTGTGGTTCACAGGTACTCTGAAGCCGGTGCTTAAAAATTTTAACAGATTAGAGGCATTCCCACTGCCCCAATGCCCCTTCTTTGTAACTTGCCTAGAGCCCAGCTTCCAAGGACACAAACTTTTATGAATCAGTGGAACATTTATTAACCCTGTGTCAGGGACTAGGGTGGGCTTTGAGAATACAGCAGTGAAGGGACAGGGTTGTTGCCCTCAGGGAGCTTATGGGCTAATGAGTGCATAGGTAGGTAAGCAGATATTACAAAGCATCAAGGTAGTGAGGGAATGAATGGTGGCTAACAGCGATGGGTTGTTGAAGAACAAAGTCAGCCCTGCAGAGAACCCCAGATTTAATGAAATGGTGACTGCAGTGAACATTTGTCATTATTGTTATCTACTCAGCATTTGAGCCTCTTCTTATCCCTGGAAAATACCATCTCCTTAAGCAGGCAAGCCCCGTATGACACACAGCCTTCCTTTTGTAGAGGCCAAAAATGCTAGAGACTGGTTTGCCAGCTTCTCTTGCACTTAGGGCACAACACTTGGCTTAATCTCCACCATTAGGACTAGAGGGAGCCCTCAGTCTCCAATCAAAAGCTGGTGCGGGCCTGATGTGGTGGCTTACACCTGTAATCCCTGTAGTTTGGGAGCCCAAGGTGGGAGAATTCCTTGAGCCCAGGAGCTCAAGACCAGCCTGGGACACATAGCAAGAGCATGTCTCTGTGAATAATAATAATGATAACAATAATAATAAATAGCCAGGCATGGTGGCATATACCTGTGGTCCCAGCTACTCGGGAAGCTGAAGCAGGAGGATTGCTTGAGCCTGGGTGGTCGAGGCTGTGGTCAGCCATGATCGTGCCACACTGCACTCCAGCCTGGGCTTCAGAGCAAGACCCCGTCTCAAAACAAACAAACGAAAGCTCGTGCAGCACAGAAGCAGGTTCTACCCAGGGGCTACAATTTGGAAACAGCAACGACAGCTGCATCTAACCTCCAGAGGTTGCCATGGCAGTGGTTCTGGGGAGGACATCTAACATCCAGTACTGGCGTGGTGGCATTGTGGTGCAAATCATGGCGTCTGTGCCCTGTGACAGCCACATCAGTGTCTACCAGACAAGTTCTGCAGCATCATCTGAAGCTTGTTCTTGGCTGCCTGACCTCCAAACACATTTTCTGGGTCTCCCAGAGATACTCTGATTTGCCCAATACCCTTTGCAGGGTAATCATTAAATTATCTAGTGCCAGTTTCTGTGCCTTGCACCTGAGGGTCAGAATGATGCCATGCTTGTCTGTGGCCAGCACGGGGCAGAGTAGTGATGGTGATGTGTGCATCCGAACTCCTATGGGGTCACCCAGTTCTTCTGTAGAAATGATGATGTTCTTGTAGCTGACACTCAAGTGTACCAACAGGAAGAGACCCAGAGCTTACTGAGTATGAGGCTTTTTTTTTTAACAAAGTGATTTTCTTCAACACTCACTTTCCTAAACAGTTTTTATATTTGTATATTATCTGACTGTGATCTTTCCACTTTCATTTTAAACTTGGCTAGAGAGCTCAGTTGACACACATTTAGTGAGTGCTTAATACAGTCTTTGTAACTGGTGAAGTGGGGATGCAAGGCAGTATGTAGCCTCTGCTCTGAGGGCTCTTAAGGTTTGGTTGAGAAGATTAGACATGTACATTTGTCAACATAAAAATGCAGCTCCCCAAATACCTGTTCTGTGAGCAACATGACAAAAACAACTATTAAATAATTATATTATATAACCAGAGGGATGGAATTTGTAGGTTCTAAACACTCTAAAATATTCTCATTTTATAGTCTCACCCAAGACTTAACAGCTAACTTAAGATGAACATGTTTTGACAGTTTGCTTTGACAATTAAACAATGCCTTGGTCAACCCATTATCTTTAAAAAAAATAAACAATCCATGGTAAGATTTTTGCACACCTTTTGCCCATAGTTGCAGCTCAATAAAATGCTCAGCGCGGATATGCAGACACAGTAACGCAGACAGGCCAGAGTGAGAATGATTCGGGTTTTTATTTTGACGTAAAGTGACTCAGAGGTCCTGTTTTAGTACAACCGTTAGTATAGTTATTATCTGGCCAGACAGCCTAGTTCCCTCAAAGTCTCACCTTTGCTGGTTCCCAGGAAAACTTAAGAACAGGAAGAGGATGAGAATCACAGACTAAATTAGAGGTGCATGAATTGAGCTCTTAAAGAGAAGCTGCTGCAAGTTTGTCCCTGGATGGTGCCATTAACACACTTTTTTTTTGTTGTTCTTAGCACCAAATTTAAAATAAAAGTTTACAAAAAACACTAGTGGAAATAGATTATATGAGTCTTGCATTTAGAAGTGCCATCTGTTCAACTTTGCACCCTCGCAGTCAGAGTGTTAATATCTCCCGTGCAGAGATACCATTTGTCAGCATTTTCCGCTGTGTGGAGTTACCAAACAGTTCACTTTTTAATCCTTTGGCCTAAGTCAGCTAAAATTCTCTGAGCGCACATGTCTTGAGCTTTGTGTGTCTTTACTATCACCTTCTTGTTTAAGAAAATTTCCTTTCAAAACTCTATTAGGAGAAGGGACAGAATTTGGAGCTAACTCTGCCTATGGCAGCCCAAGGCATTTGGGGGAAAGGGGGAGAACTCAGAGGAGTAGATTCCCCTGGAGAATAGCTAGTATCTATCTTTCTGATTAACTTCTGCAAGACTTAAATGAGTTTTAAAGGCCCTCATAAAAGAACAAGGGAAAGTCATTGGGGAAAGGAAGAATACAATATTTCTGTTTCAACTGCCAGTGATCTTTATAAACCCTAATTAAGCCCTGATGGGGTATAAAATATCCCAACTTTTATAAATGACTCTGTCAACTAGACAATATGCAATGCTTAAATTCCCACAAGATTCACGTTCATTTTCAATTGCATTTTGGTGAAGGGAAGAATATAAATACTCAGTTTGAATAGTATTTCACTGAAAGGAGAAATTAACCTATGACTTATTTCCGCACTAAACCAAATGGTTTCTTGGAGTTTGGCTTTTCCTCTTAGATTTGCAAAGACAAATCACACAGTATTACTGTGGATGTCATCGCTGTTGTTATTATTTTAAAACCAGCTGCTCTTTCTTCTGCGTTTTCCCACCATCAAGTAGGTGTGAGGCTTTAAAATTAATAAAATTATTTTTTCCCTTGGCCAGTGCACTCATTGTTTAGAAACTTTTGATATAGGTTTTTACAAATACCATTGATTGGGGGTTTTAAAATAATAACACTCTGCCCATTTCCAAGTGTAAAAAGAAAGAATATGAAGCAACGTATTATACAGTAAAAAACAAGAAATACATAGGCACCTGATTGGACAGAAAGCAAAGATAAGGTGACACAAACACTGGTTGGAGGGAGGTTTATTTATTGACATTAAATGGATAAAATCAAAATGATTTTTAACGTCACCTCCCGGCCGAGAAAGGTGGCTCATGCCTGTAATCCTAGCACTTTGCGAGGCCAAGGCGGGTGGATCATCTGAGGTCAGGAGTTCGAAACCAGCCTGGCCAACATGACGAAACTCCGTCTCTACTAAAAATACAAAAATTAACCAGGCGTGGTGGTGCATGCCTGTAATCCAAGCTACTTAGGAGGCTGAGGCAGGAGAATCCCTTGAACCTGGGGGACAGAGGTTGCAGTGAGTGGAGATCGCACTACTACACTCCAGCTCAGGTGAAAGAGTAAGACTCCATCTCAAAAAATAAAAATAAAAATAAAATAATAAAATAATAATCTCTCTTTAAAATATGGCATGGGGCTACTCTGGGGACCTCCACCTCCCATCAGATCAGCCATGGCATTTGATTCTCATAGGAGCTGGAACCCTATTGTGAAACGCGCATCCCAGGGATCTAGGTTGTGTGCTCCTTACAAGAAGAATCTAATGCCTGATCCGAGGTGGAACGGTTTCATCCTGAAACTGCTCCATGCTCTGCCTATGGAGTAGCCGTTCTTTATTCCTTTACTTTCTTAATAAACTTGCTTTCACGAAAAAAAAAAAAGAAAGAAAAGAAAGCATGATACTTGAGGATATGTGACAACACTCTTGTCTTTGAACGTGATCGGGGAAAAGTTATGGAGCCAACATTTCTGAACCTCTTTCCCAGACAAGAGGAAATCTGTGCTGTGAAAGGACATCTGATCCTGGAGGGGTGAGTGACTCAGTCCACTGGGACTGTGCTGGCGGTGACTGTGCTTACCTTGCAGCCAAGGAAAGCTGCAGAGGCAACAGGGGCAGATGGAACCCATGTGCTGTGCTCCATGGGCCTCGTCCACTGGCCTGAAGCTCCCCATTCCTCCCTAGGAGGAAATAAATAACATGTCTAGATTGTGCACAGAACTGCTTTTTGATGAAATGCGTTACACTGTTAAGTGCTATTTGAGGAAGATGTGTACTATACACTCTGTTTAAGATTGAATACCAGCAAGTTTACCCCTCCTGAAGAACTGATAAATTGCTTTTTACCAGACAATGAGAGGTATGTGTCTTGCCGGATTTTCCTTTTCACCTTGGCTAACAGGAAGCTCAGAACTAGATTTAGCATGCAACTAAAAATATGTATCTCATTACTGGCCGGATGTGGTGGCTTACGCCTGTAATCCCAGCACTTTGGGAGGCCGAAGCAGGTGGATCATTTGAGGTCAGGAGTTCAAGACCAGCCTGGCCAATATGGTGAAACCCCAGCTGTACTAAAAATACAAAAAAATTAGCCAAGAGATAGTGGCACATGCCTGTAATGCCAGCTATTGAGGAGGCTGAGGCAGGAGAATCACTTGAGCCTGGGAGACAGAGGCTGCAGTGAGCCGAGATCACGCCATGCACTCCAGTCTAGGCAACAGAGTGAGACCCTGTCTCAAAAGATAATAATAAATAAATAAATAAATAAAATATGTATCTCATTACTGTCTCTGGAATAATTATTTCATCTTTTATATACTTCTGATGTTGCTCAGCTTTCTTTTGGCTGTCTTGTTGATAGATTGTTATAACTCAAAAACACTGAGATAAAGAAGTGTCATGGACACACTCCCCCTAGGAATTTTACTTGTTCCTAGGAGGCTCCGTTCTTCCACTGGCCTGAAGCGCCCCATTCCTCCTTAGGAATGGGGAGGTTTCTCAAGCTCGGAGAGCTGAGGACACTTTGTGAAGATATTTTACCTCCCTTGGTTTTGCATCCATCCTGGCTCATGGATTACCCTGTTGATCGCAACTTGGGACTTGGTTTCACACAGGGATTTTTTCCTAGAGCTGCCATCATCACCTCCGTGTGCACTCATCAGCACAACTGCCATGTTAGGCCCCTCCTCTGTTTTCGGCCCTGTGTTGAATGACTTGTATCCATTGTGTCCACACAAACCTGAGAAGTGGGCAATCTAATTATCTTCCTTTTACACATGAGGAGGCAGGCACAAACAGTGAAGTCACTTATCCAAAGTCACACACTGAGTAAGTAACAGAACTGGGTTTTGATCTCAGAACCAAGTCCAAACCCTATGCTTTCAACCACTATTCTGTACCGATTGTCTTAGCTGCTCGCCTGTAGGCGTATTTCTCAAAGTGGGTGACACTTATTATGATTTTTTTAGCACTCATTGCTGGTCTCTTCTAAATTTGGTTAACCTGGGACAATCCCCAAAAGACTGAGAAACTCTATTGTCCTAGGAAACATACCTTTGGCTGCTTGCAGGTATATTTCACAAAATACAAATTCAATAAATGTTAGCTATTACTATCAAGATGATTAGCAGTATTAGCATTATTGGTCATTTATGAGTTCGGTTAGCTTGAGATAGTCTTTGAGAAGCCAGTTGTCTCTGGTTTATTGTTCTAAAAAGCATCCATTTTCTGGAGCAACCAGGTTGAAGTCTCTGCCTGACCATATCTGTGACACTTCTTTATCTCGATGTTTTTGAGTTATAACAATCTGTAAACAAGACAGCTAAAATAAAGTTGAACAAGATCAGAAATTATATAGAAGATGAAATAATTATACTAGAGATAGTAACTAGATACATATATTAGTTGGATGCTAAATCTAGTTCTGAGCTTCCTGATAGCCAAGATGAGAAGGAAAATCTAGCAAGACACATATCTCTCATTGTCTGGTAAAAAAACTTGCTGGTACTCAATCTTAAACAGAGTGTATAGTACACATCTGCATCAAATAACACTTAATAGGGTAATGAGTTTCATCAAAAAGCAGTTCTATGCACAATCCAGACATGTTATTTATATTGATGCTTCTAATTTCAATGATTTAAAAGGTAGACAAGTTGTTGATTGGGAGGACTGTTTAGTGAAAGCACATCTACATTATAGCCCAGGGCTCTGACTTGCCATCAAGATAGAGCAGGGGTCCCAACCCCTTAGCCTCGGACCCATACTAGTTCTTGGCCTGTTAGGAACCAGGCCACACAGCAAGAGGTAAGCAGCAGGCCAGGGAGCATTACTACCTGAGCTCTGCCTCCCGTCAGATCTGCCACGGCATTCCATTCTCATAGGAGCTGGAACCCTATTGTGAAATGCGCATCTGAGGGATCTAGGTTGTGGTTGTACGCTCCTTACAAGAATCTAATGCCTGATCTGAGGTGTAACAGTTTCATCCCAAAACCATCTCCCATCCCGCCCCTGTCCGTGGAAAAACTGTCTTCCACGAACCTGGTCCCTGGTGCCAAAAAGGTTGGGGACCACTGGAATCGAGCATAAAGGACATAGAGGAATATCCCTTAACAGTTCCATAAACATCTGTTATCCCAGTCCTGCATTTGATGGGCAACGCAGAGCAGTGCATTCAAAACGGAGCTGTTAGCGGAGAATTGATTGAAAAGAGCGCTATGCTGATTGAAAAGAGCGCTATGTCTTATGGTTGCTAATTTCGGGTTAGATAGCAAGACTGATTTTTGTTATATTTATTAAGAAACCCCAACATGCATTTTTATCCCAGCAGAGGACCATGTTAATTATACAGCTGACCCTCCATATCTGTGGGTTCTGTGTCAGTGGATTCAACCAACCACAGATCAAAAATATTTTTTTAAAAAGATGATGGTGTCATGTACAGACTTTTTTCTTTCATGATTCCCTAAACAACACAGTATAACAACTATTTACATGGCATTGACATTGTATTAGGTATTATAAGTTATCTAGAGATGATTTAAAGTATACAGGAGCATAATTTAAGTATACTTAAAGTATGTGCATAGGTGATATGCAAACACTACACCATTTCATATCAGGAACTTGGGCATATGTGGATTTTGGTATCTGCAGGGGAGTCCTGGAACCAATTCCCCATAGACACTGAGGGACGACTCTTGGTAATGAATACCTGTGGGGGAAAGACACAGTAAGAAACTATCTCAATATCTCATGGGGCTAGCAACACATCATCATAAATTAAACTAAACCTATTACAATAACTCCTGGCATTGATGGACATCATTTCAATGTGAAAAATACAGGAGACCCTTGAACAACATGGCTTTGAACTGGGCGGATCCACTTCCAGGTCAAAAACAATTGGTGGGCCCAGTTTTTTTAAGTGAATATGGTCAGACCTCCATCTCAGTGGGCTCTGCATCTGCAATCAGAATATATTGGCTTCAACTTTTAAAATGTGGATATAGGATCAGGGATCCTTCTGAATCCCAGTTGGGCCACCAGCCATTTATGTCCTCTTAAATATCTCTGCTTCCTGGTGTTAGAGGAACCAGCCACAAAAAGGGCAGGAGAAGACGGGCAAAGCGGCAGCAATTATGTGAACTAAAATTAAATACTAACTTTCCTTTGGTCTCATAGTCAGCAATAATTCACTTAGCAGAATTAGTCCTTTCTTACTAAGAGCAATGCCCCTGACTCACGGATGTTTCTGTGAGCCAGATTTCATGGTCTGAGTCAGAAATCTCTCTAAATCCTTGTAAGTTGTGTTTTGTTCTGTTCGATGCATTTTTGAATGCTCATGGGGCTTATCCATAAAACTCCCTTAGATGGCTGATCTTTCTCTCTTCCCACCCCCAAGTTTGGAGAACACAGATCTCTTTAAATACTGGGTGAAATCCAAACCTTGGATCCAGAGCATAGAGCTCAGACTAACATCAGCTATCTCGGCAGGGGCACACCATGACCCCGGCCCCATCTTCCTCCTGTTTGGCTTTGTAATCATCCCATGACACTCTTCATGTCCTGCCTGACTTAAGTCTTTACCACTTTGGCCCTTGGCAGGAACCAGGCCCTGCTTCCATGAATGGTCCTCTTTCTTGGCTGTCTGAGCTCAGCTAGAGGAAATTCTCTCTCCTCTGAAGTCATGCAGGACCAGCTCAGTTTTTCCTCCTTCCCTGACTTTCTGTCACTGCCTTTTACTCCCTTGCTAGAGGAAAGGATTTCTACTGCTTGTCTCTGCTACTTGGTTCCCCTGGCCCCTCTTTCCAAACACCTGCAGAAACTCTAACTGTCCTTGGCTAGACTCAAATGTCCCTTGACAGAGCTGATGAAGACGGAGACTTCTGAACAGTGATGCTCTGGACCGGTTAGCCCCTTCAGCAAGACAATGCCTCCCGTGCTTTAGAATTCTCAGTGCTGCCACCTTAATGCCCTCTGTCCTCATGCCACTTGTGTTTCATGTCTTACATTCTAGCAAGCTCCTAAAAGAAATCACAAGCCAGGCAACCAGCCAGCTCAAAATTAATTTAAAATCTTCTTTTCCCTCACACCATACACAAAAATAAACTCCAAATGGGTGAGAAATTTAAATGTAAAACATAAAACCATACATGTACTGGAATAAAACACAGGTGAATTTCATTATATAAGTTGGATATGGGGAGAAGTTTTCCAATTATGACTCAAAATCCAGATGTAGCAAAGAAAACATTGAATTTTTTAAAAATTGTCAAAAAAGAATATAAGTAAAAACACAATTGTTAAACTGGAATAAAAGAGTTGCAACATATATCACAGAGAAAGAGTTAATATCCCTTATATATTTTCAAAAACTCAAAAACTATAAGAGGAAAAAAAAAACCTGACAGGAAAATGGGCAAAAGAGATAGAGAATTCACACACACAAAATGCAAGTGTATATACATATACACAATGTATATAAGTATGTATACAGTTGACCCTTATATATTAAAAGACATTTAATTTCACTTACTATAAGAAAAATCTCAGTTAAAATTGCACGGAGATATAAATTCTTATGAATCTGATAGGCAAAATGTTAAAAATTTGACAACATACTCTTGATGAAGCTTTGAGGAAATTGACACTCTTATACATTACTAGTCATCAATGTCTAACTACATATGCATTTACCTGTTGGCCCAGAAATCCAACTTATAGGAATTTACTCTGAAGATATACTTCTAGGAATATAAAAAATTATGCAGAAAGTTATTCCAAGTTGTGATTTATAATAGCAAATTATTGGAAATAGTCTTACTGCCAATGCATAGGGGAATGGTTCAATAAACAATGATACAGCCACCCAGGGGAGCAGTATGCAGATGTTAAAAAAAATTAAAGAAGAAAGAAGGTTTCTATGAACTGATAGATAATTTCAGGATATATTTTTAAGTTAAAAAAACAGCAAGATGAAACAGGAAAAAAATATATAGTGATATATATATATATAGTTATTTGTGTGTAAGACAGAAGGAGAAATAAGATCTTTTTCCCCAAAAGAAATGCAGGAAGCCTAAGCAAGAAGTGAATCCAATTGGCTAGTTTCAAGAGGTGGGTGGGAACATAGTGGAAGGGAAAGAGAGGAAGTAAGATTTCTATCAGTATATAGTTTTGACTTTTAAATCATGTTTATGTTTTTCAAACTTAAAATTAGAAAGGATGAGGAGGAGCTAAATGTTAATACAAATGGAAACAAATTCATTTGTGTATGAAATTGTTAACATAACCACACAGAAGGAAAAAAAAGGAATGAATCTACGTGAGTTTTGAGCATATTCCTCTGACTGTCTGCCCTTAATGGGATATAGGTTAAGGACATAAGAGAAGTGCAAGGAATTCAGCTTGACTCAATAGGCTTGTTGTTTGAAAGGAGTATTGATATTATTCTAAAATATTGTAATGTAGGACTGAGAATATAAGTAAATAATCCAATGTGTTTGGGGACCAAGGTCCTCACTGTGGATAAAAAGAGATAACAAAGGTAGAATGGAGAGAAATAATCTTATAATTTTGGATTAGATTTGGAGGTATCAGGGGTGTGTGTGTGTGTCCTGTTCACATACTCTTGAATGACACCTCGGGGCAGAGAGGCAGTGTTAGTCTTAGCCAGCCTTCTAGGGAATGGGATCCAATCCAGGTATTGAAGAAAATAGGATGAGAGGCCGGGGGTGGTGGCTCACACCTGTAATCCCAGCACTTTGGGAGGATGAGGCGGGGGGATCACAAGATCAAGAGATCAAGACCATCTTGGCCAACATGATGAAACCCCATCTCTACTAAAAACTGGCTGGACATAGTGGCATGCGCCTGTAGTCCTAGCTACTCAGGAGGCTGAGGCAGAAAAATTGCTTGGACCCGGGAGGTGGAGGTTGCAGTCAGGTGAGATCGTGCCACTGCACTCCAGCCTGGTGACACAGTGAGATTCTATCTCAATAAAAAAGAAAAGGAAAAAGAAAGAAAATAGGATGAGAGAGCAGGTTGTGCCATCTCCTGAGTAAAGGGCAGGTTGTAGTTTGTGAAATTTAAACATGGAGAGACATCAAGTCACAGGAAATGCAACCCTATTTTCAGCACATTGTGGAAAGTAGCTTGGTCAAGTGGAAAGAACATAGGCTCTAGAGATCTGTGAAATGAGTTCAAATTCTACCATGCCTTGTTCCTTACTTTCTGACTCTGGGTAACTGAACCTCAGAGCTTCAGGTCCCTTGTTTGTACGGAAAAATGTTAGCAACCTTGCAGGGTGTTGCTGGGAGGACTATATGAGGGATGTCGATAAACTGCAGGGCATAGTGCAGAGGCCTGGAAAATGGAAATTAGCATGACTGCTAGTATTCATAAAACACAGTCATACAAGCCCACTGCTGGAGGGAAGTACTGGTACATGGTTTTTCTGGAAATCTATACCAAAAGTTCTGAAACTGTTTCTGTCTCTTGAGTCAGCCATTCCACTTCTCAGCATTTATCTGGAGGAAATAGTAGAAATATACACAGAGAGTTATGGATAGCAATATTTGTTTCAACATAATATGCTAAAGGCTGGCAACAATTGAACAAATTTAACAATTAAAAATTTTAGGCTGGGCACAGTGGCTCACATTTGTAATCCCAGCACTTTGGGAAGCCAAGGAGGGTGGATCACGAGGTCAGGAGATCACGTTGGCCAACATGGTGAAACCCCGTCTCTACTAAAATACAAAAAATTAGCCAGACCTGTTGGCACGTGCCTGTAATCCCAGCTACTTGGGAGGCTGAAGCAGGGAAATTGCTTGAATGCGGGAGGCAGAGGTTGCAATGAGCCGAGATCGCGCCACTGCACTCCAGCCTGGAGACAGAGCAAGACTCCGTCTCAAAAATAAATAAACAAATAAAATTTAAACCTAGGCAGTGAAATCTAGGCAAACATATGAAGGAGATACAAAAAATAAGTTGTATAATAATAATTTTAAATTTTATTTCAGCTGGGGAATCTAAACATTCTTATATGAAATCCAAATGTACACAGCTACATAGATAGGTGGTTGAGAGAGAGAGACTTGTAAATATATACGTATAGCCAACTGAGGAATTCTCTAAATTGAAATCATGCAGGCAAACTGCAGGTACTATCGTATCACTCTATTATTCCTTCTACATTATTAGTTGGCATTCTTCGGTAAAGAAAATCTTTCCCTTCCCCGGCTCCTTCTAGCACCCCAAGGTTTTTGGTTTTCATTTTGTTCTCAGCATCACTATAGACTCATGGATTCTTTGTGCTGTGATTCGTAACTGTCATTATTCTTTCTGCTGCTCAATTTGTCCCAAATTTTGCAACAGAAACATTTTTAGCTGGCTCCTGTATTTTTTTTACATGTTCCCATTATTTTTTGAGCACTTTTAGGTTCATCCTCTTCCTTCTCTACTCCAGTATATTTCTCTAAAGAATCCTCGTTTCTTTCAGTGGAGATCTTGCTACTTAGGGACTTGGTACTTAGAGAACAAGACCTGGGTGCGAGGAGGGCTTATTGGTCCTGGAGTGTCACTGTTTCTAGATTCTTTCATTAGAGAGATATTCAGATATGTTATCTGACTTCTCATTTAAAAATGAGAATTTTTTACTTTTGCATTAGGATAAAAAAATACAAAAATGTAAAAATCTATAGTTTTACCCTTTTTTATTCCTTCGAAGTAAGGAATGGAAAGGTGAATTGAAAAATAGAGACCAGATTGATTTATGTAAGGGCATAGGTTCTCTGTGGAACATGGGACTAGGGCATGTGAGAGAAGCAAGCTGGAGTTTCAGCGAGTCCAAAGAGATATTAGGGGAGCAGTTACAAAGATAAGTGGAGCTTCTTTCAGCAGGGAGATGCCTACAAAGGGCTTTTTAAAGTTTTGCTATTTACTTTGCGAGGAAATTCTAATTTCCTCCATTTTTTAAGAGACTTCAGTGAAGATATTAGTTTTCTAGCCCTTTAGAGTTAGATTTGTGTTTCTCTTAATGCTGACACCAAGCAAAAATGGTTCTAAAGGCAAGAGCAAGAAGATTCACGATTATTTACATTATAAGTACTAAGAGAACATTTCATGTAAGGAGCTACATGTCATCAATTCCTATTTTCAGAATGGTGGAATGAAAATAAATATGCTCTGGAGTTGGAAATAGTTTTGAAGTCCATTCCACCACCTCTGGAATCTTGGCCAAGGTACTTAACTTTTCTGAATCTCATTCTGCCTGGAAAAACTGCAGAAGACTGGAAATGGGCAGAATTTATTAGTGTCCTTTCAATGGAATACTGAGCATTATTTAAACCAGTGTCCAAACTCTGGATGATTTTCCTTCTAGGGGACATTTGGCAATTTCTGTAGTCATTTTTCGTTGTCACATTTTGGATTGCTCCTGGAATCCGTGCATAGAAGGTGGGGATGGTGTGAAACACCTTATAATGCACAGGACAGCCTTCCACTGCCCCCCCAAAAAAATTATCTGGACTAAAATGAGATTGAGAAATCTGGTCTGAACAGATCCTCTAGCTAGGTTATCTGATTCTTTTGGGTTCTATACCTTTTGTGGTGTTTGAGCTATTTTACAGCTCTGTAAATTGCAGGAAACTAATAATGATGCCGGTGATTCTTGTCCATACAGATACAAATGATCTTTACCCTGGTAGAGATGCAACTGATTATTACCATGTGGATATTGACCAGTTTTATGTCCATTAGCAAATTTATTTCAGCACTCTTGATTGCTTTTTTATGTTCCTGTTCAAAGGATCGTTCCTGTATCTGTTACATCTGACTCGTTCTCTCATTAACTAATGAGTTAAATAAAACCTTTAACAAGTGTATCTTTGCACAAGTGCCATGATTTTATCCACTTAAAAATTATGCTTTCATATCAACAAGATAAAACGATAGCCTCTGAAGATTACAATTGTATTAAACAGGACCAGCTGTAGAATAGCACTATCCCTGCATTTAGTTGTGCTCAGATAAAGTCACATTCTTTACCTTCCTTTACTTTCCTAAGTCATCTCAGGAAATCTGTGAAATAGGCTGATTGTTTTTGATACCCCAAGCCTCTCCTTTCTTGATATTTTACCCCATTCTCTACAAATTTTCTCCTTCTCCTTCTAAGGGCTCTTAGAAGTGCCAGATCTCTGCCATCTGCTCCAGTAAAAAACTTTTCTCAGAAAGAGATCTAAAAATGTTTACAACTTAGAGTAACTTTGATTCAATATATCACCTCTTCCAGGGACCCTCAATAAAAGAAGTATGCTATTAACACATACTTTTTTTGGAGAAATGTCCTGCCCTATCTTTGAGCTAACATAGGGTCTTAGTTTTCTTTGGTAACCATTGGGATCAGCAGGGTATGACAAGTAATGTATCTGAATATAAAGGATGCATGAAACCTAAATTAAAAGGGTTTAGCAGAGCAAAGTATGCACATTATATTTTCTAAAGATCACATGCAATGACAGGGTAGTTAAAGATGAATGGAATGGGAAGAGATTTAGCTTTTAGGAATTCTGTGGCCTTTTGAAAACATTTGAAAATGTAATAGTTTCTAAAGGATTTCTTAATCATTCCTGTCTTGTCCACCATGAAAAAAAAAATGTGATGTTTGCATTTTTCTGGATTTCTGAATCTCTGCCATTTGGACTTATTTAGCAAACTCTCTCCTGAGATGTAATACAATGTGAATAAAACACAGCCTGATCCATAGCAAATACAAATCGTATTCATTTATCCTTTGGAGTACAAACTTCAACCGTAACTAAATACAATATGCTGGCTCTTTTTGTGCTTTTTATGAACTTTTGAAGCAGGTTTGTGATGAATAGATTTTATAGGATTATACAGTTATAGTTTGCTTTTAAATATTTCAGAAAGAAATCATAAACATGACCTCATATGTTAATAAATCAATTATGGAATGCTGTCTTATACATATGTTCAAAATATGACCCTGTCCAAAACTCCTTAAACGAGTACCAAGAAATAACTTTAAACTCTTATTTAGGAGGCTCTGGATTTCAAAACACTGTGTGTGGAATTCTGCTGTTCCATCTAAAGAAAATAAAACAGTTTCTTTAACTTCAGTTTATATTGTTTTCAATATAGTAAATATTAAAGCCATGTTGAGGGTGTGACATTTGCTCTTCATGAGGCCTCTTCTCTCCTTACTTTCTCATTCCAAGTTGAAGCTAAGAAGATAAGGGCAAGAGAGACAAGAAACCTGCCAAATAGATTGAACCTCAGACGCAGACCTCTGGGGAGTTGCTGTTCTCAGTTCTGCGCTATTTTTCTTTTCATTTGCATTACTCTTGGATGCAAAAGATCAGAAACCATGGTCAGAAGTTCAATAATTGTGATTTACTAAATCAGGATGGATTTTTAGAAGTCCATTTTCTGCCTTCAAAATAGTTGAACTTTTAGAACTCTGATTTATCCATTTCTTAATGTGATGGTCAAAATGGCTCCAGACTTCTCCATATGTAGAAAACAAAGATTATTTTATTATCTGGAAATGTATTTTTAAGTATCTTGTTTTATTTATTTGGAATTTTTAAAGAAATATATTTTAAGAATATGTAAATTAATGTTTACTCACTATTGATGTATGGGCCTCATCATTCAATACTTAATGGAATAATCAACTGAAATAATGGCTTAGCAAACTCATCTCTGAAGGTGAAAATGTTACCACTTCCAACTGAGGCCAGAAAACATTACCTACTGCTAAATACTACTTTTGAATCATTGTTATGAGCATGAATCCATGTTAGCAAGTATCAAAAAAAGACTAAAAATCCAAGGTGTGGTAATAACTTTCAGCTTAAAATCCTATGTTTAGAATTTTATAATTTCAAGACTGAAGTTGGGATTTAGTATATAAAATTCAGAGCACTGACTGCTTAAGCCAGAGGCTTCAAATGTGTCTGCCCCCAGAGCCAACCAGGTGATAGAAATGACTACAGCAGACCTTGTAGCCAAAATATTTTAATCAGTAGACAGCAGGTGTATGGCAAATAGGAGAATGTACCCCTTCCCCAGGCACCTGAGACATACAGGTGTCATTTTGTTTTCGAGTGCTACCTTGCCAGATGAATAAAATATGTCTGTTGCCAAACGGAGACCATCATCTTCCAGTTTGCTGCCACTGTTCTGAGCTATTCAAGAGAACTGCTAAACAGTCTACAGAGTTGGAGAGCACCCAGCCTCCTTCAACCCCCTTTCCAGTGTTTTGTTGGTTGTTTCTGTTGGTTCTCCATTTGCTTTTGCATTAAGAGAGTTGGAATTCTCCCTACACTGAACTGAGTCTTTTACTTTGATGTCAGTTAGCTTCTTCTTGTTTGTTCACCATAGTCAAAGAGAATTGAACTCTTAGCCCATCAGAATTAGCAGAACCTGAATAGTTCATCCATTCAACTGTAACTATTGCGTAAGTTTCTTCTTCATTGTTTCCAGCAAGTGCTCATTCTTGGATAAACTCCTTAGCATATTTTTAGAACACTCTCTGTATTTTTTATCAGATTATACGTTAGCCTTCTCCTCTTTAGGACAAAGCATCAAGATCCTTTGCTTTTACCTCATAGGACCAGTTTTCTATCTCTTGGTTCAGTTTTTTGAGAATGAGCATCCCAGACATTGCTTCTCATTTGCTCCTTTGAATTTAGATGAGTCAGTGTTGTCGGCACAAGATGAGCGTGGAACCCAACTTTCTAAGGAACGTCCTCATATATTTTTTCTCATTCTCATTTCTTTTTGAGTCAATCATTTTGCAACTTTATCACAATCTCAGTCTAGAATACTATTACTAGTGTAGTCCATAAAATTTAGGTGACCCATACAAAGAAAACTATCAACCATTTTTGAGGAGGTATGTCAATAGTTATGAATATTTTATCAGAATGAGGAGATTGAATGTCATGGAAGATGTGAATTCTTTCCAAATTAAATTTAGCTTGAATACAATGCTAAGAAATCTTAAATAAAAATATCCTAAAGTTTATGGTATGATACATGTGAATAGTAAACAATAATGTAAGAAAACATTTATGAAGAAGAACTAACCCCAATGGTGTGCTGGTAAACTGACTTGTAAGAAAAACACAAACAAAAAACAACAAAAAGCCCCAATATGCAGTGTTTACCAATTTGTGTGGTGTAAATACTCCCAGCATGGATCAATTTCAAGCTACCAATGAGACATTACTGAACATAGAGTTGAGAAGAGACAGAATTAGCTTTTATGGACTAGTAAAAGCCAGCTCCACTATACCCTCCTTGAAGCACACAAAGACAATACTGTAAAACTATAACAATTAAGAGCACAAATTAACAAACGCAAATTAACCAAAAAAACTGTAATAATTAACAGCATAAATACTTATATTAGAATAAAGAAAGGTCTTAAATTAATGGCTTCACATTCCACCTAAGAAACTAGAAAAGGAAGAGCAAATTAAACCCATAATAATGAGAAGAAAGGAAATAAGGAAGCTCAGAGCGGAAATGAATGAAATAAAAACAGAAAAAAATATTGAGACGATTAATAAAACAAATATTTGTCATTTGAGAGGATCAATAAGATTGAAAAATCTGTAGCCAGACTGATCAGCAAAAAAAGAGAGAAACCACAAACTACCAATGTCAGGAATGAGAGAGGTGACATCACTACAGAATCTACAGATAGTAAAAGGATAGTAAGGTAATAATATGAAGAATTTTATGCCAATAAATGTCACAGCTTAAATGAAGTGAATACATTCCTTGAAGAATATTAACTATCAAAGTTCACTTAAGAAGAATTAGATAATCTGTTTAGCCCTACACTTACTAAAGAAATTGAATTTGTAGCTACAAACCTTCCCTCAAGGAAAACTTGAGGCTTGAATGCCTTCAACCGTGGATTCTGTATTAAAGAACAAATAATACTAATGCTATAAAAATTCTTCAAGAATATTATAAAGGATGTAATGCTTCCCAACTATGAGACCAGCATTACTCTCATACCAACCGAAACAAAGACACTATAAGAAAGGAACACTACAGACCAATCTCTTTCATAAACTTAGATGCAAAAATTCTAAACAAAATTTTAGCAAATTGAATCCAACAATATATTAAAAATATATCACATCATGATCACCATGTGAGACTGGTTTGACATTGGAAATCAATCACTATAATTCACCATATGACAAATTTGAAAAGAAAACAATCTGATTATTTTAATACATGCAGTAAAAGCATTTGACTAAATCCAACATTTATTCCTTTTCAGGAAGTCTAAGCTAACTAGAAACAGGGGGCATTTTCTCTGATTAAAAGGCATCTGAGAAAACCTACAACTAATATTATACTTAATGATGAAAGACTGAATCAGTTAGGGTTCTCCAGAAAAACAGAACCAGTCGGAGATATCTATATCTATTTTATCTATATCTACAGCCAGGTATCTAGACATAGGTATCTATATATCAGATGGATATATAGTAGATATATATCTACAGGGATTTATTTCAAGGAATTGGCTTATGTGATTGTGGGGACTGGCAAGTTTGAATAGGGCAGGCCAGCAGACTGGAAACTCTTAAGCAGAAGCTGATGCTACTACATTCTTGAGGCAGAATTTCTTCTTTGTTCGGGAAACTTCAGTCTTTCTCTTTAAGACCTTTCAACTTGGATTGCATTAGTCTCACTCATATTATCAAAGATAATCTCCTTTACTTAAAGTCAACTGCTTGCAGATGTTAACTACATCTATAAAATACCTTCACAGCAACACCTACATTAGTCTTTGATTGACTAACTGGATACCATAGCCCAGCCAAGTTGACACATAAAACTAGCCATCACACCCTATGATTAGGAATAAAACAAAGATGTCTTACTGCTCATCACTTTGTCTCTCATCACTTTTAATCAACATTTTACTGGAGCTTCTAGACAATGAAATGAGACAAGAAAAAGAAATAAACAGTATCCAGATTGTAAAGAAAGGGGTAAAATGCTCTTTATTCACAGATGTCACTATCGTCTACGTAGAAAATCCAATGGAATGTTGTAAAAAGCTACTAAACTAGTAAGCGATTTTAGTAAATCCTTGGGACATAAGATCAACATAGAGAAATTAATAGTATTTCTATAATTACTTGAAGATTATATAATTCAAACAATAGCAATTATAATTAAAACAACTTGACACAAATAACTGGAAATTAAAATAATACTTATAATCGCATCAACATTATGAAATACATAAGAATAAATCTGACAGAAGATGTGAAAGACCTGACATGGAAAATTACAAAATATTGCTGAGAGAAATTATGGAAGACATACATAAATGGAAAGATACAGAGTGCTTACGGGTTGAAACACTCAACAATTTTAAGAATGCAATTCTCTGCAAGTTAATCTGTAGATTTAATGTAATTCTAATTTAAATCCAAGTAGTCTTTTTGGGGTAGAAATTGACAAACTTATTCTAAAATTTATATGGAAATATGAAGAACCTAGAATAGCTGAAACAGCTTGGAAAAAAAGGTTTTAAGGCTTACTATATAGCTACAGCAATTAAGAGAATGTGTATTGGCATAAAGATAGATCAATAGAACAGAAGAGAGTCCAGAAATGGACTCACACATATGTGAAAAACTGCGTGTTCATAATGGTGCAAAGGCAATTTAGTGGAAAGAATCTATTTCACCAAAAGTGGTGGGACAGTTGGATATACATAGGCAAAGAAATGAACTTCGATGCATACCTTTGTACCATCTAAAAAATTAACTCAAAATGGATCATTGGTGCAAATTTAAAATCTGACCTATAAAACTCCTTAAAAATAGAAAACCCTTGTGGCTCTGGGTTAGGCAGAGTTCTCAGATATGCATCAAAAGCATGATCCATAGAAAACCCAATGATTAAATTGGGACTTCATCAAAATTAAAAACTCTTGCTGTTAGAAAATACTATTAAGAGAATAAAACCCAAACCATGGACTCAGAGAATATCTTTGCAAAATCCATGTCTGATAAAGGGCATGTGTATATATAAAAAGTGTTCAAAACTGTATAATAAGAAAATAAACAACCCAATTGAAAAGGGCAAAACAATGTGGACAGACATTTTACAAAAGAAGATACATATACCCAAATAAACACATAAAAAGATGTTCAACATTATGTTTATGTACTGTTGGTGGGAATGTAAGCTAGTTCAGTTACTGTGGAAAGCAGTTTGGAGATTGCTCAAAGAACTTAAAACAGAACTACAATTCGACCCAGCAATCCCATTACTGGACATACAGCTAAAAGAAAACAAATCATTCTATCAAAAAGACACATGCACTCACATGTTCATTGCAGCACTAGTCACAGTAGCAAAGACCTGAAATGAACTTAGGTGCCCATTAGTGATGGATTGGCTAAAGAAAATGTGGTACATATATACCATGGAATACTACACAGCCATAAAAAGAATGAAATAATATCCTTTGTAGCAATATGGATGCAGCTGGAGGCCGTTATCCTAAGCAAATTAATGCAGGAACAGAAAGCCAAATGCTGCATGTTCTCACTTATAAGTAGGAGCTAAACATTGGGCACTTGTGGACATAAAAATGGCAAAAATAGAAATGGGGGACTACTGGAGGGGAGAGGGATGGATAGAGGCAAGGGCTGAAAAACTATTTGGTACTACGATCAGTACCTGGATGATGGCATCATTTGTACCCTAGACCTCAGCATCATGCAATATAACCAGGTAACAAACTTGCAAATGTACCCCGTGAATCTAAAATAAAAGTTGAAAAAAAAATATGTTTGGTGTTAACAGTCATTAGTGAGATACAAATTAAAATCACAGTGAGATGCCACTGTACACCTATTACAATGGCTAAAGTAAAGACTGATTGTACACTACTGGTGGGAATGTAAAATGGTACTATCAATGTGGAAAACAGTTTGCAAGTTTCTGAAAACATTAAACATTTACCATATGATTTAGCTATTCCTATTTACCTAAGAGAAATGAAAGCATATGTCCATAGAAAGGTGTATACATAAATGTTTATAGAAGCTTTATTTGTAATAACCAAAACTGGAAACAACCCAAGTGTGTCTATCAACATGTGAGTGGGTAAACAAACTGGTATATTCATATAAAGGAATACTACTCAGCAATGAAAAGGAGTGAACTAGTGATTCACTCAATGGCATGGATAAATCTTGAAATATTAATGCTGACTGAAAAAACCAGACAAATAAAGAAGACACACTGTATTTTTTAGTCAGTTGGAGGTGCTATGATAGAATATCATGGATTCGGTGGCTTAAACAACAGAAATTTATTTCTCACAGTTCTGGAGGCTGGAAAGTCCAAGATCAACGTGCCTGAAGATTCAGTGTGTGATGAGGACCTGCTTCCTGATTCATAGCCAGCCATATTCTAGCTGTGTCCCCACATGGCTAAAAGAGGGTGAGAGAGCTCTCTTGGATCCCTTTTGTAACAGTAAAAATCCCATTCACAAGGACTCCACCCTCATGATTTTTTTTTATTATTACACTGTAAGTTCTGGGGTACATGTCCACAAGTACCCAATGCTTAGCTCCCACTTATAAGTTACATAGGTATACATGTGCCATGTTGGTTTGCTGCACCCATCAACTCGTCATTTACATCAGGTATTCCTCCTAATGCTCTCCCTCCTCTAGCACCCCACCCCACAACAAGCCCCGGTGTGTGATGTTCCCCGCCCTGTGTCCAAGTGTTCTCATTGTTCGATTCCCACCTATGAGTGAGAACATGCGACCACCCTCAAGATTACTCACCTTCCAAAAGCCCCACGTCCTAATAGCATCTTGTTAGGGGTTAAGATCTCAACAAATGCATCTGGAAGGGACACAGACATTCACTCTGTCCATTGCACTGTATGATTTAATTTATATAAAGTTCTAGAAAATGCAGCTGATCTGCTAGAAGATCAAAGGTCTGAAGAAACTTTTACAGGTCTGTCTTTATCTTAATTGTAATGATCATTTCACAGGTGTACATATGTATGTCAAACTGTCCCATTGTACACTTTAAGTATGTGTGGTGTATTATATGCCAATTATATCTCAATAAAGCTGATTTTAAATGTCACTTAAAAAAGGGATTTAGGGCAGTTCTTCAAATCTTTGGAATGTACTATTACATCCCAGTTTAATGTATGTACCAAGATATGTGATGACATGTGCCTCTGTAATCTATGTGCCTCATTTCAAGCCACAGAACTGCTTCATTTAGGAGACTTGATGACATCACTTATACCATCAACCTAACCCCTAGCCCTGATTGCTGTCATTAACATCATTGTCATTACTACAGTGGGTACGTGCATCATGCCTTCACCTTCTTCTCTCTCAGAAAGAATCCTTGGTTGTCCCTAGTTGTCTGAACCAAGAGTTGAAAAGTCTAGGATGGTTGAATCTGACCACTGGGGTCTAGGTCAATATGCCACTTGATAGTTTCAAGGGAGGCTGGGAAAATGAGTGTCTGGCCTTTTCCCTTCTGATGTAGGAGTCAGACTGTCTTGCACCAAGACTCATATGTTGTTATCTGTACCATATGCTGTATTTATGCCCTATAGATGAATGTCTTTCCTACCCTATGGATAGCAGAAAATATGTCTTAATCATAGTGCAACCTCCACTCTGCCAGGAATCAACTAGGTACTCAGTCACTCCTTGTGGAGTGGAATGGAATGGGATGGAATGGAATGGAATGGAATGGGATGGAATGGAATGGAATGGAATGGAACGGAACGGAACGGAATGGAGAGATAACTATCTCACCCATATCACTCCCTTTAGAAGTGCTGAGGGCCTTCTAAATCTCTTTTCAGGCTGGAAGACCTGGCTACTTCCTGAATCCATGTATGAGTTGGGTAAAAATAAAGCCTTATTTATATGGGATAGAATATGAAAGGAGATTGAAGAATATTCAAAACTTCCTGCTTACAAACTTCTGAAGTTTGCAAAGTTGCCAGAGCCTAAGAAACTCAACATACAATGCTTTTAGCTCTTCTTGGACAGATAGACCGAGATGATAAGCTGGATTCATCAGGACTGAGTACATATGGAAAACAGGGATTGTGGAGAGAGCTGGGCCATGTGTCAAATGCTACTCTGCCCTTATTGCCTACATGACCTTGAGCCTGCCCTCACCCTCCGCTCATGTGCTGCCAGCATCTTGGTACCTGGCTCAGTATGAAGCATGTGGCCTGGGCCTAACCTCTCACCACATCACATTACCCTGAACATGTGTAATAAAGCTGCTGACTCCATGATTGGCATTTGGCCACTGACAACCTCCCCAGGTTCACTCTCTGCGTGTGCCCCTTCCCCAATCACCTGTGTGACCCAATAAGAGAAATGCCTGGACACTCTGTGGATTTCAAATAGCACAGCCTCTAGACAGTGCTGAGGAAACTCCACCCTAGTGACACCCTCAAATCGCCCATGTGGCTTCGCTCTTGCTTCATTCCATACTGGACCTGAGCCTTTCTCCTCGGGGAATCCTTTTACTGTTAACTGTGTAATACATTTACTTCATATTCATCAGTGCCCATGTGTCATTTATCCTGATACTTACATAAATAACTGGTTGGGGGGATGTTTTATATCCCCAAATTCTAGCACAGAGGTTGGCTCAAGGCTGGTCTCAAATGACAGATGGATGGATGTATGGATGGATGAGTGGATGGGTGAATGGATGGGTGGGTGGATGGATGAGTGGATGGATGGATGGATGGATGGAGGGATGGACGGATGGTTGGATGGATGGATGGATGGATGGATGGATGGATGGATGGATGAATTGATTCAATGAATGATTCTTCATCCTGATTAGTACCTTCACATTTGGAAAATGTCACTCATCATCACAGAAAAATGACAGCCCAGGCCTGAACACTTCAGTTGAGACATCTGCTGAGATGAGAGACACGACATGTTAAACCACCTCCTTTCAGGAGCTAACCATGCTTTAAGATTCCAATTTAAATCTACTCTTTTCCTTTTCCTAAGTCACCACGAGAATGTTAATTCCCCCCAATTTAGTTCTAACTCCTTCTAGTTGAGAAGAGAATGTGATGCTAAATTGAAGAGTTCAACCCCTTAGCTGAGAATAATCCTTACAAAATGTATTTTTACCTCATTACTTGTTGACCAAAACCACAGCCTTGTATATATGATCTGAAAGAGCCCATAAAAAAGGCTGTGTCTAAAAACCACTATTTGCTTTTGGCTGCACACAGCAAAATTTGATTTGCGATGATAGGAATGTCAGTCTGACAATGCAACTGCAATTTCTCCAGCTATTTACCTTTAAATCTCAGTATTACACTTGCTACAGATGATATATGAAAGTAAAATATTTGCACAGTTATGTGATTCAGTCAAGAGTAGATACAGTACTGCACCTGAGGGAGAAGAAGGTGCTTTGGCTGACCTTACCAGGACCGACATTTTTGTAGTAAAGAAGCAAACTTTAGTATTGTTCTGTGGATGTGCCCTGGGTAAGGTCACTGCCCCACTGATAGCTATTGACAAACTCTGCTGAGATATGATATAATCAAAATCTCAGCTTCTGTGTGTTAGGGGGTGGGAGGTGTGCATGTTTCATGTTGTTATAGATGCCAACTTAAGCAAGTCGTTTTCCTAAACCTTGCAATTCTTAGGTTCTTTCTTATAAATCCCAAATCTGCTTTCCTTTGCAAACATGGCTAATGCCCCTTGGAGAACTCTAGCCTGCCTCTCCTTGCCTCACTCCCTAGGGTGAGGGCACGGGGATTGCAATGAGGCATGTGAAACACCACGTGTGTCTAAGAAAGGCCCTACCTCTCAGATTGTGATTATTTAAAACAGCTTGTTAAAAAAAACACACACACACATTAATTTACCCCTAAGTAAAGCTCATTTTGTTGCTAATTTAATTTTAGTGAAAGGCCTTATGTAGCATGCGCCCCAGGAATTTCTATAAGATCTATTTATCCAACCCAGGAGGATTATCTGACTCTTACAAGCTAATCCACTTGAAAAGTATGTCTCAGTGCCATAAGGAAGCATGTGATATTCTTTACATTATGAGTGTTTGAGTTGGATCTGGAATAAATAAGGTAGGTTGCACTCTCAGCCACCTATGCCTCTGTCATTGGAGACACGTGAGCTGTTCCAGGGAGGTCTGTAGTAACTGCTATTTCTTTTTATTGTCAAAAAATCCAACAATAAACTTAATGTGATTGCCAAGTTGGCACATAGAAATTGTTTGCACCAAATTCAATCAATAAATATTTATGGAGTTGCTACCATGTATCAGGCACTGTTGTAGATTCTGAGGTGAGGATACTGAGGTAAGATGCTGAGGTTGAGCCCAGCTCAGATGCTGAGGTTGTCCTCAGGAGCTCATATGCAAAACATGTGGGGAAGACAGACATGGGGCAATTGAACAAAGCGACATGGAATAGGATCAGCTAGTGATTAATGTTGTGAAGAAATATCAAGCAGTGTAGAGGAATAGAGAGTTTGGAAGGAGGTTATATTTTAAGTTTTGTGACCAAGGATGGGCTCTCTGTGGAAGTGACTTTTGACCAAAGACTAGAATGAAGCGACAGAAAGTCATGCAAGAGGAGGAGAGCTTTCCAGGCAAGTGCAAAGGCCCTGAAGCAGCAACAACCAGGAGGCCAGCGTGGCAGGGAGGGAGTGGTGGGGAAGAAGACTGGAGAGGTAGCCTGGGACCAGCTCACACAGGGCTTCTTCAGTACTGGTAAGAACTTAGGGATTGATTCTAACTGAAGGGCCAGTCAATGGCTTAGGATAGGGAAAAATTGGCTCCAGTTTATATTTTAGGCGGTGCTTTTTTCTTTGGTCTTGTCATCTTTCTTCCATACTGATTCATATGACTGTTCCTTGAGTCAGATGAACTCTCACTGTTTCTATGTCTGCAAGCTTCAGTCAATGGTTATTCATGTACCTGGGCTGTAAGACAAAAGCAAACAAATTCTATTCTCTTCAAACTCATTAAAACCCTGGTACCAAAGACACAGTTTGCTCAATCCTCAGGCATGTGTGGAGGTTTGGTTGTTTTATTTTTTCCTTCTTTTTCTTTTCTGGTTCTTCGGAAATAATCTCTTTGGGGGAAGAATTTTTTGAAGAGATGTGCCTAGAAAAAAATTTATTATTAAATACATCTTATTTGAACCGTGATATGGGCAAGCCTCTTTTTAAAATACATTTTATGTTTTAATTAATATGCTTTATTTTTAGAGAAGTTTTAGGATTCCAGCAAAATTGAGCAGATAGTACAGAAAGGGCCCTTATACTCTCTGCCTCCACATATATCTCCCCAACTATTGCTGTCTCACACCACACTGGTACCCTCTGTTACAAGTGATGAACCTACATTGATATATCATTATCACCCAAAGTCCATAGTTTACATTAGGGAGCACTCTTAGTATTGCACATTCTATAGGTTTTGACCAATTGTAAAATAATGTGTACCCACCATTATGGTATCATACAGAATGGTGTCACTGCCCTACAAATCATCTGTGCTCTGCCTATTCATTTCTGTCTTTCCCCAGCCTCTGGCAAGCACTGATCTTTTTAGTGTTTCCATAGTGTTGCCTTTTCCAGGATGTCATATAGTTGTAATCATAGAGTATGTGGCCTTTTGTGTTGGCTAATTTCACTAGTAAATGCATTTACATTTCTTCCCTGTCTCTTCATGGCTTGATAGCTCATTTCTTTTTAGTGCTGAATAATATTCCATTGTCTGGACATACCACCGTTTATTTATCCATCCAACTACTGAAGGACATGTGGTTGCTTCCAAGTTTTGGCAGTTATGAGAAAGCTGCTATAAACATCTATATGCAGGTTTCTGTATGGACATAAGTTTTCATTTGAGTAAATGCCAAAGAGCATGCTAGATGGATCATATAGTAAGGGCATGTTTAGTTTTGTAAGAAATTGCCAAACTGCATAAGTGGCTATCCATTTTGCATTCCCATCAGCAATGAATGAGCATTCCTGCTGCTCCATATCCTCATCAGCATTTGATGTTGTCAGTGTTTGGGACTTTGTTCAAAGGTGTGTAGTTTAATTTGCAACAATGAGATACTTCATTGTTATTTTAATTTGCAACTTCCTAATGACATATAATGTTGGACTCCTTCTAATATGCTTACTCACCATTTTAATATCTTCTTTGGTCAGCGAGCCTCTTTTTAGACAAGGTATGTGATATGGTTTGGCTGTGTCCCCACCCAAATTTCATCTTGAATAGTAGCTCCCATAATTCCCACATGTTGTGGGAGGGACCCAGTGGGAGATAATTGAATCATAGGAGCGGTTTCCCCCATACTGTTCTCGTGGTAGTGAATAAGTCTCACGAGATCTGATGGTTTTATAAGGGGTTTCCCCTTTCACTTGATTCTCATTCTGTCTTGCCTGCCACCATGTAAGACATGCCTTTCATCTTCTGCCATGATTGGGAGGCCTACCCAGCCACTTGGAACTGTGAGTCCATTAAACCTCTTTTTCTTTAAAAATTACCCAGTCTCGTGTATGTCTTTATCAGCAGCATGAAAACAAACAAATACGGTATACATTCCTGAAATTGTGGCTAAAACCAATTTTTGTAATTTGCATTTCCTTTTCATGGTGCCTTGTACTACATATTAAGATTATCGCTCCAGTTTGATTGCTCACCAACTGACAATAATGTCAAAACTTTCCATAATCAAAATCATAAATGGGGCAAGGTGTGTGATAAAGGCATATTATGATAAACAGTGCTTCATAAAATATATGTATTTGCTCATAAGAATAGTTACCCATTTATTTAACAAACATGAATGGTTTCTGTGTGCAATATACAGTTAGGCATCTTTATGTGTATTTCTAAATGCTCACAACAGCCCTTCAAGTTAATGTTTTATTATCTCCACTGTACAAATGAGAAAATATCAGATATTATGCATATTTCTGCAAGCCACAGAAAATGTTAATTAAAATGTGTTTAATAAAATGAGAATATGTTGACTCATGAAACTTTAGAATCAAGAACTAGAAGGCCAGGCATGGTGGCTCACATCTGTAATCCCAGCACTTTGGGAGTCCAAGGTGGGTGGATCACCTGAGGTAAGGAGTTCGAGACCAGTTTGGCCAACATGGCAAAACCTCATCTCTACTAAAAATACAAAAATTAGCTGGGTGTGGTGGTGTGTGACTATAATCCCAGCTAATTGGGAGTCTGAGGCAGGAGAATCACTTGAACCCAGGAGGCAGAGGTTGCAGTGAGCCGACATCGCACCACCGCACTCCAGCCTGGGAGACAGAGTGAGACTCTGTCTCAAAAAAAAGAACTAGATAGATTAAGTCAGATAGGGCTTGATCTGGGGCCTGAATGATATAGCAATAATCCAGTTAGTTTCTCTTAATTTCTCAGATCTACTTCTCAGTGCTGGTTCCATTCTCAGTTTCTACTGATGCCAAGATCGTTGCAGCAGCTCAGCTTTTCCATACACTCAAGTTATTGTCTTCTATAGGAAAGAATAAAGGCCCCTTTCCCATTGCTCAAGCTAAAGACTTAGGATAAAGCCTGACTGGGCAAACTAGCTTGGCTTAAGTCACTGTTTTATCTGGGTGTCTACTGTCCCTGCTGGAGGCTGCAAGGCAGTTTTGATCTGTCTTCATGAAAAAGAACTCCGGGGAGCAAAGACAGGCATTAACCCATAATTATGCAAATACAATTACTTACTTACTTATTGTTATAAATAGTACAATGCAAAGAGATAGGATGCTCTAGGCATGGATTGGCAAATTATGATTCCTGGTCTCAATCTGGCCCACTGCTTGGTTTTGTAAATAAAGTTTTATTGGAACACAGTCATGCTTATTCATGTACATATTGTCTATGCCTGCTTTCTGCTACAATTGCAGAGTTGAGTAGTTGCTGCAGAGACCGTATGGCCAGCAAAGCCAAACATATTTTTTCTCTGACCCTTTATAGAAAAAGTTTACTGCCCCTCCTCTAGGTACATCTAACAGAAGGAATCTAATCTCAGTATTCAGGGTGGTATTTCTGAGGAACCGGCATTTAAGGTAAGATCAGTGATTGAAAATGGGGTATCCAGGAAAGTTTGTGGAGGGCTGGAGGCTTGAGGCAAAGTAGCGGGATCTATATAGTCCCAGGTAGAAAGGACAGCATAAACGCAGGTCCTGAATTGGCAGAGTCTTGGCACATTGAGGAACACAGCGAAAGTTTGCATGGCTAAGGCATGGGTAGAGTGAATGCATGGTATGTGATACAGAGCGAAAGAGGGGCCAGAAGATGCTGGGCCTTGGGGGCCATGCTAAAGTATCACAGAGGAATCCACTGATGGGTGAAAAGCAGGGGTAAGACACAGTAAGACTGGTGTCTTAAAATATAGCCTAGGCTGCTGTATGTAGAATGGATGAGAAAGGAAGAGGAAGAAGAGAAAAAAATGAGGACAGCAACTGGGATGCCATGGCCATAGTCTAGGGTAGAGATGATGGTGCTTGGACTATGAATGAGAGTGAGAAGGGAGACATGGGTGCAAGATACAGTTCGACTGGGGGTTTTGTTAGGTGAACGTTGAGGATCACATGCTGGCAATGGGATAAAGGCAGGCCATTTACTGAGCTGAAGACACTGGAAGAAGAGCAGATTCAAGTGACGATGTGAAGCCATGAGGAAAGATGATCAGGAGGGGCCCTACTGGTCCTGAAGTGCCATCATCACAATTCAAGTTTCTAATTGGGTTGGTCAATGAGAGGCACTCTCAGTAAAGATCAGTTTAGTACCACAAACAGGCAATATCATCTTGAAAACAATGTCTTATTGAGGTTTTTGTGAAGACTCTGGGATAGTCTTTCCCGAAATGGTCTAGGACATGAAGTACAGTTCATCTAAATTTCTTTACACTGTGTCATTGCTCTTCAATATGTCATGGAAAGTTGGGGAAAAGTGTACATTGCATTTATTTTCTACCATACCCAAGATGTTCTTGTAGCAGTACACATATGAATGAGTAAAGCCAACGCCAAGCTAAAATGTCCTTGAAAGGAAGTGAAGTTTGTAATTTTTAAAAGGCCAATTTCCCAATAAAATAGTTTCTGACACATAACAGAATTTTTAGGTTTCCTTCCAAATTCAATGTTCTGTGACATGCAAGGCACTAGACAAGATGAGACAAACCCAAGTGATGTGTTCAAAAGTCATGGTGATGTTCTGCCTGTCCCCAGATCACTCATCATTCCACTTCACTTTAACAAAGATATATTCCAAAGTCAACTAATTTCATGAGCTAGTATAAATAAAAGTATTAATAACCTTGCAGTCTTCAAATCAGATAACATGATTCAATTCATGGAGGCATGGCATGCTTTGAATTTTCCATGTCTCCTCTAATTTTCCTGTAAGAATTTAAAGAGTCTGAAAGAAAATATGCCTTTTCGGTTGCTCAATTTGCCTGAAACATGTCTTCTCAATCTGAAACAGGAAAGGCTTTGTTCTCTCTGTCTTTCTCCCCCATATTCTCTATGGATGCTGTTTTCTTTCAGCAGCTCCACCGAGCCCTGGAGCACTGAACACCAGAGCCTCAGCAGCCTGGTGCTGTTCGCCCCTGTGCTTGGCATCACAGAGACACACGCAAGGGAAGCTGTGAGATGCTGAGCCTTCACCTGCGTGGGAAGTGAACTGGAAGACCACTGCCAACTGGCATAGATTATAAGAACTCATTTACCCAGCTCTATTTACATTTCAGGGTACAATTGAGCCCGTAACATTTCTGTGCCATCAGCTTATTTTTATCCCCTAAAATCATCACTCTTTTAGCTGTTTGCAAGATCAAAGCTAGCCAGTATAATACTACTGGGTAGAGTTCTCTGAAACTTGTAAACAAGGAATACCTCCGTTTCTTCAAAATAAAGGAAACAAGAAGAGATACTCACACAATCACAGAGCTAGCCAAGGAAGCAGAGAGAACATAATGTGCCCCAGCCACCCCAGCTGTTAATAATTCAATATGCATCCACCAAGGCTTTGCTGAGAACCTACCATGTGTAAGACACTGTGAAGGGCCCTTTGGGACCCACAAATGAACGAAGACCTCATCCAGAGCTCACACACGGTACTATCTGATACACAGTGCCAGAGAAGGATAAAGGGCTGTGGGAGAGAAAAAGTAAGAAGGATCATTCCTTTTGGCCTGGGATGGGAGGGCAAAGATGCTGGAAGACTTTGTGGAGGCAGCAGTATTTGCACAACATCATCTTGAGAGTTGAGTAAGATTTGGCAATAGGAAAAAGAAGGGCAAGGGTATGAAGAACACTCTTTGATAATTAACAAGGACCATAGCCAATTCTGGGTAGCTTCAGCAGTGAGGAATTTATTGAAAGGATTTTGGAAGTTCCCACCAATAGGAAGGAACTAAGGCAGCATGGAGGCTGGAGGGCAGGCTCTGCCCCAATTGCGAGCTCAGACACAGGCAGCCATGGCCAGGATGCAATTCTAGTTGGATCCAGCTGTTTGTCCCTCTGCTCAAGGTTCAAATTCCCAAGAGTGAAGCTTCGAGGGAGCTGGTGGCCTTGTGGCTCAGAGAAGGTGGAGCTCCCAGTGACAGCCTCAGCCAGCTGTCCAATAGGGGAGAGGAAAAGGAAACCACATGCTCTTAGAAAGGGGCAAAGCATGTTGGGCATGTCTTGGCTGGAAAAGGGTCTGACACTTTATTCATCAGAAACTGGGGACATCCCTTTTTTCTTTCTTTTGTAGCTGAAGGGTGTGAGTCAAGTTATATTCTCATATGATCTGGGTAGTCTGAAGGCACAGCATTGCAAAGGCTCTAGGGTGGGAGGGGGCAGTGTGTGGCATTTCCCAGGAACAGAAAGAGGAGCCGGGAAGGCTGGAGTGCAGGAGGTGAGAAGCTGTGGGCAGTCTCAGGCCAGGCTGTCTCAGTCACGGTGAGAGGAACAGGACCATTAAGATGGTGTAGAGCAAGCAATCGTAGGAGCGGGAGAAATAGACTCAAGATGCAGTTTCTTCTTCAGCTGAGCCTGAAGTTATAGGGCAGATGATCAGGACCTTGAAGTAGGGGAGAGCCCAAGAGGGATGAGCTAGAACCTGCCTCTGTCTCTCACTGAAACCTGCACTGACCTTTCCCATCTCCCAATTAGAAATGGCCTCTGCCAGTTGATTGTCGTACCTGAGATATGCATTAATGTTTGCCATAGGAATGGTGCCCCCCTACATGCAGCCCTTTTGCAGTTCACAAACTGCATAACCATGCATAGTGACGCTAACACACACACACACGCACACACACATGCACGCATGCACACACACTCTGTGTCTGAGAGTAATTATTGAACCACTTTTAAAAGCTGCACTGCTTTCTCAGCATAATAGATATTATGCTAAGTGTCCTGGACTTAGCATGAATTTCTCAAGGCAGTAGTTTCCTGGACATCCATCTCTAAGCATGACATGAAGGATCCTAAGCAGTGGCCCTTACACTCCTTCCATGGTTCCAAAATTCTTCCCCACTCTAATCTACTTCAGAACCTAAAAGGCCAACTTTGCTTCCCATTTTAGCTCAAAGCACTCAGAGCCCCTGTTAAATACCAAAGTGTCCGTAGAGAAGGTGTCACTTATTTACAAGCTATTGTCCTTTAACTTCATCCCCTAAAAGGGCCCTGAGAGATTAGTACCCAGGATATATAGGTTTTGATGGGAGAAGGGGAAGGAGAGAGAGAAGTGTTTGGTGTTCTTTGCATACCACAAGCAGCTCAGGTACAGGATGTTTGTCAGATGAGAGGTAGAGAGATGCTGAAGACAAATGTCCCACTTGACCCATTTTGCCATCAGTGGGTCCTGGCCAGAATGTACCCTTTAGATGGATTTATCACTGCAGAGATTCTGACACTCCTGGCTGGAATGGAAATTTATAAAGGATAGAAAAATGATGTCCAAAGAATGTGTCAACAACAAAAGCGAGTCTGTTCATACAAAACAGAGGTGCCCCTGGTCCCAGTGTGAAGGACAGACAGGGGTAAGTGGAAAGGGTCTAGCGGGGAGACTGCAAACCAGACTCGGAGAAACACATGACATCGTTATAGTGGAGAGAAGAACATTGAGAAAGCATTGGGCCTCTTAAGGGGAGGCAGCGTGGTCAACAACATGCACATAGCCTGTGGACTTGCACAAAATCGACTGTTCCACTGGCTGAAAATGTAACCTTTGGATGGATTTGTCATTCCTGGCTAGAATGGAAAACCCCCATGCCTGAAGGATCTGCCCTGGGCAAGAGAAGTAGCCACAGAGGCCCTTTAGTGTCCCCCTGGCTGTGCCTCATTCTCTGATGTGTTTCCTCCCATCTCCAGGACCTCTCGAAGGCCATCCCATTTAGAATTGCAGTCCCTGAGACCCATGCCTGTGGAACCTAGGACGTTAGCACTGGGTGTCTTTCAATTTTATTCTTTGCTTTTCTTGGCAAAGCTCCTTCCAATAGCCTTAGACAAAAACAGTCGAGATGAAAGCATCTTGGAAGCACTTACACAATAATCTTGTCCCTTGCGGACTTAGAAAAGGGAACAGCTTTTCCTGAGAAAGTGATAAGCCACAGTGTGACCCATTGGCTATCATCAAACCCTTCCCTGGAGCCTGGAGGGCCCTCCAACTCAAGACAGGTCCCTTGAAAACCGACCATCAAAACCCTTGTCTAGAAGAAGCAGCTGCAGCTGCCTTGGGCATGACAATTTCTCATTTATTATGTGCTTTTCAGAAGACATTGTCAACCAGCACCCTGTAATGGATCCTACTTGTGAGTCAATGAACACAATTTCAATCAGTTTCTGCAGATGAAAATGTTAATAACTTTGCACTTTCTCCATACATGGAAACACATATATACACACACTCACCTCCCTCAAACCTAGTGCACATTAGATAATGAAAACAAACAGAAAATTCCTAGCAATATATTCTTGATACATTCTACATCTTCGCAAAAACTGTCATTGCAAGTCAGTACTTGCCTACATACATCTAATAATTTTCTTTTTGAATTGCACAAGGAGCCATCAGCAAATGATCACTTTTTGCTTACAGAAGAAAGTCAAAATAGATTCTCTTTTCTTAGGCTTACATCAGAAGCATAATGTTAATTCGGGCTAAAGGCAGCTAGCACATTTTTCCTGATGAGTGTGTGAAGCAGTCAGCTTCCTCTGGAGTCATCAACATTCACAAGTCAGGATGGAAAAGAGGCAGGAGTAGAAGTAGGGAAGGTGTGTTCTGAAGTCAAGGTGTTTGCTGGAGCAATGTAACCTTCCATGAAAGTAGAGCTTGTGACCCATTCGGCTAATATAAAACCCCCAGTCTTTGGGACCAAGTAAACTTGGTTATAAACACATTATAAGTTCCTGGCATCTAGGGTGAATCCACACACACACACATTTCACTGTCACTTTGCCTTTTTGTCTCCCTAACCTATTCCCTCACGCTGCCATCTCTTTCTCCAGGGAAGCACCTCCACACTCTTGCTTATCTCTGAGCTGCTGGTGGATACGTTACCTGGACTCTAAGAAATGCTACAGTTTGTTTTTGTCTGATCTTTAAAAAATTTTTCCTCCCAACTTATTTGTCCTTTTGGCTTAGAGGTGGACATGCCCAGCAGGGTGCGTTTACCCTGCTGATCTGTGAGCTATTTTCACCCTTCTCGGTGAGTGCGTTTTTTCTACTCTGATGCCAGTCTCATCCCCTGAGGATGGCCCATGGAAAATCACCCCTTCTCAGAAACCTGCTTTCCACATGAGCTGTCTAGTGGGAATCTTGGACTGGGAGCTTCATAGGTTCTCCAGCTGCCCCTACTCCCATCTTGAAGGCCTGCCCAGAGCAGATGTTCTGGAAATATGTGATGCAGGAATGTAACAGTTCAATTCTCTCATTGAGAAGATGAAGAAACTTAGATTAAAAAACAAACAAACAAAATACCTTGTCACACAGAGGGTTGGTGACAAAGATGAGAAATGACAAAAAACGGGAAATGGGAAACAGATAAATACCGATTCTTTCCAGTATCAATTTGGGAGTAGAAACAGCCTATATTGAACAGTCTCCAAATAACTAGGAAGAAAAATGTAATTAAAGCTTTTATTCTCAAATTGTAAAATCTGTGAAGAACTGGTCAGACTTTCTGCTTCTTTTTTAAAAAGATTTATTTTCCTCTTAATACAAAAGTTCAATAGCCACATAAAAATTGGAAATGTGAGAGTAACATAAAGAAGGAAAACAAATTCAGCTATACATTTAGAATCCCAAAGAAAACTATTGTCAACTTCTTGCTGCATTCAAATGTAATCTTTATTTAACATGTTTTTTCTTGTAAAAACACTTCTTAACAAAACAGTTGTAATCATACTGTGATTTTGTGTACTTTTTGTTTTTTATTTTTAATATTATAATATTTTCCCCTAGTTCTCCAAGTTATTATGAAATCTTTATAAATAGAATTTATATGGTTGTATAATTTTTCAGGAAATTGATATAACAATAACATAAAGATCCCTTGTGGTTCAATTTTACATTGTTTCCAAGACTACCTTATTAAAAGTATTATTGCCATGAATATCTTTGTGGGAAAGAAGGTGGATTTCCATTTTTGGAACTTTTTTCCTTAGGATGGATTCCCAGTCGTAGAATTACTGCATCAATATCAGGTCCATTTTCAAGGCTCAGGTTGTTTGTTATGTGAAATCCACATTGCCAAATTGTTGTCCAAAAGAATAATATAAATGTATATGCTCACTAGCAATATGTGAGAGACTATTTTATCATACCTTAATGAACATTGTTTTTATCATTTAAAAATATTTCCAGCCATGAACCTGTAGTCCCAGCTACTCAGGAGACTGAAGTGGGAGAATGGCTTGAGGCCAGGAGGTCAAGACTATGGTGTGCCATGATACCACCGGTGAATAGCTACTGCACCAGTAGGTTGTCCACCTTGGGCAACACAGTGAGACCCTGTCTCTAAAAAAAAAATTTAATATTTCCTAATTTGTAAAGTAAAAATTGATATATTTGAGTTGCTTTAATTTCCATTTTCTCAGTTCTCCATGAGGATGAACATTTTCTCATTTAAAATACTGGTCATATTTTTATTATTTTTATTTTTATTTTTATTTTTGAAGTGGAGTCTCACTTTGTCATCCAGGCTGGAGTGCAGTGGCGTGATCTCAGCTCACTGCAACCTCCACCTCCCAGGTTCAAGCGATTCTCTTGCCTCGACTGACCAAGTAACTGGGATTACCGGTGCGGGTGCCACCATGCCTGGCTAATTTTTGTATTTTCAGTAGAGACAGGGTTTCACCATGTTGGCCAGGCTGGTCTCAAACGCTTGACCTCAAGTGATCTGCCCGCCTTGGCCTCTCAAAGTGCTGGGATTACATGCATGAGCCACCTCACCCAGTCTATATTTTTATTATTTTTAAAATTTGTGTGTGACCTTGCCTGTTTATCTGTTAGAATATCAGTGTTTTTGTGTCAATTTATATTAACTTTGTATCTATTATAGATATAATTTTTATATCTGTTGCAAATATACTTTTCCAGTTTTTGTTTGGCTTTTTAAAAGCTTCATGAAAATACAATAAATTGCACACAAAGTGCAAAATTAGACAAAGTTGAACCTACACCATCAACACAATCAAGACAATGAACTTATTCATCGCCCTCAAAAGTTTTCTTTGACTTGTTCATTCCCCATCCCCAGGTGACCACTGTTCTGCTTTCTGACACTAAGTTTTTCTAGAATTTATGTTAGTGAAATCATATAATGTGTACTCTCATTTTGTTGATACTCTTTCACCTAGCATTATTAATTTCGGATTCAATCACGTTGTTGTGTCTAACAATAGTTCATTCTCTTTTTCATTGCTGAGTAGTATTCCATTGTATGGTTTTGCCAATTTATTTATTCATTCCCCTGTTAATGGACATTTTGTTTCCAGATCTTTGCTATTGCAAATGAATATGCTATGAGCATATTGTATAAGTCATGTACAAGTCTTCCTGTGGACATGTGCTTTTGTTGCTCTTGGATAAATGATACCTAGTAGTGGAATGGCTGGATCATATAGTAAGTGGATATTTAATGTTTTCAGAAACTGGCAAACTGTTTTCCACATCAATTATACCATTGTATGAGAGTTCTAATTTCTTCACCTCCTCACTAACATTGGGTATAGTCAGCCTTTTAATTAATTTAATTTGATAGATTTGTAGCGGTATCTCATCACAGCTTTAATTTGCATTTTTCCATTGTATAATGATGTCAGCCTTTTTTCATGTGCTTATTCATCACTATATTTCTTTTTTAATGAAGTATCCTTCAAATCTTTTGCCCATTTTTTCTTTTTTTAATTATTGAGTTTTGAGGGTTATTTATATATTCTGTATACAAGTACTTTATTAGATATGTAATTTGAAAATGTTTTCTTCCCGTCCGTGGCTTCTTTTTTCCATATTCTTGGTAGTGTCTTTTGAACAGCAGAAGTTTTAAATTTTGATGAAGTCCAATTTATCAATTGGCTCCTTTCTGAATTAAGCTTGGCATTGTATGTAAGTATTTTTTGCCTAACCCAAGATTACAAAGTTTTCTCCTGTGTTATTTTCTCAAAGTTTTACATATCTTTGCAAATACTTATCCAATTGCTCTGATCCATTTAAAAAAGAAATTATCCTTTTGTCACAGTATTGCCTTTGCACTTTTGTTGAAAATTAGTAGTCTGGATATGTGAAGGTCTAGCTCTGCACACTATTCTATTCTATTTGTCTCTTTTTCAGTCTTTATGTCAATACCACTGTGTCTTAACTACTGTAATTTTATATGTCCTAAGTCAGGCAGTGTTAGTAGTCCAAAGTTGTTTTTCTTTTTCAGAGCTCTTTTGGCTATTCCAGATCCTTCATGTTTTTATATGAACTTCTAGAATAAGTTGGTCAATTTCTACAAAATCATCTGCTGGAATTTTGATTAGGATTGCATTGAATTTGTAGATGAACTAAGGAAACAAGTGAAAATATACTTTCACTTATTGACTAATGAGCATATGATATCCATTTATTTAAGTCTCTTTTAATATCTTTCAGTCATGTTTTCATAGTTTTCAGTATGCAGGTCTTTCACATCTGCATTAGTCAGGCTTCTCGTTAGGGACACATCTTCAGCCAGATCTCTCTCTAAGTATTTCATGTTATCTAATGCTATTATAAATGGTATTGTTTTTATAATTTTAATTCCTGTTTGTTGCTAGGGTGTATGTATATATATTTATATTGATATTTATATATATATTGATATATGTATATATTTATCTTGATATTGATATAGAAATATATATGTATATATTTATATTGATACATAAATATATACGTGTATATATTTATATTGATACATAAATATATACGTGTATATATTTATATTGATACATAAATATATACGTGTATATATTTATATTGATACATAAATATATACGTGTATATATTTATATTGATACATAAATATATACGTGTATATATTTATATTGATACATAAATATATACGTGTATATATTTATATTGATACATAAATATATACGTGTATATATTTATATTGATACATAAATATATACGTGTATATATTTATATTGATACATAAATATATACGTGTATATATTTATATTGATACATAAATATATACGTGTATATATTTATATTGATACATAAATATATACGTGTATATATTTATATTGATACATAAATATATACGTGTATATATTTATATTGATACATAAATATATACGTGTATATATTTATATTGATACATAAATATATGTATATATTTATATTGATACATAAATATGTGTATATATTTATATTGATACATAAATATGTGTATATATGTTTATATTGATACATAAATATATGTGTATATATGTTTATATTGATATATAAATATATATGTATATATGTTTATATTGATATATAAATATACATGTATATATGTTTATATTGATATATAAATATACATGTATATATGTTTATATTGATATATAAATACACATGTATATATGTTTATATTGATATATAAATACACATGTATATATGTTTATATTGATATATAAATACACATGTATATATGTTTATATTGATATATAAATATACATGTATATATGTTTATATTGATATATAAATATACATGTATATATGTTTATATTGATATATATGCATATATGTTTATATTGATATATATAAGCATGCATGCATGTATGTTTATATTGATATATATAAGCATACATGCATGTATGTTTATATTGATATATATAAGCATACATGCATGTATGTTTATATTGACATATAAACATATATGCATGTATGTTGATATTGATATATATAAGCATACATGCATGTATGTTTATATTGATATATAAACATATATGCATGTATGTTTATATTGATATATAAACATATGCATGTATGTTTATATTGATATATAAACATATGCATGTATGTTTATATTGATATATAAACATATGCATGTATGTTTATATTGATATATAAACATATGCATGTATGTTTATATTGATATATAAATATATATGTGTATATATATTCAAAATTGATTTTTTGCATATTGATCTTTTATCCTGCAAGCTTACTAAACTCATTTATTAGTTGTAGTAATGTTTAGGTAGGTTTCATCACATTTTCTGCTCAGATCATTATGTCTTCTGCAAATAAAGACAGTTTTACTTCTTTGCAATCTGGATGACTTTTATATCATATATTGACATATTACACTTGTTAGAAATTCCAATAAATGTTGAATAGAAGCCGGGAGAGTACACATTCTTGTTCTCATTCCTGTTCTTGGAGGGAGAATATTCAGTCTTTCGACCACTAAGTATAATGTTAGCTGTAGGTTTTCAGCAAATGCTTTTGAACAGCGTGAGGAAGTTCCCTTTTATTCCTAGTTTAAGGAGAATTGAATGTTTATGGAGAAAGAAACAGGAATGCTGTATAATTTTGTCAAATGCTGATTCTGCATGTGTTGTGATCATCAAATGATCTTTGTTTTGGGTTTATTTGTCTGGTGAATTATGATTGCTTTTTTAATGTTACATAAAAAACCTTACATAATAGACATGATGTATTACCCCTTTCAATATATTATTGGATTCAATTTGCTGAAATTTGTTTAGAATGTTTACATCCATGTTAACAACAGTATTAGTTTGCAGTTCTCTTTTTTCATAATGTCTTTGTTTAGTTTAGCTATCAGGGTAAGACTGGTCTCATAGAATGAGTTGGGAAGCATTCCCTCATTTTCAATTTTCTGGAAGACTTTGTTTACCATTGTTGTTATTAATTTCTTTAATGTAGAATTCTCCAGTGAAGCCACCTGGGCCTGGAGTTTTCTTTGTGGGAAGATTTTTACCTACAAATTCAATTTAGACATAGGGCTACTTAGGTTATCTATTTCTTTGTGAGTGGGTTTTAATAGTTTGTATCTTTCAAGGAATTTGTTTCTTTTGTCTAAGCTGTTGAATTTATTGACATAAAATTGTTCATAAAATCTCCTTATTATTCTTTTAACATCTGTAGATTTTGTAGTGATATCACCCAACTCTCTCATTTCTAATACTGGTAATTTGTGTTTTCTACTTTTTTCTTGATCAGCATAGCTAGAGATTTTTCAATCTTATTGACACCTTCAAATAACTAATTTTTTGGTTCATTAATTTTCTCTACTGTTTTTCTGGTTTTTATTCTATTAGTTTCTGCTCTGATCTTTATGATTTCTTACTTCTTCTTACTGTGTGTTTTATTTGCTCTTTTTTGCTACTTTTCCAAGGTGAAAAATTAGGTCATTTATTTGCGATGATTCTTCTTTTTTCACGTATGCATTTAATGATAACTGTATCTCTAGTACTATTTAACAGCATCTCACAAAGTTTGATATGTTGTATTTAGATTTTCATTCAGTTGAAACTATTTTCTAATTTCCCTTTTTGATTTCTTTTTGACCAGGGGTTTATTTAGAAGTATGTTATTTCTAAATATTTGGTGATTTGCCAAATATTTTTCTGTCATTGTTTTCTAATTTAATTTCATTTTGGTCAAATAATATACTTTGTGTCGACTTGAATTCTTTTAGATTTTTTGAGCACTTTCTGTGGCCCAAAATATAGTCCTTGGTAAATATAATTTATGTCCTTAAAAAATAATGTGTATTATGCTGTTGTTAGGTGGTGTGTTCCATAAATGCCAATTAAATCAAGTTGGTTGATAATATTTAGATATTCTATATTATACTCTTATTGATTGTCTGTCTACTTCTTTGACCAATTAATAATAGAGGTGTATTCAAATCTGTGGCTATCATTTTGGATTTTTAAATGTCTCTTTCCAGTACCATCAGTTTTGCTCATATAATTTGAAGCTCTGTTATTGAGTACATAAATATTTAGAGTCATTATGTCCCTTAGTAAACTAACCCTTTTAAAATTATAAAATGGCCTTCATTATTTCTGGTAATATTCTTTGATCTGAAATCTACCTTGTCTAATATTAATATAGCCACTTTAACGTTCTTTTGTTTAGTGTGGCATGGTATATATTGTCCATCCTTTTACTTTTAACCTGTTTGTGTCTTTATGTATAAAGTGTGCTTCTTATAGGCAGCATACCCCATCTTATCATTTCCGCTTTTAGTTAAGGTGTTTCCATCACTTACATTTAATGTGCTTATTGATATAGTTATGTTTAAGTCTATCATCTCACTATTTGTTTTCTATTTATCCCTTCAGTTATTTGCTCCCTTTTCCTCTCTTTTTTTCTGTCTTCTCTTGGATTAATTGAATATTTTTTGTTATTCAATTTTTATGTCCTTTGTTGATTTCTTAGCCATAACTCTTTGTTGTCATCTTCATGATTGGGTTTATACTATACATATTTAATTTATTTAGGGTTTACAGTATATATATTTAATTTATTATACTATTCCTTCAAGTGATATTATATGACTTCACATAAGTTATAAGATTTTTTTTTATTGGATGCTTCCGTTTCTCCCTTCTTAGGCCTTGGCTATTGCTACAAATTTTACTTTCACATATGTTACAAATCCATACTACATTGTAACTATTTTTGTTTAAATAGTCAATGATTGTTTAAAAATATTTTAAAACCAGGAAAAAAAAATATTTAACTATGTAGATACCATAACCTCTTCTTTTCATTCCTTGATGAAAATCTATATTTTCTGAAAACTCTGAAGAAGTCTTTATTTTACCTTTGTCTGTGAAGGTATTTTTATGGTACAGAACTCTGGGTTCACAGATTTGTTTTCCAGCTCTATAAACATGTTGCTCCACTGTCTTCTCACATTGTTTCTGACAAGAAATCTGTTAGAATCCATATCTTTATTCCTCTGTATGCAGCATAATTTTATTTTTCCTGTGACTACTTTTGAGAATTTTTTACTTTTTAGAAAAGTTTTTAAAACAATTTTACTTTTGAGCAATGTGATTATGATGTGTCTGGGTGTGGTTTTCTTCATGTTTCATGTGCTTGTGTTTATGTCTAGCTTTTTGGCTCTCTGGATTTACAGTTTCCATGAAAACTTTTCAGACATTATTTCTTCAAATTTTTTTTTCTTTTCCCCATCCCTCCTGCTCTTTGAAAATTCTAGTTCTAGTTATATTAAGCCTCGAAAGTCCCACAGCTCACTAATGCTGTTTTCATTAAAATTTTTTTTCCTTCTGTGCTTCATCTTGAAAGTTTCTGTGGGTATATCTTCAAGTTCACTGATCTTTCCTTCTGCAAGTTCTAATCTTCTGTTAATCCCATACAATGTATTTGCCATCTCATACATTGTGGATTTTCTTTTTAGGACCTCAATTTGAGTATTTTAAAAATATCTTCCATGTATGTCTCTGCCTAATTTTTTAAACATATGGAATACATACAATAATTGGGTATTCTTGTTTGCTACTTGTAACATCTATGTCAGTCCAGGTTGCTTTTGATTGATTTTTTTTCATTGCAGGTCATATTTTCCCATTTTTCTGCATACCTAGTTATTTCTACTTGAATGCCAGACAGTATAAGTTTCCTTATTGGGTGCTTGATATTTTTGTATTCCTGTAAATATTTTTGAGCTGTTTTGTGACATAGTTCAGTTATTTGAAAACAGTTTGGACTGTTGGGTCTTACTTTTAAGATTTGTTATGTGGTAGCAGAGCTGTACTCAGCCTAAAGACATTAATTTCCCGCCACTATCAATGCACTATGAACTAATGCCGTATGAACCAGGAAGTTGTCCAGTGTGGCTGGTGGGAACACACCACTTTCCAGATCCTGTGTTATGCTGGACGCTGTTGCCTCTAATCCTTTCAGTTGTTTTTTACCTGAGTTTGGATAGTTTCTTCACACACCTGCAATGAGCAATCATCAGCTAAATACTTGCAGGGCGTCCTCGGCAGATTTCTGGAATTCTCCTTGTGTGCCTTCTCTCCTCCCTGGCACCCTGTCTTGTGAACTCCAGCTCCTTTGGTCTCCCCAGATTCTCAGTTCCACCTCTTCAATCAGAGAGTCTGCCAGGTTGTCTGGTCCTGCACCATCACCTGGAAACTCACTCCAGGCAGTAAGCTGGGGCAATCCTAGGGTCACCTCGTTAATAAACTTGTCCCTCAGGGATCAGTGTTCTCCATTGTTTGATAATCAGTATCTCAAAAACTGTTTTGAAGATATTCTGTTGGCTTTTTCAGGAGAATAAAATAAATCTCTCTTATTCCAGTTTGATTGAAAGTAAAAGGCCCTGCCCAATATCTTTTTATATAAGTACCTTCTGTGCATATATCTTCTAGAGTCAAGCTCTACTGCTTGTAAGTAAGAACCTGCGTGTTACATCCTGTTTGAATCCATCAGTCCCTCCAAAGGGCAGAATCAGACTTCACATATTTTCCTGTTTCAAAGGGTTCCCTTCTCTCCTGAGCTGCCCATTAAGATCCTGTCACCTGAGGCAGGTGCCTCCATCTGTCAGGTGATTTGCAGAGCATGGATACATGACTTTTGCTCTCTGCCCTCCCTCCAAGACTCCCTTAAGCTCACTAACTATGCCTCATCCTTTAGGGCTCTGCTTAAATGCCAGCTCTTCGGGAAGCATCTTTCCCTGACCCTTAGATTGGATTGGGACTCCCCTGCTAAGTATTCTCACCGCTTTCTGTACCTACTTACATTTTTATTCCTTTCACTCTATTGTAATTACTTAGGCTTTAAAATCAGCATCCTCCACTCAATCATGAGCTTCAGAAGGACAGGGACTCCTCTGTCCTGTTCTTTGCTTTATCCTCTTTGTAGTGACGGGCCCATAGCGAGTACTTAGTAAATATTTGTTGAATAAGTGAATAAACAAATAAACCAATGAATCAATGAGTGTACTTTACTTATAAGATGATAAACCAGGACCTTCTGGATGAATTGATTGATCAGGTGGCTCTTGCTTGATGATCTTTTATCTTAGTAATTTTAAAATGCAAAAGCACTATCAACTTAAGTTGAGAGGAAGTTGTGGTTCCCACTGCTGGGAGAAGAGGGCAGTTTACTCGCTGAGAGTGATTTCCTCAGACCACCACCCACAGGGAATAACCCTTGTTTCTCCAGAGGGGAAAGAACATAATGTTCAAACAAGTAAGACCTGGAAGGAAGCTTTAGAAAGCAGTGAGTTCAACTCTTTCTTCCACAAGGACGGAACAAGGAGGAGACCTGCTGAGGTTATGGAGCTGTTTGGTGGCAGAACCTGGACTGGAAACTTAATCTCCTGATTATTCCATGGTCTTTCCACCCCCTAACTTCCATATAGCCCCACACCAATTTGAAATAGAGCCTGGGGAAGTGGAGCCCCATAGATAATTTCTGGCTATAATAATGTCACTGATTTGTTGGACTTGCTTTTCTGCAAAAGAGAAATACAACAGCAAGCCATATCTTCCATACAGAAGAGCATTTTCTAATAAATCCATGCAACTGGAACTCTGAAAACAATCACTTCTAGATCTTTTGGGTAAGGTCAAGTGTGGAACTCTGAAATATCCCAAAGGTTATATGTTGTTAATACTAATGGTCACGAACAAGTATACATATAAGTATCTGTATATCTGTATGTAAGTATACATGTAAGTATATATAAGTATGAACAAGTATACATGTAAGTATCTGCAGGTACAAGCTGAAGCCAACCTATTTTAAAAATAGCAGTGAGCTTTATAATATTATATCCTGAACTCATTTCAACTGCGTGTGTAAATCACCACCTGTATCTGCAGAGAAAGTGTTTTAACCCAGCCTGCTGCCCCCAACCAACATTATTTCCAGCTTTGAACTTATCCTGGGATTGCTTTTGCTAGCCAGCTACTCTGCAGCTAAAGTGCTATTGTTCCCTTTAATAATAGCCTAAGCAACTGTTCCTTTTTAATGCAAAGTCCTGGAACTTAACAAGTTGATTACAAGATAGTGACTCACTTTTTATCTCTTTCTGTGCCTCCACCCCACCTAGATCTTTCTGCTCCTGCAAATTTTAGTGAGTGGGTTACCTAGAACACCAGTCCAATAAAGGTTGGAGTAGAATACCAGACAAGAAAAGGATGAGCTCATTTCTCCTCTATGCTGTCAGTCTTTGAACACAGTGAGACCTATTGTGAGTCTTCCTGCTGGGGAGGGTCGTGTGGTGCCTCCCACACACTGGCTGTGAACTTGTTCCCAACAAATGAGTCTGTGGGTTGGGAATGTCATCTATCTGAGCAGATATCTGCCCATATACTATCTCAGTACCAGCAAAACTCTGAGCCTAAAGGTGACACATGGCCAAGGGCTGCTCTGCTGTTAACCATGCACAATCGATGGCAGCAAAGGTTGAAGTGAGCATAATCTGCAACCTTTCCATGGAAGTCTTAAACCTTTCTCACAGTGGTTCTGCCCATTGTCAGACAATTATATTGGAGAAAGGTTTTCATTTTCATAGCATGTTCAGATTTTGGAGGGAAATGCAAAGAGCAGTGAAGGAGGAAAGGCAAACCCTTCCTCCCAGGCTTCAACAGAGTCAACCCGGGAATCAATGAGATGACAGATGTTGGAGACAGATGCCTGAATATCCACTCAATAGTCAGGCTTAATGAACTAACACAGGAAGAGCAATTAGAGAATTCATTAATTATACTCTAAGTTCACTTTCATTGTTAATTCTAATCCTTTATTTGGGCTAATGACTTCAGCTTTTCTTATAATAATTTGTGCCCGTCAGTGAATGATAACATCTTCAAATTTCCATAATTGTGTAAAATTCAAACTATATGTGTAGCTCTAAATTGGACCTAAAGTAGCTTCTAAGGGTACATAAGACACTTCAAGATAACATAAATGAGGAGAAAAACAAAAGTAAGAACATAACATGGAGTAAACAATAAGGCTAATATAAAAATACAAACTACAAAGTCTTATACACTTGCTTCAGGTTCTATCTTATAAGCAGGAATAGCTCAGATAGCTCAGCCAATATGTTCACCCATTAACAATGCACAGGCGTTTGTTTAGTCCTACAATTATATATGCACCACAGTAGATCCACTCTAACTCAACAGCTTGCTAATTGTTTGTCTTTGTTATTCTTGCATAACATGCTGTCCTGTATTCTTTAATCATCTATTACAAAAAAACAAACAAACAAAAAAAACAGAAATTCCTTCAGTGAATAAAACATAATGAAAAACGCATTTTTATTCCCTTTATGAACTCTGGCCAGCTTCTAAGAAAGGGTAATGAGATTTTGCACCGCTCAACTCTAAGTCTTACTCCTGAACCAATAAATATGCACTCATTTGCATACTCTCTTTCCATCCTTCTTGAGCAAGCCACACTGACACAAGAGCCTCCTTGCTAGGCACGGAAACTGTTTCAAGATGTTTCAAGCTGAGAAAGGGCCACCTGCATGCATTATGGTTAAGACTTTAAGTTATCTTACCACTCAAGTCTTCGTGAAAAAAGTTCAAAAGGTGTTCATCTGAATCATTCATGCTTTTGTTATCCATGACCTAAAGCAATATGGTAGCTTTTTTGTGTGGGGGCTGGTGGCGGGGCAGAGGTTGAACTTTTATTTTAAAAACATTTGTATGCTCCAATATTTCAATAATATATGGATTTTTATTATATTCTAAAGTTGTACTTGATATTACATATGGGCTAAGTTCTAACATGAAGTATTATAAAAATGATACAATTTATTTTAAAAATCTACCATTTTGATCAAAAAGAAGCCCATGTATGAAAATATAATTTCACAGAAATGTAAGATTTTTATCTTGTGCATTTTTGTTTGATTACATAAAGCAGGAAAAGATACAGCTTAATTTACTTCTAAGCTGATATACAATACCTAACTAAACTAGAAAACAATTACAGTAGCATAATTTTATTTGCATCTATGAGTATTATTTTTGTGATTTCAGAGCCAGAAAATGCATGACACAGGAGAAGATGTACCCTCATCTGTTCAGTGAGAGATGTGCAAATCAACATCAACACAGAACTGCTGAAGAAAAAAAATATGTGTGTGGATTATATATATACATATAAGTGTGTGTATATATATATATATATATATTTACATATATAGTATGGGCTATTTCACCTTTGCAAGCTGGGAGCCATTAAGTAATGGCTACCACCACTCCCCCACCCCCTTCAGTAAAACACATCCTGAACATTGGGCCCATGTTTTCAAGAAGAATGTGCCCCACTGCCCCTTGGAAACTCCATTTCATTTACTTGGTTCAGTTAGTTAATGACGGTCCATTTTGACTCAAATATCCAGTTCCCTTTCATCAATCATGTCTTTCTGGACTGTCAGTTTTAGGGCAAGGATTACAAAGCCCTTCCATGCAGATATCCACAGAGAAAGACCCAGACCCACATCCCCATTTAGGATTGCTTAGGGACTCATTTCTTCCGCTTCCTTCCAAATGAAAAGAATGAGCTATGTGAAAGGGGAAAACCCCACTGGAAAATGAATGTTGGTGACTCAAGTGTTAATCTAGAAAGTCTTATGATTTGGTGCTGGAAAAGGGCATTGTAATAAGATGGTTCTTTATACCATGCAAACCAGGGGAATACAAAACACTGTCAACCATGAAAATAAGATTTAATTTGGAATCACAACACATAGGGTTTTTTCCACTTTAAATTCTTTTTATTCATTCATATTTGTTATAAATATTCAATAGAAATGCAGTTTTTCAAGACTGAAATGGTCTTTAATGAAGCAAGCCATGTGTGGCTTTTCAGGCGAGCATTTTCATGCTTGGTTAACTGTAAGGATGTTCATGTTCCTTTCCCAAAAAATATGATTTGTGATTCTGCTTAGGTCTCTGAAAAGCAACTTATTCACTGGAGATGTGAGGAGCCATCCGCACATCACAATTCTATAGACATCAAACGCATGAAGCATTTCGGATCTGCTTTAAGACTGAGGCAGACTTTCCATCTGGACACAGCCGACCATCCATGTGTCATTACAATGAATCCAGCACTTCCCTGGAAGCTGGAAGGGTCAAATTCAACTTCAACTCTGCCACTTCCTGCTTAACTTGCTGTTTAACCTTGGGCAAGCTGCCATCCCACACGAGGCCGAAGGTGTCGGTTTTTAAAATACAGAAATTTGGTTCCATGAGGGATTATCAATATACTGCTGGTGGGCCAAATTCCATCTGCTACTTGCCTTTGTAAATAAAGTTTTATTGAAACACAAACATGCCCATTAGTTTACTCTTGTCTGTGACTACAAGGGCAAAGTTGAATAGTTGTTACAGAGACCATCAGGCTCACAAAGCCTAGGTTATTTACTATCTGCCCATTTACAGAGTAAGTTTGCCAGCCCTGGACTGGATAATTTTTTGAGTTCTTTCTAATTCTAGAATTCTTTATATATTTTATGAAACCCCTAATGTTTATATATTAATTATTTCAATACCCGTGTCTTTACTGAGTCCCTCCTATGAAGCATACATCAAGACATATGTGTGATACATTAACTAAACTTTTAACAGTATCTTAAATAGGATTTCAATGACTAACAGCTCTTGGAAATATCCAAGGTAACATTTGGGGGCAAATGTCTTATGATTTGATTATCATTGGTAAATAGAGCATATCTTTTTTTCCACTAACAATGTTTAAGAAGTTAAAAAAAAATCAAGAAAACCCCGTATGGCACTAGAGACTTATTGCATTAAGACATCATCTTAACAGATTGTTTAGTTTTGGTAATATAATTTGACATCTAAACATAAGCTGAGAGGGATCTCCCTCAAAACCTTTGATAATATGATTCATTGTCAAATGTTTGTTTTGCCTATCTGGCACTCATTAATTAATTCTTTTTAATATAGCTTGGATTTACTGATTTTGAAAAAGAGAATTATTCTTATTGATGTTGCTAAAATATCCAGGTGGCTTGAATTTCACCAACTAGATAGTTTAATCTAGCACATTTGTGTAGCCCTAATCAAATCTTTACTAACAGATGTGAGAAGCCCAGTACTGGAGCTAATGTTTGTGTCTCAATGATAATTAAATTAGCTTAATAAGGAAAATAAATGAACAATAATCACCAAAATTTTTCCCTAAACCTGTGTTATAGTCTTAAAAACATTTTTTCCCCTATGGAGGCTTTTGGTAATAAAACACAAATTGAGGGATTTTAATTAAAAGAAATTTTTTTTTCAAGAACTGGTCATGTACTAAATTGCTTATAATCAAATAATCAAGTAGCATTTCTTTTATTATAAGAGCAAAACCTATAATTAAGCCAAAATTCAAATTTGTTTTTAAAGGTTGAATAATCTTTTGTTTTGGCCAATAGTATGTGGATTTTTTTTTTAAGTATTATCTCTTTGTAGTATTTTCTAATGGATAGGAAATGCCTTTCTCAGGTTGAATGATTATTTCCACATAGAATTAGTTCCTGCTTACAACAGTGCTCCACTAATGTAATGGCTCGGTGAATTGGCTTTATAATTCATTAATCATAGCTCACATTGAGCTTTTGGCTCCAGGTGACAGTGCCCACCACAGGCCAAATAACTTCTCATTTAAAGGCAATTTGTACAAATAGGGAAGGTGAGAATTCTCACAGTCCCAGAGGGATTGAAGAGTTTTAAAAAACCAAGATAAGGCATTTTATGGAAGACAGGTTGATGGAAGAAAAGTGGCCATTGGAGGATGAGGCAGATGGCTTTCCAGGGAGGCCCTGGAGCTGCCACCATGGGGAAGGCCATGTTGCAGCTGCTGATCAGAGCACATTGGACGGTGTTTCCGTGTGAACATGAAGACAATGCTGCCTCTGTTTCTGTGACGCTGTGCTCTGATCTTGCTGGAGGCGAAGTGGTGTCAGCTGTGCTTACAGGACAGTCAGTGGTGGTAGAAAAGAGGCCAGTGTGACCTGTGAAGGACTGGGCCCCTCTCACTCAACCTGAGTGCCTGCAGTTGTGGCCACCTTTATTTGTGTATTCTACTGTATTTATTTATTTGCCTGGCTAATTAGCTCTGTGCCACATTCCTAAGCTAGATGTGTCCCTTCATGTAAGTGAGAGGGAGACAGAAAGAAAGACTGAGGTGGGGGGTAGGAGAAAGAGAGGAAAGCAAGCAAGAAGAAAGAGAAAGAGAGAAGAAGAAAGGAAGAGGAAAGAAAGAGAGAAAGAGAAAGAGAAGGAAGGAAGGAGAAAGAGAAGGAAAGAAGGAGCCTTCTAATTTTATTTCATTTCTCCAATAAATGTTCCTATATTAAGACTTTAGACAAAGATTAGAAATATGATTTGACAGAAAGTGTATGGATGTGTTGTTCTATTGCATTGTAAGTAAAGTATCCATGGCAATATACAAATAATACAGCTCCTACCCCTATTCTCTGTTGTTACTTTCATGTGTTGTCTTAACTTTTTAAATTTCAAGATAATATTGCGCTTATTTATTTTTCCATGAGGAGGCCTAGGATTTAGCTTGATTAGAAAAGCTGTGGAAAATGAATGTGCTAATTACTTTAAATCAAATTGAAAATAAATTTTATCCTGTTTCATGCAAAACATAGTGTATTTGACTGTTAGTTCATTCAACTAATAAAACCAATTATGTCTATAAGTGATTGGGCACTTAATAAGCCAGCCCCTGTCCTAATGCTTTCTTTATCTCATATAATTCACATCATGAAGCGATGGGAAGATCTCAAGTGACCCATTAGCCAGAAGAGGAAATCAAGCCTGCTATCAAGACTAATGCTGGGAGAATTTCTCCAGGGCACTTAGGTGAGGGTCTATGGTTAACTTTCCATGGCTATGGACCCCATCTCCACAAAGCACAAGCACTCAGGCAAGTTCACAGTGTTAGCATGAAACACACTCTGGGGGCATGATCACGTGACTCATAGTGAGTCACTAGAAGTTGTGTTAACATGTCTGGTATACAAATTTAAACATGAATATTCCTTCAATCTGAGCAATTTATATAACTAATTAATTTAAAATATTTGAATTATTTGTATGGGAACAAGAGCTTCTGGCTTACAGAATTCCCAATGTATAGGGCAGAGCAATGCATTTAGAAGATGACATGAAGTATCAAAAGTATTGCAAACCAAATCAGTGGGACAATTGGGAAAAACTGAATAAGGTCTGTAGATTAGGTAACAGTGCTATATTGATTCCAAGTTCCTGATTTTGATTTTTGTACTGCAGCTATGAAAGACAATGTCCTTATATGGGGGAACTACAACACTAAAATATTCAGGGGTAAAAGGATATAATGCATACAATTTATTCTCAGATGGTTCAAGAAAAAAAATGTACCCATTGATCTATTAGTCTTTTAAAAGAAGGAGAGTACGCTAAAGCTACTGTGGTAAAATGTGGACATTTTGGAAATTTGGATGAAGGGTATATGAAAGCTCTTTGTCTTATTTTTGCAGCTTTTTCATATGCCTGAAATTATTTCAAAATTAAAATGTAATGATAAAAAAAAGAAACTTTAAAATAAGCGAGGCTCTGGGCTGGCCTGATTTTGGAAGGCATAGTGCCAGAGGTATCAGTAAAATGCCAGGGTGTTTTGAGACTGCCATGGCAGAGAATGTTTCTCTCAACATGTTTGGAGTTTGGTTTCTGGAGGCCAACATGATCATTGACTCTTGATGGCTAAAATATTATTCATTTGCCAGCAATTTATTTGACTGGCTGCTGGAAAATGTTTCACTAAACAAGGAGTACCAACAACAACAAAAAAAGGCACACTACCTTTGCATTAAATACTCCAAGTGTAATAATATGTGTCAACATGTATATTGTTTTCCTTATAGACAAGTGTTTTTGTATGCTGAATTTTCAGTTATCAATACCAAATATTAAAATATTCCTATGCATGGTGGCTCACGCCTGTAATCCCAGCACTTTAGGAGGCCGAGGTGGGCAGATCACCTGAGGTCAGGAGTTCCAGACCAGCCTGCCCAACATGGCGAAACCTCGTCTCTACTAAAAACACAAAAAATTAGCCAGGCATAGTGGCGGGCACCTGTAATCCCAGCTACTCGGGAGGCTGACGCAGGAGAATCATTTGAAACTGGGAGGCGGAGGTTGCAGTGAGCTGAGATCACACCACTGCGCTCCAGCCTGGGCGACAAGAGTGAAACTCCATCTCAAAAAGAAAAAAATATATATATTCCTATAAATGTAGATGGTTCACAAACACCCTGGATAATATTAAGAAGTACCTTCATGAGAGTATATTTTATACTCAAGGGGAGATAACAGAAACAGGGAAAGTAACTTCAGAACTAAACTAAGAATATAGAAGAACCATAAAATTTAAGAACAAATAAGAATATGAGACTGGAAGAAGGTAATATATTTCAATTCTTAATGTATTGAGTGCTTAATGCTTTTTAAGGTTGCCCTCTGTGCTTGACACAGGATTTTCACTAGCACCAGTAAATTAAAAAAATAAATAAATAAACAGAGGGAATTTAAATGTCAAATGTTTCTCCTGACTTTGCTTGGACATTAAGTACTTGACATTTAGGAAGTAGGAGAGGCCCTGGACTTAGTCTATGGACCCAAAGCCAGTTCTAGTTCCAGATCTGCAACATATGGGGAGTCACCAAATGGCTGCCCTTCTCCAGTTATGTTTCCCTATCTATAAAATGAGGAGGTTAGTGTACATTTATGATAACTTATGGCTATTACACTCTGACCAAAAACACTCTATGAGCTTCCCTTGTTAGACAGAGGACATAAATTCCAAGGGGGAACATTCAGATTATTCTGGAAGAGCAATTAAATGCAATTTTATTGCATGTAATATTGCTTGAAAATATTGAGCTTACAAGCTAGAACTCAGTTTTGGATTATGTGGACAGTGTTGTTTTCATGAGTTTTTTTTTTTTAATAAGAGAAGTTGGCATGCAAGCAAATCATATATATTTTTTTCTTTCTAGGTTGAATGTTTAACTAAAAGGTAACCCATTTATCTACATTTTAAAATAATTTTTTTTGTACTGGAGACATCCTTAGTGAGTTTGGTGGTTCCATCTCTTTTCCCTTCCTCCCAGGAAGAATTTATATCTGGAGAAGTCACCCAAATGTCAATCTTTTGCATGCTACTTTCAATATTTTTCCACCTGTACTATTATTTATTTAACTTTTTTTCACACTGACTCATTTTTTTAAACTTTCAGTGCCTACCCCAACCTCATGCATACCAGTGGTATATGCATTTCACCCTTCGGGAAAATACGCCATAAGGGTTGGCAGTGATAATGAAACATTTCTAATTTGCCAAATGCTTCCACATATATTAGTTTATCTAATCCTTACAACCTCCAGTTTTACAGATGAGAAAATGGAGACTGGAAGAGATTAAATGATTTGTTCTAATTACACAGCTAATTAGTGATTAACTAGAACTCATGTTCAAATCTTCTAATTCCACATCCCATTATCTCCTTGCCACATCAACAACATTATGGATTGTAAGGTTCATGTTTCTTTTCCCTTCTTGAAAGTATTTTCCATTTTGACTGTGTTCCCTATCCCTAGTTTTGGGGAAATGGGGAATGTGTGGATTTCAAATAAAATATCCAGGGTTATATACTATATGTTTATCATATATTATTCTATAACTATGCTATATACTCTATGATAAGTAGTATGTATTATATAATATATATTATTTGATTTAAAGACAGAAAGTTCTGATATCTTGGTTTGATTTTTGCTACCCAAACACTCACAAGCAGAAGAGTTGTTCTTTAGCTGTTATAAATTGAGCTTATTTCCTTGTGAATTCAAGCAAACATGAAATCCCCTGCTTTAGTGAAAGAAATCAGATAAGTTGCTGATTGGAATGAGCTACTCCGGTTTTCGTTTATTTATTTTTAGCGTTCATTGTCTCGGTTGGTGAGTGCATCTTGGTTGAAAGGAGTTAAAAATACAGTCAAAGAGATTTTCTTTCCTCCTTTCTTCCTGTGGATCATGACCTTTGCTTTTTTCAACTTCCTCAATTTAGATTCAGTAAATTGTCATAGAGTGCCACAACACCTGCTTCGGTACTTGAGAAATTGACTTTTCCTGCAAATTACCCTGACCAGTGACCTTGTCTTGGCTACCAAAGAGTTTGGAGAAGGAGGGAGGCTGTATGTGTGGCCGTGCCCCAGCCCATGATTGGTATTTAGCTCTTTGAAGTTCAGTTATCTATTTAATGTACAGGCATTCTGAAACGAATGCCACATTATAATCATCAACCGGAAAACCCAACTATCGCCTCTTAGAGAAATAACATTTGATCTTATGAGGGATAGACTGTGGTATAATTTAAGAGCTTCCAATGATAATTTTCTTAAAGAAGGGGACATTTGGTAGATTTGTCTTTTTGCTGTGAGGGACTATCTCGGTTAGGTGTCAGTGTAATTATGTGAGAGTGATAGGACGGAGGATAGAGACAGTCAGCAGTCAGCGTTTGGTGTTTGGTGTCTTTCAAAGGTGCTTCTTTTGCAGGAAAATTTAAGATCCATGCCTCCTGCCACACAAGCATTGGAAGAGATCAAAGGCCACCCCTGGAAGCTCAAGAGGTAAAATTTTATTTTTATCCTCTAGCTTTGATTTTTGGCAGCTTACCGCATTTTTAAAAAAATTAATTGCTCTGTCCAGCCAGCAGGTGTTAGCCCTCAAGTGTGGGCCCAAGGGCCGGCTGCTGGGCAGGCAACTTAAAGGCCCCATAACTCACCACAACCTTGAGCTCCCTCAGATTGGTCCAGGAGAAAGTTCTAAAAGTACTTCAAGGCCAGATGACATGGGAACCTGTGTCCCTGTCAAATATCAAAGAAAAACAGTTAGACTGTAAAAATGTAAACTTATAAAGCACGCACTTAATTTTGACAAGCTTTTAGTATCGAGTTGCAGATTTTAGGCAATAAGGCAGCTTAAGCTAAAATTGGCCGTAGGAAGCAGAACCTGAAAGCTCATTTGGAATTATATGGGGAGACCCTGACTCATTTTTTTCCACATCTGTTCACTTTAATTTAGACAAGACGAAAAGTTTGATGCGCAACTTAAGGAGTCAAATCTCCTTTTTTACCTGTGATTCTCAAAACTCCCAAGATTTTTCTTGCTTTTCATAACGTCGCATGAAGGTTAACTTTCATTTTGTAATTGATTAGAACACTGTTAAAATAGTGTTTCAAAATTGTCATGCTGTAAATGAAAACACAAGGGTTGGGTTTTTTTCTTTTTTTCCTCTTTAAACATCTGAAAGAGCAGGGCTTCATAAAATACTTGACCTCATACTGAGTCAGCTTAGAATGTCTCTAGAAAGCCTTGTTTCATCAGGGCCATCTGTGCCCTGTACATGGATGTGGAGTTATGAAAGTTATGGCACAGAGAACGTCCAACAGTCATTGTCGTGATGAAGAGACTGGTATTGAAGGATCTTGTATAGCTTTAGTTTGTCTCTGGGTGTATAGATGCCTTGTCGATGTGTCAGCTTGTTAGGTTACAACAAAGTACTAATGAGTTTGCAATAGTTGGTATGCCAGGCAGTTACTTTTAATTTATCTCACCAATGACTGCTCTCTCATTTCAATCCATCAGGGAAGGACCAGGAGAGTCCATGGGGGGCATGGGCAAATATCAAAACCTACGTTTTCTACTAAGTAAATACCTCCGATTCACATCTCACTGGTTCTGGGGAAGCAGAGCGACCACTCTGTATAAAACAGCAAACTGAGAAAGAGATCGATAGGTCATCAAAGCCACCTGCTTGCTTGGTGGCCCCTCAAGTTGTCTTCTGCTCAGAAGTTCTGAGAGTTGATGAAAGTTATCATCGAAAGTACCCAGTCCAGCTCAGGCCAGTCCATATTGCTGCCAAGTAAACTATTTTTAAAGTTCTTGGGGTTTTGAAAAATATTCTGACTGGTGGCTGGGCATGGTGGCTCACACCTGCAATCCCAGCACTTTGGGAGGCCAAGGCAGGCAGATCACCTGAGGTCACGAGTTTGAGATCAGCCTGGCCTACACAGTGAAACCCCATCTCTACTAAAAATACAAAAATTAGGCAGGTGTGGTGGCACACGCCTGTAATCCCAGCTACTTGGGAGGCTGAGGCAGGAGAACCACTTGAACCCAGGAGGTGGAGGATGCAGTGAGCCAAGATCACGTCACTGCACTCCAGCCTGGGTGACAGAGCGAAACTCCATCTCAGAGAAAAAAAAGAAAAGAAAAAAGAAAAATATTTGACTGGAGGGTTAGCTGTATTCCTTACTTTCTCTTTATTCCCACCCCACCACTCCAAAAAACACTGGCTCAGTGACCAGGCCGCTGATAGCACAATGTGCTTTCTCACATGGAGAGGAGGCGAAGCTTCAGCATGTGAATTGTATTCTCCACAACATATGGTGGAGAAAACAGACAGTGGGAAGGGGAGTGATTTGTGACTGTTCATCCCAAACTGCGTTCTATTGTGTTGCCAAAAATGATAGACTTAAATAAATTGCTCTTTTTGGAATTTATACTCGTGCCTTATTCTCATTTTTTTAAAATGAAGAAGAAAATCCTCATGTCCATGTAGAAATTCCCATTTATTTATGTGGTTCCCTGGCCTGCCCCCTCCTCCCCCTGACTTCCTTACCCCAGCAGAGCCGAAGGCATTTTGAATATAGAAACTGCGTGTCCCCTTGCAGTCAAGATGAACAAGAAAAGGAGGTGACGTAAAAGGGGAGAGAAAGCAATTAGTGTGGAATCCTAAACTCCAGATTCTTCTCAGAAATTTTTATGGCTTTTCTTAGGCAGCCGAGGAGAGGCTGATTTACTTAGAGAAACTATTAAGCCTGGTGCAAATTAATTTTTGTTGGTCTACATCTTCTTTTTTAATTTTGTCAATTGCAGCGCCTATTGTTGTGAAAAAATTAGTACCTTAAAGCTGTCTAAACATAAATCTCATCTTCAATTTGTTAGCATTCAGCTGTGGTAAGAATAATTAGATGAAGTGTTTTTTAAGTATTATTTACAAATATGCTTGCAAAAGAATGGTTGAAACAGGCATTTTCTTTAATGGGTTTAAAGACAGACAAATGAAATTAATCAGGAGAGTCTTGCCCTTCTTAATTTTATGGTTTGTGACTGGGGGAGAGCAGCTTGCCACATCTCTGATACAGAGCAGTACTATGTGAGCGCATTGCAGTGCCCTGCAGAGAAGGAAGAGGCGAATTAGGTCAGGATAAGATTTAGAATGCCTGTGGATCCCAGAGACAGCATGGAAATGATCCAGGGGTCACGGGGGACCAGACACAGAGTCACATATATAACCCTGGATATAGATAAAGAAGTGAGGGGGTGGAGAGACATGCAGTACAAGATTGTAAAACTCCAAGTTTGGAATAAAACATCTGAGTTAAGTGTAAAACCCTAACAGTGGGCAGTTCTGTTTCTACCAATGAGGAGTGGTGTGAGATACATCAAAACAGAACCACAAAATTTACAGCAGGTTGAAAACCACCAGACAGGAGGAGGAACAGCAGTGGAGCAGTGCAGAGATGCAGGGCATAGGCTGGTTTAGGCTTCTCCAGAGACCAGGGAATGTCCCTCTTCCTGGGAGAGCCATTGCCAATGCAGATGTCAGAACTTGGGCAGAGGACACGATCACTTGTGCCAATTGGGTTAGCCTCTTCACCCTGATGTCCGCAGGTGGGCTTTGCCCATCTTTCCAATTAGTCCCACACACTTCCTCTCTGTTTTCTATGCTCCAGCCAAACTAGACTGGTCCCTGTTCCCCCAAAACCAGACCGGCTGGAAAAAGCATCTTCCCACCCATCTCCAAGTGTACAAATTGTTCTAATGGCCACTCCTCGCACGAAGCCTTTTCTAAACTCCCTAGCCAGATTTTATCATTCATTTGAAATTCCCTCCCACACCATAACTTTGAAGCTTCCTTTACTTTTTGCCTTCTAGACCTTGCATACCGAACATTTCCATGGCAAGAACTGACTTGTGGCAAGTGCTTTGCATGTATTATTTAATTTTATTCCCCCAGCCATTATTCCTATCTTACAGATGAAGAAATTGAGGCACAGGGAAGTTAAGTAATTCTCTCCAAATAACACTGGTGAAATCAGCCAGGATTCAAACCATAAGCAAGTCAGCAAATGGCCGAGCTCTTAATCATAGCAACTTTACTATGTAAGAAATTGCCGTGACAAATTTGCAGCCTACCTTCTAATCGTGTGTGGAATACCCTGTGGCAGGCATCTTGAGTATCAACCTTCTCCTTTGTCATAGTCCATTCAGCATGCTACAATAAATACCTTAGACTGGGTAATTTATGAACAATAAAAATGTATTGCTCACAGTTCTTGAGTCTGGAAAGTTCCAAATCAAGGCTATAGCAGATTCAGTGTCTGGTGAGAGGCCGTCCCTCATAGACAGTGTTTTCTATGTGTCCTCGAACGATGGAAGGGACAAGGTTCTCTGGGGCTTCTTTTATAACAGCATTAGTCCCATTCACAGGGTACAGCCCTTATGACCTTATTACCTCCAAAGACCCCACCTTTTAATACTGTCACTTTGGTGATTAGGTTTCAACATATAAATTTCAGGAAGACACATTTAGACCATAGCACCTTTGTGGGTTTTTTTTTTAATTTATTTTTATTTTTATTTATTTATTAGTTTATTTATTTATTTAGACAGTCTCACTCTGTCACTTAGGTTGGAGTGCAGTGGTGTGGTCTCAGCTCACTGCAACTTCTGCCTCCCAGGTTCAAGCAATTCTCCTGCCTCAGTCTCCCAAGTACCTGGGACTACAGGCACCCAGCACCATGTCTGGCTAATTTTTGTATTTTTAGTAGAGACAGGGTTTCACCATGTTGGCCAGGCTGGTCTCAAACTCCTGATTTCCAGTGATCCGCCTGCCTCAGCCTCCCAAAGTGCTGGGATTACAGGCGTGAGCCACTGTGCCCAGGCGCACCCTCGGTTTTATTTGGCAAGCTCTTTTCCTTGTACTGTTCCTGATGTTCTTGTTTACTGTAGTGAACTGAATACCATCCCCCCTCAAAATGTTTGTTCGCATGGAACATCAGAATGTGATGGGAATGGGTCTTTGAAAATAGAATTAGATACGATGAGGTCATACAAGTTGGGGTGGGCCCTATGACTAGGAGAGGCCACACAGAGAGACACAGGGAGAAGGCCTTGTGACAACGGAGGCAGAGATTGGAATGGGGCAGCCACATGCCTAGGGATGCCAAAGATGCCAGGAACCCTCAAAAACTAAGAAGGGGCAAGCAAGGATTCTTCCCTAGAGCCTTCAGAGGGAGCTCGGCTGTGCTGATGTCTTGGTCTCTAACTTTCACCTCCAGAACTAGAAAACAATAAATTTCCATTGTCTTATGCCACCCAGTTTGTGGTATTTTGTTATGGCAGCCCTAGGAAAGGTATACACTTGCTTTTTAACTTTGGTGATCCCATTGAATCATTGTTAGTTGCCTTAATCTTCCTTCTCAAAGAAATAGGACAAACATTTATTGAAATAAAATTAAATTTCTACAAAAGCATCACAAGAAAATGGCTAGAGAGATTTTTCACTTAATTTAGATTTCATTTTTCACCTAATTTAGATTTTTCACTTAATTTTGACTTGAACTATGGAGCATGTGTCCTATGTGAGACTCACTGTAGTGAAGCCTGGGATGGGACTCGACCAGTGTCTTTACTCTTCAGAGTAACCCAAACTGGGTACCACGAGAGGCCAGTGTGGCTGCCAGTGGGGAGTGATGTGGCCTGCATTTCAAGAACAAACAAACAGTGGTTTCAAAAACCTTGAACCCAAAAGTTATAGGTGTAAAGTGCCCCAGATTCATGCTGGTTTGTAATCAGTTGCTTCTTCCCAGGGCAACTCTACCTGGTGCTATGGGCATGCATCAGCCTGGGTTAGCATTTCGCCCATATTTGACTCTCTGCCTAGGACGGTAAGAGCTTTGTACTTGTCTCCTCCCCTTTCCACTGTTTTCAGGGCAGCTGGGCCCTTCTCACTTACCTCTTCAGCACTTAGCATGATTCTTCCCACACAGTAGCCTCTCAAAAAACTTTGTTAGGCCGGGCGCGGTGGCTCACGCCTGTAATCCCAGCACTTTGGGAGGCCGAGGCAGGCAGATCACGAGGTCAGGAGATCGAGACCATCCTGGCTAACACGGTGAAACCCCGTCTCTACTAAAAAAATACAAAAAATTAGCCGGGAGTGGTGGTGGGCGCCTGTAATCCCAGCTACTTGGGAGGCTGAGGCAGGAGAATGGCATGAACCCAAGAGGCGGAGCTTGCCGTAAGCCGGGATAGCGCCACTGCAGTCCAGCTTGGGCGAAAGAGTGAGACTCCGTCTCAAAAAAAAAAAAAAAAAAAAAAAACTTTGTTAAATCAGATTTCCAGGAGGAAGGAAAAAAGATATTCCTCTTCTGTCCTGGAAAATATGTAATGCATTTGAGATGGAAGATATTTAGAATAAACATGCATCCTAGGGAACATCAAAAGGGAAGTTGTGGGCTGTGTCCAGCACAGTCCTGCCTGGCCACTCATCAGACAGGTGACAGGCCCTGAAACCCCTCTAGTCCTCAACATCCTCTCCTATAAAGTGAAAGTTTGTAAAATGTGGTCTCAAAGGGCATTCCTAGTTCTGAATGCTAAGACAAAACTAACCAACCTTTTTCTAATAGAATCTTACGTAAACTTTTCAGTTGGATGTGGGTTTTTTTTGTTTTGTTTTGTTTTGTTTTTACCATTTGAATTATTTAACTTTTCCCATCAAGCATAGGCAGCTGATGCCCCAAAGGATCTGAATCATGTTTACACAAACATGAAGCAAATTTTTATAATTTTGGGTAAATGTAGCTTTTCAAAATTGGGAAATATTTTCCTTTTGATGAGTAAAAAGATTTTTATTCTCAGTCCTGCATCATAAATTAGATGATGAGTATAATCCAGTGCAGAGATTCAGAAGATGCTCAGAGGATGTTGAATAATAGCTTTTCAATTACATCAGGGAAATCCCCAGGGTTGAGAAAACTTGAACTTGGCTGAGTTTGGATTTTAGACATTTATTTGACCATACTTATTGTAAACAAATCAAGACGATGCAAATTAATTATTCCCCTATGAAGTTTTGTTGTTTAAACAAAAAGGAAACATTTCTTTCTAAATAAATGACCTGTCACCACTTTGTACAAGTCTCTTCTTTGCAACCCATCCTATACTCCGTTGCAGGATTCATCTTTCTAAAATACTTCCTTCTGTGAGTTACTTCTTCCCCCACTGACCATTAGGAGCTCTCCCTCCTTGCCAACTAAAGTCCTGGTCTCACCTGTCCTTTCTCTTGGGCCTTCTTTTTCACCATGTCCTTCTAAAGCCCTCTTATTAGTGGTGATCCTAGAGGCATTTCCATTCATTGTCCCTCAAAATAAAGTGGAGACCCACCGGCTTTTCCTCCTTTCTCCTCCTTGGCTGAAATCTCTTTCCCCTTCTACATCTCTGGCCTACTTCATAGGGCCAACTGAGTCCAAAAATAACTGAAGCAGTAGCATGTCTTTACCACCCACTTAGTAACTCCTCATCTTCTCATCTCTAGGTATGGCCTCCTCAACTGGATTGGAAGCTTCTTGAAGGCAGAGGCTGAGTCTTCTTGACCCCAGCAGTTGCCTTAGTCAGAGGTGATGGGCAACAGATAATTCCTGAGAATGAACAGGAAAGCCAGACCTTGACTTCGGTGGGGAAATGGTTTCTCCATGCCATAATGTCTTGGATCTGTTGAGCATTTCCCCATACCATTTCCCCAACTAGGCCAAGGTCTGGCTTTCCTATTCATTCTCAGGAATTACCTGTTGCCCATCACCTCTGAATAAGGCAACTTTTGGGGTCAAGAAGACTCATCCTCTGCCTTCAAGAAGCTTCCAATCCAGTTGAGGAGGCTAGACCTAGTGAAGAGAAGATGAGGAGGTGCTAAGTGGGTGCTAAAGACATGTTACCGCTTCAGTTATTTCGGGAACCATTACTGAGCACTTCACTTAACTCAGGATCATACTCTGCCACGCTTCAATTCCTTACTCTCAAACATTTCCTTTCTTACCATGATTTTATAAAAGATATCTCCTATTTTAATGCATATTTGCTTCACTCTCCTCTTTAGTAGATTCTGTATCTACTGCAGATCTCTTAAATCTGCACAACAACCTAACTAAACTGCCGCATCTCCAAGAGAAAGCCCTATGACTAGTTAGTTCCTCTATGCTTTCTGCCACTTGTGGAACTATTCAGGCAGATGGTTGAGATTCAGGTCCAAGGAATTTTTCCATCATGTGAGACTTTTTTGTGCCCGAGAAAAATTCAGCTACGAAGTACTTTGTCTGTAATTTAAGGTCAGAAGAGGTATCATCTCATTTCATTATGACATGTTCCTCAAAATGGTTCCCATGTTTCAGCATGCTACACATGTGAAGGCAGGTAGGGAAAACACTGCAGGGCTTGGCCTCCATTGCACAGAAGGAATCTGAAATTCAAAGAAGATGCCATTTCTCCAGCTTGGGTCCAGATGAGGATTCAGAATATAACTCAAGGCTTTCAAAAGATGATTCATGGGTTGGAGGAATTACAGTGTGATATTTTTGAAGCGGGTGGAGAAGCCGTAAATTCCCATCATCTCATTGATTCCAAACTAGTATTCTCATGGTTGGAACCTAGAAACATGATAGCAGGTAAATTATTCTCTTTTTAGATGATAGGGAAGAAAGCCTTCTGAAAATATTAGTTTTCAATATTTTCAATAAAAGACAATTATTTATTTCACAGTAGGAAAACAAATATAGCAATTGCTCAGTATAAATTTTTAGTAGAGCCTATGTTATACTCTGATTTTTATAGTACCATTTCCCTTTCTGTAAAACTGGAATAAGGTTATTTGCCTTACCTCCTTTGCAAGATTCCTAGTAGGATCAAATAGGATAACAGATGAGGAATTACTTAAGAAACTATAAAGAACTCTAAATATAAGGGAGCATTGTTTTTATTTAGTAAGGGTTTTAAACAGTCTTAACGATTGAAGACCTCTTTAAAAGAATTTGCTGAGTATTTATCTCCATCCCTCACATCTAAGTTCACTTTATTTTGGCTGTATTTGTTTTACTTCTGTGCAACCTGCATCTTTGAAATTATTATTGAAAGTAAAATATTTATTTTCTTTAAAAATAAAGATAAGTGGGAACTTCAGCTTCTAGAAAAATGAAGCAGATGTACTTTTCCCTATTTTTTCTTCTAAATACAACTAAAAATCCTGAGCATTATATACAAAACAAATATCAGAAAGCTCTGAAAGGTGGATGGGGAGGGAGGAAGATGGGCCAGGAGCCAGGAGACCTGACGAACAACACAATGATGAGCTATATGGATTTTCTTTTTGATTCATGTATCCCAGACTGAATGCTGGAAAAGCCAGCAACCTAGAAATGCAAATAGGTACAGACAAAAAAGCCTTAGCAAAAACCTGCTGTCTCTAGCAAACGGACAAGGTAAGGGGTGGCCTACCAAGAAAGAACACTTTTGGTGAACAATCACTCCGCTACAGCATCACAGAAAACGTGGAAGTCCAGGTTTACCACTTGGCCTTTGCTGTCATGGATGGGGATGGGGCCCATTCCCACCAGGCTGCAAGGAAAACACCCAAAATCCACCCCCATCCCCACTGGAGTGGTGTTAGAGATGGCTATGTAGCTGGGACTTTCATCCCTGCCAGGTGATAAGGAGCTCCCCCACCCCCAACCCCATCATGTCCATGTGAAATCAGTGAAGGCCATATGGGAAGCCTGAACTTTAGCCCCCACTTAAGAGTAATGAAATGCCCCTATTCCCTGACTCCATTGGAATGGTATCAGAGGGGACCTGAATAATCAGGAATTGGAGACCACCACACCCTGGGGTGTCAATAGTGGCCTAATGAGGAATGAGAACTCTCACACATACTAGCCCTAACAAGGAACCTCTCCCCTCCAAGTTGGGTATCAACAGAGGCCAAGAGGGAACTGGATTTCCACCCCTACCTGACCAATAGGAGGTGAGGCCCTCTCTTCAAAATGGTTCATCATTCCAAGAATCAGGATGATCTCAAACTGAGTGAAAAAAGTCAATTAAATGCCTACACTGAGATGATAAAGATATTCAAATTATCTGACTAAGATTTTAAAGCAGCCATGATGAGAATGTTTTGCTGGGCAATTATGAACAACATGAAATGAATAAAAAAATAGAGTCTTGGCCAAGCAATACAAAATAAATATAAAGAAAAACCAGATGGGAATTTCATAACTAAAAATATAATAACAAATTTAAAACTCTATAGGTAAGCACAAAAGCAAAATGAGGGAAAAGAGGAAAGAATCAATGGATTTGAAGATAGAACAATAGGATTACCTGACCTGAACAAAGGAGAAAAATTAGACAGAAAATAAATGAGCATAGCTTCAGAGTCATATGGAACACTGATAAAAGATCTAATATTTGTGCCACTGGAATTCCAGAAAGACAGGAAAAAGAGAATGAAGTTAAAAAAAAAAAAGTACTGGAAGAGTGACTGACTGAAAACATCCCAAATTTGGCTAAACACATAAATTTTATGTTCAAGAAACAGAGTGAACTCAAAACAGAAGGGCCCCAAAGAAATCTACATCAAGACACATCATAGTCACACTTCTTAAAACTAAAGATAGATTTTAAAATCCTGAAAGCAATGAGAGAGAAACAATACCTTACATATAGGAGGAAAACAATGCTAGTGGTAATGAAATTCTTAACAGAGACCACGGAGACCAGAAGGAAGTGGCATAACCTTGATCAACTGCTGAAAGAAAATAACTGTCAACACAGAATCCTATATCCAGAAAAAATATTCCTCAGGAATGAAGGGAAAATCAAAACATTTTCAGATGGAGAAAAACTAAGAGAATTTGTTGCCAGCAGACCTACCCTAAAAGAATAGCTAACAGAAGTTTTCTAAACAGAAAGAAAATGATAAAGGACTCTTAGACTATCAGCAAGAAGGAAAGATTATGAAAAGCAAAAATATGGGAGACTTCATTTCTCTTTTTGAGTCTTTTAAATTATGTTTGATGATTGGAGCAAAAATTGTAATACTGTCTAATGTGGTCCCAAATATACTAAAGAAAATATTTAACACAATTTTATTATACGGGGAAGGATAAATGGACATAAAGGGAAATAATGTTTCTACACATCACTTAAACTAGTAAAAAGATCACACAGGTAGACTGATAAGTTATGTGTATATAATATAATATCTGGAGTGACCACTTAAACAGCCATAAAAAGAGATATATTAAAAACACTTCAGATAAATCAAAATGGAATTCCAAAAAAATGTTCAAGTGAAACACAGGAGGTCAGGAAACAGAAAACAAAAATGAAAAACAGTGGGAGAATCAGAAATAAAATAAAGTGGCAAATGTAATGCCTAATAAGCCAATAATAATTTTAAATGTAAATGGTGTGCATACACCAATTAAAAGACCCAGACATTGGCAAAGTAGATTTAAAAATATCACCCAAGTATATCTTGTCCATAAGAAATTTACTTCAAATATAACAAAGTACGTAAGTTGAAAGTAAAGGATGAAAAAAGATATCTTATGCAAATATTAATCAAAGAAAATCAGAGTGAAGAAAATTACCAGTGACAGAGAGCAACATTGTATAACAATGAAAAAGTCAATCTACTAAAAAGACATAGTAATCCTAAATGCATAGGCAGCAAACAATAGAGCTGCAATATGTAAAGTAAAAGTTTATAGAACTGAAAGGAGAACTAGGCAAATCCACAATTTTCACTGGACATTAACACCTCTCTCAATAATTTATAAAACAACTAGGCAGAAAATTAGCAAGGATATAGAAGAATTCAACAACACCATCATCTGTCACGATCTAATAAATATTTAAAAAACATTTCACCAAACATTAGCAGAATTCCCATTCTTTTCAAGTGCCCATTGGAACATACGCCAAAATAGACTACATTCTGGACCATAAAACAAACAAATTTAAAAGATTGAAGTCAAACAGAGGGTGTTCTCTGACCAGTAGAGATCAATAACAGAGAAATGAGAAGAAAAATCTCTAAATACATGGAAACAAAGTACACATTTCCAAATCATCCATGGGTCAAAATGGATATCTTACGGGAAGTCAACAAATACATAGGACTAAATGACAGAAAAATACACTGTATCAAAATTTGTGGGACACAGATTAAGTGGAACTTAGAGGGAAATTTCTAGTACTAAATGACTACTTTAGAAGAGTCTCAAATCACACTTTGGGAGGCTGAGGCAAATGGATCACCCGAGGTCAGGAGTTCGAGACCAGCCTGACCAATATGGTGAAACACCATCTCTATTAAAAATACAAAAATTAGCTGGGCATAGTGGCGTGAAACTGTAGTCCCAGTTACTCAGGAGGCTGAGACAGGAGAATTGCTTGAACCCAGGAGGTGGAGGTTGCAGTGAGCCAAGATAGTATCAACCACTGCACTCCATCCTGGGCAACAGAGTGAGACTCCATCTCAAAAAAAAAGAAGAGTCTCAAATCAATAATCTAAGCTTCCATCTCAAGGACCTAGAAGAAGAGCAAACTAAACCCAAAGCAAGCAAAGACAAGAATAAAAATCAATGAAATTGAAAACAGAAAAACAACAGAGAAAAATCAATGAGACAAGGAGCTGACTCTCTAAGAGATAAATAAAACTGACAAACTTATAGCAAGGTTGACAAAGAGAAAGAGAAGACACAAATTACCAGTATCAGGAATGAAACATGGAATATAGCTCTACAGATCCTGAAAACATCTAAAGGGTAGTAAAGGAATACAGCAACAACATTGCATACATAAATGTCACAATTCAGATGAAACAGACCAATGACTTGAAAAAACAAACATACTACAACTTGCCCAATATGAAATAGATAATTTAAACAGCCCTGTAACTATTAAGGAAATTGAACTCATAATTTTAAAATTCCCAAAAGAGAAATCTCCAACCCAGATGGTTTCACTGGAAAATTCTGCCAAATGTTTTAAGTATTAACATCAATTCTACACAATATCTTTTAAATAATAGAAAAGAATGAAATGCTTCCCAATTTATTTTACAAAGCTAATATTAATCTTATAGCAAAACCAAAGACAGTACAAAAAAATGAAAACTATAGACTAATATTCTTCATGAGTAGAGGTGCAAAAATCCTTAATAAAATATTGACAAATAGAATTCAGCAACATGTAAAAAGAATTATACACCATGATCAAATGGAAATAATTTCAAGGACACAAGGCAGGTTCACTATTTGAATGTCAATCAATGTAATTTATTATGACAGAAAAATCAATTGATTATATTAGTTGAGGCAGTAAAAGCATTTCACAAAATTCAACACCCATTAATGATAAAAACAAAAATCTCAGAAAAATAGAAATCAAGGAGACATCTTCAACTTGATAAATAACATCAGTAAAAAAAACTTACAGCTATTATATTTAATGGTGAAAGACTGAATGCAAGTCAAGGATGTCCACTTTCACTGCTCTTATTCAACATAGTGTTGGAATTGCTAGCCAGTGGAATAAGGCAAGAAAAGAAAAACAAAAGGCACACAAATTGGGAAAAATAAAATAAAACGGTCCCTATTTGCAGGTGACATAATTGTCAACATAGAAAATTTCAAGGAATCTACAAAAAAAAACTCCTAGAACTAATAAAGGAGTTCAGCAAGTTTACACGATACCAGATAAATATGGAAAAATCCATTATAGTTCTATATAGCAGCAATGAACAACAGCAAAATTGAAAATACAATGCCATTTACTTCCATTTCAAAAAATAAAATACTGAATTGTTAATGTAAAAATACATGTACAGGGCTTGTATACTTAAAGCTACACAATGCTGATGAAAAAAATCAAAGGTCTAAATAAATGGTATAACATATTCCATGCATGAATTGAAAGACTCACCATAACAAAGATGCCAATTCTACCCAAATTGATATGCAGGCTTATCATAATTCATATTAAAATCTCAGCAGGACTTTTATAGATATAGAAAAGATTATTCTAAAATCTATATGGAAAGGCATAGGGGCTACAACAGCTAACAAATTTGAAAGAGAAAAAATAATTTGGAAGAATCAATGTACTAGATATCAAGACTGTTTATCTAGCTACCATAATCAAGACTGTCATATATGCAGAGGGATAGATGCATAAATCAATGGAATAGTATGGAGAACCAAGAAATGGGCCCACACAAATATACTCAATTGATTTTTGACAAAGGTGAAAAAGCCAGTTCAATGGATGAAAGACAGCCTTTTCAATGAAGGGTACTACAGCAACTGGATAACCATAGGGGGAAAGTAATCTTGAGCTAACCCTCACACCTCATCCAAAAGTTAACTCAAAATGGATCACTAACTTAAGTATAAAAGATAAAACCAGGTCAGACATGGCAGCTCATGCCTATAATCTTGACATTTTGGGAGGCCAAGGTGGGAGAATTTCTTGAGCCCAGAAGTTTGAGACCAGCCTGGACAACATAGGGAAACACCACCTTTACCCACCCAAAAAAATCTAAAAAAAAAATAGCTGTATGTGGTGCTGCACACCTATGGTCCCAGCTACTCAGGAGGCTGAGGTGGGAGAATTGCTTGAGCCCAGAAGGTTGAGGCTGCAGTGGGCTGTGATCATGCCACTGCACTCCAGCCTAGGCAACAGAGCAAGACCCTGCCTCAAAAATTAAAAATGTAAAACTAAAAATCAAAATGGATTTTGAGGGGTTTTTTCTTAGGGAAAAAATTGAGAAAATCTTCAGAATTTAGGGTAGGTAAAGTTATTAGATTTGTCACCAAAATCACATTCCATAAAAGAAAAATTTGATAAATTATACTTCATCAAATTAAAAACGTTTGCTCTGCAAAAGATCATGTTCAAAGAATAAAAGACAAGCTACAGAGTGGGAGAAAATATATGCAAACCACATATCTGACAAAGGACTAATATCTAGAATATATAAAGTGATCTCAAAACTCAACAGTGGGAAAGCTAGCAATCAAAATAGAAAATGGGCAAAAGGCATGAATAGACATGTCACTGAAGAGGACATACAGATGGAAAATGCTAAAATTAAAATATAACAACACCAAATGCTGGACATGATGTGGAGAAATTGGGTCACTCATACATTGCTGATGGGAATGCTAAATGGTACAACCATTCAACCATTCTGAAAAACCATTTGGCAGTTTCTTAAAAAAGGAAACATGCACTACCATCTTCAGCAATTGCACTCCTGGGCATTTACACCAGAGAAATAAAAACTTAGATTCACACTAAAACCTGTCAGTGAATGTTTATAGTAGTTTTATCTGTAATAGCCAAAAACTGAAAACGACCCAGATATTCTTCAACAGGTAACTGTGGTTCATCCATTTCATGGACTATTACTTGGCAATAAAAAGTAATGAACTCATAAAACACAACAATCCAGATGAATTGCCAGAGAATTGTGTTTAGTGAAAAAATCCAGTCCCAAGAGATTACATATTCTATGATTTCCCTTGGGTAACACTCTTGATGACAAAATTATAAAAATAGAGACCAGTTGAGTAGTTCCCAAGGGTTAAGGAGTGGTGGAATGGGAGGGAGATGGGTGTGGCTATAGAAGGGCAACGTGAGGGACCCTTGCGGTGTTAAAAATGTTCTGTATCTTGACTTTATCAATGTCAATATCCTTTTTGTGAAATGGTACTATAGTTTTGCAAACTGTTCTCATTGAGGGGAATTGGGCGAAGGGTACAAGGTATCTATATGACTTTTTACAATTTCATTTGAATCTAGAATTATCTCAAAATTAAAAGTTTAATTTTTAAAAATACAGGAAAGGGCTGATAAAGCTGTAAGACGAAAGAATGATATTTGAGTAATAAACCAATTAAAACCCAACAACTTTCAAAAATGAAAAGAAGCATCAGAGAAGAAATCATGAAAACAGAAGAGATCGAAACACTAATAATAATATTCCATTTCAGATGTTCTTTGAGTGTCCACGACTTGCTGGGAGTCATTATATTTTAGCTATTAGGACACATTAATCACAAAATATTGCTACCCCTTCTGTTCTTTTTACTTTACCTCCCATCTCAATGGCCTGCTGTGATTGCTATAAACACTTCTGAGTTATTAAATCTTTAGATGTTATTGTAAGAACATGAAGACTTCTATGGTATAATGATCAATTATATTTATAGGCAGTATTTACCCTAAATAGAAATAAAATCTGAGGAAAAACATACTTCAAAGTGGCTGGGCGTGGTGGCTCACGCCTGTAATCCCAGCACTTTGGAAGGCCGAGGCAGGCAGCTCACAAGGTCAGGAGATTGAGACCATCCTGGCTAACAGGGTGAAACCCCGTCTCTACTAAAAATACAAAAAAAAATTAGCCAGGCATGGTGGTGCGCGCCAGTGGTCCCAGCTACTCAGGAGGCTGAGGCAGGAGAATCACTTGAACCCGGGAGGCAGAGGTTGCAGTGAGCCGAGATCACGCCGCTGTACTCCAGCCTGGGCGACAGAGCGAGACTTTGTCTCAATAAATAAATAAATAAATACATACATACATACATACATACATAAAAATAAAAATACTTCAAAGCATTGAAAGATAATAATTCTGATGTAGCTGATTATGATACATTGAAGTGAAGCTTTTATCGCCCTCCTCACATCCAGAAGTAGAATTACTGTTCCCTTCTGTTAAATCCATATGGCTTCTATGACTGCTTCAACCAACAAAGGGATGTCATGCCATCATTTATCTGCATTGGCATTCCTTCCAACTGATGAAGTTCTGGGAGCTGTCTGATGAACTAAAGCTGCATTTGCCTGAAGAAGACAACAAAGTTACTAACTGGTTGGAAAATAATTATGTGTTTGGTAGGATAAGAAGTGACTTTCCCAATGGTGTTGCCGTCCCATCACCTGTATCGTTTCTGCCAGATCTGTGGCCTGTATACAAGAACATGGGGAATGGATTTCCACATGCGTAGATACATACATACAAAACAACATAGAAGCATAGAACAAAAAATGGGAAAATGTAATAGGGAAGTTTCATGTCAGTGTATATCGAATCACAGAAGAATTTCAAAAAGAGCAATGCTACATAGAAAATGGATGGGAACATATTTTCTGAGGACCCATGCCCTAAAAAGGAAAAAGCAGCTATTCATCAAGATATAAGCCTTCAAAATATTGTCAATGATCATGAACACCAGCCAGTTTTTATGGACTACCTCTGAAATTAATTGCCCATAACCTATCCCTGTAATGCACTTTTGCATATGTCAAATTTTCTTTTTAGTTTTTGGGGAAAGGGGTTGTGTTATTTTCTTGTCCCTCCCCCCCCCCCACCACTATTTTAAATTGTTGGTATTTTTTTTTATAACTCATTATGCTATGTATTTCATCCTGGCATTATTTCCAATACTGGAGGTATAAACTCTATAAAGACTTTTAGAGTTCTACTTTGCTTTATGCAATTTTTGCAAATTTGACTCCATGAAAGTGCATCATCATGATACTGACCTTGTGTGTAAGCATTATGTATGTGCGCAAAAACACTGAAATTTCCTCAACAAATGAAGAGTTGTCTTTTTTGTACATCTGCATTTGTGAAAGATGAAATTTCTCCATGTCTCATCTCTTTAGATGACTGCATATGCGGTAGTGATTCCTTGCGGTTTTTGATCTTGTCAAAGACTTAGGTTGTTGTCAAGGTATTTCAGATGACTGCAGTTACAAAGCTGGGTGCAATTGGGTTTTTACATTTTCCTTTTGACCTATTCCTTTATGAATATGGTTCATCTGCTCGCAACTGTTATATCCATGTGACTGTCTTTAGCACTCGAATATTTATGCTTGCAAAAATATATATGTTATTATTGACTATTTTACTGTTTAAAGTGGTGTATAAAGTATTGTCATGTTTTATATTTTTCTCAAATAAATCCCCCTTCAAAAATGTAAATGAACATCTTTTAAGGAAATTTTTATTTTTCTGAATTGTATTTCTGGAATTTTGATATTTCAGGATTCCAATATTTGGGATTATGGAGTTTGGAGTGATATCTTCCAGGATTATGGCCCAAACTTGGTGTAAAGGGATTGAGAGAGTAACATCCCGAGAGCAGTGGTCCCCAGTTCAAACTCATTAATTCACTCATTCAACAAATGCTTACCTATCTTAAGAAAGAGACAGGCCCTGAGAGTTGAAGCAGAGAGCAAGGTAGGTACACGCCCTGATTGCTTGGAACATACAACTTGTGGGGAGACCAACATCAACCCATCAACCCCAGGTGTAAATGTAAAATCCTACCTGTGGGAAGTGTCTCTGACTAGAGATAGCCTGTGCCACACAAGCCACAGTGTCTGAGGCAGCCAGAGAGGCAGAAACACTGAAGACTTCCCTCAAAATAACCATTGCATGTGACCCATGGGTGCATGAGCAGACTGCTAAGACCAGAAACTGGATTGCAGTAGACCGAGGACTAGGTGGAAAGGGGAAAAATGGAGACAATGAGTTGGGATATCTCTTTTTTTTTCTTTTTTTGAGACAGAGTTTTTTGCTCTTGTTGCCCAGGCTGGAGTGCAGTGGCGTGATCTCAGCTCACTGCAACCTCCGCCTCCCGGGTTCAAGCGATTCTCCTGCCTCAGCCTCCTGAGTTGCTGAGATTACAGGCACCCGCCACCATGCCCAGCTAATTTTTTTGTATTTTTAATAGAGATAGGTTTTCATTATGTTGGCCAGGCTGGTCTCGAACTCCTGACCTCCTGGCAGTGATCCACCCGCCTCAGCCTCCCAAGGGACATCTCTTAAAGAGGTTTGGTTGTTCAGAGGGGATGGTAGCTGGTTGGGGGGTGGGAATTCAGGATGGATTATTTTTATTCCGTGAGATTTGCACATATTTAAAATCCAATAGACAGGATCCATTTGAGAAAATGTTGAATATACGAGAGGAAATGGATATTAGTCAATAGTGTGCATTTGCTCAGAGGACAGGAGGAAGAGGGACTCAAAAGCACACAGTTAGGACAGCCTTTTAAACAGGAGGAGAGACGGCTTTAATTATTGTAAAACAGAAAAGGATGTGAGAGAAGAGAACAGATGTGGGTACATTTATATGTGTGGATTGTGAGAAATGGGTAATTCTCAGCTGAAGGCGTCTACTTTTTCTGTGAAGTAAAAGAAGTAGCATGGTGAGGGTTCAGGGGTATTTGCAGTTGGAAATTTGCAATCTTACCTGAGTGACAGAAGTCACTCCAGCTATTTAAACAGAGATAATTTAATATAAAGAATTGTTAATAAGACCAAAGCTTATTAACTAGATAACTGAGAGATATAAAAAGATCATTCTAAGGCATCACACAGCCATGAACTATTCCTTTGAAGGGATAGACCATAATTTATCCAACCATTATTTAATGGTTGAACATTTTGGTGATTTCTGATTTCTCACTGTTCTACATGATGCTTCTGTACACATCTTTGTGTATACTAGCTCTTCTGTACTCAGAATATTTCCCTAGAAAAAAATGACTCAGACAGAATTATTGGGTCAACAGGCATAACTTAAGAAAAAGTATGACGGTCTCTGGAGTTGGAAAATGACTGCAAGAAGCACAACTGAATTCATATCTGGTTGTCTGGTGGATGGGGTCACTGAGAGTGCAAAACAGGAGGGAATTTTGTTCTTGATCCTTGGTAGGGGAAGACAATGGGCAGGGCTTCATCTGTCCCAAGTTTTAGCACCTTGGCTAAGCCCCATGACTGGTGTCTGAGTCTCACAGATGGGTGCTGAGGGTCAGGGGTCTTCCCCTTGTGTATTAGTCCGTTTTCACACTGCTGATAAAGACACATCCAAGACTGGGTAAATGACAAACAGAAGTTTAATGGACTTACAGTTCCACATGGCTGGGAAGGACTCACAATCATGGCGGAAGGCAAGGAGGAACAAGTCACATCTTACACGGATGGCGGCAGGCAAAAAGAGAGCTTCTGCAGGGAAACTCCCATTTTTAAAACCATCAGATCTCGTGAGACTCATTTACTATCAGAACAGTGCAGGAAAGACCCGCCCCCATAATTCAATCACCTCCCACCAGGTGCTTCCCACAACACGTGGGAATTGTGGGAGTTACAATTCAAGATGAGATTTGGGTGGAGACACAGCCAAACCGTATCACCATGTGTCAGCAGGACTTGAACCTGTGTTGTCAGCATTTGGAGGAGCCCGAGAATCACAGCTCTGCTGCAGCCTCTGGGTTGGCCACTTAGGAACCATCTAGAATAAGCGCTCTAGCCTGGAAATCCATGTTGTCACTATGAGTCCTGCCCGTGGAGGACAGTGATGAATTTCCCCTTCAGAGTGACCCCTGGGGAGAGGAGCCAGAGTGGACTGCCTGTGTCTGTTTGTGGGAGCTCATTCAAAAACCCTCTGAGGTCCCCCAGATGGAGCTGCACACTGAGGGGCCCCAGGTATTATGTAGGTGGGACAGGAGCAAGGTCTTGTGTGGTTTATTCATTAGCGTGGGGCCATTTGCTCCCTCAAGCTGGTAAAGCCTGAGAAAATTAAGGCTCGTGTTTTTATTTTTTTTAATTATTATTAAAAAGTATGTATTGCCTAAGGACGTAAAACAATGAAACTGTTTTCTAAAACCCCTTTTTAAATGACCTTCCTGAGACCAGAAGATGAAGGGAGAAGTAGAAGTGGAAAATGGGTTGGGAGTCTTTTCTGACTGTGTTTTGAGGACAGGATATCCGCATGCCAAGCCCGTGGGTGAGAAAAGAGGCAAAAGGCAGAGTAATTTCACATCCATGTGACTGAAAACAGGTTGGAGGTAGGCTCTGCTCTACAATCCTTGGGGGGTGGGAGGACTCCAGCCACCAGCTTTAGAGCCAAATAGATGGAAATTTCTAGCAAGAGAAAACACGGAGGGTATTTGCTACTTCCATTTCTCCTGGGAGAAATTATGCAGAATTCTTCAGCAGACCTTAGGACCTTTCCTGAGTCTGCGCAATGCGACTGGGAATTAGATTTGGCCAGAAAGGACTGAGGCCTCGGAGTCCTCAGCAAGTGCTTAGCAGGTTACTCTACGGACTCCCCATTGGAGATTTCGCTGAACGGAATGACTTGAAAACGATCCAGTCAATGACAAAGCACTGTTGGCAACAGAGCCTTTGCAAGTCAGTGGAAAACGGACTCTTCATCCTATGAGACAAACCCTTGGCCACCTGGGTCAATAATTATGGAGTTGTTTGGGCTGGAAGGAACTTCGCCTGGGTCATTTAGTTCATTCCCAGGCATTGTGGTGGGATAGAGTTCATTACTCTGAACAACCTGTAATAAAGAGGTCCCTCCTCCCACTCAAAATAGCTCCAGGGATGGAAATTCCACTTTTTTTGGCAGTTCGTTCCCTTAATTTGCTAGTTCTTTTTTTCTGCACAATCCCTGATTTTTGTTGTTGTTGGTTTTTGTTTTGTTTTGTTTTGTTTTAACTTCTTCAAGCTCTGAGCCCATGTTTTCCCTCCTGTAACTTAAGCCATTGAAAGCGATTCCTTCGATAACATCTTCTCACCTATTGTGAAACTGCTAGGGGGCCCTGTCTGTCTTCCCTTGTCTTCCTGAGACAGAACATGGTTCAGGCTCTTAACCGTTCAGTCTTCCAAATCCTGAGTGGCTCGCTTTTGTTTGTTTGAAGTTTTCAACATCCTTTAGCCAAACTCTCTAAAATCACTGCATCGCATGAAAAAAATAAACTCACAAAAGCATCCGCTGGGTGTGACGTGGATGCCCCAAGTTCTTCACCTTCTGGCTCCCAGGGAGTTTTAATGGTGGTCCTTAAAGGATGCGTGCAGGAAAGGATTTCAGACGGAATTACCATGAAACAATTTCTCTGCATGGATATTCAAGAGATGATGAGGGTGAGTTTACTATTCAGTGCTGATTAAAACACACAAGTGAAAGACAATCCCAAGTACAGCCACCTCATCTCGTAAATAAAACCCAAATGCAAGGCTGTTAATTTCCTCCCGGAATCTCAGTCTCTCTCTCTCTCTCTCTCTCTCTCTCTCTCTCTCTCTCCTCCAGTATTTTCCTCAGCTCCCCTTGGCGCCCCACCCACCCACACATCCAAGCTGCCCTTGGGTAAACCCCATGCTTCCTTTGAAGTTCAGCTGTTTCCATCCAGGCAGCTGGACACAAAGCTGAGTAAGGCGCCCCTCAGCCTCCTCCTGGCTATTCAGGGCCCTGAGCTGCACTCCGGGGGCCTCAGAGCTAATCTGAGGCTTGTTTCATCTTCCCAAGCATGGGTTCCCAAGGTAGGATGCGTGAGTTGGTTTTGTCTGTGCTTCCCCTTCTAGGCACCCAGTCCTGAAGAAGTACAGGGCCCCCAGTGGGGTAAATGGTCCTAGTTGTGATAAAGGTCAGGGCCCACTCAACACCTCCCCCTCCTCTAGGCAGCCCCTGCCGACAGCACCCTGGTCCACTCGGATCTCTGTCTCCTCTAGGTCTTTGTTCTTCAGCAGAAGGTCTGTGGGCCCCCAGCATCCGGATCGCCTGGGAAACTTGGTAGAAATGCAAATTCCCTGGCTTACTCCAGACACACCAAAGCGACATATCTGGGGATAGGGCTCAGATGTCTGCATCTTTATCCACCTCCCTCAGGTGCTCCTTGGGCCAGGGAAGGTGGAGAAACGCTGCTGGCAGCTGAGTGTGGAAGGCAGATGTCCTGGGCAGAGGCTCTGTGCTTCTCGTCCTCATACCTTGTGCCACGCTGCAAATCCTCCCCTCATCATCAAAGATAGCTTCTCAAGGGCAAGGGGTAGTCCATCCACACTTCCAAGACCCCCATCAGCTGACTTGGCAAACCTTTACATGCCCAACATAGCATGCCAGGTATAGCCTCGCCTACAAACCCAGCATCCCCGTGTTTTCCACAAGGACATGGAATAGGTGCTCAATGGACTAGTGTGGATTAATCACTCCTTAGCACCTAGAAGGCCATAGAGCTTTTTATTTTCCCTTTCAAGGGACTGTTCCCATGCAAGTGCTGCGCACAGAATGCCGCCGTGACTGCCCTTCCTGGAGCTCTTATTATGCTCCAACTGCTGCTCCAACCAGAGCTTGGGGTGAACACGGTGCTTACTTCACAGGGCGATGGGGAGGTCTCAATGGCATAATGCGAGTGACTTGCTCCCGTTAACTTCTACCACCATGATGAAGACCGTGATGATGATGGCAACTACTCAATGAGTTTTTAGAGGACATAAATTTGAGGTCTTTGTGGACGTGTGACTGACTGCAGCAGAACCAGAAACTCAAATCAGGAGAATTTTGGCTCCTTCCAATCCAGTTGCAGAGCCACAGGCATCCCTTTGTTCCTGTAGGATCCTGGAGAGACCAGGAAAGTGTGTGGGTCACATGGGTACAGAGAGTGGCTCACATGTGCCTTTGACTCCTCCCCATCTCCAACTCTCCCCACCCCAGGCCCCACCTTGGTCAGTTCTGTCTTATCTCCTCATAACGCCTTGATCAGCTTTGCTTTTGATTGGCTGCTAAGTAATTTCCTGTCCCTTCCAGCCTCTGGTCCCCCAGCTTCCACTCTGGTCAGTAGCTCATAAAGAAAGGTTTCGGGTGATAACCTCCCCAAGCACGTTCTTTTCTCATAAAGCGATGAGAATACCTTCAAGTCTCCAAAGAGTGCATCCCTAAAGGTGGAATTTCAGTAGATGCTACTTATACTTTTTTATATACAAGTGTTAAATGTATATATTTATGGCCCATTTTCTTTCCAAAGACTGAAAGAGGCTTACATTAGGACATATTCAACGAACCTTAAAGGTTAAAGAGAAAAGTTTAAGATCATATTGTGATTGGGTGGGGAAGGTAGGAGGGAGCAACACTATTCCCTAATCTGCCAGTGTGATTGGTGCAGCTAAGCATTCCATTGAACCCCGACCTGCCTGGTAAATGGGGCAAATCATCTGGGAAGGAGACCCATCCTTCAATTCCTGAACACATAGCCATTGCTACCTGGAAGAGATGGCTCTGAGAATTTTAATTAGGCATGAGGTAGAGCGAGATCAATAGCTTGTACCTTCTCTTGGAGGATGATGCTGGGGAAACAAGGCTCTGCAATAACTGGTCAGTTTCCAGAGAAGTGCTCAGTGCCATGAGGACAGATGTGGAAGTGCTGATGTGATATAGTTCGGTGGACACACGGAGGAGCTTAGATGAATGGGGAGAGGGGTCTTACCTGAAAGAGAATGAGAGCAGACAATTCCTTCATGGGAAGAATGTGTGTGTGTGTGTGTATGTGTGTGTGTGTCTGTGTGTCTGTGCGTGTTGTGTGTATATGTGTGTGTCTGTGTTGTGTGTGTATGTGTGTGTCTGTGTGTGTTGTGTGTGTATGTGTGTGTATGTGTGTTGTGTGTGTGTGTGTCTGTGCGTGTTGTGTGTGTCTGTGTGTTGTGTGTGTGTGTTGTGTGTGTGTCTGTGTGTTGTGTGTGTGTGTATGTGTGTTGTGTGTGTGTATGTGTGTGTGTCTGTGTGTGTTGTGTGCGTGTGTGCACACACACCGACTCATGTCCAGGGTGTTCTTTCTGCTATTAAAGCAAGAAACGATTTCCATTCTAAAGGTGACCCTCGCCCTCACTTGGAGCCTGGCCCTGGCCCTGGGTGCAAGCCACAGTCACTGCAGTGATGCTGTCCTCTCCCTTGCAGACATCTAAGACAAAGAAGATACACAGCTGAGGAAGGCGAGATGCCTTTTAAAAATTAGACAACATCTTAGAGGGTTTATTTCCTTTATCTCTAGACCTACATCCATTAACCCACACTCAGAGACAATCGCTGCCACTGTTCAGGAAGCCAGCTCGAATGGGTCGAAACTGCCATTGTATATCCAGGAAAGATAGACACACGACAGAGATTTTTTTTAAAATGCCAATTTCCAGGGAACCAGCTTCTGCTGAATGCAGCCTGATAGAAATTCAAGATAAAACTCTCATGGATTCTGCCCATCCATAAAGTGCCACTTAGCAGACAATTTGCACCATCTGTGAACCACTCCCATCCACTAAGCTTCTTTTTTAGCTGTTGTAAACTCTGTCTCATCAAACTCTTATCTTTTACCTATACAGAGCCGTACTTTAATTGATAAATTTCAGGGAAAACGGAGGAGGGACAGCGTTTCAGGAATAACTGGGACCAGTGAGATCAGTGTCTTAGGAAGATGAAGATCTGAATCCTGAACCGTGACTCACGGGAGCCTGGCTGATCTCCTTCGCTTTCACAGGACTTCTCGCTGCTATGACACATTTGCATGGTGACTCCTGGTTCTTTTCCAGGCGTCAATGTGAATGTCCATTTTCTTTTGGAGTGGCTGTCTCTTTAAACTCTTACAATACACACGGGTTTTCTTTTCTGGCTTTTCTTGTAAGGTGCTGCCTATCAAAAAAGAGACAGGAGAGAGAGAGAGAGAGAGAGAGAGAGAGAGAGAGATTGTCTTCCAAAGGTTGTTTTCTTACCCTCTGTTGCTTAAACAATCATCTTCTGTGTTATTGAGGAAAACCCAAAGCTGTCAGCTTCCCTGGACTTCAGGTTTCCAGCAAACTCACCTCCCCCCTCCCTTGGTTTCACCCCCATCTGCTTATAATTTAATGTTCTGTATGTTTTAATCATTTCATTAGGCATGTCCTTATTTTGAAATGCAACTAATTCTTCAGTTCAAACAAACAGCCAGTAATTCTAAAAATGAGACCATTCTTTTCTTTCAGTTAGAGATTGGCTTAGAAGAAATATCACACCTATTTTGAGAAGGGTGAAATAACTCAAATGCCACTAGTTTTTTTAAAACCGCTGACTTTTAAAAGTGGAAATGATCTTAGAGATTGCTTCATTTTCTCCACAGATATGGAACTAACTTTTGGGGATGTTTTCTCATGTCTTTCTGAACACTTTGTGATAAAGTCATTCCTATTAAGGTTTGTCTTAATACGGATTTGTAAAAATTATGTAATAAAATACCTCATTTCTATACTCGGTGACAATGGACATGAAAGAAAAAGTGATTCCACTATAGGACTTGTATGTTTTATTAATTTATTTTCTTTATAGGAATTTACATTCTTTAAGGCAAGGAGAATCATATTTTGCTATAAGGGGAAAGATAATTTGCAAGGTGTTTCATGTGATTTTTCCCCCTGACATTCAGATTTATTCTATATCAAGAAAAGAAGCTTCTGGGCCGGGTGCAGTGGCTCACGCCTGTAATCCCAGCACTTTGGGAGGCCAAGGTGGGCGGATCACCTGAGGTTAGGAGTTCAAGACCAGCCTGACCAACATGGAGAAACCCCGTCTCTATTAAAAACACAAAAATAGCCGGGCTTTGTGGCACATGCCTGTAATCACAGCTACTCAGGGGGCTGAGGCAGGAGAATCTCTTGAACCTGGGAGGCGGAGGTTGCAGTGAGCCAAGATCGTGCCATTGCACTCCAGCCTGGGCAAAAAGAGCGAAACTCTGTCTCAAAAAAAAAAAAAAGGAGAAGCTTCTGAAATTCCAGGAGCATACAACTTCCCCCCTTATCTATGGGGGATACATTCTTCCAAGACCCCAGTGGATGCCTGAAACTGCAATAGTACCAAACCCTACATATACTATGCATGAATTTCTTTTTTTCCTTACCATTCATGGGTAAGCTGGTCCAAGTGCAGTGGTGTTTACAACTAATTGATCACAATTCGTGGGTAGAAGTTTCCTTCTTACTGTAGATCTTAAAGATGTCAGCATACAATTTTTTTCTTTCCTTATTAAGCTGATAACTTTCACCTTTTCACTTCAAGGATGCATTTTATGGCTTCTTTTTTGGCATATGCAAATTGCCAGCATCATTACTCTCATGCTTTGAGGCCATTATATAACAAAATGAGGGTTACTTGAACACAAGCACTGGGAAACGGTGACAGTCTATGTGATAACTGAGATGGCTACCGTGTGACTGACAGGAAGGTAGCTTAGACAGTGTGGATATGCTGGACAAAGAGAAGATTCCCCTCCCAGGTGGGACAGAGGATGAGAGATTTCAGCATGCAACTGAGAATGGCATGCAATTTAAAACTTATGAATTATTTCTGAAATTTTCCATTTAATTTTTTGGGGCCACAACTGACCACAGGTAAATGAAACCACAGAAAACAAAACCTCAGCTAAGAAAGAGCTAATGTATTTAATTTTAACATTATATCAATGACCCAACTGTGCAACGTAAAATGTCTTTATTTTCTGATACTTGTATTACTTTCTGGTAATAAAACGTCCTTTCAGTATTTTAGAAGAACGAGTCACATTTCGCACATAGTAGTAGACACTTAATAGATGTTTGTTGAAACATTCGTAGATAAGTGGGTAGATACACACTGACATTTAACGATGTGCCTTAATTCAGCTTTAAGTGCTAATGTTTATTAACGGTGATGCGTAAATACAACAGCACACATTCTGATTTAGGCTCGTCCACTGAAAATGTCCCCCTACTTCCAAAACGTAAACCGGTACCATTTAAGGATCGAAATGAAAACAACGTAATAGTGAAGTTGTCTTGGAGGAATTGCTGGAGGACGCCTTTGATACCTTTATGGAGAATGAATGGGAAGCCTTTGCGTGTGGCTGACACAAATGGTTGTCACACGCCATCTAGTGGCCATCCGTGAAACTGTGCATATGCCGTGGGAAACGCTTTTGGAACAAGTTGGATTGCTCCGAATTTCAGTGCCTATCGGGCAGCCAGTGAACATTTGTCCATCTTTAAGGCATTAAACTGAGAAGAACCACTGAGGAAAGCATGCCACAGTCTTTCCCAAAATCCCTGTGTCTTAAGGAACAACCAAGAAGTTAACTGGTCAGGGAAAAGATTTCTTTTGGAACACAGGTAAGCAAAACCAAGACGCCATCGGAGACACCCTTGCCTGCAACGGTTGTGGTATAAAGCAAGGTAAGTAGCGTGATATTCACTGCTTTTTGTCCCACAGAAGCCATCGCTGTGTGCGGAAATCCATGACCTGGCCATGACTTCTACAACCCGGAGGACTTGCCTGGCATTACCGAAAAGCACAGGGGAAAGATTCTGTGGCAGGTGCCGCATTTCATCCAGCTCACTCCGTGCTAGTTCCTAAGACATCTTAATTCTTACACATATGCATAATCGTGATATTTTGCCATGAATAACAATATATTTCACAATTATCAACCATTTTAATTTTTAGCTTTCTAACCTCGGACTACTATAATAAAAAGAAATAATAAATCCAAAAGTAGTAGTGGAAAAAATAAGTATCTCCAGGTTTGTTCCTGTAAAGTTAATTAGTTCAAAACAGAGTGAGGACTCTAAGAGTTTGGGGTTTTTTTGTGTGTGTGTGTTAAGTATCAGCATTAAGTATCTTCAAGACAATTCAAAGTAAGATGATAAGTCACTAGGTTGTAAATTTCACAAAAAATCATTAAATACACTGTGTCGGACTACAGCGGAACAGTGGGAAGAACATTCAGTATTTGAGAGTAAACAACTCAAATTAAGTTGTTTAGGAATCTCACAGACAGGAAAATTTTTCCTCTCTGGTTTTCCATGGTAGCATGTTTACAGTACTTGAAAAATGTTGCTTTCAAGTCATGTTAACTGCTTCTTAAGACCATCAAATAAGAAATGATATAGCTTATTAGTTCCAAAATAGAAAATCCTATAACATCATTTCCTCTTCATGTTAAGGTTAACTTCCATTATAAATATATGCTTTCAGTATAAAATGCTCGACCTCAAAAGATACCAGCTTTTGCGTTTTGAACTATAATCGTGATCCATAAATGGTGATAGAGCTTCAGCTACATCTCAAACATTTATGTTCCACTCTCTTTATCAAAGAGCGATTTATTTTCAGAGAAACATTTATCAATTTAAGGTGTCTGAAATATTCATTTTTTAAAAAGGGCTATAAACAAGTAGCAAGATGAATAATCTGGTTTTCTGTGGGTTAAGTTACATATCAAAAAATCCTAAAATTTTTCATCATTTTGATGCACTATTCTTAATTTTTAAAAACTCATTGTCTGAAAGCAAGACAGATATTTTAATGCTAATATGTAAAAATAAACCGGATTTACGGTCTTGGGTCTCTGTCGTTGCCTATATATCTAGATGTCTACAAAAATATTCCAGATTTTCTGCTTTTCTTAATCTCAAATGTTCAAAATGACTACATTTTCTAGAATATTTACCTATTAGCTGATGTTATTGTTAAAAAGAAAATCAGACTAATTTTGGCAGTATTGTGCCTTACTACAAATCCTGTCTTTACTGTGAGAGTGGAGAAAAATAAAATTTGCAGAATTCCAGTCTCTAGCCATTGGCATTTTCCGGGCTTTCTTGTTTTCTATATATTGAGTCCCCTGTGCGTATGGGAAGCTCAGCTGAGGACTAATGCAAACTATTTTCCCACAAGCCAACATGTCGTCACTACAAATATACCTAAAAATAAAAATAAATAACATGTAAAAGTGCTCTGTCCTCAACAAAGCAGAAGGGTGAGATTTTGATCAAGCCATCTGTGGTTGCCGTGACATTCTGACCAGTCCAGTAGAAATCACATGATTCTTTAGAACATCTAACTCTCTCCTCTGTCCACTTTGTAGCGATATTGCTGGGATAGCCTGAGACAATTTCAGAGAGGTTTGGGGCTCAGGAAGACATAAATGCAATGCATTGTTTTGCAAGATCTGGCTGGAAGGGTGTAGCGTGAAGTAAAATTAAGACCTCCTCCTTTATTGTGAGGCACAGTTGGGCTGTTTGATCTCTAAGTCCTCGGATAATTGGAGTCTACACAGCCTGTGGAATTGGGTCCTGAGCAGCTCACCCTCATGCCCAAAGCCCACCGCCGACCTGCCTGGGGCACCATTTATCCCCACCCCGCCCCCACCAAACACACACACACCAGATTCAGCTTGTATTCAGGGTTCTGCCTTGAACACAGGCATTGTTTCCAAGCTGAGAAAATGATGATGTGGAAATTCTAATAGAAGACATACTGTTTGTTATCAGGTACACAAAAGTAAACAGAAATGATCCTGGGGTATAAGAAGCCCCCCTGCATTTGGGTGATTCCCTCATCACATTCCATAACCTTCCTTTCAATAATGGTGGTTTTCTGATCCAACTTCACTATCACAAGCTTATTTTTTCATGTTAAATTTCCAGGAAATCTACCTGTCCACCTTAGATCACTGTGTACTCGTCCTCCTCTGAGCCCGTGAGGTACCAATGGCTGGTTTACACTCCATTCATTCAACAAATATTTACTGGGCACCTACCACGTGCCAAGCACTCAGCTAGCCGGGAGCCCTGTGGTGAATAGTAGTGACATGCTTCTCAACAAGGATGGTGATAAACTGACCCAGCTTGCCCAGAACAGAAGAGATTTTCAAGACATGGTGCTTTCAGCTTTTAAACTAGTATAGTCCCGGACAAACAGGGACAAGTTGGTCACCCTATAATGAATCTAGCACATACTGTCTTCTATGGCTTCTCATCTTCTTAGAAGTGTGTGCCCCTATTCACAAAGCCGAGACCTTCACACGTGTTTTCAGATCTACTATCTAGAAGCTCTGCGTGTTTGAGCTAGGCAGAGCTGTAGCGGTTAGCCCAGCCACGTGCTTCCTTGCCTTAATCACCATGGGGTAGATCCAGGTTTGAGGAGCCTGAAGCTTATACAATCCGAGGGGTGGTGGGGAGCAATGCTCTCCTTAAGAAAAAGAAAACAAAATTATTGATACAGAATACAGAGCCTTGAGGGAGCGAACTTGCAAGACAGGGCCCTGAAGCTTAAGCTTCCTTAGCTTCTCAGACAATCCTCCTTTTGTTTAAAATAATGATAATTAGCAGTTAACATTAACTCGTTTAATCCTCACAGGTGGGGTCATTATTTCCATTTTACAGATGAGAAATTTGAGGTCGCAGGAGTTTGGGTAACTTGTCTTCGGTCATCCAGCAAAGTTGGAATTTTTTTTTTTTTCTTTTTTTGAGACAGAGTCTCGCTCTGTCGCCCAGGCTGGAGTGCAGTGGCGCGATCTCGGCTCACTGCAAGCTCCACCTCCCAGGTTCACGCCATTCTCCTGCCTCAGCCTCCCAAGTAGCTGGGACTGCAGGTGCCTGCCACCACCCCTGGCTAATTTTTTTTTTTTTAGTAGAGACGGGGTTTCACCGTGTTAGCCAAGATGGTCTCGATCTCCTGACCTCATGATCCAACCCTCTCGGCCTCCCAAAGTGCTGGGATTACAGGCGTGAGACACCGCGTCCAGCCTGGAAATGATGACTGGATGAGGGAAGTAAAGACCCAGGCTGCTGGGGGAAGTGGAACTTGCAAAACACAATCACCTGCTAGCAATTCAACCAACTCTATTGGTTTAAAACGCAAATCCTTCAGGAACCAGCCAGTCAAAGTGTGTGGGCCCTGAGAGGTTTTGGGTGGAAGGAACCTTAGAAGAAGCCTGTGTGTGTGTGGCTCTCAGCAAATGGATTTACCCTGTCCACGTCATGCATTTCTCTAGAGAATGATGGGAGTTGTGATCCATACCTCCGTGTGCATAATGGTTGTACCTGCTCCAGGAAGGCGCTGGATCCTCCCAACTCCATGGGTAAGCCTGTGAGAGATCGTCTTCTGGCCTTGTTTTTGTTTTTCTGTTTTGTTTTGTTTTGTTTTAGCACAACCCTTTTTCTTCTTCTTCACTTCCCTTCTTGGTGCTCAGCCTGTTCCAGCCACCGTGTCAACATGCCTTGGTCCATAGCTCTGGAAGGCACACACCAAGCAGGACCAGTGAACAGAAGATGAGAAGGGTACATTTTGACACCAAACTGCCTGGGTTGGAAACCCAGCTCTGTGACCTAGGACCAGTCACTTAACTTCTGTGCCTCGGTTTCCCCATCTGTCGACTGGGGATGATGAGAGTATCTCTCACTGGGTTGTTGTGAGGAATGGATGAGGAAGTACAAATGCCGTGCCTAAAGCAGCGCCTGGTGCACACTGATATGATAAGTTTTATTATTATCATCATCCAATTATCATGATTTCTGGCAAGTGGGCACTTCCGTTCAGAAATCTCGGTGAGGAGACAGGGCCATCCACCGTATAAGAATGCAGGCTCAGCGTTTGGCCACTTCCATTGAGAATCAACGGTGACTTATTTGCAAGTCCCCATCCCCTCAATTGTCTCCCATCGAAATGGGCTCACGGCTTGGTCTGTGTGTCCGTGGGCCCCATGCTTAGCCTAGAAATGATGCACGAAATAGCACCTCTTAGGCTCACATCAATTGCTAATTAAAATGGCATTACCCCTTAATGGGTTGCAAAGTAGCACTCTCATTTCCCCACTGTGCATTTCCGCAGGCTGGACCCGGGCATCGACCCACCTGGGGTGACTGAGGCTCTCGGGAGAGGGAAGCTGGGCGTAGGACAATAAGTTAGGCAACTTCAGAATCTGCATTGTTTCTGACAAATAACAATGGAATAAAGCCAGAAACGTGCTTGTACCCATCAGTCACAGGTGCTGATAATAGTTCACCTAATTACTTCATTATTTTTTGCCACTCCATGCAGCAGTTTGTATTTACAATCCTGTATATGGTTCTATTACTACCACTTATTGTGACGATTCCAGCAATTCCGAGGAGTCTCGGAGGGCCTGGACAAGTAGAATCTTGTTTTTCTTGATTTCCCCCGGGGGGTGGGAGGTAGGAGGAGGTAGAGAGAGGAGGGGTTCAGAGGAAAAGCATCCAGCCAGCATCAACCCACAATTGCTCATCTCGGATGAGTGATAAATGATGGGTGATTTTTGAAACGCTAGAATTTTCAAACAAAACAAACATATCCTATCCTATTAGTTACCAGGCCAGCCTATTACACGGTGAGAAAGGGAGAAAGACAGGGTTGGGCTGCCCTGGGCCGGCACCCATGCTGGAGAAATGATCAGGACCCTGGCTTGGCGTCATTACATTGGAAGCCGGGCTGGAAACCATCCCCAGGGAATCGTCCTAATGAACACGGGCCACAAATTAACAAAGTTGGGTGGGAAAAACATTGTGAATTTTAGTCACTGAAGCATCAGTAAATCTGCTAGAAGTCAGGGCTGATTGCTTTTAGCTTGTTAAGATGTTGATTGTTTACAAATTACATTTCCCTTTAAAAAGCAGGCACCTCTCAGCGGCTCCTTGCCACCGGTCCCTTGCTGGGTGCTTCCCACCGGGGACAAAGGCTGCCTGCTGTTCGCTGATCTAATTGCACTCTGCAGCCCCCTTGCTGCACTCTGCCCCTTCTCTCCCTTCTCCTACATTTTGAAATCTTTCTTAAACTGAGTCCTCCTACGAGCAGTGTTGTCAGACGGGCACTGGACTGTGCACACGCTGTGTTCTCATGATTTGCAGCTACCTGGAGGAGTGAAAGCTGAGTGCAAAATTGCCTTGTGAGAGCTGCTTTCCAGTTTAAATCACTTCCCAGTTTAAATTCATTCATTCATTCATTTATTCAATTCATTCAATGAATTCATTAAATTCATTCCTTCATTCATTCATTCATTCGACTTGTAACTTGAATGAATGAATAAACCAGCACCCGTCTGGTTGTCCATGCCAGGCAGCTGCTGGAGCTGCAGAGACAGATTTCAGAGAGTCAGGGGCTCACAAGCGCAGGCCTGGCTTGCAGGCACATCACTCCAATCTCTGCCTTCATCGTCACATGGTGCTATGGGCTGAACTGCGTCCTAGTCCCCAATTCATGTGTTGAAGTCCTAAACCCTAATACCTCAGAATGTGGCTGCATTTGGAGACAGGGCCTTTAAAGAGGTAATTAATTTATAACGGGGTTGTTAGGGTGAACCCTAATCCAATATGATTGGTATCCTTGTAGGAAGAGATTAGGACACAAACAACAGACAGAAGGTGACCACAGGAGGACACAGTGAGAAGCTGGCCATCTGCAAGCCAAGGAGAGAGACCTCAGGAGAAACCAAACCTGCCAGCACCTTAATCTTAGACTTCTAGCCCTCAGAACGGTGAGGAAATAAATCTCTGTTGTTCATGCCACCCAGTCTGTGGTGTTTTGTTATGGCCACTCTAGCAGACTAATACACATGGCACTGTCCCTGTGTGTCTGTATCTCTTCTTATAAGACCCACCCTTGGCTGGGCATGGTGGCTCATGCCTATAATCCCAACACTTGGGAGGCTAAGGAGGGCAGATCTCTTGAGATGAGGAGTTTGAAACCAGCCTGGCCAACATGGTGAAACCTCATCTCTACTAAAAATACAAAAATTAGCCAGGCGTGATAGCATGTGCCTGTAATCCCAGCTACTTGGGAGGCTGAAGCAGGAGAATTGCTTGAACCTGGGAGGTGGATGTTGCAGTGAGCCAAGATCATGCTATTATACTCAGCCTGGGCAACAAAGCAAGATGAAAGAAAGAAAGAAAGAAAGAAAGAAAGAAAGAAAGAAAGAAAGAAAGAAAGAAAGAAAGAAAGAAAGAAAGAGAGAGAGAGGGAGAGGGAGAGGGAGAGGGAGAGGGAGAGGGAGAGGGAGAGGGAGAGGGAGGGAGGAAAGAAAGAAAAGAAAGAGAAAGGAAGGAAGGAAGGAAGGAAGGAAGGAAGGAAGGAAGGGGGAGGGAGGGAGGGAAGGAAGGAAGGAAGGAAGGAAGGAAGGACGGACCCACCCTCCTCCAGTGTGACTTCACCTTAACCAATTGCCTCTGCAATAACCCTATTTCCAAGTAAGATCACATTCTGAGATTCTGGGAAAGATGTGAATTTGGGGGAGGACACTCTTCAACCCAGGGCAGTTTTCTAAAAGAGCACCCCTTAATCTATTTTTCACACTGACTATTTTTTATGGGTCTCAGTTTTCTCCCCCATCCCTATTCCCTTGGAGAGAGGTCAAGGGCCTATGTACACTATGATAGCTGCTTTGCAGAGAGCACGTGGTTGGGAGGCACTGCTTGTGTCTCAGTGCAGGCTGGGAGCACCAGTCAAAGAAGCAAGAAGCTCTAGGTGCTCCACAATGACCCATGCCTTACACACCAGCTTGGGAGGGCCCCACGCAGCTTTCTCCAGGTCTGTCCACCAGCAAGCCAAGGGGGCAGCTGCAGGACTTTGTGATGTTTGCTGTCTCCACTTCTTATCCGTCACTGATTTAAATTTGTCCTGAGCTGTTTTCCAGGAAATGGAGTGAGAGATTGCACAAGTCCTTTGATCCCTCCCCATCTTCTCAAGGATGGCAGGGAAATGTCCCTGGTTCCTCTTTACTGGGGAAAACAAGAGCTTGGTTGGTCCTCGATCCTGGCAACATGTTGGGATCACCCTGAGGGATCTTGACTGAATTGGTCCAGATGCACCCTAGGCACTGGGATATTTAAAAGGTCCCTACGTAATTCTAATGTGCAGTTGTGGCTGTGAAGCAGCTGCTGAAGCTGTCTTCAGTGCTGAGTTGTCAAGTACTAAATGGAATTGTGATAAATTTCGATCATCCACTCCAACTCCCTCAAGAAAGAGACAAGGAAATTGGTGCCCAGAACACCCAAGATCACCCGAGATCACCAAGCAGAGAACCCTGGGCTGGCACTTCCATTGGCTACAGGCTTCTCCCAGAGTTTTCATTTCCTTTCTGCAAATTAAAGCATTTCACGGTGTTGGTCCATCCCACTGATCTGCCTTTTCATGATGTCTGCAGGCTTTTATTGACCTAGTATTTCCTGACCCAGGTACCTATTTCATCTACACTTGAAAATGTGCTGCAACCTCCTTATCATTTTGATGTCTAATCTAATTGGCCTCACATGGAGAAAAATTCTGTCCCACAACCACACAAACCAAGCCCCAGCCAGCCTTCAGCCTGTGCCATCTCTCATCACCAGGAGGCCCAGGAGAGAACATGCACAAGTTCTCAGGCAGTTCTCCCACTCCACAAACCTGACTGTGAAAAGCTTACATCCTCCCCAGGACATTCAGGGGCAATCTTCACAAGTTAAGGACTCCACTTGCTAACATTTACAGCCATAAGCTGTCTCATTTGCCCAGCAGCCTTTCCACTTGTCTACTTTACCTTTGCAGACTGAACAGTTTGGTTTGCAACCATAAGGATTACAACCTGTTGCTTTATGTCCTTTATGATGGTTTCATCTTGGAAAGTGAGGAAATGGGAAGAATAATTAAATGGGTTGATGTTCAGTTCACTGAAGATGAGAAAGTTAAGGGCCAGTGCTTTTTTGTTGTTGTTTGTTTGTTTTGTTTTGTTTTTTTAATTTAGAAATAAAAGATGCCTTTGTGTCCCTGCAAAATATCAGCTCAAGAAATATCTTTATAATAAGACAATTCCACAAAGTGTATTTTTTCTTATATCTATTATGGCTTCTTTATTTTTTGGGCCTTTTCGATTGCCCTCTTGTTGTTGTTGTTGCTTTTAAATCAGATTCTCTCTCCATTCTCTTCACCCCCGACTCTGCCCAACCCTCTCTCTCCCCTCTGTCCAGGAAGCGCATGTATTCCTTGAAGGATAATGACTCTTAAAAGTTATGTTTTCCTATGAGTGAATTTCATGCAATTTATTACCATGTCTTTAAGGGTGATTTTAAAAAGCTGTGCTTTTGCTTTAGTGGCCAAAGGAGTTTCATGGAGATCTTTGGTTGCAAATCACTCACATAAAGTAATAAAAGCACCATCTAAGTGTTTACCCACTGGGGGTGCAACAGTCCTCCGTTTTAGAAGGCCTGGGGCACCCGGGGTGCTGGGACCTGCCTGTTGGGATAGGAGGAGTTAATTAAATTACTTTATATTTAGTGTTAATTTGGTCCTAGGCTTGTCAGGTAATAGACAACAAGCCCGGACTTGACTGGGAGCAGCAGCTTGGGCATGAGCAGCTTCTCCTGAGTATTTCTATTGTCAGATTAATTGAGTTGACATCTTGGTTGCAATTAGTTACAAAAGTGGTTCCAATATTATTTCAACAGGTGTCAACTTGGGGGCTGTGGTCAGAATCACATGACCTGTTAAATGAAGATGGTAGGGCTCGGCTCAGGTCAGCCATTCAGGTGTTGATAGGCCCGTGTCTTGTCAAGCTTTAGGAAGGGAAAGGAGGTTTGGGGATGTTTCTAAAGAACCATCACTTGCAAGAGAATTCAAGACTTAACTATGTTAAGATGCCAATTTGGCATGTACTTTCACTGGGTCCAGCTTGGTGTAGAAAGTATTTTGTTGATATAAGAGTATTGGGAAATTCTTCCTGTATTGGTAGTGACCACTTTTGATTATGGATTAAAATTTGCAACACTAATGCAAATCTGAATTTTTCAGAAAGTAGGTTGTGAGAAGTCCAAAACAGTGTGAAATTATATTTCCCAGAAATATTATAGCCCCAATCCATACAGACATTTAGGACTGTAATTCCCCAGGTAAGGAAGGTGTTCAGACGGCCCAGGTGCAATGACTACATGGACTTGGACTCAATATTATTTCCCACCTTCACCCCCAAGCCCTGAAAAGCACTTTCACATCATTACTCAGATGAGAAAGACATTCAAGGCTTTTCCCTCCTTGTTTTAGAGAGCTCAACAGAAGGCACAATCTAATGAAAGTACTTTATCAAGCCACTTCCTTATGGACCTGGTACTCTGTCTACACTCTTTTGCCCACTAAAAGAGATCTTTAGTGGATCTTTAGCGGTTGCCAAGCCTCAGCCACTCCGGAGGGTCACCCAGTGCTCTGGAAGAACATCGGCCATTTAAAGATATCACTGAACCAAACAATACAACCTCCTGATCAGTGAGAAAAGGAACAGGTAGTCCTCCGCCCTTTGGAAATTCAACGTGAACTTACTATTTTCACACACTGTTTGGTATGGTTTCCACATGTTAATTGTCCAACTAGAAAGCACCTGAACAAAGATCCTTTTTCCTCCTGATCATCCAAAACTGGTGCCAGTTCTCTGAATATGTACAAAAAAAAGCATGTTGCCTATTACTTGATAAGACTAGGACAGAATTAACATAAAATACAATGAAGTTAACGCTTCCTATATCACAGGTCAAGCAAATCTATGATGCCAGTGGTTGAATACCTTAGTAGAGAAAAATCTTGAATAATCAACCGGAGGTTCAGGAGACAGCTGGGTATTTGAGAGCCTATGAGTCACATAAGCAACCTTGGAGCCAAGTTGTATTCTCTGTTTGGCCTCAGAGCCAGTCTCGAGCACATGCAGCCAGACTGCCGGCAGAGAAGATGTGGAGCTGGCATTCTGGCTTAGGCCTGAGCAAGGTCGTGGAAGCCCCAGGTTCCTGACCATGGCCCGCACAGAGCCATGCTCCAGCCCTGGGTCTCAGCAGGCAGCCAGGTGAGGCCGTGGTGAGTAAATTACTGTCCAGCCCCCGCTCCCCACGGATGTGTCAGCCATCAAATCCACCAACGAGCCAACAATTATGGTCGAACACCTGGCTTCGCTATAACGTTACATACCTGCCACAAGCACTTCGGACACATAAAATCACATGTTGGGTGGAGGATGGAAAACCAGCTGATATATCTATTCATCATAGCAAGATAGGGCGGAGTCAGGACACAGTCCCTAACATTTGGAAGAGCTAAATTCAGGCCCAGGTTTTCAAAAACAAAATGCCATTAAACACAAAAGACTGAAGGGTGATGGGGCCCCATCAGGAAATGATTCACAAAACTTCATTTCTGATAATTACTTGGAGACTGAAATATAATGATCCCATTTATTCCATCAGCAAGAGTTGTCACGGTCTTGCTACAAGAAGAATGAGCCTCCGCCCTTTGGAAATTCAACGTGAACTTACCATTTTCACATTCTGTTTGGTATAGTTTCCACATGTTAATTGTCCAATAAATAACTTTCTGAACAAAGATTGTTTCCCTCCCAAGCACCGAAGCTAGTGTCAGGTCTCTGACTATGTGCAAATCAAACAAGACAAATGCTTGTTGTCTATTACCTGATAAGCCTCAGATAAAATTAATATAAAAAATAATGAGGCTGTTCTACTCTTCCTGTCTCATAGATCAAATAACTCTATGATGGAAATAGGATCAGCGCAGAGTGCATTGGTAGAGAAAAATCTTGAAGTAATAATGTATGTCTTCCTACATGATATTAATGGCTAATGCCTTTGGAATTAACATCATCTCATATGTAACATGCATATTATTTATATATAATTAACACATTTATATTATAAACATGATATCCCTGTATATGCTGCATACGGAGATAATGAAATATTAACATTGTATTCTTAAATATTCTGAAGTCAGATCTTTATAACTAAATTTTTCTGGCTTTTTATTATTTACAAAATTTATTGTTTGGGTAAGATTTTAATTCTTTTTAATATTCCATTGTACACCATTGACTCCCTAGCCCATTTGGAATTAATAAGAAAACAAATGAGTGAGTGGGTGAGTGAATGAATGAACAATAGGCGCTTCCCACCGTTGGTTTCTCTCCTTAGAGTGGCAAGTCTCAATCTTGAGGAGCCTTTTATAGCTGAGCCCACACCCCACGTAGGCCTCCTTCCACCTCCGCTTTCTAAGTGGATCTGTAGACATTTTCCAAGAGCAGAATATGGCTTAAAGAAAGCACTATTTGAAAAGTATTTAATGATATTCCCTGAAGTTACTTGGCCAAATACGACTGAATCTTTATAACACAGAGGGAAAACAAAATTATTTACTCATTCAGTATTTATTAGTTTGGAAACGGGGACATAGCACCTAGCACACAAAGAGCTGCTGTTTGCTTTACCCCAGTACCTGCCTCGTGAGCCTTCAGAAGACTTGAGAAAGAGACTTACAGTTCCCGAGCTAATGTTGACTCTTTGTAGCACAATTCTTTACATTTTAAGGAGCAATTAATTCTGATAATTGATGTTAGTACAACATGGACCTTAAATTATTTATGAAAGAGTTTTCTGCCTCAAGACAGGCGTCTCTGAAAGTAACCTCGCCCGTTGCTGCCATGCACTGGGGAATTCAAGGAATGAAGGAGACCAGAAGGCGGGTGAAGACAGGGACAGCACATGCTAGCCCACTGCCACCCAGGCCTTGTGCATCATCCAGAACTGGAAGTACAGATGCTAGGCAGGCTGGAGATGGAGTTTCAGGCACCAGGCTGAGAGTGAGACCCTGGAGCCTGAAAGGGGGCTTCTGGCTGAGAGAGTCTACGGTCATGTGGTTCTGTGGCTTCCCATGCCAAGGGGATGTCCGCATGTGCCAAATACCGACTCCACTGGCCATCACTGCACTACTCCTTAGGATTTTCAGTGCTTTAGGATTTGCCTTCCAAAAGGCAAAGACCACTAGTACAGGTAAGCTTTGAGCTGTTACACTTTGTTTATGAGGTAAAACCTTAGTCCCAGTTAATTGGACACGACTGAGGATTAAGAATGGCACACTGGGGAGGGGAGGGGAGACAGGCAGTGAAAGGGAAACTGATAGGGAAGGACAAGGGGCCTAGAATGGATTAAGCACTTACTATTTATTAGGCATTAGGCATCGTGCTAGTCCCTTTATATATTTGTTGTTTCTAAGTCCCCATAAGAACATTGAAAGATGGATGTAATTATCCCCATCTATAGATGAAGAAACTGAGGCTAAAGAGGTTGAGTAACTTGTTGTTGGTCACATTTCTAGGAAATGGCAGTGCTGGCATTTCCACACAGCATTGCCTGGCTCCATGTGCATGCCTGGCACCATGTGCACGCCTTCCATGGTGCCATGAGGACACTCCAAAGACAGAGGCGCCTCATGTTTCTGCCTGTGGTCTAGCCTCTCGCTTGGGGGAGCCAGGACTGGGATTGTGGGGACTGTTGACTGGCTCCGAGGGAGTGTCCAGAGACGGGCTGGGTGTTTCATTTCCTCCCTCAAGTCCCCATTCACCACTCCAAAGCAACCCCATGTAGGTTCAACATCAGGAAAAATAGCTTAAGTTTGCCGAGCAAGCACAAACTCCAAGCTCTAAACACGCCTTCTAACTAGACTGCCAACTCTCAGCCCCTCCTTAATGGAAAACTGGGAGCCTCCTTCAATTTACAAAGTTTTATGTTAATGTCTCTCAGACCAAATGCTCCCTGAGTGTAGGAATTGTGTCTGCTCAACTTTGGGCTGCATCTGGTTGACTACACATGCTATGTGACCTGTAATAACTTCTCAACAAATATCAGTGAAATGAATGAAGACAAATCTGTGCCTTCTTCAGTTTCCAACAGAAAAAGCCTGAATTATTACTTGGGGGCCTTCCAGGGTCCTCCCCTCAAGAGCTCCTTTCTCCAAAGACAGAAATGTCCTTGCATCTCTCAATAGCTTCTAGGGCATCTGTACATGCCTGAGCCAAGCAAGGCTTCTGACATCCTCAGGACACAGCGAACTGCCATCGCATGCCAAATGTAATGCTCCCCCAGCAAAGAAAGAAAGAGACAGAGAGAGAAGTATAGGCCCAAAGAGAGATAATGGCAAATGTATTTGTAAAAAAAAAAACAAACTGATTTGGTATGTTCTTGAAGCGTGGTGAGAGAGTGTCTTTCGTTTTCAAGAAAGGTCTGGGTAAAAGAACTCAGAGGATCCCCAAAGGCCTGGGACTGAAGGGGGGCTGTCCATAATTTATCGCTTATCTGACTAAGAGCTGTCTTGGACAGATTGAAGTCATTAGCCGGGCAGGCTTAGGCGGGAGGAACCTCTAAGGTGCCTGGCACAGCGAGCCCGGAAGGAGCAAGCACCAGCATGGTCAGATCCTAAATCTCTGAAATAAAATTACCAGGGCAGAAAAATTCAGCACATCCAGTCCCGTCCTTCCCTCCCACCTCCTTGGAGCAACATGTGCCCTTTTTTAAATATGGCACTGATAAAAATCACATCCATTTACTGCAATGTCTCTTCCATAGTCGCAAAAGAAAGGCCTTTATCATCCCCTGAATTAGATCTGTGATTTTTTTGAATGACGTGTATAATAATTAGACTGTAAAGATGTGCAGTTAATCCATTTAAAGGTGTAAAGAAGTCCATTTAATGAACATTATAGTCACATTAGACTTGGAAACATCCAACTCTTTTGTTGAATAAAAAGAAGTTCAATGAGATTAACTTCTCTTAGTTGGTTTTAAAGAATAATCAAACATGTCTTCTTCTGATAGTGTTCTGCGCCTTCTCGCATGGATTCTGCATACCAATGTCTTGCAGCCCAGAAGGGTAAGAATAAGGCCGCTGGACCTCACATTGCAGTTAAATAATTACAAATTAAAGAGGATCACTCCTACTTCCTATGCTCACTATAAAGTGATAAGAGGCTGAACTCCTTGAACTTGTAATTATATAACAGAAATGTTAATCTTCTGGTTGGTATTCTCTCCTGCTGCATTAAATGTATTCTTACGATTATCAAGTTTACCACTTGACACATAGATATCCCTACTGGGATTCCTATTTCTTGATTCTATCAGATTTTGACCACAAATGGGGTAATGGAGTCTGTTTTGAAATCTCACGCTCTTTCGTGTCTCTGTGTGAGGCTTCCCGTGAAGGCTGCTGAACTAAAACAAGTGCCCAGTATAGATGGTATCTGCTCTGACTTAGAATGGGTTAGAACCCAGATGTCCTGGCTTGCTCCTGGTGCTACTTAAAACAACCAGAGTTTAAGGCAGATGTGGACAAATTGGGAGTAATCCCGCATGACTTAAAACAACCAGAGTTTAAGGCAGACATGGACACATTTGGAGTCATCCCACATATGATGGAAAAGAAAATGCTAAATACAAGTTGCTAGACCAGCTGTACCTTGCCGCTGAGAATTCCCATTGTGTTCATGGAGTTTCCCAAGTCAGCCCTGAGAGGTAGGAACGGTCAGATTCAATCCATTAGTCTCCATCTTCTCCCTCAGATCTCTGACTTTACAACCCTCATTTTAGCTGAGGAATATATATTTTAATTTTCCTTATGCGTTTACTCCCTCTCCTGTCTATACTTACAAAGAATTTAAGACCAAGCAAGCAAACAACTTACGGGAATAGATTTCCTTTTCCAAAAATAAGCAAGGGAAAGAAAGCTTCCATAGTAAGGAAGGGCGAGCCTAGGAAGAGCTGGCGTAAATGTGGAATTAGAGTGTTAGCCTGGGAAGAGAGTGTCAGCTCTGCATCCTGTCTCTTAGCTTTGTGCCTAATGCCTCCTGCTAACTGGTGACAGTGATGGATGACGATAGAGATTGTCTAAGCCAAACTGCTAACCAGTACTGTGTTAGATCTTTTTGTAGTTTAGGAAACAAAGCTGATAAGATCAAGAGGCAACATAATCCTGGCTAATGTAGTGTGATCTGTCTTGTATAGCATAATTGGGCATTAAGCAGACATCAAACCTTAAACCAGCCATGATATTTGTAGGAGCAGAAAGGAAACTTACTTCAGCTAAAAAGAAGTTTGATTTTTAAAATAATAATAATGTGATGTGCCTTCCAGAGGGAGGAGGCTGGCCATGGCAGTGTCTAATCCTGGTCAACTTAGCCTGGAGACGCATTTCATGTTTGCACTTCTGTCTTGCTCTGGCTCATTAAAATCCTCAGAGATGAACGTCCAAGAAGGATGAAACTGGGAGAACTTGTTCCAAAATTTAACAATTAGATCACTGCCTTTTGAAACTCCCAAACATGAGCCCTCAAAAAGGACCAAGAGGACTAATGCCTTGGGCCTTCAAATGCCCTCGGAAAGGAGGTGGAGGAACATTATGTTTTGTTTTTGTAGTTATCACTCTTCTTTTTCCTGAGGTTATTTTAGTTATGCGTTCATAGCACATAGACCTTTACTAGGTAAGACCAGCAAGCAATGTGTTCATGGTATGCAAGTGAGCTAAAAGGGCAAAAGCGGAGGAAACCTTCCCTGCGATTCTGGAACCGATGTCTGAGCGCAAAAGACAACGTGTTCTTTCTGATATCTGTCTGGGTTTCTTTGTGTAGAAACTGATTTAGAGGTCAGGGCAGTTCTGGGATATTCATCCTGGCTAAAGTTTGCTAATATCACCAAGTTCACAGCTATTCAGTAACTGCTTTTAATCAACTTGAAATTTAAAATTACAGGTCAGTAAGGAATATCTATAAGATCCTTTTAAAAATGCATACACAGTAGAATCTATTCATATGCAGAAAATGTGTCAAATGGTTTTATCTCAGACAGCTACTAAGCAACAAGTCTTTTCCCCTCGTCACTGAAAGGATCATTTAAATGTGAATACATTTTTGGGTTACGTTATTAAATTTTGTTCAGATTGCACAAATAATTACAATACATGGTTCAGATTGGAAATTGCTCTAGATATTCCTCTATGGGATAAAAAACTTATGAAAATTAAACAAATGCAGAAGAAAGTAAAAATAGTTTGTCAATATGCTGTCCCTAACTTGCCCAGAGATAATTATCATTGCCTATAAATACATGTTTGAGGTTTGCTTGAATACGTTTTTGTAAAAAAGAGAAAAGTTATTATCTTGAAAGGAACTAAGTAGCGCCTAGAAATCACTATCATGGTCTGGAGTGAACTAATCACTTTATCCTCATCCCTGAACACATTTATCCACCTCCTAATTCTTCACCTAATTAGAGGGAAATGCAGAGCTGTCCTGGTCAGGGAGGTAGGGATTAAGGTTAAGAAAACACTTGTATTTGGAACCCCCCACCTCCCCTGGTCAGTGTGAAAGATTCTCAAAGAATCTCCCAGCCTAGCTAATCCATGACCCTCAGCGGGGAGGAAGTGTTAACAATTTAGTTTAAAACTCACACTCTCAGACAAATGCATCAAAAACGGCTTTTCTCCTTTGATTTGTAGGTATTAGTTGTTTTTCCAGGCCCCATTAAGGACTCTTCATCCTGTACTGCAAGGGGCATTAAGCCCTAGCAAGTTAAAGTTGTTCCCAGCTCTGTGTTATTCAAAGGCAATTTACACTAATTATTTGAGTCCACAGCGTTACCCATATTAGCGGAATGAACCATCTCAGCAGGTAAAAGTACTTTTGAAATGTTAATTTATTACTAAGGTATAAAAATGTCCTTAAATTAAAATACAGTTTAAAAATTAACAGAAATCTTAAAGAATGGGACTAAGACATTCTGTACTCCTTTTTTATTTGTACCAGTGCTTTCATAATTACAGTCAAATAGCCATGTATTCGCCATTCTCTGACACTGTGGTTAATAAAAAGATCTCGCCTAGTTTGGTGCACTTTTCTGTCCAGCTTGCCAGTGGAACGTCCAGCTGCTTTCAGGAGCTGTGTGGTTTTATGCCCCTCAAAATCCGCTCATAGCTGCTGGTTGCAGTTTCTCAGCCACTGACATTTTCAAAAGCCTCTTTATGTACTGTTGCTTGTTCCAGAATAGCTCTCTGGTCTAGAAGAAGCAAGGTAGCATCAACAATTTCCCCAGCAGCATTTGTGAGTCCATCCAGCAACATGTTCATCCTGGGGGCTCTTGGGGAACCCCTCGCACACAAAGTTTTATTATGAAGTCAGAGGCTGTGTCCTGTCTTCTAGGCTCAGCCTCTGTCCCCTTTTCAAGAAAGTGAGTGGAGGAAGGGTGAGGGAAGGAGGTAATAAGTTAGACTCTGCTATATTGGGAGAGAACCTACTGCTCAGAAAAGAGCCACCAGCCAGGCGCTGGCCATTACAGGAAGTGCCAACAGCGACCCCTCCTGGTGACCCAAACAAATCTCAGGGTGTAAACCCTACAGCTAGTCATCAATGAAGGCTAGGTTTGTTAACTTCATTCTTTTGTTCATTCTACAGACGTTTATACACAAATGTAAAAGAACAAGCTTTATCCTTCAGCTGCTCCAAAAATAAAAGGGTGACAAACTTGTAAAGCAATAACAGAGTTATGAGGAGAGAGTAATAGGGCTGACAGATCCATGTTGTCCAGCAAGTACAGTAAACTGTTTACAAAAGTAAAAAAAGGTTTACTAAGCAGAGGGAAAGAGATCCAAAGTTGAAAATGGCAGGTGAAAAGACCCCAGGGCACACAACAGCAGAGCACATTCAGAGAGCTGGCAGCTGTTTGGAATATCCAGACTGTCCAGGAATACAGGAAAATGAGTGGGAAGGAGCTGGAGCAGCTCTGGGAGGGTGAGCAAGGGCTCTACTCAGCTGCCCTGGAAAACACTGTGCGTCTTCCCATAGACTAGAGGTTGTCAAACTGTTTTGATCATGTATCCCCATCCCTAAATGATTTGATCATCCCTGGTATATGAATAGTCATGATTAAATTGTATACATGTATTGATTTCAAGCTATATATATTAAGTACTAGTCATGCTTCTTTTAATTTCGTACCTTTTCTGACCGTTTTGACCAAAATATATTCAGAAAAGTTCTAGTATCTTCTTCTCATCCCAGTGGATTGTTGACAGTGCAAACACCCCAAAGTTGATGGGCCCATGGAAGCCCAAGTTCTGCCCCAGAGATTCTTCCTGTCCATCTCAGTAAGGCATCTATCTGTGTTTGCACTCCCGCATGCAAGCAAAAGCTTGACCACGTTCCAAGAGTTCAGACCTAATTAGGTCAGAAACAAGTGAAATGCAATTTCAGCAAGAGCCAAAGCAGTCCCAACTAGTGGGTCAGCAGACATGCCGTCCACGGCCTCTGTCCACAGGGGAAACTGGTCCTGCATCTTCTAACATCTTCTCCCTCCTCTCTTGAAGTGAATGCATTCATGACCCGAAAGTCAACACCCCTGAGAGTACATACAATAGCTTCTAGAGCCTAGAACACAGCCATAAATAAAATACCAATACCTATAGGTCACATTAATATGTATATAGGTCAATTAATATAAAATGAAAAGAACAATAAGAACATACATGTCTCAATGAAGCGAGAAGCTAATTTGTACTTGCCAATTGTCTACTAAATTCACTTTTCCATAAGTTCTTTGTGAATTTTCCCAACACACACGCACACTCTTAACTTTACTACCCAAGGTCTACTGACAATTCTAGAGTGATCAGGAACCCATATTGGATTTCCACAAGATACAGGATAGATCCACTCCTGCTAGAAGCCATGAATTAGAGTGACACTTCTCTTTGCAAATTTTGCCCTAGGACTAGAATCTATACTTAGGTCATTGGCAGCAGTGCATTCTTTGAGATTTTAGAAATGGCTAAGAGAGTCAGGATGCCTCATGCTGCCACAACCCACCCACCCACCCATCCATCCATCCACCCACCTATTCACTCATCCATCCATCCAACAAATAGTTACTGTTACCGAATGAATGCCTCCTGTGTGTCAGGCTTCATACACAGAATTTATAGTCACAATTGGATGGGACACATTTTCATTTGATATTAAAATGTTACTTGCATGACAGTAGCAGGAGACGGAATCTAAAGTGATTGCAAAAATTAAGTGTACTTCAGATAGAAACCTAATCCTTGATCAGTGCTCTTTCTACAGCAGGTGTTCAAATGTCTTTTTGAATCAAATTGTCATATTATGTTCATTTCTACTTGGATAATATGGTAAAAATCTTACTTATTTGGAAATGATTCTAACCCAGATGCTATTTGAGCTAGCTCCCTCTTTTTTTAAAGAAGTGCTTTTTATTTTATAGATCATGTAAATGAATCGTGTATAAATTAGGAGATGTTGAAAATACTCAGAGAACAAATTGCTCCCAATAGTTTCATAAAATACCTTTGCCTACAAATAATGGATATGAAATCACAAACCAATTGATTTAATCATGTATCCTAAAGACCTCTGGAGTCACGGCTCAGCTTTAATTATAGAACATCCACGTAAGTAACAATAGTACATTCCCATAAAAAATTTCTATGGTTCAAAGTATTCGCTAGTTAATCTGGCTGCCCCTTCACCACTACCACCATTTAGTTTGAATTAATGAGGATAGATGCACTAATGAAAGCCAAGAATTTTCTTCATTCTGATGAGACAATACAGTCATGGGGAGTAGCTCTATAAAATAATTTCCATGGCATATGCTGAGAAGCTGGAAGTGCTAAAAGTGGTGGTGCCTGGCTCAAGGCTTGTGATCAGAAGGGGGTGAAATTAAGTTAGAACTGAGAATTTTTTACTTTATACAGCACAAAGAAGCAGCCCTCTTTTTTCATATTGAAAGAAGTATTGAAAAATGTACCATGAAATTAAAGCCCTGAAAATCTCTAAGGAATCTGTCATTATCTTTGAACCAATGCAGAAGTCAAAACTTTGCATATGCAGGAATCAAAACACATGTACACAAAATATAATGTTTGGTGATAAATATTGTATAGATAGTATGCATCTTGTATGTGCAATGCATATGTGTACACCTTTAAAATGATGGCTTTAACTGGTAACCACATAAATTTCCTAAGAAATTGTATAAAATCAGTTTACTTGCTGCTGTAAATGTCTTCAAACTTCACTCAGAGAGAGAAGCAGCACAGCTCAGTCAAAAGAGCACTAGTCTTGGAGTCCAGAGGCCCAGACCCAGACATGGCTACTCAGGCAAATGCCCAGACCCAGACCACTAACCACTTAGGCGAATGCGGGCAATTTGTTTAACCCAGTCAGGCTTCAGTGAGGAAAATAAAGGTTCAATTGGCTTGACTCTCAAGGGTTGTGAGAGCTCTGAAATTGTCAATCTCTGTGTAGGAAGCATTTGATGTAGCCATCAGGGGAAAGCTATGTGTGAAAGCAAGTGTTTCCAAAAATAGACATATGAAGGATTGTTTAAAAAATTTGAAGTGAAGAGTGGAAAACATAGTTTTCTTTAAAGAGTGCACGGCCGTATGCACACACACACACACTGCATGCAAGCCTATGCGGAGTACATTTTATAAGACCCAGCAGTTGTATCTTTTCCCCAGTTGAAAAAAATGTGGCTTTGCAGGCACACAGATTACATTGCATTTGTGCATTCTGCATAAGACTGCTGGCTCCAGACAGTCTTAATTCTAATTAATACAAGTTCAGCTGCATCAGTGGGTGGAGGAAGAAAGACTAGAAATGAAGGAAGAAAATGAGATGTTAGCACAAATGCCTATCACATTGTGAATATCTATTCATCTGCATAATATTGATGATACCAAATATGCAAACAGATGTTCCTCTCATTAAATTGTATATGCAAATACTACTGGTAGGAGTGGTAATGTTGTCTGGGGGTTGAGAGATCACTGAGGGTAATTAAAGGTTAATCCAGTTTTCAGTTCACAGGCTATATGACAAGAGTGGTTGTAAAGAAAAATTGTCATTTAACCTTAATTCATTATCAATGGCATATGGATATTCTACTAAAATAACAAAAACATATATGTGCTAATCAATCCCCCAGCCCCTACAGTAGTTGATCACTAGCAACCATCAACAAAGACTTATTGTAAGTTGAGCGAAGTTGAGTGCTGCTATGCAAAGCATTGATAAGAAAAATTATATTTCCTCAAAAAGTGTGTAGAACCCATCTAGAGTCATAATCTCTAAATTCAAATAGAAAAAAATCTGAAGTACCTACATCGCTACTCCCCATATGTAATTAAAAGCATTGTTTTAGATGACGAATGTGAGATATTGGAGGCTGCAATGACTTGACCTAGATTGCCCTGTTTTTCTTATTGGGTGAATTGAAAATAGTAAATTGTTTGGAATATTTTTTGATGACAAAGTTTAACTCACCAGCTGGGGTATTTCCACTTGCCATTTTCCTGGGGTGGGGCGGGGAGTGGAACTAAGCAGTTGAGGTCATAAATGTTCAGAATTAGCAGGTCTGTAAGAAGAAATGCAAAGTCAGTATAAACTATGTATTTGTAGAAAGAGTTGGGAAATAGCAGAAGGAGAAAAGGTTTTCCTGCATCTGTGGAATAATAAAAGGGGATTTATTTCCTGATCAATAGTTACAAAGAGCTTACCTTTGGTTTAGTGGGAATTGGGGTTCTGAAAGGGTAATCTCCTCTCCCCTTTACTTCTTTAGTCCTTGATTCTACAACAAATGCACAGTTATTCACTCAGCATAAAGACCCACGCAAAGCTAGTGAGCAGAATACCTGAAGTCTCCATGCTCCTGTAAATGTAAAGCATGCCTTCTGCTCCGACCATTCAGAGATGCTGAACAGAGTGAAATCGAAAGTCTCATGGGCAAACTGGTCCCTAACATTTAATCCTCATTACACATTGAGTTATTTTTTTTTTTACTTTTAGCTAAACTCAAATTTAATTTTAGTTCTCATGCCACCAGAAAAACCGAAGCTCCTTTCAAAGTTGCAATTCTACATTACATTTAATCAAATCTTGGAAATAAACCTAAAGCTCTATTTTCGCTCCTACTGTCTCATAGGAAACAATGCTGGTTTAAGATGCTAAAAAAAATTGCCTTGGGAAAGAATGTATTTTTCAAGAAAATGGACTATGTTTAACTCACCCAAAACAGCTTTTCATAGAATTTTTACAATATTGACTTATGAGAAACCCCCAAATAGAAGATAGTCACTATAGTTCCAAAGGGAATAGGGAGATGGCTTACAACCCAGGGTGGTGGGTTTTGTCTGCACAATACCAACCCATTTAACTTGGTTTTTTTTTTTTTTTACCCCCACTACTTAATTTACTGATTTTTTTTCTTCTCATTTTATTTATTTATTTATTTATTTATTTATTTTTTATTGATCATTTTTGGGTGTTTCTCACAGAGGGGGATTTGGCAGGGTCATAGGACAATAGTGGAGGGAAGGTCAGCATCTTCTCATTTTTTTACATCTCTACCAAACTGCTATTTGATTTCCAGCCAGGAAGTGGGTCTACCAAGTTTGAGAGGAAGACAGCCCATCCACCCCCACTGCTAGTAACCGAAGGGACCTGATGAATCCTCTTACTTACTATTTGACTATTTCTTAGCAGGAAGAGAAGGAGCAGGGTGTTTCCCAGGTCTACGCTTAAAGTGAGAGGGTGAGGAATAGTTAAGGCGCTGCCTGAGTTATTAGTACATAATATGTGCATTTTCCCCTGGGTAGATATTAAAAGATCTGATCACCTGCCCTCTCCTAGCTAATTCCGGGTAACATTTGGAGATCTCCAGCCCTACTCTCAGGAGGCTCTTTTGAAATAACGTGGCCCTGTGCTTCTCTATTTGTTAAGTAATTGAGAGGTAATAGTGATTATTCCACATTAAGAAGAAGTCAAATTCCCCTAGCAGCAAGCAGCTCCCATTAGCGGTGTGCTGCTTACACTAGCAGATAGGTGGTGTTGAGGCTGAATTTGGGGAGCTAGACTTTAGTTAGAAAACTTCAGACAGGATCCACTCATTTTACGAAAGGCAACAGAAACACACGTCCCACAGAGTAGAAGCCCTTGATTTTGAGTGATTCCTGGCTCCTTTCCCCACTGTCCTAAAATACAAGGGCTGTTTGTGGTTGATTTAGGCCATGTCAGTGACCTGAACCTCCTTATGACTCATTCTTGCTGGCCATCTCGGGTAAGCTTTGGTCCTGGCTTGCTAAGGTCTGATGAATCTGATACATCTGGGGCTCACCTGACTGCACAAGATCATGAAGATAAGCAATAAAGCTCGAACGACCCAAAGGAGAGGTCCAGCCGAGACATCTCAGGCAAAGTGCCCCGGGAGACCGTGTGAGGAGTGGCCACTCTGACTTCAGGAAAACCACTCGACTGCACTGAGCTTCAACATCTTCAGCTGCAAGGCAGGAAAATAATAGTACTGTCCTCATATGACAGTTGAGATGATTCGATGTTTTAAATACATATTTAAAGTATTTTAAGAAAATGTTTTAATTGAACTGCTAAGCATCCAATATTAAGGAAGCTAAAATGATAGTGATAATTAAGATTAGTAACATCAGCTTGAAACAGGTATGCTAGGGCCCTGTGAAGAGTTTCACTTAGAGAGTGTCTCTGGATGTTCCCAGTGTCGCAGCTGCATTATCCCTGCACAATGGGGTTGGGTTTCCATCCATTCAAAGACAGCAGCTGGGCACCTCATCAGATTTTAGGGGCATCTCTTTTAACAACATCCTATGGTCCTTATAATGGTCTCCTTGGAGTCCCTGAGTTGCATGAAGAGATTGTCCTTAGCAGCTAAGTTCGATCTCTAAGAGGCAACATGATAGCTCACTTTCAAGCCAGTATTGAGGTGGGCCCCAGGCAGTTTATATTAGAAATTCAAAAAGTGTGCGTATGCCCACAACCAAACCAAGTGCCATCTGCAAAACTGGTGTTCTCTAGGGTAATGTGGGGACTCTGGTGTTTCAAAGCTTACGTGCAAATGTCCCTTACTAGCTCTGAGTTGGCACACCACTTCACATCTCTAAGCTTCTAAGTGTCCTCATCTGTAAAATGGCAAAGGATTGACATATGGACCACACAGCAATGCAGGGTAAACACTTTGCCAAGTGTCCAGTAGCATTAGAAATAGAGGGATTTGTAGTGTTGCATTCACCATGGCATCCTGGTGTCAGGCATCAATAATTGGAACACTGTGTCCACAGTGACACCACTATTCTTAAGCCTAATGGTTTGCTAATTTAACTCATTAGGGGCTTTAAGCACTTGAAAGGGTGTTTAAAAACACAAACCAACAATTAGTCTTTGGGGACCAAAGAATAAATGCAAGCATAATGTATCACTTTTCCTGACTCAACAAGCACCATTTTGATGTGCTAATGGACCCTAGTGAAGGCAGTAATTTTCATTTAACAAAGCAAGCCACCAATCCAAATGCAAACTCCTCTACCCAGCTACAATCTCTGCTTCCCGTGAGTCAGCCAGGAATCAACATAACATAGAAACAGGGTAATATATGTAATATAAAATGCACTATAAAGAAATCTGTGTCATGTAAAATGAAGTTAAAAGCACTGATCCAGGCCAGGCGCAGTGGTTCACGCCTATAATCCCAGCACTCTGGGACACCGAGGTGGGTGGATTGCTTGAGTCCAGGAGTTCGAGACCAGCCTGGCCAACATGGTGAAACGCCATCTCTACTGAAAATATAATAATTAGCCAAGCGTAGCAGCACGCACTTGTAATCCCAGCTACTGGGGAGACTGAGGCATGAGAATCGCTTGAGCCCAGGAGGCAGAGGTTGCAGTGAGCTAAGATAGTGCCACTGCACTCCAACCTGGCTGGGTGACAGGGTGAGACTCTGTCTCAAAAAAAAAAAAAAAGCATTTCTAACAACCACGACTGATCTTACCTTCTCTGCTCCTGAAGGTTCTCATCTACAAAACAGGCACAATGTCACTTGCTACTCACCTCACAGGATGGTGAGGAATATGGTTTAATGTGGGCATAAAGGATAAAGCACCATTCAAAATTCAAAATCCTTGTATTCTGATACATTAACCTTTCGAGTAAGTGATACAGAAATTTATCCTGCCTCTATGAATTCAAGGAAAATAATGTGATCTCGAAGAGAAGAGGGAATCAGAGAAATGTATGTATGAAGTGGGTCTGCTTTGCACAATTTTTGAAAGTTGTGACAAAATATACATAACATACAATTTACCATTTTAACCATTTTAAAGTATTCTATTCAACAGCGTTTAAGACATTCACAGTGTTGTGCAACCGTCACCTCTATCTCATTTCAGAAATGTTCCTCACCCCCCAAGAAGGAAACCCTGTACGCATCAAGCAGTCATTCCTCATTCTCCTCTCCCCCAGCCCCTGGAGACCTTTCATCTGCTTTCTGTCTCTATAGATTTGCCTGTACTAGACATTTCATATGACTGGAAGCATATAATATGTGGTCTTTTGTGTTTGACTTGTTTTACTTAGTCTAATGTTTTCAAGGTTCGCCATGTTGTAACATGTACACTTTACACAATTTTAAGCCTAATATTCTTTAAGCCATATATTCAAAATAAACAGCTTACAAAAATGATAATCTAGCATTTATTCAGCACTTACTATGTGCCAGGCACTGAGTACTTTATATATGTGATCTCACATAATCCTTGCCAGATAAGTAGTCTCATTATCTCCATTTTACAGATGAGAACGCTAAAATTCAGAAATGTTAAGTGTCTTGTCCAAGATCACAAGGCAATTAAGTGGCTAAGAATCAAACCTGGTTTTCCAGAATCCAGAGCTCTTGCTGTTAATCATCACATTTGGTATTCACACAGCCCAAGAGGACCAGGCCACAAAACACTGGAGTGTGGCCAGGTAGCAATTCTGGAGACCCCAGGGGGATCTGAGAAGGTTTACAGGGAAGGGCATCACACAGAAACCTGGATCACCTCAAATCTTGCAAGTTGTATTCTGGCTGTCAGAGGCAACCAACTGGGGCCTGACTGGGGCAGAAATGCCCCAGGCATGGATGCCAGGACTGCCAGGCGGTGCCCCACATTCCCACACATCACTGTCCTTTCACTGAACACGACAAGATAGAGTGCAACCACTGGACAACATAAATGCTCTGGTCCCATTTCCGGTCATCCTCTGATGTCCAGGCTTGGCTGAGCCTGGAACAACTTGGACCTGGAAAAGTGTCATGTCTTTGGCTAAGTACCCCGTCAGCTTCCTCTTGCATGTTGCTCAAACACAGACACTAAAAAAACAGAAGACTAGAGCATTACACCCCACGATGTGACATAAAGAAATGTATAAAGCCCTAAGAGAATTTTAGCGGCTGCAGGTGGGGACTCAGCCAGTGTTCAACAGGACTGTTGGTTACAAAAGAAGGAACTGATGTTTTGATCCGTGAGAAACTGATACTAAATCTTCAGTGTTAAGTGAAGATCTGCAAACATCTTCCTTTTCCTCTGCTGGTGCTGGATTCATAGGATAGATACCCCTCATTTTCAGCCATAGTCTTGTTATTCTTTAATCCACCTGACTGTAATGAATTTAAATGATATTGACAGAAACACGGTACAGATTGAGTATCCCTTCACTGAAATGCCTGGGACCAGAAGTGTTTCAGATTTTAGACTGTTTTTGAATTTTAGAACATTTGCATGTACCTAGTGAGATATCTTGAGAATGGGACCCAAGTCTAAACACGAAATTCATTTATGTTTCATATACATCTTATACACATAGCCCAAAGGTAATCTTATAAAATATATTAAATAATTTTGTATATGAAACAAAGTTTTGACCATGACCTGTCATATGAGGTCAGATGTGGAATTTTCCCCTTGTGTCAGGGCTCAGACACTTTTGAAGTTTGGAGCATTTCGGATTTTGGATTTTTGAATCTGAGATGCTCAATCTGTATTACGTGTAAAGAGCATGGAATGAAAGAAAAGGGACCACTGCGTGAATTCTGCCTTCTCTACTAAGGAAATGTAGAGAGACCTTGGGTATATCACTTGCCTTTTTGCAGATTTCCCACCTGAAAAACAGGCTTGACGAAGGGATTAGTGACTACTGCTCACAGTGCCTGTCTTCCAAGATTGTAGCAGCCAAGCTTCTCTCGAGAACATTTTGTTCAAGCACCTCATTGCATGCACTTGTTGATTTGCTGGTAGGGTGGCTGTGTGGAAGGCTGGAAGGGTATGACAGTCCTGCATTCATTCACTCTGTGCCCTCAGCACATTCATTTCTTAACTTCCTGGAGACTGGATTTGTGCATCCATGAAATAGGAATCACGATTCCTCCCACCCAGCACTGTTGGGAAGATTGAGCACCTTAACTCAGTACACAGTGCCTGATGTGCAGAAGGCCCAGGCGATGTCGGTTCCTCTCCCTTCCCCCTGAGGGTTCCAAGACAAAAAGCACATCTTGATGTGATTTGATGCAGTCTGGCCAAAGTATCGTGATTTAAAGAACTGGCGCAAAAACAAAGCAAATTATATGCCATGGGCACCAGTTTCTGAACCGGTAGCAGGAAGGTTGGGGAGGGGGCGGTTGGCACAACGTGAAGTGGGAAGAAAGGCACAAAGATGTTCCAGTTTCAATGACATTGCCCTAAGTAAGCTGCCTTCTTTAAGTGGGGAAAAAAGACCTCAGTGGCTAGCATGTTTAGCTCACCTGATTATGGCTTACTCCCAGGGTTTATTTCTAAAAGCATAATTGATTGAAGGGCATTGATCTATGAGAAACTAATGTCCTAATTCTGTGAGCATTAAGCAAAAACGAGGTATTTAACTTTAAAGCATTACCTGTAATTATCTTCCATTCCATATACTGATCTTTGAGTTGCAAGGTCCAACTTTCATTCTCATTTCCATGAAATCTGCACGAAGTCAGGAGAACCGGTGGAAAGAGGTTGAGATTTGGATTGAAACCATCTGTGTTTGAATTCGGGCTCCAGCATTTACTCTCCGTGTGACTTGAGTAAACCACTTAAGTGCCATAGTGGTTTACTCTGAGCCATACTTTATTCATCTGTGAAATGGGGGCAATAATAATACCTCTCAGGGTTATTTTAGGTCTCAAATGAGGGAAAAGATGCCCGCATTCTGTCTTTAAAGCAGCATTCACCCTGAGGAGTCCCTGAGCCCATTTCTCACTTTGGGGCCCAGCAGCCAGGGCAGCTAGGGGTGGTGGGTAGGAGAGGGTAGTGGGGGGCATGGCAAAAAGCAGAACTTGGTGCAGTCATTTTTCAATTGTCCAAAAATATATTCTTTCCAGAACTGTTCCCTGGCACTGTGTGTGTGTGTGTGTGTGTGTGTGTGTGTGTGTTCTGAAGTGGATGAAATTTGTCAACAAAATCTTTACTAAAAATGGAACTTCTGCACATCTAATTGCAGAATTTTGCTAAATAAAACCGAAGATATCTTGCCTGTCTCCAGGCATATCCGAGGGGATTAATTTGTCACCCTTCAAAAACAATTCTTTGGAGGAATACCCTCTTTGATTCTCTATTCTCACATTAATTAGTAGTAGAAGGAACACCGCACACACTTGGTGGAGGAGGAACTAAGAGAAACACATTTGCCACCCCTCTCAAAGGGGAGAAACAACAAGGAGAGAGCACTGGGGTACGAAGTTCAGCACCATCTGGAGGGGAGGGGAGTACAGCAATGGCCGAAGTCTCCGGTACTCGTCACTGGCTGCACAACGCCAGCCAGCCATCGTTATTTGCTAGAGAAGCTTTGTAGGCTGTGTTTAGTAAAAAATATTTTTTTAAGCCTAAGTTCCAAGGGCAAATGCTTTTGAGAATAAAATGAAGACATAGTTGATTTATTTATTTTTAGTGACTATGGGGGAAGTTGATATTGGAACCAAACTCCAAATCAGAATTTGAGATTATTGTTGAGGTCAAACATTGAATACTACTTGTACTTTTGATAATTGTCTGATTGATTTTTTTCTGATCCAAGTATTTATCCAAAGATATTTTTGATTCAGATTTGTGTTTACTGTGATGAGTTTGTAATAGAAATTTTTTTGGAAAATTAGAGGAGTTACCCCTGTCATTTTGTGTTGGTCAAATACAAATTATTTTCTTTTAAACATTTCCTTTTTTTCCTTCTCTCTCTCTTTTTTTTTTTTTTTTGAGACAGGGCTTTGCTCTGCCACCTAGCCTGAAGTGGCAAAATCATAGCTCACTGCAGCCTCAAACTCCTGAGCTGGGACTACAGGCATGGGCCACCATGCCAGCTAATTTTTTAATTTTTGTAGAGATGGGGGTCTTGCTATGTTGCCCAGGCTGGTCTGGAACTCCTGGCCTCAAGTGATCCTCCCTTCTCAGCCTCCCAAAGTGCTGGGATCTTATTTCTCTTTAAAAATAACCCAAGTAACACCCAATTAATACGATGTGTTTTGCTGGTTGGAGAAAGTGTTTCTGTCACTAAATTGGGCATAGGCCACCTTTGCAAGGCAGTCCCTCCTTTACTGTCCAAGTGAGCAGAGACACAGAAGGCTGGGTGTAGACCCAACAGCCTGGTGTCCCCCACCTCCTCTGGGGCCCCCTCCACGCAGTTCCAAAAGCCGTCTCCATGGCCTGCTTGTTTAAGGTAATTACAACATGCACTTCCTCCCTGCTGCTTCTGCTGAGGCAGAAAATACTTCATCATTTACTTCAGTCATGAGAATAAAGCCAAAAAATCTGGAACATAAACACCATTTTTTCTTTGCATTCAAAGGCCAAGCTCAGGGTGAGTTTGTGAATAATAAACCCAAGTTGGCAATCAAGCTAATAAGTATGAAGTTGCTGGGGAGAGAAGTCCTCCGCGAGCTGGGAGCTGAGGGTGTACCCAGGGCTTTTTGTTCCCCTGTTGGTAAATAACAGCCCTTTATTTACACACAGTTGTTTCGGCTTCAAAAGATATTCAAAGCCCAGCTAGTTTCTGCAGTTGCTTTACATGGAAAGGAATATATATGTGAATTTTTAAAGAGATTGAGCCCCAATTAAATCTATGCTGCCCGGAGAGAGTTGCAGGCGAGTCAGCCTGAGATCCAAGGGGGAAAAGAGGCGCATGTGATTAGCAGGCAAGCCAGGGTTGTAAACATAGGCGCTTTCTTTCTGAAATGGGAATTGCCCGCAAGAAAGTATTCATCTGCAGCCTCGAGCTTAGAGAAATTCCAGGGCCAGGCGCCTTTTGGTTTAAGAACAGAACTTTGAACTCTCCATTTCAAAAACTGAATTTCTCCTCCCCCTGGTTAGGAAAAGCATCCGATGCCGAGCGTCTCCATTCAAGCTCTCCAAACTTTCAGCATTTTTTCATTTGAAGCTTGTAGCCATACAAACCTCTGGTAATGAGTTCCCTGCCCGAGACAAGTTCTGCATCCAGTTTGTGCGCCGGCCCAGTGAAACAGTTTACAAGTCTGAGAGTCCGAGGGGGCGGAATCCAAAGGAAATCTCCAGAAAGGAATGAAGAGCTATCATGGAAATCTTTATTTATGTGAAGAGAAAGAGCTAAAACATTACCTCAGAATGCAAGATTACAACATCAGTCGGATAGAAAGTAAATCTATTCTAGTGGTGAGACATCAGAAACCCATAATCCTTTCTCAAAGCCCTTTTGTTATTTTAATGTCCGACAAATTATGCTTTTTTTTTTTTTAAAGAAGAAAAACACTTAGATTTGAGAGGTTTCCTTTTTTCCCGAAAAAGTAATTTCACTACCTAAAAGTTTTAATTTTCTGTAACCTGGTCTTTACTGTGCTGGCCGAGCATACGTACAAGACCATGGTAATTTTCAGCTTCAATAGAACTGGGCACAAAGTGACCACCAGGATCGGCCTCAAGTTGCTATGGCAACAGTATTTCTAAAAGGTGCTGAAGTTATGTGGGGCATTTTTGTTTGCTAATTTTAAATTTTGCCTTTATAGTTTTTTAAAACAGATACATATGGATGAGTAAATTGCAATACTAACTCTTTTCTTCCTCTTTATGTCACTCATGTCATAGGGATCCTGACTATCTTGTAAATGACTTTGTAAAGAATTCACTAAGAAATAGAAAAAGAGTCAAAGAAAATTGGACAAATGACAAAAAAAATAAAAACCAAATTCATCCTGTTTTTTCTAGAAGCTTTTCAGTGGGAAATTCTCTCAAGAGATCCTTGAGAAGGGGCCAGGCCTGGAAGAAATGGGGCTTCCATGTGCCAGACCCTGGCTTGGTGCAGAGGTGTAAAGATGAGAGAGTTCACGTCATGCTCAGGCCACGGGCTCTGTCAGGCAAAAAAAAAACAAAAAAACTAAAAAACAAAAAAAAAAATCCTCGCCCTCATGGAGCAAAAATGTGAGGGAGTCACACAAAAGCCACAGTAAATGATTAGATAGATGATAGATAGATAGATAGATAGATAGATAGATAGATAGATAGATAGATAGATATAGATAGATAGATAGATGACAGATAGATAGATGACAGATGATAGATAATAGATGATAGATAGATAGATAGATAGACACATACATACATACATACATACATACATACATACATGGGTGGATGAATGGATAGATGGATGGATAAATGGATGGATGGAAGATAGATAGATAGATACATGGGTGGATGAATGGATAGATGGATGGATAAATAATAGATGGATGGGTAGATAGAAACATGGATGGATGAAAGCATAGATAGATGGATAAATAGGCAGACGGATGGATGGATGGATAGATAGATAGATAGATAGATAGATAGATAGATAGATGATAGATATAGATAGATCCATAGATACATAGATAGACACATAGATAGGTGGATGGATGGATAGATAAATTAATAGATGATAGGTGGATAGAGAGATGGGTGATAGGCAGACAGATGGTAGGAGAGATAGAGCTGGATAGATGGATGATGGATAGATAGATAGATAGATAACAATAGTGTGTCAGAAGATAACAAGTGCTGTGAAAAAACAAAACAAAACAAAAACAGAGGTGCTCCTAGAGCCACAGTGGGGTGTAATATAGAACAAGGTGGTCAGAATGGGCCTCACTGAGATTGGGGTCATTTGAGTACAGGCCTGAAGCAGGGGAGGAGTCGGGCTGACAGAGGGAAAACCAAGTGCAAAGCCCTCGATTCAGGAGATCGTTATGAATATGGGTTATTTGTTACTATAATCTGAAAAGCTGCAAACCTCGGAGCCTATGAAGTTTGCAAGTTTTTGTGGGAGTTTTGTGCCCCTCCACTAAATGACCCCAGACTTCAATGCACAAAGTCCAGACTCTTTGTTTACTTATCTCTTTCCTCCAAGTCAGCCATCTTCTCTAGCAGGGCAGTTTTGCCTTGCCCCAGAAACAGCCTCTTCCTCCTCCTCATGTGTTAGCTGTGAAGTCATGTGATTTAGAAAAACAGATGACCAAACCTGTTAGATTTGGGTCTGGCTAGGGTGTACCATGAAGAAGCACGTCACTTTTATACGCTGCATTTGTGTTTTACATGTTGTGAATCTTTCCAAGTGGGAGGCCACAGGGGATCCTAGTTGTATTCCTTACACCCAGCCAGCACCTGGCACACAACGTGGCAGGATAAGATGCCCCAGGAATGCATGGATCAACTTGGATATATCTACTTTGTCTATCCAAATGCCTTTTTCCTTCCTTCATGGGTCTCATCACTTGTGGATGCCAGATAACTGAGTGTCAGAGTGAATAAGAACTTGCATTCTTAGGGCATGTTTATTACCCAAGCATTTTCAAATCGATGACCTCACCTGGATTCTAACACCAACCCTCAGCAGTATGCAGAAAAAGCGCAATCAGCCTCAATTTATAGATGGGTTGGCAGATTGGAAGAAGCTAATTGCCTCAGGCCACAGTGAGAGGCAGCCTCTGCAGTGTCGAGAGGTCCTGATTTCAAGGTCAGTGCCCCACTCCCATCACACGTGGCCGGGGGCTATCTGCAGAATGGGTGGTGACAGCCGGGACAGCAGGGGCTTATAATTACTCTGGAAATGTGGGATCCCAAGGGCAAGCTGAGGTGGCCGAGCCAGAGTCAAGATGTAGGGGACCAGTTAACCCTACAAGGAGTAACCTTGTAGGTGAGGCCTGTGTGAAAATGTCTACAAATGGGTGTGGGGGACAATAAGGCTTGGGAGTCAGGGCCCTGAGTACTGGTCTTGGCTTGGCCACTAGCATGCTCTTGGGCATAGCAGTTCCCCTCTCTGAGCCTGTTTTCTTGGTGATGAGAAGAGAGCACTGGCCTCACCCAGCTTCCTCACAACGTCAGAGGCAAGCAAGGCAGTTGCAAAGTCCCAGAGAGAGCGCAGGACACCATGGAATCAAGTCTGCAAGTGCGATGCCCCTTTCTGTTCTCTTTCATCCCTCCTTCTAGGAGCCCAGGGCTTTGGGACATTGGTGAGCAGCAGGATCTAGAAAACATTTAATAGCCTTATTCTCACTGAATTTGTTTTGACTTTTCCTTTCTATTTATGGCAAATGCTGATTTTTCATTTCTAGCAGGAATATCAAGACTCCTTTTAAAACAAATGAATTCAAGTAAACATAGTGAATTATTAAAAGAAAAAATTTAAGTAAATAACATTAGAGGTGGAACTACAGATATTGCAGAGATTATGAAGGTGGTTTAGAAGAGAGTGGCCTTGGAGAAACGCTGAGTGAGATGACCGCAAGGGTCCTTCTGCTCTGCAGAGTGTTGGAGAGTGGAGGTTATCAGCATGGACTCTAGATCCACATGTTGGGTTCTTTCACTTACATAGCTGGATACACGTGGGCAGGTTTCTTAATCTCTCTGTGCCTCAGTTTCCTTACCTGTAAAATGGGAATAGTAGCACACCTTCCTCAAAAGATTGCTGTGTGTTGCCCTAAGAAGAGCGCCTGGCTCAGAGAAAATGCTGTGGGAGTGTTATCTGTTATGATGACCTTCAAAGAGTCCTTAATCAGACCCAAGCCGAGGGCTTTTGGAAGAGAGTGGCGACTGGGGGGCAGTAACCATGTCTACACTCATTGGCTTACCAGAACCCGCGTGCTTGTACACACTGTTTTCTGTCCCTGAACACATAATCCCAGTGTTTCCTGCTTCTTCCTGTTGGAAAGTAAGTGAAGCCTTCCATAAATAATGGGGGAGGAGGAGAGAGGCCATCTGGCCCCAACCTCTATCCACACAGAATGAGAAAAAGTTGCCCAGGTGTTACCTGTCTTCTCATCATTTATCTGAGATCCTGCAAGAGTCAGCTGTGAGCCACATGTGCAATCATCTCCTGAGCCAAAAGGAGAGAAAGCAAAGCAGGGTTCTGAAGCCAGACCAGCCCAAATGGCAGCTCTCCCACTCACTGTCCTCTCCAGGCCCTTCCCTCCACACTTGCTCCCTGCTCTGAGTCACACTTTGTATTTCTTTGTGACAAGCCCATTTGGTTTTCTCCTCAAAGGTTGGTAATGCAGCATCTTCTGAGACACCAAAACCTGAGCAAGGTCCCAGGAAGAGGTGGCCTGACCTTGTAGGTGACCTCGTGCAGGACTTCAAGTGTGTGTGTGTGTGTGTGTGTGTGTGTGTATGTGTGTATGAATTTACAACTGGTCTACCCCAGCCCAGCTCTCCATCTGCCTGCACTCCCTGGAGCAGACAGCAGATAACCATTTAATAGATTGGCTTGAAAAGTTTATTTAAAGGGAAAATGTAATTGCATTCTATTCCAGGGAGGTGTGAAGATGTTCCAGCGGCCTGGTCATGGCATATGCACACTGTCAGAAGTCATCCTGAGGATGTTACTGCACATTGATGGGAGCCAGGGAGCCAGCTGTCATTAGAGGGATGTACAACAAGCGTCATTATGTAGATCATAATCTTACTGGACTCTTACATGTGCTATTCACAGTTGCAAACAAGACCTTGGCTCTCTTCTATCCTTGATATTTCCTTTCCCACCCCCACAAAACAATTGCAAACCAAGCCATGGTGGCAGAGTTTAATATGGCCAAAAGGCAGGATATACAGGGCTTACAAGTGTGGCTTCCAAAGTCAGTCTACCTAAGTTTCAGTCCTGGGTTTTCTATATACTAAGTAAATAATGTTAGGAAACTTACTTAAACTCTTGGTACCTCAGTTTCCTCATATATAAAATGAGGATAGTAATACCTACCTCACAGGGTTGTTGGAAAGATTGAATAAATTAACACATGTAAGCACTTTCAACAGGCACATAGCAAATACAGGATATGTGTTAGCAACTATTGTTTACTCAAAAAATTCTTACACTAGGCAAGTATCTCATACCCTAAGTTTACTAGGCCATTCTTGCATTGCTATAAAGAAAAACCTGAGACTGAGTAATTTATAAAGAAAAGAGGTTTATTGGGGCTCACATTCTGCAGTCTGTACGGGAAGCGTGGTGCTAACATCTGCTTGGCTTCTGGGGAGGCCTCAGGAAGCTTACAATCATGGTGAAAGGTGAAGGGGGAGCAGGCACATCACATGATGGAAGCAGAGCAAGAGAAAGAGAGAGGAGGTGCCACACACTTTTAAATGACTAGATCTCATAAGAACTCACTATCACAAAGACAGCACCAAGCTATGAGGGATTCACCCCCATGATCCAGATACCTCCCACCAGGCCCCATGTCCAGCACTGGGGATTACAATTCAACAAGAGTTTTAACCAGGGACAAATATCCAAACTGTATCACTTAGTAGCCAGCCTCCAATATGGCCCCCAGTGTTTCTCATCTCCTGTCATTCCTGCGCTTGCATAGTTCCTTCCACACTGAATAGGGCTACTATGCAACCAATAGCACATTGAGGAAATGATGGGGTGTGACTTCTGAGGGTAGGTTGCAAAGTCACTGCAGCTTCCACCTTGTGCTCTCTGGGATCACTTACTTTGGTTCACTTGCCAGCTGCCATGCTGTGAGGAGACTCAAGCAGCACTGTGGAGTGGCCCATGTAGGGAGGAACCGAAACTGCCTACAAATAACCAGAGTTAATTTACTATCCATGTGGCTAAGCCACCTTGAAAGTGGATCCTCCAGCCCCAGTCAAGCCTTCAGATGGCTGCAGCCCCAGTCAACATTTTGATTGCAACCTGATGACAGACCCTGAGCCAGAACCATCAAGGTAATAGCAATAGATACATTGGGCTTTGCACATTTAGAGGTGGAGGAGCAGGGCCAGAATCAGCAGGGGTGGCTTTATAAACCAGACACTCATGTGTTCACTGCCACCCACAGGTATGCAGAGAGATGCCCAAGTGTGCATCCCAGTGGGGTTCTGAGGTGTCCCAGTGGGCTGTGGGAGACAGAAAGAAATTCAAGGAAAATCCACGCCAGAGGCTTTCTGTAGTTTTGCACCTCACCCTTCCCATACCTTTTCTCCTCATCTCCCCAGGCATCCACTGTGAACAGACCTTAGGAGGGTCAAGCAGGGAAGATGTATATAAGCACCAAAGGCCAGCACTGTGTCCTAGCGGGCATGGCCTCTTCCAGACTTAGATGAGTTCTTAGGGGGACCAAAAAAGAGAGATCTGCTGAGGTTGCAAAGGCATCTGCTGGGCAATAGCATAATCAGGGATGAGGGTGGAGGGATGGGATTGATCATGAGAAAGGCCTGATCACATTCTCCAAAAGTGGCACTTTTTCAACAATTGTTCAAAGGCTGTATGTTTACTTACTAGTGGTTAGAACAATGCAGGAGGATATGAAAAAAGTGACTCATTAATGTGGAATTGAAACATCAGCAGCCAGACCAGGAGACACATTAAGAAGGTAAGCAAATGCTGGCTGCTTTTCTTGTGCCTCCCTCCTTGCCCCTGCTCCTGATTTTGGAACATGGCTCTTTCTGCAGCTGAGAGCCCCTGGCACATTCTCCTGCTGAATCCTACTGCTATTTTGCAGGCACTCTGAAAGCTTCATCTAAACAGCCATGTGAGAAACCAGCCATGATGAGGACTCCCCAAGGCCACCCAGGGAAACTTCATTCAGAGAAAACAGGAGACATTCCAAGTGTTGGACTGGAACAATAAACCTCTCAATGTCAAAGAAGCCCTGCTTCCCTTTGTACTCTCCATAGGCTTGGGAAAGCCCTCTCTCCCTCCCCAGGGAGGGTTAGTGCGACAGATTGTTAGATAGGTGATGACTGATAGCACCAAGAGAGGAATCATTGCCTTGTACCTGTGGCCAGGTGCTTTTGTCTCTGGCTCACCAGATCTCAACAACGACACTCAGGATAGAGCAAAGACCAAAGCTGTGCTGCATCCCCATCTCCACTCTATGTTTTCTCTCTGCTAGTGATAGGAGCATCCTGTTTCTGGGTGCCATTTTAGTACTAAAAGGGGGCTTTCAGTGTGTTTCTGCTGGGTGCCCAGTCTCTCTTATCATGGCAGACCAGAGGAGGAATTTCACTAGGTACAGGCCTTCCTTCAAAAAGGTCACAACATCCCAGGAACTCACCCACCATAGTAGAACACAGCAGGTACTACTTGACCGACTTGAGCAGGGGGAACAAGGTGCTTTAGGGGTAAAGGGACAGGAGGTATTGATTCTGCTTGGAGATAAGAGAGAAAGGGAAGTGTTTTCAAAACGTAACCTGGATCATACTGTGAACACTGTTGTTTTATCTTACATTTAATTTCTTAATTTTGTAAGCCCATATTCTCTTAAATTTTATTGAAAGTATCAAGCAGAAGCTATCCAAAAACTTTTGTTTCCTTAGATAAACGTTTTTCAAAATATTGATTTTTTTTCTGCATTTCAGTTATGTTCTTCTCTTAAGCTACAGGCCCATCTTTTCTTCTTTTTACTCAATCAATTGCCCATATTCTCTCTCTCTCTCTCTCTCTCTGCTTCACTTCCTTCCCCTCTTCTTCTCTTTTTTTCTCCCTTCCACCTCCTTATTCTCCTTTATCCGTGAATAAAGAAGCACTCTATCCATGTCTAGTGTTTGCCTAGACCATTGGTAAATCCATGCCAATCCATGCATTGGTAATCCATTGGTAGACTTTCCCTGGCCCCTTCATGTAATAGATATCTTGCTTTGTGATAAACCATTTTTTCCAGAGCTTGTGGGAGGTTGGTATCGGTTAGCTTTGCTGTGTAACAAATCACCCAGATCTCAGTGGCTTAAGATATCAATGACTTATTGTTGCTCATATCTTTGGTCTACTGGGATTTGGCTGATGTAGGCTGGGCTCAGCTGAGGGCTCTGCATCAGGTATCTTGGCAGCTGTTTCCCACTGCAGCTCTGATGGTTGGTCAAGGCAACCCTACATCATACAGGTTTCAGCCTTCATTGACCAGTGCACTGACCTTGTCATGTTTTTCATATCATAGTGATTATAGAGGTACTAAATAACAAGTGAAAACATGCGTCTAGGCTCAGAGTAGCTTACTGTCACTTCTACCCATTTATCATTATCCAAAACAAGTCACATGGCCAAGCCCAAATTCAAGAAGCATGAAACTCCATTCTGCCATTCTGCCCATGGAGATACTGGGAGAGCTATAGAACCACTAGGAGAGGATGTATACAGGATAGGATAAGAAATTAAGGACAATAATGCAATCACCCACAGTGGTTCCAAGATAAATAAGAGATCTAGTGACTTGGAGTCTGCCTTCAATGGGTCAAGAGAAAAGATTGAGAAGGGATTCTCCGAGAGAAGGAAGGGTACAAGACCAGGGTGAAATGCAGTTCAGCCTAGCATTGCTTGTTTTTCTCCTTGCTCCAGGCTTCACCGATCTTCCCAGGAACTGCTCAGAGCCTGCTCCTCTCAGACTTTCCTGGGGTAAGCCCAGTTCCAATCTACTGATTCTTGCTTTCTTCTGGAGTCTTGCAAAGAAAACCCCATACAGAATGGATGACTTCCGAGCTAGCCTAATAAGCCAAGTAGACCCCTCAGTTTGCATGTGGATCAGCTCTTACACAACTGAGTGCATTTGTCAACTGTGACTCTCTGGAAGTGTCCATTTTAATTGCAAGTACCTGCTCACCAACCGGTACTCATAAACAATTCCCTAATGGGTCCATCAAGTCAATGAGCACAAATTTTTGTACAGAATAAAAAATAGTCTCCTCAAGGGACAGAGCCCAGCCTCCATTCTGGATTCCAAGGACTTGGTCTCCAGTACCCATTGTCTCAGAAAATGCCACTCACTGTTTGCTTGGGACCCAAAGACTTTCTTTAAAGAAAACCACATTTAATGCAAACAGTGTATTCTACCTGCTTAGGAAGTCATGGAGGTATTGTGATTAAAGGAAAAGTAGAGATTATCTAGTCAAAAGGTTGGCAAACCTTTCTGTAAAGGGCAAAAGAGTAAAAATTGTAGGCTTTGCGGGCCATACAATCTCTGTTGCAGTGACTCAACTCTTGCCGTTATAGCGTAAAAACAGCTCTAGACAATATGTAAACAAATGAGCATGGCTGTGCTCAATACAACTTTGTTTACAAAAATAACTGGCAGGTCAAATTTGATCCACTGGCAGGGCTATAATTGACTAAACTCTGCTCTGATCTAACCTCCCATTTTACAGATTTGGCAACTGAGAACACTGAGGCATCTTGTCCTGCCATTACTGAACCTGGCACACACATGCACCGTGGCAATGGTCTTTTGGTACTGACTGTGCTTCTTTGCAGGGCTCTACCAGGCTGCGAGGCCCCAGGATGAGTGTGCTGAGGGGTCTGTGCCTAGGCCTTGATGGTTGTGAAACAAAATATCACCCTTACTTGTTTATATTCAAGGCTTCCTACAAGACAGATCTTCTTGACCTTGGAGACCTTGAATCATCCATCTTGTAACCCCAGTGACTTCCCAGCTCTGCCTCTGGTGCATAGCAAGGGCCAGTCAAAATGAATAAATGAGGCCCAGAGAGCAGGAGTGACTTGACCAAGGTGCCACCGTCTGATTAGCAGCAGCACAGGGACCAGAATCCAGGACATGACGTTACAGGGTAATCTGTGCTCATGCAGGGTAATCTGCTATTGGTTAGATATAAGATTGGATAAGGGGTTGAATAATTGCAAAAATATCAGTTAATTCATCAACAAATACCTACCAAAAGCACCTGCAGGTTGGGAGGCCCTAAGCCAAATGCTGCAGGCAGGGAAGGGCTAACCTGCAAGGAGGCTGCAGTACCGGAGGAGACACATGCAAATAGCTCTAAGCCTAGTGCTCATTTCTAGCTATAGAATAGACTCTGGAAGACTATGATTAACTTTTATTTTTCTACTTCTCTCTGCCTCGTGCTCCACCATATGTACACAGTAAGTCCTCGCTTCACATTGTCAATAGGTTGTTGGAAACTGCAACTTTAAGGAAAACTATATAGAGTAGATCTTCAAATAACATTGTTTCTTGTTTTTATTGTAATGTTGGTGAGAAAAAAATGGTTTTGTTATATGTTGTTTCACTTGAAGTTTTCATTTTCAAGAATCTATTGATGATGTTAAATGAGTATTTACTGTAATTACACACACACACTGTACCCACCACACACACTGCACCCACCACACACACACTGCACACACACACCACACACACTGCACACACTGCACACACACACCACACACACTGAACACACACACCACACACCACACACACCACACACACCACACACCACACACACTGAACACACACACCACACACCACACACACCACACACACCACACACCACACACACCACACACCAAACACACACCACACACTACACACCACACACACTACACACACCATGCACACACACACCGTACACCACACACACAACCACCCCCCCCACACACCACATATCACACACACCACACACCACACACACTGTATACCACACACCACACCACACATACACCACACACCATACACACTGTACACCACACATACACACACACACCACATACACCACACACCACACCACACACACAGCAGACACACTGTACACCACACACACCCCAAACACACCACACACACACACCACACACCGCGCACACCACACCACACCACACACACACACGCACACACACACACGGAGCAAGATTGTCATTGAAGAGTCTAGCATCCAGTTCAGGGTTCTTGACCTAGAGTTTTGGGAATAACTCCCCAAACTCCAAGGCTTTCTGGTCTTCCTTAAATTGTATATAAGTTTTTGTGCATTTTATTTTTAAAGAGAGACTATACATTTTTTTTTCAGATTCTTAAAGGAATCCCTGATTCCCAAATGCTTGACCATATGCAGTGGGTGACTTGGGACCCACGTCCTTGATCCGTGGTACCAGAACAGCTAGGGACTGTTTTAACCCCAATGTGACAGGCAACAAAACTCACATAAATCATACAAGGGGGGCGACAGGAGGAAAACCCTTTCTTTGACAGTAATTTCTGACCACCAATCAAAGTTTGCTTGTCTTACATCAAATCTTGGGTATTCAAACTCGAATTTGCAGACCTCTAGTCGGCTTCAGTCATCAGGGTTGAAAATTTCTGCAATATGGTGGAGAAAGCATGACCTTGGAATCTGAAGAGTCTGCGGTCTGATCCTAGCACCCCAGCCCCCAACCATGTGCTATTCTGTAACTTAACCTCTGTTGCTCCCCTTCTCCCTGACATCTCAGCCTCTCAGCTCACCTGTCTATAAAACAGGATAAAAATACCTACCTCACAGACTTATTGCAAACACTAAAGCAATTAGATACTTTAAACGTCTAGGCCGGTCACGGTGGCTCATGCCTGTAATCTTAGCACTTTGGGAGGCTGAGGCGGGTAGATCACCTGAGGTCAGGAGTTCAAGACCACCCTGGCCAACACCATGAAACCCCGTCTCTACTAAAAATACAAAATTAGCTGGGCATGGTGGCACATGCCTGTAATCCCAGCTACTTGGGAGGCTGAGGCAGGAGAATCGCCTCAACCAGGAGGCGGAAGTTGCAGTGAGTCGAGATCCTGCCATTGCATTCCAGCCTGGGCGACAGAGTGAGACTCTGTTTCAAAAAAGAAAAAAAGAATGTCTAGAACAGCACTTGGTAGGTGCTTAGACTGCCTTGCACATAGTAGGTATTCAGCAGATATTTGTTCCGGTTTCTCTATCCCCACCCAGTCCCCTTTGTTTTTTCATATATGTGGCACCTAGAGAGAATACTTTGTAATTCATTCCCAAGGTTGTTTTCCTTCCCTTGTTTTTTCTGAAAAAAACAAAAAACAAAAAAACAAAAAAAAACCCACCTCAGGATTGATAAAAGCAAAGAGTTGCTCAATGGCAAATCTGTCACGTACCTCTTTATTTCTCTGGCTTTTGGATAAAGCAAGAAGAGGCAACTACAGAAAAAAATGCAGAATAAAACTGCCCTGGTGTTTCATGCAGGGAAAAAAACCGCCCTGGTGTTTCATGAGTTGTCGTTGTGTGAGGTTTGGCTAATTCAGCAAGACCCCTTTGTTTTTGTTTTTAAACTATCGTATTAAAGCATATTTATTCAAAGGAGCGCAATCGCACTCAGAGACCCAATTAGCTTGGGAGGTTTATTCAATTTTGTGGCTCAACCATCTTACAAGTTTCTCTTTTGGAAGTGGCTTTGAAGCCAGCCTGTGAGTTAAGCACTACCATTAACAGTCACACTTCAAACTCACCTGTGTGCGGACTTGGATGGTGTAGTAATCCCTTCAGTGACACTTTGGACACACATTTACAGAGCACTGCCTTGGCACCCTGCCTCCAACCAGGTGCTGGAGACACAGCCATGAACAAAACAGAGGTGCAGTCCTGCCTTCATGGAGCTTGCAGCCCAGTGGAGGAGACATAGTGCAAGGACTCACAGCAGAACATGCTAAGCTTTGTGATAGAGGAGGTACAGGCCCACGTGGTGCATAGGAGAGGGGCACCCTGTCAGGATAGAGAGAGTCAGGGAAGGCTTCCTGGGGGAAGGGACATCTAATGTGAGGCCTAAAGGTTGAGTTGGAGTTAGCTAAATCCTGTGATTCCTGGACCTCTCATTAAGAAGGAGAGTAAAGAGATGCTCAGCAGGCAATGGGATAGCAGGGTCTGAGCTCAGAAGAGTGAGATCTGGGCTGAAGGCAGTGAGTTGGGCATTGTATTAGTCCATTTTCACATTGCTATAAAAAGCTTCCCAAAACTGGGTAATTTATAAAGGAAAGAGGTTTGACTCACAGTTCTGCATGGCTGGGGAGGCCTCAGGAAACCTACAATCATGGCAGAAGGCAAAGGGGGAGCGAGAACCTTCTTCGCATGGCAGTAGGAGAGGGAAGACTGAGTGTAGGAGGAACTTGCCACATACTTGTAAAACCATCAGATCTCATCAGAACTCACTTACTATCATGAGAACAGCACGGAGGAAACTGCCCCCATGATCCAATCACCTCTCACCAGGATCCTCCCTCAATACCTGGAGATTGTAATTCAAGATGAGATTTGGGTGGGGACACAAAGCCAAACCATATCAGACATCCAAGCACAGAATAGGTAAACTAGGAAAACCTCTCTGGGAAGGAAGCCTTTCCCAAGAGAGACTCACACCCTGGATCTCCCTAACCCACAGGGGCAGCCCTTACGGTCTGGAGGCTGGGGCTGCTCTCTCCAAGGCTGGTGGGCAGACTCTTGACCCAGAAAGCTGCTGTTGTCCCTCAACTGCCTTCCCCCCCATCCAGAGGGGATCTGGTTCTCCCAACCCATTCCATGTAGTGTCCCAGGAAGTGCATCCAAGAGCTTTGAGGCCAGAGGACAGAGCCATTCTAAGTGGCCCACAGCCTTGGCATCGGCCCAGGGAGCCCCAGTGAGAATCAGGGTCACCTGCAGACACCTGCACAGTCATCTTTGCACCATGCTGTACTTTCTGGGGTTTCAGGTCCATGACATGATGCTATCTTCTGGGTCACAGGCAAGCAAACACCATGAAGTCAGAGGTACACACAGCTCTCGGGCCTAAGTGGAGGGAAGTACATGCCCTCGCTGTAACAACACGCACTGAGCAGAGTCAGCTCTGACCAGGTTCTAGAAACCTTTGCAATCTTGAGATCCTATTCCTACTCTTTAACAGGAAGCATGCTTGTAAAGAGCTTTTGTCTTGGGGGGAAAGAGGAACAGCCCTCCACACGCCTCCCGACATTCCAAGGTTGGAGAATTAGCCTCCCACAGCTGCTGTCGCAGGAAGCGGGTCGGCCATATCCATGTGTAAACAAAGGCAGCGAGACCCCTTTCCTTAGGGCAAAGCCGGCTTCAAGAGACACAGAATTGAAGTGAGGGCAGGTGGAAAATACCGGCCCAGCATGGGAAGGGAAAGGAAATGCTTTGCTGAGCCATTTCTAGCAAATATGCTACAATCCTAATAAATATGTATTTTAAAAATCACTCTGTGATCAAAATAGGAGAACTCTTAATGTAATTTATTTTTTAACAAGAGGAGAAGGAGCTCTGCTATTAGACCACACTTCGGGACTTCACTTTTTAAAAGTTAGCCATGAGTGCATGTTGCTAGTAAATCGGGATCCCCCACCAGGGGCACTAAGTCATTTCGCATTAGCACCTATTCAGGAAATCTCCAGCTCCCAAGGCCAGTCTTTGACCAGGGATCACAGCTTTGATTTTGCGCTCCCTTTTGCCTTGGCCCCCTGCTCGAGGCTGTGCACAGCCTGACATGACGTCCTTGTCCATAATAATGACTTCTGAACTGCTTGGCTGGGGCGCTTTTCCAAAATGGAATCAGGGAATCTCTGACCCCACAGCCTGCTGAGCGCTGCTGTCCTCTGCTCAAGAGTTCACCAGATCCTCCCTTCAAAATTGGGCCACCACTTTCCATGTCTATCTAATGAGACGCTGTGCCACAGAGAAGAAATTGCAAGTGTATTGCAAAAGGCACCGGGGAAAGAAAAATGTTTTGGAGCTGTCTCTCTCTATGAGCCACCTATCTTAATTTAAAACTTTTCTAACAAGTATTTGTTTTTCTAGAATATCCAAGTTTATCAGTTAGAAAATCCAGGCAACACTGTCTCCGACAGTTGAGGATTGGTTTGCCTCCTGCAGCAAGAGCTTGCAAAAGGAATTACTGGTGTAGCTGTTTGAGGAGTGCACCAGGGACCCAGATCCTCTGTCTTCCTGCTCCTTGGGTCCTGAGTGTGACAAAACAGCCATCACTGTCACGAGACAGCTACAACAATTTCCGCATCTGGTCCAGACATGCAGGAGGAGAAAGATGGAAGATAAAGAACCAAAATCCTTTTCCACAGGAGCCTTGTTTCCCAACATTTTATTTTGCAAATGTTGTATAGATACAGCAAAGTTGAAAGTATTTTACAGGAAACATATTTTTTACCCAATGCCAAGGTTCTACTATTAGCATTTTACCGTTCTTGCTTTATCGCATATCTATCCATATCTAAGAGTTTGATCAGTCCATGCAGTTGAACAAAACCTATTCTCTCTACCCTACAGGCCGTTACATTGGTAATTATGAATAACATAAGGCAGAAACCAGGCACTGTGCAGTAAGAAATGATAGCCTAAGGGAGAAAGGAAATACTAGTATGTAGGGGGTCATTAGTGAAGGGGTAAAAGCTCTACACACACAACTGCCCATGGACATCCCTATACGATGGCACATATCTATAAATGGTGATTACAGTGATCACTCTGACCTCTTAAAAGGTCTAAATTGGCTGGACGCAGTGGCTCACGCCTGTAATCTCAGCACTTTAGGAGGCCGAGGTGGGTGGATCACGAGGTCAGAAGATCGAGACCATCCTGGCCAACATGGTGAAACGCCGTCTCTACTAATATACAAAAAATTAGCCAGGCGTGGCTACATGCACCTACACTCCCAGATAGTCAGTAGGCTGAGGCAGGGGAATTACTTGAACCTGGGAGGCAGAGGTTGCAGTGAGCTAAGATCGCGCCACTGCACTCCAGCCTGGCAACAGGGCAAGACTCTGTCTCAAAAAAAAAAAGTTCTAAATTATGTTCAGTTAAATCTGGTTAAGAGGGCAGAGGCATTTTTAACTCATTTTAGAAACATTTTCATAAAATAGTTGAATAGTTTAAGTGCTATTACATTTAAGATCCCTGGATAACTCACTTACACGTTTTATTTCATGTCCCAATGATGCAGGGTAAGCCACATTGTGTTGAATGCATCCTATACACAGTATTATAAATGCACTCACTTGTTTACTCATTAAGTAGAGAGCAGAGAGCTTCCTCTATCCAAAGTGCTGTGAGTTCATGAGAGGCACAGAAAAGGTGATGGAGAATTACAGGAGGGATAGACAACCAACTTGAATATCAAGACAGAAATGGCCCTTCTTCCACACCTGCAAAGGCTGCAGCACATCTGATGTGCAGTGATGGGAGGAGGCTCTCCTGGAAGAAATGGGGAATAGGGGTAGGAAAGGGTAGAAGGTACAGGTAGAGGACAGTGGGGTTTGCTATGGACAGAGGAAAGGTGCTAAGGGGTGGGCTATGACTGATGTAGAAAGATAAGTGGATGTTCTTGGCAATAAAGCATTTTGACTTTTACTTGTAGACTATGATACATGATTGAAGGTGTGATAGGATCAGAGCCGTGCCTTTAGAAGTATGTTCTGCAAACAATATGTAGGCTGCATTGGCATAGGGAGAGGTTGGAGACAGTAAGACCCAGGAAGAGGTCAACTGAAATAGTTCAGTTAAGAATTAATGAAAGGTCCCAAGCAAAGACTTGTACATGAACATTCATAACTGCTTTAGTCGCAATGGCCCCAAACTGCAAACAACCAAATGTCCTACAACAGGATAATGGATAAACAAATTGTGTTACATCCACACAGTGGAATACTACTCAGTAATATACAGGAATTAACTACTGGTACATGTAACAACATGTGAGAATCACAAAATCTTTATGCTGAGTGAAAGAATCCAGACTCCCCCCAAAAGAGCATATATTGTATGATTTCATTTACATAAAATTATAGAAAATGCAAACTAACCTACAGTGATAAAAAGCAAATCAGGGGTTGCCTGGGGCATTGGAGGGAGGGATGGACTGCAAACAAGGCAAAAAGAATCTTTTGGGGATGATGGAAATATTTTGTATCTCAATTGTGGTGGAGATTTTATAGGTGTAGACTTCCATCACAACTAATCAAATTGCACATTTTAAATGGATGCAGTTTAATGTACATGCATCACACCCCAGTAACGTTTATTTTAAAAACTAAGAGAGACTTCTGGATGAAGATGATAGATGGAATTTATCTACCTCCATTCCTTCTATCAGATAATAGTAAAAACATTGTTTTTTAAAGGCATGTGTCTCCAAGGGCAGTAAAATGTAAAAGGAGTCATTCGCAGCAAAATTAACAGATGAAGAAAAGAATAGAGCAGATTTGAGATGGCCTAATCCTGACAGAACAGGGAGAAAGTCAAGGCCAACCTACCACTCAGGGCGGATGGAATCAGTGCAGGTGAGGTGAGGGCAGCTAAAATAAGGAAGACTGAAAATCTCCTCCTAAGCACTTAGCATTCTAAGCACTGACATCCTTCCCTACCCCTCTCTGGAGAAGACAAAAGGGAATGTCTATGGACTGAAGGACAATAGTCATGGTTGAGGGAGGGGAAAGTATGCCAAAACCAGAGGTGTCAAGAGATTGTCTACCTGTAAGAAGTTTAGATCCTACCTGTTTATTTATTTAGGTTCCAGAAAGCTGGTAACCAGGCCTCCATCTTCCAAGGGGAGACCAGTAGAGTCTTTGGATAGTTTGATCAGTCTGAAAGGGACAATTTATAATACTGTCATTAATGTTTTCCCAACTCACAGCCTAGTTAGGTCATCTTACGAAAGAGAAAGCCAAGGGCTTCAGTTCCCCTCCTGTTCCCAGAGCTTTACGTTAGCATTTCATCCCTCCACTCTTAAATATGATGAGACAACCAAGCATTATAATATAAAACAGAAAACAAAACAAATGAATATTAAAAAGGAATCTAGTGGAAACATATAGTATGTTAATTAGAAATAAACCTCTAAGAGATAAGATATTACAACCTTGAAACAAGAGCAGATTACTATAAAAAAGGAATATTTTGATTAATAAAAGAGCTCAAAGAATTTAAAATATAGCAGAAATGCAACCCTCAATTGAAAACTTGGAACACGAATGGAGAATATTCCCTAAGAAATAGAGCAAAAAAATTCAAGTTGTTCTAGAAAGAGAGGATAATTTTTTTAAAGAAGGCGGATATAGCAATAAAATATTTGAAGAAAGCTTCCCATAGTTGAAAGGCATTAGATGGTAAATTAAAAGGGCCCACTAAGTACCCAGGACAATGAATGAAAAAGATCTTGTAAAAGTGCATCAACACAAGCTTTCAGAACACAGGAGACAAAGAGAGGAAATTACAAGCTTCCAGAGGAAAAAGAGAAAAAAACCAAGAACACATCATACACAGAGAAACAGGAGTCACAACATCTTCAGATTTCTCAGTAGCAATATGGAACCTAGAAAGCAGCAGAGTAAGACTCCAAATTTAGAAGAAAAATTAATTCCAACCTAGAATTCTAAACTCAAGCTGTCAAACAATTACAGGGTGGATTAAGGCATTTTCAGACGAGATCGGGCACGTTCAGTGTGGTATGGCCATAGATGGATAAGGTATTTTCAATCATGTAAGTGCCAAAAGAACCCCTTCTCCTCTGTATTCTTTCTTGGGAAGCTCTGGAGGAAGTGACTCACCAAAACAAGAGATTGAGTAGGTGGAAGGTGTGGGATACAGGTGATGAGAGCTCAACATGAGAGGGAGGGAAAGGAAATTCCTAGAAGATGATGTAGGGAGACCCCAGAATGATACTTTTGCTCTGCAATTAAGAGTTGTTTTTCCTATTAGGACTTGTAGACACATGGCATCTCTTGTTCATTGAAAGATTTTTTTTACATATAAAAAATAACCTTAACCACTAAGATAGTTTTTAAACATTATTTTGTACAACAGAATTACCTATAGGCTTACTAAAAATACAAATTCTATTGCTTCCCATTCCAAGAGATTCTGTTTCAGGAGGTCTGGGTGAGATCCCAGGAAAATGCATTTTAATCAGTTATCTTGGGTGATCCAGTGCAGGTGGGTCATAGACCATGTCTGCAAAACATTAGTCTAAACAACAGTACCAATAGCTGAGTAATGTAAGCTCAACTGTCATTTTTATAATCTGCCAATATTTACTTTTTAAAATTGAGATATAATTCACATACCATAAAATTCATCATCCTAAAAGTGTGCAGTTCAGTGATCCTCAGTGTATTCACAGAGTTGTCTAACCATCACCACTGTCCAGAAGATTTCCATCCCCACTAAAAAAAATTCCAGAAGATTTCCATCCCCCTAAAAAAAAAAGAAAAAGAAAAAAAGCCCTGTACTCATTAGTAATTAAGTCCCCATGCCTGATTCCTCTTCCTCTGGACATTACTTTCTGTCTGTACGCAATTGCCTACTCTGGACTGTATAAATAGAATCATTACAATATGTGGCCTTTTGTATCAAGCTTATTTAACTTAGCATAATGTTTTCGAGGTTCATCAATGTTGTCACATACATAAGCACTTAGTTTGTTTTTATATCTGAATAGTATTCCATTGTATGAATATACTGCACTTTGTGGATCCACTTATCAGTTGACAGACGTTTAAGTTGTTTCCATCTTTTGTCTGTTGCAAATAACGCTACAATGCATGTTTATGCACAAGCTTTTGGGTGAACACCTGTTTTCAGTTCTTTTGGTATCTACCCAGGAGTGGAATTACTGCGTCATATGGTAACTCTTTAACTTTTTGAGGAACTACCAAACTGTTTTCCACAGTGGCTGCACCATTTTATGGTCCCACTAGCAATATATGAGGGTTCTAGTATCTTCACATCTTCACCAACACCTGTTATTGTCCATTATTATTATTATTACTATTATTATTAATCATAGTCATTAAAGTGAGTGTGACCTGGTGTCTCATTGTGTTTTTGATTTACGTTTCCCTAATGACTTGCCAGGATTTATTCCTGCATATTCCTCATTCCCCCCAACTCCTACTTTTTGTCTGTGCTATATATATATGGTCAGATCATAGAGCTAGTACATATTACAAATGTCCTTTGCTCTTTATTCTCAATTCCACACGTCTCCATGTATAGAGTGCTCACTATCAGTCATGACCATGTCTGACATGGTCTCCATGGGAACAGAGAGATCACATCAATGTCTCTTCAGTCTGAAGTTCATTCTTTACTAGATTCCTTAGGAAGAGTTCATGGAATAATTTTCCCTATATATTTGCATGATAATAATAGTTCATGTATGAATTATTTTTGTATCTGAAGATCAGTTTTGATAAATTAAAATCCTTGGCTCACATTTTCTTGAGTATCTTAAGTATGCCACTCTGTTACTCTATTTTCTTATGACCCAAAGCATTGCCTTGAAATGTCTAACGATAACTAATTTTCTTTCCCCTTTAAGTTACAGGCTCTTTTGTTAGAGATGCCTTTTTTTTTTTTTTTACCAGCAATTTTACTAGTTTACTGCAATTTGTCTTGGTGTTGGACAAGACCCAGTAATTACATTACAGTATGGTTTTGTGTTCATTATTCTGGGTAACATTCTCAGGTACATAGCATGCTTTTTCAACATGTGTTTTCAGATCATTTTCTTTCTGATTTTTGAAAACATTGCTTGAAGCAGAGTTTTTAGTAGTTGTTCTGTTTCCTTGCATTAGATTTCCTCTTCGGTACTTCTGTTATCTATATTTTGTCTTCTTTTTTTTTTTTTGAAATTTTTCTTCTTTTCCTTCCCTATTTCTCTTAAAATATTACTTGCCATTTATTTCCTCTTTGTTCCTTCTGGATTACTCTTCTTCTAAAATTATTTTTCTCTGTAGTTTTTTTCTTGCATTCTGTCGCCTCATTCCTGAGTTTTTCTAATTCTGATTTATGCTGTTCTTTCACAGCCCATGTCATTTTCTAATGTCTTTTAGCCTGTTTTGAAGGGGTGCATTATAATTTCTGTGAGCTTTATATTTTTTTCACTGCCTGTAGGAATGTCATTTGGCTTCTTATTCTCTTTTAACTTTATGTGGCATATTTTTGCTGTTATCTACATGTGACTTTAGTTTTCCTAAACTTGTAGAAGGAAGATTGGCTCAATGAGCTTTTCTAACTTCACAGGGTTCTGAATATTCTCTCTCTCTTTCTCTTTCTCTCTGTGTGTGCGCGTGTGAGTGAATAAATATGTTGGCTTGCTTTCTGTGAATTTCTGGCTGTTTCCCTCTGTAACTGTACCCTGCACCTTCCCTTTCCTTCTTCATCTCTGTTATCCCTAGTCTACTCACTTCATTCTCAGTTTTTAGGAGCTCTGTGGACTCCATTTTGAGAGTTCACAGGGGCCCGGCTGCTCCAGCCCCTAAAGGTTTTATTGCGGGTGTCTTGCACCCACCCTTTCAGTTTTACCTGTTCCCAAATTGTGTTGCTCTGCTTCCCCGTGCATATCTGGTGTCTATTCTGAAGCTATCCTGCTCTCCAGCACATACCTGGTGGCTATTTGGAAGTTTTCTCTGATCTCTCAGATGCCCTGTTGCTTACCTCTGCTTTCTCCTGCAGAGATGCCAATTATAGGCAGGTCTCGAAGTTGTCAAAAAGTTTTCCCCAACCACTTGAATGTTGGAGTTCATGGTTTGGGTGTCTAGTTGCTATGACTTTTTTTTTCTTTAATGTGGAGATTTGGAGAAATCTAAGAACTATGTTGCCGTCATCATCACAATCTTGTGGAGTTCACTAGTTTAATGGGTAAGCAAAGAGCCTAGGGGGAAAAAAGGATAGAATAGGACAGGCACAATTAACAGATTTGTGGATTGTTTATATATGCCAGCAAATTTAAAACAACAGTCCTCTTGAAAAATTTTTAAAGTGAAGAATTAGTGAGGTTTTATTCAAATCTGTATATTTGGTTTCTCCTTAAAACAGAAGACCTGGTAATACTGGGCCTCTGTGCCTGGCCTACAAATCCCTACTCCACACATGTTCTCATTTATGTTATTTATGTTATCTGTCTGTTGCCTGAAGGCTCTGGGGTTAGAACCTCCAGTCTAGAGTAAAAGCCACCATGCCCATGTGATTCAAAGCTCAAGAACTATGAATGAAACACAAATTCTAAACAGACATGTTAGCTCATCATAATTTTAAATTCCTCAATTAATTTTACCAAATATATACATATATAAACTTATTTTCTAATAAAGTGTGATTAGAAAGTAAGGTTGGCTTATCTATGTAAAAAATTAATGAGTGCTACTGTCACACACAACATGAGTATATCTCACAAGCATAAGATGAACAAAAGAAGCTTGACACAAAAGGATCTCAGATTTCAAGATTTCATTGATATGAAGCATAAGAACAGGCAAAACCCTCTAGGATCAGAATGGTGGTTACCTCTGGGTGGAGGTGGTGATTGACTGGGAAGAGATATTAGAAATATCTTGATCCAGGAAGAGGTGGTTTCATGGGAATTACCTATAAATTCATCAAGCTAAGCACTTAAGATTGATTACTTTTGCTGTATATATATTAAAACTCAATAAAAATTTTTGACTGTCATTTTAAAACCATGCTACAAATATGTACTATGTACATCAATTGGAGGTGGCACAAGAAGGCATCAGTAAGGAGCCTCCACATGGCCACCACCACCAACTTGAAAATACGTTAGTCTCAGAGGATTAAATTCCAATTATGTGCCTAAAAGATGGGAGCACAGAAAAGCAAAGTCACTTTAGAGAGGCCCAGAAGACATGAATCTGATGGAATGTATTGACATGGAAAAAGGAGGAAGGTACCCATCAGAATGGTGGTGCTGGTGCCGGGTGGGTCGACGGGCAAGGGGTCTGCTGAAGTTTAGAAAAGGAAGTCATCATGGCTAAAGATAGCTGACTGCGATTTTGGGCCTCTTAAGTCATTTTCTTAATAAGAGGAGACTGCTAATCCATGGATGAAAGAGTCCAGTTCCCTGCGGAGTTTTGTGTCTTCTTGTAAATTAATCAATTAGCATCGTGTTTACATAAATTGGGCTCTTGTAAGTAAAGTCAGCACAAGTCAGCTTCACTGCATGGGAATACCTCTGAAACGCTGGCAAGGCCAGGTGGCTGGGTCTGCACAACTGGGGGCCAGACTCAGACTCAGACTCAGACTCTCAAGTCTAGCCTTGCAAGAAAACCTCTTTGTGGCCAAATAATGGGGAGTCTTCAGGGTGGCCTCAGCCTGCACCATTGTGGCCCCTGGGCCCTGCCCGGGCAGTGGCAGCACTACTGCCCTGCAATGGGGACATGGAACATGTGTGAGCATGCAGTGTGTGTGGCTGGGACTCTCATTGCAAACAGCACATAAGCTGGAGGCTCTTTGTAAAGAAGCACTGACAGCTCTGGTCACTTCCCATCTGGCAGGAACCCCTAAATATTTATTTATTTGAAAACCTCAAATATAATTCTCCTAAAATTCTCCAGATCAAAAACACTTTGTCCTTTCCTAACAAAATAGAATCATTTGAATGGGATTATTACAACAATGCACCAATTTCAAAGTTCTTATAAGCCACAAAATGAGGGGAATTTGTGTTTAGATGTCTTTCAAAGCAATGAATTTTTAATTAAAAATTGAAAGTGGAGGAAAAGCTCAGCTCTAATGGAAGGGCTCTATATCCATGCTCTGGGTAGTTTACTACAGTGACAAAGTTGATACAGTTTTTATATTTGCTAACTAGTATCACATTATTCAAAAATTATTTTGCCGATGGATCTTCAACTGAATCATGCTTATAGTTACTCAGGAATTTTCTGGCATATGTCCTTTTAACTAGTTGATGATAAAAAATGATGATAATAATAGGAGTGATTTTTCACTAAGCTATATCCACGTCCTCCTAAAGTATCGCCTGTCTGCATGGCACCAAAGGCCAATGAACCCTCACCCTTCTACAGAATCCAGCAGGGAGAGTTTGAGGCCAGGGGAGTCTGGTCATTCTGGGAATGAATGAGAAGCACCCTTGTATGGTCAGTGGTCAAGCTGCTGCATTCCTAGGGATGGTTTTCCCACCTGGTGAAGCCTCTTTTAGAACCATGGTTCCCTTTAGAGCAGTGGGGGATCATAGCAGACGTAAAAGCTCTAAGTAGAAGCTCTTCAACAATAGAGGAAAACAGAGGCTGTGACTCAATGATGCTGCTCAGAGTGGGAGACAGGTGTGTAGAAAGGCTGAGGGCCACAAGCAATGCTCCCAATGGAGCAGGTTGCTGTGGGGATCTGGGGCGGGGTGGGCCCACATGCCCGCCCTGCTCCCATTAATTAGCAGCCCTGGGATCCAGGAGCCTGGACACTGTGTGGACTTGACAAATTCTACTGATTGTGCAAGTGCTTTGTTCAAGCTCTAAGTGTACCCTGCCTCCTTCTCCTCAGAGGACCTTTGCAGAGGCTGTTCCCTCTGCACAGAGCCCTCTTACACACTCTCTCGTTCTAGTTCACTTTCTCCCTTTCTAGAGCTGAGCTCCATTCTCCTTTCCTCAAGGGTCTCCCCAATCAACTCACATTCCCCATCTTACTCTCCCTCCTAAAACCACAAACTCCATTACAGCATTTATCCCAGATAGACTTTTTATTTATCTGGGTGATTCTTTGATGACGTCTTTCTTTAGCACTAGACTGTAAGCTACAAGAGGGAAGTGACTGCACAAGAAAAGGCTAATTCTTCTTTTTTTTTTTTTTTTTTTTTGGCTCACCATTCTATCCCCATGACCTAGTACAGTGCCTGGCATGTACTGGCATACAATACTAAGTGTGTCTTAAATGAATAAATAACTGAATACATTTCTTCTCATTTTGCTGAGTCTAGACAACCAAATTCCTCTGGTTCAAACTTTCCTCCTTCTCCTAATTCATTCATCTACCTATTCTCTACCCCGGGCAACCACAGCGCTCAAATGCACATCTCATGTCTCCCATCCCTGTTGGCTGCACCAGAAGGGGCCCCTTGGTTGTGCGGGAGTTCATGTCCTAAGTATGCTGCCGCTGTCAGCTGCCATTCTTTGCGCTGGGTGAGGCCTCCATAATCCTACACCTCACTGGCCTCTCAGAAGATGGGGACTTGAACTTCCATGCAGATGTGTGGTTTGCCCAGGCCTTCTTTCCTCTCATTACCAGATGGCCCACTCGACACGCCAGGGGCCATTGTGTTACTAATGGACTAGCAGAGGTTCGGGCCTTGGGTTTACCATGGGTTTGGTCTTAGGAAAGTTGTGCAACTTCTTTGCATGTAAGCTTCCTCGTGTGCAAGATAAGGATAATAGCATATACTTCACAGAGTTGTAAAATTAAATAAGATAATGCTTAAGAAGTAATTAGCATGGTGTTGGGCACATAGGAAAAAATGGCGGTTCTATCTCAGTACATGTGAGGATCTGCACAGACTGTGAAACTGACACCTGTCACACCGGGCCTCACACCCTGGCAGGTATCACGATAACGAAGTTGGTCCACCCTTGCCTGTAGGGTGTCAATTACTCCACAAGCCAGGTATCTGGCTGGGTACAGCTGAGCCTGGAGTCCCTTCCTGTTAGAGCGCCCTGAGCAACATATATCATACTCTTCTTATCCAGATGAAATTGCACTTAGAGCACCAAAGGCAGCCTGAAAGAACACAAATCTGAAAGGGGCAACCAAAAGCGGTGTTTCTCTAGCTGTACAGGAACAGTATTAGAGGTGTGGGTGGTGATAACAGCAACAATAAAGTAATAATTATACTTAGCTGCAATTGACCATGTTTTATTGCTGAATTGTCACAACAGCCCTGACCAAGTAGTTATTATTGCCCTCCCTTACAGAACAATGACCCAAAAAATTACCCAAGATCAGACTAGTGAGTAGAACCAGTATAGAAACCTAGTTATCTGCGTATTCCATCCTCTGGGCAGCACACTACTGCCATCTCCTTTATCTTAAATGTGTGTGGGAGTGAGAGAGCTAACGTTACGTGTGGCTTTAAATTTTTGAGCCCCAGTCCCTGGAACTAACCCATCTACTTTCCTTGAATCTCTTCCTAGACAGGCCCCCTGAGCCAGACAGGAAATCCACTGGTATTTAAAAAGATAGGTTGTGTGCATGGTACATGACAGGCTAGCAGTAACTCCCTTCATCCTGATTTTCCACCCTCTTTCTGGGTACCTCAGTGTCCTCTTGTTGTAAAAGTCATTAGGTATGTTTAAAATCCGAATGCGATGTGTATCTGAATAAAGACGCTTATTCTCTCCTACCAGTTACTCTTCATTTTTATGTGTCAGAAAGCGTTCCTTGCATAAACAGGTGTTATTTCCATGTACTTTTGCTCAGGTTCTTTGGATACCATGATCTTAGCTATCTGCAAAGCTGACCAGGGCTAGAACTCCATTTTACCACCTCTGACATCCACTCTTTGCCGATAGAGAAACTTGCTTCAGGACAAGATCTAGCTTGGAGCAGGTCGTAGCAGAGGACAGACATTTTACAATGTACAGAGATTATTGTTACGTCCACATTATTATTTTTGGCACTAGGAAACATGAGGACCAGTGATGAAATGTCTGGGGAAGAGGTTTCAGTCAACTGTCACTATCTTCGGCATCCACCCAAGAGTGATCTAACCTTTGCAAAGCCTTCACTGATTCGGGAACCTCAAATGCGTTTTCATTGTTAGGTTGCACCGTTAATTCTCTGTTGCATTACCTATCCTGTTTAAAAAAATAAAACAATCTAAGAAGGCAGATAATGTTTAATGGAAAAGGGCAGCGATGGACTAATGGTTGCCTAGCAACCACTAGACATTGTTTTGCTGCTTCACTCTAGAGAAGCCAAAATGGCGGCTGTAATCCTTCTCTGGCCCCCTGGACAGTGTACGTGTGAGTGACGGTTCCCTCTGGGCCCACATCATTTTCTTGTCTTGGGCAGCAGATCATTCCTTTTTCAGCTTCCAAATGGGGAAAACTGTCTGCCTGATTCTTGAGTATGCTAATGCCTACACTTTCATCTTCTCAGAAAATCTATGGCTGAACTTTTCAGGTTCTTCCTTTGGGCAGTACTGCTTAAGTGTTTTCATACCACTCTCCATTTCCTGCTTTGAGCTGCCCTTCCTGTCAATCAATTACCAACCCTGCTTCTGTATTTTTTTTTGAGGTCAAGCTAGGTACTTGACATGATTTGGTTTTGGAAAACCTCCTCCTTTCTGCTTCCAGAAGGTTTTTTTTTTTTTTTTTTTTTTGAGACAGGGTCAGGCTGGACTGCAGTGGTGCGATCACGGCTCACTGCAGCCTCGACCTCTCGGGTTTAAGTAATCCTCCCACCTTAGCCTCCCGAGTAGCTGGGGGACTACAGGGGTGTACCACCACATATGGCTAATTTTTTATTTTTTGTAGTGATGAAGTCCTGCTGTTGCTCAGGCTAGTCTTGAACTCCTAGGCTCAAGCAGCTCTCCCTCCTCGGCCTCCCAAAGTGCTAGGATTACAGGAGTCGGCGACCACACTTGGCCCAGAAAGGTCTTGAGTGCTCATTCCCTAAGGCCGAGGAAAGCTTGACAATTATTGGACAACTGGGTTTTCTCACAACTAGAGAATGGAAGAGAAGAGAAATATGGTTACAAAAAGTACAAGTGGAATCTTCAGAATTACAAGCATGATCAATAAGACTGCATGAACCTATTTTTACTAACAATTTTTCCATTAGCACGTCTTGAAAACCACAATTCTGCTATCAATAGGAATCTAAAATACTTGAATTGCTTTAATCCTTTGCTATCCCTAAATCACAAGTAGATTGGAAGTGGGTCTTGTGTGGCCTTGATTATAGAGGAACAAAGTAGCAACTGTATTGAGGACCGTCCATGACAGCTTGCTGATTTGGGGGAGATGAGTGGGATGTGATTTCTTGGCCATCTTAATGGGCTGGACACCCTAGAATGGAAGTGTTTAAGCAGGGTCCTCTAGAAGGAAAAGTTCAGGTGGTTTCTGAACCACGGAAATTGTGTGCAAAATGCAGTGCTTATGTTCACATGTCCATCTTTCTAGAGAGAGGGTCTGTAGCCCCCAGCAACTGAAAAACCAGTGGCACAGAGGGAGATGAGGAAATGAGGAGCTTTGGGAAAACTTGGCTTTCAAAAAAATATACTGAGGATGATTTAATGCAGAAATATCTTGAAAGAAAAGATGAAAGGACGTATTACTTCTTTTGTTCACTCAAGCCAATTAAATCAACAAATATTTACTGAACACCTACCATGTATGAGTCATTGAGAAATATCCTAGGAATACAGTCATGAAAATTGAATGGCCCATTAGATCATGGTGGTGTAGCCTAGGGCACTGATTAACATTGGCTGAACACATATTATATGCTAGGACTATTATGCACATTAATAAAATCATCAAAAACCACATAAACTTCAAAGCAGTATATATCATATTAAATCTCTAAGTATATATCCACTGAGAGCTGTCTGACTCTGAAGCCAGTCCTTTAGCCACCCACCTATAGGAGCTTAGCCCTGGGGAATTCTTTGGGCAGAATCCAGGGACATACTGAGTTGGGGTTTGGTGGTTCCAAGGAAAGCAGCTTCCACCTGAAAGGAAGTACAGTACTGGGGCCTTACTTCCCTAAAGACCCAGGGAGGGGAGAGAAAGTGCTCTGCTTGTATCCTAAGCACAAATGCAATACAGCAACATCAGTAATGGTAACTGAGTGCTTACTGCATGCCAGACCCGTGCTAAGCTCTCTCCATGCACTATCTTAATGTTCACAACCTCACACAGTAAGCATTATTAACAACAGCACTTTACAAATAGAAATTTGTTGAGGCTCAGAGTTGCCATAGCTGGTGAGCATCCACAGCCTACATTCAAACCCAAGTTTCATTCCAAAGCTTTGCTTTCCTGCTGCTGTATGTCTTTTGCGTCATCTTCGCATATTTAACCTCCTTGGCTCAACTGGGAACTCTTTGAAGGCTAGGGCCATCAATTACATTTTTGTTTCTTCCAGAAAATTGGCACGTACTGTGGAGTAATAACAACATTAGTACTAACAAACACTTACACACTTTCACAGAATTGTCAAGGACTACGAAGGGTCTGAGATTTCACCCTACTTGCAACTTAGCAAGTCAGTTGGCCAGTTTTACAAATGCTGATAGAAGACACTAGACTCTCAGTTCAGACATTTACTCACAACAGAAATAGCCATCAGCATTTTTGCATTGATTCCTACAGTATGACAGTTAAGAGGGCCAAAAGACACCTGTATACTGCATGACTTTCATTCAAGAACAGGAACTCTGAGTTAGGAAACCGAATCTTTTGTAATGGGAGTAAGCATGTCTGTTCTTTGCTCTAGAGTGAGACACTATCTCAATCTTCCAAGGATGTTATATACAAACATCCTTGCAAAGATAGTTTGGAACAAAAGGGTACTTAGTGCCTTGCTTCCAAGACGTGTAGAAATGCAAGAATTGTCCAGAGAATTGTCTCCCAACAAGTATATTGTTTGCTATATGTGAGAATCTATTCTCAGCACTTTCATATTCATTAGTTCCTTTAATCCTCACATCTCTATAAGATAGCTACTATTATTATCTCCATTTCTCAGGAGAACCCAAGGTACAGAGAGATTAAGTAGCCTGCCGGAGGTTACACAGCTTGTAAGTAGCAGAGCTGGGATTCAAATCTGGCTTGCTTCATAGTCCAGGGTGTAGCAGTTTCACTATTCTAACATTTGCTGGCATCAGCAACACACCTGCCTCCGTCCTTTTTCTCCAAAGTTTATCACCATATGAGAGTCCAGTGGTTCTCACACTTCAACGTCCCATCAGAAGATACAAGGTCTTGCTACCACAGTTGAATTCACGTCTGGCCTGGCGCCTGAGCACTTGCATCTCTATATTTCCTAGGTGATGTTGTGTGACACTGCAGAGTCTGCTTATTATGTCTTTCCCTCTAGGATATGAGCCCCATGAAGATCCAGCCGCTTTGTTCAGCGTGGCATCCTCAGTGCCTGCTGTAGTGCCAGACACATCACAAGCCTTCAATGCATTTATTGAAATAATGAGAAAAGGAAATGCAGGAAGAGGGATCCATTTCTTCCAGATTCTGTTATCTGACCTTAACCTTGGAAAATCCTCTAGTGCCATCCTGGCAGTTAAGGCCCTTGAGCAGCCGTCACTGCCACAGGCTACGGAGGTAAAGGAAGCAGCAAAACAAATCTTGAAAAAGGCAGCTTGCTCCTGATGGAGCTGCATGAGTTACAAGGTTTTTAACTGCAAGAATTGTTGGAGCCACTTCTGGTAATATATGAATTTCATAAAAATGTTTTCCAAGGTGCACAGAAACATCTGAGGACTTTAATTAAGCCCTCCACCATCGGGAATGGAACTTTTATGTACATGGACTTTGGATTTTCTTTTTCTCTTTTTGAGCACTGCTGGCAAGGAAGCAAGTACCAAGCGAGGATTCCAATTGAGTTCTTTGACACGGAACCTTTCTTTTCCTTTTTTGGAAAATGGAAGTAATGTACTAGTACAGGCAGTCTGTTTGGGAATATGAGCGTTTATATTAATGGCATTAAACTCAGTATTTATACCACAAGGCACCTCCTTCCCTATGGTTTGTGATAAGACATGTGCAAGTTGCACTGACTTGCTTTCCTCTTTCCCATCCCAGACTCCCCGTGTAAGAAGCGGGTGCTGCTCCAAGACAATGAGTCTTCTTTGTATGCACTAATTACAGAGGAGCTTTTGAAAATGTGGAATCCCAGGCCCTGCCCCCAGAGAGGGACCCTGGAGTTTACATTTTTAACAAGTGATTCTGCTTGCAGGAGGGCATGGATCCCACTTCAAGAACCACTGGAATGGGGTAGGGAAGAGGCAAAGGCCTGGCCTGCGTTCTAACGTCAGCCCTTTTATGCTAGATGAATGGCTGTAGAGTTCTCTTAAACTTCCCAGCACCTTGATTTCCTCATCTAAAAAACAAGTATAATGTGTCTTTGGCTTTCTTAGAGGAATAGTGCAAGAGCACTGTATGGGAAGAGTAATGAAAGAAGAATTTCAGATTTTCAATCTGCTAGACATTTATACATATGTAGAACCAAGATGTCCCTCCAAGGCAAGGAGCATAAATAACAATGAATCCTCAAAGTGTTTTTAAAAAATTTACAGAACAATAACAGTACTTCTAAGGCTTATATTCTCAGTCATGATTATTTATTAAATAGTTTAACTGGAAGGACCAGGTATGTATCCTCCACCCCTTCCATCCATCCCTCCTTTCATCCCATGTAAAATGCTGGCCTGCAGTGACTGACTGACTGAGACTGATACCGGGTTTAAAAGCCAGCTCCAGCCGGGCGCGGTGGCTCATGCCTGTAATCCCAGCACTTTGGGAGGCTGAGGTGGGCGGATCACAAGGTCAAGAGATTGAGACCACCTTGGCCAACATAGTGAAACCCTGTCTCTACTAAAAATACAAAAATTAGCTGGGCGTGGTGGTGCATGCCTGTAGTTCCACCTACTCGGGAGGCTGAGGCAGGAGAATTGCTTGAACCTGGGAAGCAGAGGTTGAAGTGAGCTGAGATGACACCACTGCACTCTAGCCTGGCGACAGAGCAAGACTCCGTCTCAAAAAGAAAAAAAGAAAAAAAACAGCTCCTTTGCCACAAGCAGAGTTCACAGAGCCCTCTTCCCCCAGCACAAGGCCAAGGCTTTACCCCTTTCAGGCATTCCCCTTCCTCATGGGCTTTGCTCCCTCCCTTACAAATGTTTCCTGAAGTGCATACTTTTACAAATCACCTCCACAAGAGATCTGAGGCACTGTTTCTAGGAAATCCAACCTAAGATTGCAATTGCACCATCTATTGCAATTCTGGTCTGGATGTCTGATTTGGCCAAGATCACCGGTGCCATCTGATGCTAACTCCAACAGCCACCTCTCCACCATTATCTTGCCTGACAGCTCAGCGGCATTTGTTCCTGTTGACATGCCACCTTTCAAGACCTCTTTCATCGACCTATTTCTGCAACCTCCCTCCCTTCTGACCTCCAGGTTGCTACATAGAAGTGTCCATTTGACATTTCCATGGCATTCCACAGGTACCATGACACAACAAGTATAAATATGACCTACTTTACTAAATACTAAATGTCTAACTCTATATTACTAAACTACTAATATAACATTACTCTTTAAAAGCCTGCTCTCTGACTACCTTCTTCATCCCACATCACCATCCATAGACACCCAACTCTTCCCCGCACAAGTCCAATCTCCCCAGCATCTCTCAAAGTTGTGTGTGAGTTGGTTCTGGCCAGCTCTTTTCAACGCCATCTCTTTCTGCTGCTCTACTTCCCTGTTCTCATTCTCTCCCCTGGCCCCTGCTAAAGTCCTTGCTGTACCTCAAATGTGCCACGCCGTTCCTTCTACCTAGGATGCACTCGCTTCTACTCGCCTACCTGGTAAAGTCCCAACAGCCCTTTATGGCATAATAAGCACTGCCTTTGCCTCACTGACTGAGCATGCAATGCTCTTTCAGCAGGTATCACACTGTGACACCACACCCACTACACGGTAATATGAACAGCTACTTTGACTCAGCTCTGTCAACACACCCAAGTAAAAATGACTCCATCAAATCACAAATAGTAGTTTGTGCTACTCAACATCAGCAAAATGTAAAGTTACTACATCGTATGTGATTGAGGCAATGTGGCAGATACTGCAAGCTATTTACTAAAATTTCTTTCCTCCCAGTCTATATTTTCCAGCTTCCCTTGTGGTTAGTGTGATGAAGTAAGGAAGTCTGAGCCAGTGCAAAGTGAGAACTAATGTGTTCCACTTCCAGGCCAGGCCCGTAACTTCCCGCCAGTGCTCTTCCATGCTCTTTTCCCTTCCAGCTGACTGGCATCGAGGGGACATCCAGGATTACTAGGGAAAGAAGGCGGTGAGTCGCTGTCAGCCTGGGTCTCTGAATGACAGCCCGGAACAGAGCCCTCGTTGATAGCAAGCAACATTCTCCTTTGTCTCATGAACAAGAAATAAGCTTGTATTGTGCTTGAGTCATTATATTTTGGGGGGCATATTTGTAGTAGTAGGAAGCATTACCCTAACATGGGAAGGTACTGTGGCCCACCCAAGCTAAAATAAAGGACACGTTAATGCAGTCTAAGAAAACTTTAAGCTTAAAATCACTGAGTAATGTGCAGAACAAACATTTGCATTCATTCCTGAGTCAAACCCCACCAATGCTCCTCATCTCCAGGGGAGACAGTCAGGGCATCAATCCCACCCACTCTGATGTGAGCAAGTATGGATCAGTCACTAAGCTGATAAGCCACTGTAGCTGACTGCCTAGCTAGGAAATTCAGCAACCTGTACAGTAAGTATATACTCAGGTAACTAAAATTTTTAAGTCTACATTACTTCTTATATGTAGATTATGTCTTTGTATTCAGCAAAGAAAAACTCACTGATTTTCTAATAGCCCGCCTGAAAATGGAGTTGTTCAAAACATGGTTTACATATATTTCCTATTAGATTTTGCTTATTCATCCTTGCATCTGCAAGAGTTAGTTTATCTGACATATAGTAGGCATTCAGGAAATGTTCCTTGGGCATTATGTAGGGAGAAATTCAAAGAAACGCAAAGCTTCATTGTTTCACTATTCCTTGTGACATTCATAATTACTTCTAGTATCACCCATCTTACAAATGAAAACACTTTTTATTGTGGGCAGTCATAATTGTATGCTATCCATCAAACAATAAAACCTTTATAGCTGAGACACATTCAGCCTGAAGATGAAGTGATATATTGACTTCTTGATCAAATGCCAGAACTTACAGATGAATATGAAACAGACATCAATAATTACAGCTTGCACTGTAGCTGTTGGTTCCTAAGGCTTTAAATTCAATGAACAAGTAAAAACTGGACAGACACACCCTTCAGAAATTAGAGGTGGAAAAGGATTACCTCATTCCATACCTGTCACATAGCAGGCCCCCTGCAGCTATTCAGCGAGAGGCAGCCCAGGGTCCAGGAGGGGGTGTGGGCTGGAGCTGCCAGGATGGTGCCAGTGGGCAGGCACGGGGGAAACCTGGCAGGGGAGCACTTAGGAGCCGAGGTTTCTCTTGGGCACTACCCTCCCTTCCCCTTTCATTCCCTTGTATTCTGCTTCCTTGAGAAACCTGGTCCGGATATAAAAGCACATACTTAAATTCAATTTCTTAAAAATGTCATCTCACCTGGAAAACAAACTTTACTTGAATCTAAAAATGAGTTACTACTACTACTAATAAAAAGATATTCCTCAGCTAATTCTTGATTTACATGCACATCTAAAAACATAGCATTCTGCATGGCATTTAATAAACTATCTCCCAGAAGCCTATAGCTGTGTTCCAGGGATTAAGATCATGAAAGCCAATGTGGCAGGAAGCTACTCTGAAGCATCTCTGTATTTGAAGAAATTCCGGAAAGGGAACAGACACCTCCAGAATACTCACTATTGAGTAGGAGATAATAAAGAGACAACACACCTCATTTTAACAGTAGCACAAAATGGTTCAATGCCTTTCCAGGTTTCCTCGTGGCAATCTCCATTGGCCACATGCTGTCATGTCCTTTACTGAAGGCAAGAATCCCTTCCCAGGAAGTCTATGCTGATTACAGCAGTTAACACTAGAAAATGTGTGTAGGTATTTTTTTCTTTTAAAGCAAGCAGTGTGGAGGGAGGATGAAATAATAAAGATTAAAGAATGCAGTTCTGCACATTTTATCAAAATCTACAGAGCTCCCCAACCTCAAAAATGAAAAATGGACCTTATTGTCTCAGTATCCTACAAAGGCCAAGAATATATATTGATAAATTTATTCTAACACATATTCTACTTTCTAGCATAAAGTCACCCACTAATTTAAATTTGAAAACCTAGATACTCTGATTACCTCATAATAAAAATCACTTGAGATGCACTGCCGTGGGTTTACACAGCCTTCAACTTTTCAAAGTATTTTTCGACCCGTCACCATGCTAGAAGGCACTGATGTCACAAATACCAGTCTACATTTGGTTCTGGAAAAAGATTTTCATGTACATATTTTGTCCAAATATTACTATTTGTTTCATGAAAGTCAGAGCTAAGACTTTAGTAGAGTGTAAATTTTAAGCCAATGAATAAACAGTTGGCAGGAAAAAATATTGAACTGACATGCAAAGCATTTGTTGCTCTGCCAGATACTAAAAATAAAAGCAACTTCTGCCAAAATGGAAAACTTGGATTCAGTTGGTTCTGGATTAGACTAGGTTTCACTAACTTCAAAATGAGATCTGACATAACATCGGCTTGCCTCCTCAAACTTTATCATCTCTTAAAAAATAATGTACAACTCTCATTTTGTTTAAACAACAACCTCATACAATATGTTTTATATTTAGCAAGACACACATTTCTTAAAAAGTAATGTCTTAACAAAAATTTGGACATTTTATAAATTATATCTTCATTTTTTGTGAATTAAATTCAAACTTGTCTTATTAAAGTTATTAATAAGCTAAAAGATAATATTTTAGACAAAAGGTATAAAGAAAATCAGAAGATTTTAATGTGAGTTCTAAGTTGTGACTTAAAAGTTCAGATAACATTTTATTCCTATCCTTAGCCTGCTGCTCCCTTATCTGTCATCCTAAAAAAATAAGTGTTTAAAATATGCAGTTTGAGATTTATGATCAGTTGCAGAAACCTGTTTACGTACTGATTTACAGTCTTGGCTGAGGTATTTAACTCTGTCATCAGAACTAATTATAGCAAACCTAAGATTATATATTCAATCTCTCCTTTCGGTGAAAGACATAGAATGTTCTGCTGAAAATCAGAAACATCCTGAGGGCTCCCAAACAAGAATGCACTGCCAACTTCCCTTTCTCAGAACCAGTGCTGTAAAGCTCAAAATTACTGTTCTTTAGTAAGATGTTTTAGCCTAAAGTACTTAAATAGTAAATCATAGTTACATTAATGCCATACCAACGGCCTGAAACATATTAATCTCAGTTAACAATAACTGACGTTTACATTACTGATCTAACTCAGGCATTCTGGTGGTAGTAAATGCACATATTGAAGTTTTAGGAACCAAAGTTATTACTGATCCAAAAAGAATCCTTATTTTGCTGTGACTAGAATGGAGTGGACAAATGACTACATCCTTTGAGCAGCATGCGTACTCAAGGAATAATGTTTCTAGGAGTAAAATACCTAATTCCTATTAGAAAGGATAAAATAAAACTGCTCTCAAATGACATGTCAGCAGGGCCAATCCAAGACAACCTGTCCCCACAAATCTTCCCTCCAACCCCTTCTTCTGCTACACATAACGTTTTAGAGCTTTCCACAACCCATGCCCAGAAAGGAGTGACGACTTGGGAGAAGTGGCTTCCTTTATTAGATGAGCCCCCGCTATACTTAATTCTGCTGAAATGCCTGCCTTCCGCGTAGTTAAAATGTTCCCATCTACATGAGAACCCCGAGGGGATGCTGAGGGGGCAACTGCGGGCACTGGAGCAGGCTGAAGAAGGGCTTCCTTGGCTGGACAGGATCCCAAGTCAGACCCTACAGGAGGCCACTCTGGCAAGGCTTCAGTATGGGAAGTGCAACATGCCTGCAGGGGTCACTAAATGCTCTAAGGAGTAGAAACAGAAAAAAAAAAAAAAATGAGACTGAAGTCAAAGGGAAATGCCCATATCGGGGCCCCAAGTGTGAGAATATCTATACCACTCGCCTGCTCAAAAATAACATTTTTAGGATTTCAGACAAAACCACTGGATTGTATAGTGAATATTTCCCCCATAATGGATTTTTAGAGGAAAGGTTTCTATACTAAAAGTCTGTATTTACCTAATTTAGCAGTTTGAAATGAATATTGTAGGTAAGTTTTACATGATCATATCTGTAAAATGGAACAAGGGATATTAAATCATAAAATAAGACTTTCCAACATTTGGTCTGGATACTGAATTAGTATGACACATAATATTCTAAAACTTTGCTTTCTCTATGCTGGCTTTTCTCAACTAAATGAAAGCAAGATATGATTTTTGGATGCTTAAATAGTAGCTAGGTATTCTCTTATTCCAGAACACAGAAAAAAAAAGCCATTAAATGTGCCACCATAAATAAAATTTTGTTACTATTTTAAGTCTAAAAATAACAGTAATATAATCATGATTCATTTTACATGTTTCTGAATTTATATTATCAACCCAGAGAAAGTTTATATCAGACAGGTAGGAAACCTCTGACAACGACAGAAGAGGTGAACTGACAAAAACCATGCTGAGTGGTTCTTTACCTCCGCTGGGCACTGAGCAGGGAGGTGCCGACACACCTGGTCTTGTTCACCTGCTTGTTTTATGATTTTCTGGAGCCCCTTTCCTGTCAGAACCAGGAAATGTACATCTAATGAAAACGATTTCCCATGTTACCAATCCTCTCTTTCTGCTCATTAATTCATTCAATCTTTTAAGGAGGAATGGGGAATGGGAGGAAAACCAAACAAATCAGTTCTTAGAAGGTTCAAAGTTATATTATCTTGAGTTATAATTGTCTGTTTAATACAATTACACCATTTTCTCTTCTAAGAACCATCTCATAATTTAAAGAATGACATGGCTGAGAAAAATACTTAGGAAGACATTTTTAGGCGTTGCTGAATTTAAATCATCTTCCAAATACTACATTCTGCTCCTTTCTTTATTGTAATAGTTTATCTGAAAGTACACAAAAATTAACAAATTGCTTTTACTATGCAACTCTGAAATATCAAGTCTGCCTCCAATTAAAAAAAAACAGTAACTACTTTTATAACATTAAGGTCAAGTCATTTGTAAAGATAATATCAACTGAGACTTTTTGGTACTTACGACTAATCCATTATAAACAACTGTCAGTCTTAAAAACACAGTTCCAGTAAACGTGTAGTTACACTGGGTACAGATAAGAAAATACAAGGGCAGCATGGTAGCTCATGTCTGTACTCCCAGAACTTTGGGAGGCAGAGGCAGGTGAATCATATGAGGCCAGGAGTTCAAGACCAGCCTGACCAACACAGCAAAACTCTGTCTCTACTAAAAATACAAAAAAAAAAAAAAAATTAGCCGGGTGTGGTGGCATTTGTCCATAATCCCAGCTACTCAGGAGGCTGAGGCATGAGAATCACTTGAACCCAGGAAGCAGTGGTTGCAGTGAGCCAAGATCGTGCTACTGCACTCTAGCCTGGGTGACAGAGCAAGCGAGGCTCTGTCTCAAAAAAAAAAAAAAAAAGAAAGAAAGTACGAGAAGCTCACTGGCTGTGCTAAACCAAATGAATGGAAAGCGCCAAAAGTGATTTTATACCAAGGGTCCATCCATACAAATAAACAAAATCCTATCCTCTTCTTTCTATATTTTTTTTCTTACATTTCTTATACAAATAACAGAATGCTTCATTTTATTCACTTCAATAGGACAAAGTCCTTAAAGAAAGACTGAAAAGAGCTGATAATCAAAATCCCAAATTTTATGCTTATTTTTGTTTTAGTGCTATCAATTTTCTGACATATTAACATAGGCAGGAAAACATTCTCAGTAAATTGAGCATTTGAGTCTACAAATGTCTTGAAGCACTCTGGCAAGTTACATGTATCCCATGTTGCTTTTGGTTTCCCATCTCTTCTTTGCTTCAAACCTAAAAGGAAGAACATACAAATCTCAATTTATTTCTTAAAAAAAAAAATACTTTGCTGAACATGTTTACTTAGAGACCAAAGCAAAACAAACAAAAATTTTTCACATACTCCAATGATTACAAAATAAACATTAAACAGGATGAAGAAATGCCTCTATATTTATAATCTGATAAACATTCAACGAAGAAAAAAATGTAAAATGAGTTAACAGTTATACACGAACTAGATCACAAAATATATTAGCAGAATTTCTATGAAGTCAGGAGATTTACTACCAAAAATCTTAAGTAAACTCACCCCCATGCAAGTTTCTTCTTTTTTCGGGCAGCCTGTGAATTTTCAACCTCCTTTTTGGCTTTTACAAAGTTGTGGCAGGCAACTGCTTTGGCAATTTTTACACCAAGCTAAGAATTACAAAGGAGAAAAAAAAAGTGAAAATAAATATTCCAGCTAATACAGTAATTACACTTATACAAATAATTGAGAACTTGTGGGTAAGAAAGCCATGTCTAGAAATTAGAAATTCTATGTTCATTCCTTCTCAAAGTATAATGAATACAAAGACAGGACCCATATCTCCCGTGACTCCCAATAGACCCTTTACCCTAGTTATACCAGTCTCCTGGATGGAAATCCTTCTCAAACTGAGGCCCCTCGAGGGTCCACAAAGGTAGTAATGAGGATCTTCAAGCTATTTCAGCATTGCAGTAGGCTGAACAGGAATTTACCCCTGATAAGGCTGCAGACACTGACAGAGACATCAAGTTTCTTTGCTCTGGGCTAGAATTACAGCAACTCAGTATGGTCACACCAGTTATCTCATGCTGATCAGAAGCTCTGATTGGCAGTCACAGATGTGATTAATAAAACATGGGAAAGCTAATTACTACTTCATAAATGCACTCTGTATGATCGGTAACAGCTTTTAATTCACTGAGAGAAAAAAGAATATCAGGGGTGCTAAGGTGAAAAGGCTGAGCACCAGGACCACAGTACTTAAGTGTCCCCTGTGCAGGGCCCTCTATGTGTGCCCCCCTTACACCCACCTGCCAGTCCTACAAGATCCATTCACCGTGAAATCCCCCCATCCCAGAAGTCTTCTTTAACTCAACCTAAAACAGTCCCTGTTTCTCCAGCCCTCCAGCTTTCAGTTTTACACTCTGCCCTGCACGGCGCTCTGGCTGCAGAGCTGTTCCCCAGCAAGCATCTCCAGGATAAGCATTGTGATGGTATCTTCTACTTTTAGTGTGCTCTTAGTTTTAAAATGCCCACCAATGCGGACAGCTCAAGAGTACCCATTAAGAACCCAGATTAAACAATAAAAACGAAGTACCTCTTTGGTGTTTCTTGCCTTTTCTATCCCTTGTACTCACCTGATGCATATTAGTAGACAGGCAGACTTGTAAAAAAGAAGAAATGACCTAGAAGCCACTCTAAAGTCAACAGGTTAAAGCCTAAGTTCTAGGGATCTGCTTGCCAATAGTAAGGCATGGCAGGAGGTTAAGAGCACACGTGTAAGGAAAGAAGCAAACTTAGGAGAGCAAGGTTTGGCACGCTTGACATGTCTTTCAGCTTAATCTTGGAGAACAGTTTCCTTTAGGATGAAATCGACAAGTAGTAATCAAGCACTGTCTGTAGTTTATAAATGAGGGCAAAAATAGATTTGATTTTTCAGTACAGTTAAGAACATATATATAAAGAACGTAGACAAATGGAAGGAAGCTGACAATTGAACTACGGTGCCGAATTGGTCAACATCAACAGGAAAGGCGCCGAAGAAAGGATGATCCATTGTAAAGCAGACCAACCTCGGTGTGTTCCCAAAACTCAAACCCGTATTTAGCAGTGCTACTGTCGTCCTCCTCTTTTTCAAAGGAATAACATTCATTCAACAAATTTTACAAAGGCATAAATGCATAATTTTGCCAGGCACTGTTCTAGGTGCTGGAGGTAGAGCATTGAGTGAAACGGGTTGTTTTCAAACTGTGGGGCTGGGGAGGAGTTGGCAGTTACATTTGACTGCTTTAGTATTGGCTTTGTTCTTTTGGTTCTCTTTTCAAAATTTCCAGTTCTTTATTGTAGAAAAGTTCACGTAAGTCAACCAAATAAAAAAAGGTTAAGAATCAAAAGCCTGTATTATCATCATCCCAGGAGAAAATGAAACTCTGGAAGGAGGCTGTGGCATAATTTATCATTAAGATGAAGTTCCTATCCACTGAAAAACTATCCATTTGTCATACATGTAAAAAAAAAAAAATCAAGTTAACACCTATCAACTAGTTAGGCTAGTCAACCTTGCAGTATCCAACAAATATCCAAATCTCACTAGCTAACTTCTATTTCTTGTCTCATTTTAAGTCCCTGTGGATGGGCAGGACTCTCCTCTAACCTGTGATGCCGGCATCTCAACATGTGGCTTTCAGGACTATTATGGCAGAACAAGAGCGGGAGGGCCTCACAATGGCTCTTCGATGCTTTAGTTCGGCAGTGACACAAATCATTTCTGCTCAGAGCCCACTGGTCAGAACTACTCACGTGGCTCCGAAACAAGGGGGCTTGGAAATGTGGAGGTACAGCAGGCTATGAAGGGAGCAGTAAATATACCTAATAAACTCTCTTCTGCTGTAAATCATAGCTGGCTACTTGTGTTTAAGATGCATATAGGTCTCTCCACATTCAAGTGGACAATTCAGTCTCTTTCCTCTTCCCCATCGCCAAAACGTAAAACAGAAAAATCTATATTTTTTCCATTAACTCCATTCCTATCAAATGCAAATTCAGTTTTGCCAAAACCACCCACCAAAAATGACCCACTCAGCTAGCTTCTCTTATATTTCAACTGAGACTATACTGTAAGAAACAAAAATGATCTGAACCATATTTGCCATGTAACATTAACAATGTGAGAAAATTATTTTTTAAAACTGTTGTCAATTAAGACATAACTTATATTTTTCTCATTGGAATTTCCCAACATGGCTGTCCTGGTTAGGACAGCCAAACCAAGCCAAAGAGCAGCTCCCTATGTCTGGGCATGCAGTCATCTGACTTCAATAGACTCTTCACCTCGACATGTCATGTACTCTAAGAATGTAAAAGCTTTTAGTGCTCCAGCAATGCTAAGGCCAAATCCAGCACAACTAGCATCACAGTAAATACTTAACAGCATATGTTCCTTAATACAGTATATGCTTGTTAAAAATAATTCATTAGAACGTATTAATAAGCAGCCATTCACATGAGAGGGCTCCATCATTTTGTGAGCTTAATAAATATAATAAACAACTAGGTACATAAGCAACACTTTCAAACAGACCTGATCCTATAAAAGGTATATTTTCTAACTGTATTTTACCTTGGCTTAGGTTAAATAAAATGTTCTTCAGCTGATAAAACACTAAGCAAACCTGGTCTATGTATTTTCTACAGAAAGAAATCTTTTAGCTTGTAATGATGAAAACTCATAGCCTTTTTGTGTCCTTCGTATAATTAAAATGAACGTGTCTCACTTATTTCTGTGGAGAAAGAAAAAATATCTGAAAATATAAAAGGCTAATAAGACCTTCTATGAAAGAGGCAGTTGAGAAGAAACGCAGTTTCCCAGTCAAGATGACTAACCTGGGTTCCAGAATATAAAAGAATATCGTGCTGTGCTGCAGTATTACAAACAAATAAAATAGGCCGAAAAGAATCCCCCTTCCACTTCCATAAAAAGAAAAATGCATCTTCATGCTCAATGTAAACATCACAAAAGCTTGGTCAATGGTTTAATATTTAAAAAATGGTTTTGGGTCATCAGATAACTATAGCAACACAACGTGGAAAGAAATTTTTTTAAATGAATAAAATATATACAAAATTTCTTGTATGTGTAGCCAAAGTATCAGCATTTTCCATATAGAACATCCAATATTTTGCTGCATTTTAATTAAGGTGTCTAAACATTATCACAAAGAACTGCAAATTGGTCAGAGCATGCAGTAAGGAAAATTAAGCTCTAAAGGCTTTTTATCACCATATTTCAGGAACCAAGGGTGTAAAATGTTCTAATTTGGGATATATTAAAAGCCATAAAAGGTCTTTCAAAAAGATTAATGGTACTTTGCTTGGATTTAAGATAAGGGCTTTAGCTGGTTGGAAAAGCAGGGCCCTGGCTGGACCCTTGAGGCATTCATCTTTACAGCCACTTGGAAGATTTGTAAAAGCGTCTGCATAACCTCAAGCAAATGCACGGCGACATTTTTTTAATTCCTTTCAATTTTACAGGTTTAGCGTGTGTAAATCATATTGGGTTGTAAAATAGATATAATGGCACATCCTTGCAACACAGTACAGATTTTTAAAAGACAAACTTCAAAATAAAGTTAGTTTTTCTTGCAAAATCTTGTCATTATAAAGTTTGCTGATAATCATTTGAAGTATCTGATTCAAACCGCTTAATCTAGCATAACTGTAAATTTCTTATCCGTTTCAGAGTAAATTTTACTCATCTCAAAATTACTAGCTTGTAACAGATTTATAAAGTTTTCCTCCCTTTTGAACACTTTCAAGGCACTTATTTAAAAATACCAATTATCATACTTTAACTTTTTATGGAATAATAGGTCTCTATGAAAAATATTTATGCCATTCTCTTTTGTTCTTTAATTAAATGAAAACAGATGTTTTCTGAAGTAAAGCGGAACCATTACTGGAGTACTTAAAGTGTTAAGGTCTTTAATTTTTATATCAGTTTGGTCGACAATTCTTGATTGTCTTTACTCAAGCTCAACATTAATGTCAAGCAAGTTACCTAGGAGACGAAAGAGATCAAAGAGACAAAAACCCCTCCAATGTCTGATTAATCAAGCCTGCAAACAGCTTATTTCTTTTAGCCTGCATGCAAGTATGAAAATGAGATTCTGGGAGCCGAACATGGTGCAGATTTGTTCATTCTTATCAGAACAAAGCCAGCGGCAGCTTATTTCATGGATCATTGGCACTGTCATCAGTGCTACACAGAACGGGTGACAGCTCCTCATTTTGAGGCTTGAACAAAATTAGCAAAAAGTCGGCACAAATTAGCCTCTCATCTTTTTAGTAATATGACATTATTCATTTACTTTTTATCCAATTTTTAATTTTTTCCTTGTCAGCTATCCCTTTCTAGTGTCTCTTGCATGGCATCATAAAATGCCTTCCAAAAAACAAGCAAAGAAATAGCCAAAGTTGAAATAACATACAAAGTTCAAGAAGCAAATAAGAAAAAGTACTTCCAATGACTGGTAACACTGTGTTTTTAAAAAATAACTTTCGAAACTCTGCATTAATATTGATTTTTAAAAAACAGCTCACAATGCCTTGCAGTGAAGGAGTTTTAAGAAACTGGTGGTATATTTCAACAAAGAATATAATGTGACCAATGTGTTTCACTCAAACCACAATTTAATATATTATGTGCTCTAGTAAATTCAAGACATCTACATTTGAACTGGTACCTTTCCCTCCATGGTCACACCTGAGATGCCAAAGCCCTGGTGAAGCAAATAAGCTAGGCCATATCCAGTCACTTAACTCCTTCTTTAAATCAAATCATTTTCTGTCCTAAGAAATATAACCTAACTTCACTGTCATCTTAAAATGTGCATGCACAGGTTTGCATATGTTTGCACGTTTGTATACTACATGTATCTATATATATGTACGATCGTTTACACAGCTATCATTTATTTTTATACCTACAACTCCTATCACTTTATTTCAAAGCATAACCCAACAAATCCTGTTTTTAAAACACATCAAATAGATATATATACAAATATCTTTTATATGTGTATATCCACATATCATTCATATATGTGTGTATATGTGCATATATGATTCATATACTCTGATTTCATAGTGAAATCATTTACATAACACCTGTTTTAATGATGACTATTAAGGCTTCAAATTATATGTGGATTACAGTATTCCAAAGGAGGGAGAAGATGATGTTCTACTGTTGAAATTACTCCTGGATACAGACGTTTATATTCAAGCAACTTATGCCATTCATAAGGGGAAAAAAGCATTAAAAAATTAACCATAAGCTGTTAGATGCTTTACACAGCCCCCATAAGAAAGACAGTTTTTTAAAGAACTGTAGTACTGTTTTCAGCAATTTCTTTATCTCTGTTCTTCTAAGTAAGAAAGCCTATTAACAAGCTTTGAACTTAAAATCACATTTACAATAATGTGCCATCAACAGTTTTATAAGCTAATTAGAAAAAGATTAATTAATGACTGGCTGCTAATAAAATGGCAATCATGAAGAAAGAAACCAAGGGTGCTAAGCTTCAACTACCACCAATTAAGAGCTAATTACAAACAAATTATATATGTGTTTTGCTGTGGGCTTTAATTTACTAAAATGGTTTTAATTAAAAGAGAAAACATGCTGATTAATTGAACTGCAGAAAAATTCTACAGTATAAACTGTGCTTTGTCTGTCTCTTTAATTAGACTTGTAACATCTGAAATCTTTTTTTAAGGTTAGTTAAAAGCACAGATAAACATAATTAAAAGAGAGCATAAGGAACACCATTTGAGGTGATCACCCAATCATACCCCAAAGGTTAAAAGAAAATATCCTCAATGTAATGAGATTTGAATAAGCACACCTAAAAACCTGAGAGAAAAAAAACCATCACTGAACACCAGCCTTATTTTTCTGATATTAAAATGCTGCAGTGTCACGGCTGTGCACAATTTTGTATGGGAACAAACATATCTTTAAACTAGATGTAAAGAAATTCATCCAGGCCCTCTCTTACTTGGGAAGTCACAGCTTATTTTCCATACATTGTGCCAATTGTTGATCTACATGTAATAACTGAATTACCTGTAAGAACTAAGGAGAACAAGGCTTCAAAGAATTAAAATAGCCCTTTAAAAGCCCCCCAGATAATGTGCGGAATACAAAATGATACACAGAGTAACTTTTAAATTAAAAAGCACTGAAAGATGACCAAAGTTAATGAATGAGAGCGAGTTCTAGATGATCCTCAACAGACACACATATCCTTCCCAGAGGCAGAGTTCCCACATTCCCTAGGTGGTGAATTAGCTCCTGATCAACACAAGCCTATTTGGTGAAAGGTTTTTTCCCTCCCCAGTGTCCTATATTCTTTCTCATTGCTGATTAGTGAAATACACCAAAAAGAAAATGGTCTCCTATATTCTTTCTCATTGCTGATCAGTGAAATATACCAAAAAGAAAATGGTCTCCTAAACTCTACTGCTTTACTGGAAAGAGTAATAATAAACAAGCAAACAAAAGAAAAAGTAAGGGACAGAAGGCACAGTAATAAAATTTGAAAGAGAGACATAAAATATATTTTGCCAGAGTGCAGACATTAGATGACTCTGTATGAAATAATCATTTAAACAAAAAACAACCATTTGCTTTTACAGCAAAACCTACATTATATTCGTCATACACATCCCTGATACTAGCAATGAAGTAACTTCCTTTCCATAAAAATAAAATATTCAAATGGAGATATTAAATTTAAACCCTTAAAATACATATAAATAATACTTAATGCATTTTTTACTATGTTTACCCAATCTTCAGTGGCTAGAAATCACAATTAAGACAACAGAAAAGATCTGCAACCTTTCCGCAGGGTCACAGGTTCCAGTGGTAAATTGTTAGAACAGCTAATTGGAATACACCGCTCAGCTTTGTATCTGAGCAAACCGTTTTACCTCAGAAACGTGGCTGTCAAGACATTTCTACACAAAGTATTCACAAAAACAGAAAACGATTTTGTTTTCTGGATTACAGAATAAAGATCTGCTTCACTATAATATTGTCTTTCAATTCAGTTTTTTTCAGTTATTTTTTTGATGCAAACATAATGGCCCTGACTAGAAGTAACTTTAAACTTAGGTTTGAGAACATCTCTAGTTCAAAATTTAAGCAAATGTTTTGAACTCCAGACACAATAACACTCCAGGTACTCTGATCAAAATTGTATTATTTGGGAAGGGCTTTTTTTTTTTTTCCCAGGGGGAGGGGACTTCAAGCTCCTTTTCCATCAAGATAACAGCACTTACATCTACATAAAACTAATAACTGAAATGAAAAGGAAGAATTGTAGTCAAACCCTTTCTCAAGGAAACCAAAAGCTAACAATAAACTGACTGGAAAAGTCCTGAATACTAGAGCAAGTGCTACAGCATCCACAGCACTTTTGAGAAAGGACTACTTCTCAGATGTTAATATAAAACGAAAAATCTGTCTCCTCAAATGTACATATAAAGTCCTCTTCTAGGAGAATGCCTTTAGATGTTCTCCACAATTGCTTTACAGAGCTTAGGCTACAAATTAACAGTCTGCTCAAATTTAGAAAGCATTTAATTCACTTAGTTATAAATTACAACTCAATCAATTCAAACTTTATTTTTTTAATGGCCATTCCTACCTTCTTGAAATATTGACAAACTATTACTACTTCAACATTATTAACTTTACCTGTATTTTGAAATCCAAAAATCTAAGCAGTCTACTTCATTTATAATAAAATTAAAATTCAATTTCTGGCACAATTCATTCTGCCAATACAACACTTACATCTATAAAGAGGGTACCATTAAAATGAGATATATTTATCATTTCTACTTTTGATACACCGTGGTTATATTCTCAATAATATTAAGCTCAACAGCACTAAGGGCTGAAGTCATTGCCTTAGTTCCTTTTTTATAAGTTCAAAAAATGAGCTTTCATATATGAAAAATTTTATCGTATCATGACTCTAAATCAAAGGGTTTTAGATTCAGCAAAGATGGCAGCGCATTATAACCACAGGATCTGAGATGTAAATATTATATTAAATGCCTTGCAAATCATCAAAAACCAATATGATTACTCTTTGTAGCTTGTGCAAAACTGTTATAATGTTACAACATGAAGTTCTGGTGTTTTCAAGGAGTCAGGTTTACTCTGCCTTCAAAGACCATCCTGTTTCAGCTACTTACAGAAAAAGGATAATCTTTAAGGGCATAAAAAAGCCAAAATGAAATTCATAGGCAACCTCTCTTTCCCCATTCATTTCTGCCATCACACTATATAGGTATAACTGAAATCAACCTAAGCAATAGGTATGATGCTTTGGATGGCAGAAACTCACGGTTCTGCTGCCAAACCAAGTTGGTTTTTATCTATAGCAGGCTAACATGAAGATGCCTAGAGAGAAATCCCCTTTTATGTGAGGTTCAATCTAAGTAATCGGTAGTAAGCAGTTACTACTTTAACATTATTAACTTACCTGTATTTTAAAATCCAAAAATTTAAGCACTCTATTTATAATAAAAAATTAATTTATTAAATAAAATAAAAACTTTATTTATTAAATAAAATAAATTTATTTTTATTAAATTTTTAGTTAAATCTGCTTCCTTTGTTAAATCTAGACTTTAGCACTTAATCTTAAAATATTTGTTTCTATCGTTTTCTATAAATTGGTATGATTTAAACAAACATAATGTATAAGAAAAGAAAGTACCAAAGCGTGGCATTTTCAATGATCATTATCAATGAATGGAATGTACATCAAACCAAGTCTGAGTTTAACAAGCCACAAATACACTCAAATACTTGAATGTGTATTTTATACACATACACACACACACACATATTTCAAATTAGAACAGTTTCATCAGTATGACACAAACCTAAGTATATGTTTCTACTTCATCTCTCCCCCAAGACTTTTAACAAAGTATTTAATCAACAGGAGGGACAGTCTCAATCACATTACATGACAAAACCAAAGACGACAGCATAATCTAGGCTTCAAACATGTGAAGTGACTGAGACATCCCCCAAACCAGATTCTACACATCTTAATGCCATCATTAATTTAAGGGAGTATGATTCCGGAAAACTATGTTCTTGCTGTATCACAACAGGAGCACACTAACAGTCTTATTTTGGAATACCGTTTTGTGTGTGTGTGTGTGTGTGGTTTTTTTTTTTTAAGAACTGTTTTCAAGGCCTATTCTCAGACATGGTTCTACTTTTGGCTTCATTTTTCTCAATACTGATGCTGCCCCATTGGTTTCATAGGTTTATAAATGTTAAACATCAAAAATTAGTTTCACTTATTATGGTTGGAAAAGGCTTTAAGAACTCTGGGATCTGTGCCTCTGAGCAAAGGCTTTATCAGCAGGTCCCAGTCACTGCTGCTTGAAAAAAGAAAACGGTACTGATGAAAAACCAATATACCTGATTTCCAAAAGGACACCTATCATGCACATATACATTTAATTCATAAAGGGCTTCTGCCCCCAAACTCACACTTAGTTCTCAAAATCCCATCTCTCATATCCATGGTTATTGGTACCAAGGAGATAAATATGTAAAATTAAATCTCAAACCAAACTATTCATTCAAAAATTCCATCTTGATTATTCTTCACGGGTACTTAATGAAAGTAACATCAGTATCTTTCCAATTTGGCCTGTGTCTGAACGGCAAACATTTTCCAGATGTTTTTCCACTTACACAGGGCAAAGAACAGGGCCTAAATTATTTTTCTTTTAATCAGAATGCTATAATCCCACATTAAACACATTTATTTTACCAGAAAAAAACATTGTATTTGTATGAATATAAAAAGTACAATGAGAAAAACATTTACTATTCTTACAAGGGCTGAAAATCTCATGTATTTCTGAAGCAATCTCATTTGTCAAAAAGTGTGACAGGAAATAGCCCTTAAAAAATGGAAAACATCTAGTCAGTATCATACAATTCCCATTTCTAAAACTGCAGTATGACAAAGCAAAAAAAAAAAAAAAAAAAAGAATCCTAATATCCTCAAAGGAAACTCACATTTCTGAAACCTCTAAGGCGCTAGTTCTGTATGTTTTGACAAACAGCTTCAAACTGCACATAGAAAGGAAAGCTTGTAGTGAATAGTAGCGAGGTAGACAAGGACAGAGTTCATATGCAACCGCTGGTGGGCAGAATGTCACATGGTGACCCTACACCAGGCCAGTGCATCATTTAGGAAAACTTTATCCAAGTCCCAATTGTCCAGATTTACTGAGAAATTTAGCAAAGGCACACAAAAGATTCTATAATCCAACAGCTCACTTAAGCCAAGTTTTAGATTTAGTTTGCTGGGTGATGATTAAAAGTACAATGAGATCATATTTTAAAGATCAAAAGTCATTTGGCAGTCACCATAATAAAAACTGTCACAAGCAAGAAAATCAGCAGTGGACACTAAAACAAACAGGGAAAACATGAGAAAGAGAACATTTACACAGTCTCAGATTATCTCCTAACTCCCCACAAGACACTTATTTATTCCAAAGAAAGAAACAATAACATCACAGTGGAGAAATCTGGAGACACTACCTGAAGTAGTTAATCGAAGTAACACCATCAGGAAAGGGACAAAGAGACAGCACGAGTCTCTGGATCGCTGACACTGAGAAACACACAACATTACTCCCATGATTTTCCTGCCAAAAATGCATAACCTAAAACTAATCATGAGGAAACAGCAGACAAATCAAAATTATAAGGGACATGCTACAAAGTAACTGGCCTCTTCAGAAATATTAAGGTCCTGAGAAACAAAGAAAAACTGAGGAACCATTCCAGATTAAAAAAACTAAAGAAACATGACGACAAAATGCAAAGTCATTGACTAGGAAAAAGAAGTTTCTTTTGCTATAAAGGGAATTAGTGGGACAACTGGTAAATTTAAATAAAGTATGTCAAATTAGAAAACATGAAGGCAAATGTTGTAAAATGTTAGCATTTCTGGTATCTGAGGGAAAGGTAAATAGGAAATCTTTTTCCAAATTTCTCAACTTTTTGAAAGTCTGAAATAATTGCAAAATATAAAGGGTGTTGTTGTTTTTTTAAGTAAAATGTGTTCAACTCAAAACTTCAGCATTACTAACTCTACTAAAAGGAACATAGAACCTGCAGTAAAATAAATGCTTCTCTGTGAATTCCCCTTGTTTCAGATGGGGGTACTAATAAGCAGAAAAAGATAAAAAGATGGACAGTTGTGCACGGATCACATGGAGTCCACATTTTAACCCTGAAGACTAGGCTTTCCCTTACCTTTTCTTCCTTTAGCAAAGCAAAATCTGAGGAAACTGACTGACTTGGGGGATTCTGTTGGTCAGTCACTTGCTACTTGGAAGAGATCACAAAATACGCAACTCTGGGATCTTCCAAAAGGAAGACTGGACAAGCAACAGCAATAGGACACCAGCTTGTTGAGTCCTGTGATCCTAAAGAGACCAGCGAAGAGAAAAAATCCATACCATTTCTAAGAACAATAGGGCAGCCATACTCTATGTCCCTGCTGGTTTTTCTTATGTGCCTGTCTTACGCTTTACTCGGAACTATCTCACAGACTCCAGAGCAGCTAGCATCTAACAGCAACTGGTAACACATTTCCAGAATTGTTAAAGGGATTCAAGAGACACTTGTTCAACATACAGCAGGACATGGAATGCTTTATCATCACTAGTAATGCACTTAAGTATCAGTTATCTAGAAGGTTCTGTTTCTGATCCAAATGAGGTAGATATTCAGACCAGACTGCCACCACCTTCTGCATCCCTAAGGACTGGTTACTGCTGCCTTGTGTGCTTTTCAGTCCCTGAAAGCTCCCTTAAATCTTGAGCCACTCCTCACTATACTCCCCCATCCTTAGAGCCATGAAAGGTTATCTACGCACTGGAGTCTCTCCCAACCTCACAGGTACTGCCCCTCTCTACCATTTCCTGACATTTTCATGGTCAAGTCTCCAAAATTTGGAGATCAGATATTCTACTGGTATAATTTTGCTATACTTTCAAGTACAATTACTTGAAAGTATATACTATACTTGAAAGTAACTATACTTCCAAGCTGGATAAGAAATGAAGCTACTATTTCTAAAAGACTTTCTATGGAAATAAAAGTTCCAAGTGCCAAAAGAGTCTACTTACTAACAAACAAAAGATATTACGTTTGTTGAATAGAATTTTAAAGATGATTTTCGGCACAGAGCTCTTCATAGGGAGAAGAACTCCTAGTTTATTCATATAGAAGAAGCCACTGTAATAACAACTAACACTGAAATCCTACTGAGTTTATGGCACCATTCAACACACTTTCAAATTCACTTTATTAAAATGAGATACCTGTACCTTTCTATTCCAAAATAGATTAATAAAATGCTGTTATACACAATGAAAGCTATACTCAGTGAATCAAAATAAGGCTACCTTAGAGATGAAACAGAGTAATAGTCAAACTGCAAGCACAAGAACTTATAAGATGGGAAGGGGAGAACTGTATCTTACAAGAAAAAAAACAAACAGTAAAAATACTTTGTGATCTATCTAGCACTTTCACTTCCGGGTACATACCCAAAAGAACTGAAAGCAGGCATTCAAACAGATATTTGTACACCAATATTCATAGCAGCATTATTCGTAATGGTCAGAAGGTAGAAGTAACCCAAGTGTCCACTGAAAGATGACTACATAAGCAAAATGCAATACAAACCCAGAATGTAACAAGTACATACAATGGAGTATTATTCAGCCTTAAAAAGGAAAGGAATTCTGACACATGCTGCAGCAACATGGAGTAAATTTGAGGACACTATGTTAAGTGAAATATGCCAGATGCAAATGGACAAATATTAAATAATTCCCCTTATATGAGATACCCATAGCAGTCAAATTCATGGAGACAGAAGAGTGGCTGTCCAAGGCTGGGTGGAGGGGAGAATGGGTACAGAGGTTAATGGGTACAGAGTTTCAGTTCTGCAAGACAAAAAGTTTTGGAGGAGGGTAGTGATGGTTGGACAGCAATGTAAATGCACTTAATTCTACCGAACTGCACAGCTAAAAATGATTAAGACAGTAAATTTTATGTTATGTACATTTTACAATTTAAAAACCTTATATAAAATGTCAGCTTATTTTCTGAAAGGCCATATAACTGCCATTTATGTTATTTCTTGGCTATTTCCCTAAATGAAGTCCATGGCTTTATAATTTCCTTTATATTAGTCATTAATATATATTCTCTCTCACACACACACACAAACACATACACACACATTAAACACAGAAGTATTTAATGTGACAAATGATTTTAAAAGGTTTAAAGAAAAAAATATAATTTCTGAATCCCCTTTCTCAACTTGTTTTTTCCCTACGCCAAAATAAAAAATTCACAAGATACTTAAAGCCTGCAGCCAAAAAGAAAAAGACAAAACGAAAAACGCAAAAATCACAACAAACATCCATCCACAGTAGATATTTTTACATCAGATATAATGATGGAAGAGTGCAACAGTATTTCCATAGAAGAATTTGCTGAAATCACAGTTATCTCTGGTCTCAGTTTAGGATAAAAAGTCCACCTGCAAGTCAGAATAGTGAGTGTGGCCAGTAATTTACCCAGATAACCCATGATGCTCTCTACGTAACGAAACACTATGGAGTAGTTAAAGTCTGAGGTGAAGGAGGGAAGGATCAAGGCACTAAAAAAAAAGACTATGGTGGAGATTTTTTCCTAGAAAGGAAAAAAAGGAATTACAAAGCAACAACAATAATAACAAAACACATGCCAATATGAGCTCTTTAATCTATATTGACATTAATTCTCAACTGGGGGAATTTGCCCACACCCCACCTCCAGGAGTATAATTCAGAATCTTCTTGTGGCCTTCTGTACTTGGCAAAAGAATACCCAATATATCTATTAGTTTTATACTATAGAAAAAAAGAAAAAAGACCCAAAATTCTTTAGGGCTGAGGGGGATGTGCTGAGCAAACAGTAAGAAAGCATTTTACCAAGGGTTAAGAAAAGGTTCAGGGATGTGGCCTTAGAATACACAGTTGCCCTCAGAGTTCAAATGAGTTAAAGATGCAAACGGAAAAGAAAGCTAGCATTTTAATCATACCTGAAACAAACCTCTCTGATCCAGGTAAAATCTAAGGTTCAGTATCAATCATGGATTATTTCTAGCAAGTTTTAGACCAGAATGATTTAAAAACATTAAAGACAAAATAAAACCTAGCATTTCAAAATAAATGACAGAATAAAAGAGAAGAAAATGGACAAAAAGGAAAACCTCAGATGAAATATTTTAATACTGAACTTATTAATGATCATAAAAAGAATACAAATTTATTCTAGAAAATTTGAAAATACAGAAAATGTGTAACCCTTTTGACTCACCTCTCGAGTAGCTAGCTGGTTGCTGAGTTCCTCAGCCTTCTCAATATTCCACTCCTCCACAGCCTGGTCTATCCTCTTTTCAAGGCCTGACTAGAAAAAAAAGAAACCTAAAATTAAGGGCTGGAAGGAAAGCAAACATTTGCTAGCCAAGACCATGTCACAGAATTATACTGAATGTGTTACACAAGTAGACCATTAATTCTCACAATAACACCAGAAGGTAGCTGCTACCATTCCCATTAGTACCAGAAGGCTGAGACAGTAAATGGCTTACCTGAGGTCATGTAACTTCTTGAACTAATAAAAATAAGACGCAAATCCAGATTTTTGTGAATCAAAGCCTATGCTTTCCCTTAATAACAACAATAATGTTAATGATAACAATAGCTAAAAATTATGGAGTGTTTATTACGTGGCAGATTCTGGGCTTAATACTGTAAAAAAGCTCATTTAATTCTTATAACAACTCCATGAATAATAATGCTATCCTGTTTTAAAGATGAGGAAACAGAGCCCAAGACTCCTGAACTTGGCCAAAGCCAGCGTCTGTAAGTAGTAAAGCCATCACATGAATTCAGGTTTGCTCAGAGCCTGCATTCTCAACCACAAGTTTCTTCTGTCCCTTTTCTTACTGCCCATTCCTATAGCTCAGGACTTTCAGTCAATAGCCTCCACAGCCTTTGACTATGACCATTAGGCTGAATATTAAACAGCAGAGGAAAATTATACATAAGAATGATTTTATTTTCTTATGTATATGTTTTTATTTACTAAAGATACTTCAGGAAATCATAATTAATATTTTCATGGGATTACCAAACAGACTAGGGTACAATGCGTTACACATTTATAAAAAGATGCTTAGACTTAAATAACTGGAGTTCTAGTTTGTGAAAATAGTTGCTACAGATAATAAAAAATTTAAAAGATGGTCTAATATATGCTTCTTAGAAGCAAATTTTATCCCAACAATGGCTTATCTAGTCCTTTAACTTCCACATTCACAGTTAATACTCTACCTCTTACAGACTTCTCCTCCTTATTTCATAACAGAAGTCCTAAGAATGTCTCTTCCATCAGTCTATTGTTTGAACATGCCAATCAACTGAGAGAATTTTGTTCCTGTGTAGCCTTTGTTGAGATGAGATGTAAAAAATAACAACATAATTTGCCTAAAAAGGTTACAGAAATAAAGACCAGTGACGCTGTCACTGATGTCTGTTGCTAAGAGAAGACGATTCCTTCTCACAGACCCCACCTAAGTACTTAATACCTGCAAGGCCAACAGACTTTTCTGCTTGCTTTCCTGTGTAGCTGGAGACCATTCAACAGCGCTTCATAGTCTTTGACCTGAGGCCATACGGATCTAATGCTCACCACTCATTCTTGTCCTGTGATCATCTACCAGTCTCCAGAAACATCCCTTTCTTCCATTTCTGCAGAACTCTTCTCCTGATGGTCCAAACAACACCCTGGGACCTCTAACTTGATGCACTTCAGAAATCTATACTCTAGGCCAGTGCTGCTTCAGTCATGGCCTGTGTACCAGGTCTGGTCTGTACACAGTGCCAATCCATGAACTGTTTATTTTGGTCCACGTAAAGATAAGGAGCTTGTGCCAGAATACAAATCAGCTTCATGACTAAACACAGTTTTGTACTGGCCGGCATGTTGACACACACCTTTAGTCCCAGAGCTACTAGGGATGCTGAGACAAGAGGATTGTTTGAGCCCAGGAGTTTGAGGCTGAAGTGGGCTATAATCACACCACTGCGGTTTAACCTGGGTGACAGAGCAAGACCCTGTCTCTTAAAAACAACAACAAAACAGTTTTGTCCAGATGGCTTTTGCTGGGGGTAGTCGGGGACAAGAATTTCTCCATAAGGAAAGTAGTACACTGAGTTACATTCAGGCACACACTCCTTATCTCTTTGTATATCAATGCACTTGGAGTAAGACTGCTGTATGTCATGTTATAGACATTGCCTGAAAGTTCCGCCTCCACAACTTCATAATCTAGAATTCTACTCCCTGATACAATTCTTCCACTCACCCCAAGTCTTTCTACCTAATTCATCTGCTTTGCCTTTACTGGAACCTCATTCCCTGGCACGGTCCTTCAGTCCCTTCTTAGATACTCCTTCTCCCTCTCTAACTTGCAACCCACAATTACCATTATCAACTAAACTCTAAGCCAGTGGTTCTCAAAGTTTAAGTGCTGGACTAGCAGTATCAACATTACCTGGAAACTTGCTGGAAATGCAAATTCTGTGGAAAAACTCTAGGCTGGCGGCCCAGCAATCCATATGATTCTGATGCATGCTGAAATATATGTCAACTGTTTTTTTTTTTTTTTTGGTGACACGGTCTTACTCTGTCGCCAGGCTGGAGTGCAGTGGCGCAATCTCAGCTCACTGCAACCTCCACCTCCTGGGTTCAAGCGATTCCCCTGCCTCAGCCTCCCAAGTAGCTGGGACTACAGGCGTGTGCCACCATGCCCAGCTAATTTTTTGTATTTTAGTATAGACATGGTTTCACCATGCTGGCCAGGATGGTCTCAATCTCCTGACCTCGTGATCTGCCTGCCTCGGCCTCCCAAAGTGCTGGGATTACAGGCATGAGCCACCACACCTGGCCATGTCCTCATTCTTAAAACTACCCACTATCTCCTCTGGTTGTCCCTTAATCACAGTGTTCCTCAAGTTTCTGACTAGCATATTTTTCGTCTTACTTTTTACCCTCCCCAGTAATCTACTCTGTCCTGGAGCTTCAATTACTTTCTATGAGCTGGTTTAGCTCTCTAAATAATTAGAAACACCTGACTTCTCCCCTGTACCAATACCTACATCTCCAGCTACTTGCTAATCATCTTCACACTGAAGGCCTACAAAGGCAAGGTCTTCAATTTCATGATGTCTGTAACAAGCCCAACACTTGCTGCCCTGCTTCTCCTCCTCCTCAGTCACCCTTGATAGAATCCTCAGTTATCTTCAATGCTTCCAACCCCTTGCTCCTATCTGAACTCTATTTTGGCAAAAGTCTCTCATTTCTTCCTTCTGTGCTTCTTCAGGGACACGTGATCCCTTATTTGGAATATTATAACCATCTCCAAACTAGTCTTCTCTTTCTGAAACAGGCATCATGTCATTACCCAGCTTAAAGCATTACTTCATATTCCCTCTGAATAACATCCCACTCCCTTCACAATGGGGTCCCCAGATGCTTTCTCAACCCCATCTTCAGCAATTAAAAAGCTATGCTTTTTAATCTCTGGTCACATTTACCATTTTCCTAATGTTCCCTGTGCCTCTGATGTGCTTCTCTTTGAAAAATATTAATCATCCCTTTAGGCTCACGTCGAATGTTACCTTCTCTATCTACGCAGAGCTCCTCAGCCCTACATTCCTATGACCCCATCACCCTCCCCAAACCCCACACCAGGCTCTCCACTCTGTGCTGTTGCTGTACCTTGTGTCCCTTCAGCACCTAACTTGTCTGACACACTACAGTGAGTTGTGTATTCTCCCCTCTTGAGTCCTATACTCAGTGAGAGCAGGCTGTGTGTCACCGGCTTGGTGTGTCCCAGAATCCAGCCCAGTTCCTTCTACATAGAAGACATTTGTTCAGTCTGTGCTACTGAGCTGATATTCACACTGCCGTCATCCATGTTTGCATTCATAGTGAAAGGACCCCACTCAAACTGGGAACATTTATTACATACCAACTACTCTGAGAAGCTTCCAGAGAATTCACAACTGTAATATTGAAGTAATAATGCCCCTATGGTTAAAAAAAGGTACACGTATTGTACTCATTTATATATACATCTATCCTGGTACTAGAATATATACATTCCTCAAGGGCATGGAGAGTATCTTCTCCATCTTGGGCTCCCAGAGCTTAAAATAGTACCTGCACCTAGAACTTTATTTAATTTTTACTGAAAATAGTTATTTTCTTTAAAAAATGTAAATACAACAGCCTCATTTTCCTGTGCAGAATATTAACCATCGCCTCAAATGTCACTGACACATATTTGTATGTGTCAAAATCTATTTGTATAAAACATTAATATCAAACTACAAGTTTCCTTGCACTACAAATTCTTGCATAGCCTGATACCTCAACTCAGAACTTATCCAATCTCACGCAGGGAAGCAATCAAACTAGACCTGCTCCAACCATTCATCTCAACAACCTGCTCACTAACAGCTTCCATTCTTTTGCCTGTCCATTCCCCCAGCCATTAAGATCATAATCTAAAGGTAATAGCATATTACAGTGGAAAGAGCACAGGACTAGAAGACAGGAGATGTGGTCAAAGCTCTGGGTAAATGACATACTTGACTCATAAGCCTCTGTTTCCTCAAAGATAATAAGAAGACTGGCTTGAATGAGTAACCCTCCTAGAAATAAAAATTCTAGGTTTCTATCACATTTTCAGCTTTGTTTTTAGCCCTTTTCTCTTTCTGACAATTTATTTAAATAAAATGTACTACCTTCTTTTAGCTCTGAAAAACTCCTGGTTCCATGTACACCCAAACTTTGTTTCCATAAGAACTTATTAATATTCCAAATACACTCAAAACACTTAGTAAAACATTCCCATCTCCTTAAAGACTGTAAGTTCACAGCAGCTCACAAAGAGCACAGCTGGCAGGATCAGACCTAGGTTCAGACTAGCTCCTCCACTTATGAACTAAGCAACCCTGAGTGAGTTTCTAAACCTCTGTGGGTTGCAGTTATCTTACACATGCAATAAAATGAGAATAAAACCACATTCTCTGCAAGATTATGATGAGTCAAAGAACATATATATAGAATACCTAGCCACGTTTTTAGAATATAGTAGTCATTCAATAAATAATAAGGTGCTCCTATTATTAAACCTAAATATCAGGATACCATTATTGCAAAAGAGAAGGCTTATCTCTATAAGGCTACAGACTGCATTATACTTCTTCAAGCTCAGACCCAAGTACAAGACCCAAGCATTCCACTTTGTCAGTAAGCAATCTCATGAAATAGAGTCTGAGTATTAAGGCTTTTTGAAAAGTTTTAAGCTGGACTCAAGAGTAGCCTTTATTTGACTTATCTAGAATGTCTTCCATACTATAGGAGTGGCAGGAGGCACAGAGGAGCTACTGATAGCCTGCAGCACCTTGGTGTGCTTCTAAGTTGCCTTTTGGCTAGAATCAAAACATAATTTATGATATATCTCAACACAGACAAACCTAGGAATGGCAATTTGGCCACAGGTGAAAAATTTATCTAAACGAAGTATCTAACCCACGAGGCAACAATTGCCAATTAATTAAGTTTTAATATAGATGTCAAGAAGACAGGACTACAAATATCTAAGAAATGTATGGGTACTTGGTTTAACATTGTGGGCTAACATCTATATGTGCATATGTAGAATATCTTTTATATGTGGTTAAAGCTTTTAAAGTCAAACTATACCACAATATATTTATATGAAAATTCTGCTATTAAATATTTATTCTGTTAATATATTCAATTTTTAAAGCTTAACACAAATGAATTATCCATTGAAGTTTGCATTACTGAACCTAAATATCTAGGAAAAAATGAGGCAATCTCTTCATAAAGAAAGGCAGTGGAGGGGCGGAAGAGGTACTTTCATACATAAATGTAAATCATATATTTATTCATAATTTTGTTACCTTTATATATATATATATATATATAATCATACCCACTTAAAATCAATTGAGTCGGCTGGGTGTGATGGCTCATGCCTATAATTCCAGCACTTTGGGAGGCCAAGGCAGGCGGATCACAAGGTCAGGAGTTTGAGACCAGCCTGGCCAATATGGTGAATCCCCATCTCTACTAAAAATACAAAAATTAGCTGGGCATGATGGCGCACACCTCTAGTCCCAGCTACAGGAAGCTGAGGTAGAAGAATGGTTTGCACCTGGGAAGTGGAGGATGCAGTGAGCTGAGATTGCACCACTGCATTCCAGCCTGGGCAACAGAGCAAGACTCTGTTTCAGAAAAAAAAAAAAAAAATCATATGAGTCAGGTAAATAAAAACCAGGTTCAGAAAAAATCTAGATTTGGGACCAAATGACTTGGGTTTAAAGTCTCATTTCACTTCTCACCTGGTTTGTTTTCTTAGGCAAATTATGCTGAGCTTCAGTTTCTTTATCTGTATTCTGAGAATAACACTGGACCTATCAACCTACCCCACGGAAATCACACAGGAACCAAGAGGCAATGGTTTACAACTGATACCAGGGGATCTTCATGGTACCACTACAACACTCCCCATACCTCTCTCACCACACCCCTAAACCTCCCTCTCCTATACCTCCTCCCTCCACATCCCTATGCCCCTCCCTCCACATCCTAATGCCCCTCCCTCCACATCCCTATGCCCCTCCCTCCACCCACTCAAGGAAGCCAGCCTTTTAACTGATCTATGTATTGGAGAACCATGTAAGAGTCTGTTTGGAAAAAGCACTCTGCTAAAAACAAACAAACAAACAAACAAAAAAAACCAAGTTCGAAAAAGCTACACTATACAATAGCAGTTTCCTCTCATAAAAAACTTGAAAAATTCATCAAAGACATTGTACAATTACTCTAACATTTAATAAAGTACCTCTGGTTTTTCATGCCAAAAAGTATCCATTAGGTATACATAAAACTACTTCAATAATGACTGCTGACTAATCAAACTGATTCAACTAAAGAATACTTGAGACATTTATAGTGAAATTAATGAGTGAAATTTATTCTAAAGAAATTCCCACAGATTCAAAATAATTATGTTATGATTACAGAATTACTAGTAAGTCCCAGAACTGCTGCCAGAAACACAATTATAGCTGTATTTAATACAAAGAACACTTTAAAACAGCTTTGGATATTAGGAAGATTATGTTTAAAAAATACAAGCCTCTGCATTGTCTGAGAGGCAGGTGACAGCAGTGCTGTAAACAGACATTCTTGGTTGAGCAAGTTTCAGCTTGGCAGTGTTCCAAAAAAGAAAAAGGGGAGGAAAAAAAAGACTGCACGATAGACACATATTAAGAAGTTTGTTTTGTTTTACCATCCTAGAGGGTTGAGTGAATACAAAATAAAAAGGTTCTCTCAGATATGGTAACAGATTAGCCTCTGCTCCAGAGAAACAAAATAGTGGATGGAAATTCATGCTAGTTTTGTTCTAACTGCATCACAGATTTTCAAAATCATCTCTAGATTTCATGAGCAGTCGCTACTATGTGCTGGACTTACATTTATTTAGTTTTTATCTCAGCATCTCCAATGTGGACATTCTTTAAAGTTTATTTACTCTGTTGGATTTGCAGTAGAAACTTTAGGAGGACAGCCAAAGGAGTACCATTTAAACCAACGATCCCAAACCAAAGAATGAGTAGGAACCTGCTGGCATGCAATTATACTGAACTACCAAGAGAACAGGAAACATGCAAGAATCGGGCTTCACTAAGTCCTTCCTTTCCTCTTATGCTTGTGTTTATTTGTAGAATATTAAATGCAGGAAAAATCCTAGACAGATAGAAGCCTAGCCAGCTCAGGCTCCTTGTTTAGAAAACTGCCATAACTTCCTTAGCCAGATGTAATTTATATGGATGAATATAAATTACATGCAAAATTCTGTTTTGACAGTTCCTTAATGTATGCACCCTCAATAACACAGTACCATGCAATGATGGATTTAAAATCAGAGATACTTTAGAAGAAATACAGATGGATCAGAAAATGACAAAGGTCTCTAGGTACACACATAGTCTACAGCAATGATCCATGAAAGAGGCATCTGTCTATTACACACAGGATACAATATACTTGGGCTTCAACTAGCCCCCTGAGCCTCCAGCTCTACCACTCGGCACTTGATTTTCATGCTCCAACATTTCCCTGTATGAATAAGTGAGTTACTAATTCACACAAGCGTCTTCTAAGTATTAGTATGTCTAGAGACTGACAACTACAAATGTGCATCTCAAGGTCATTATACTAACCAACAACTCTGCTCCTGCTTTCCAATAACACTCAAGTCCCAAACTGAACTTTGGCTAGGTCCCACTCTCAATCCTTTCCCTTCCCCAAATTTCTCTTCGTAACATCACTATCCACACCACTGCTTAAGCCAAAGCTTTGAATGATTCTCTCCCCTTCCATACGCCCCAAACCCTCCCTATCACCTCGCAAGCAATCCAGAGGCAAGTATCATCAATTTTACTTCTACAATACGCCTCAAATCCATCCACTTTTTTCCTTCTTCAGCAGAACCATTCTGGTTCAATTCATCATCATCTTATGCCTAGAAGTCTCTTAACTGTTCTGTTCTCATCTATTTTTGCTGCCTCACAATCAGTTCACCAGGTAACAGTCATACGAATCTTTTTAACATAGGTCATGTCATTCCCTTGACTTAAAAGCCTTTATGACTCTCAACTGCATTGTGAATAAAACCCATTTCTTTACTAAGCCTTTTGAGGTCCTACACAATTTGGTCACTGACTGCCTGCCTCTGTAATCATATAGTGGGCTACCCTCCTCCTCGCTGACCCCATTCCAGCCAGGCTGGCCTTCCTACAGTTACTGGAATGTCCCAGGACGACTCTTCCCTAGGATCTTTATCCATGCCTCTGCGCTAGCATTCTTTATATAGACAGTTTTTTCCATCCTTCAGGTCTCAGTGACGTGGCACCTTCTATGAAAGGCTTTCCCTGACCATCCATGCTAAAGTGAAGCCCCCATTTTAATATTTTCACAACAACCTGTTCTTTCTCTTAACAGTTTTTTAATAATTTGTAACTATATATTTACTTATCTAGCACCCTTTTTGGTATGCAGTAGGCATCTTTTTAACTGAATGAATTAATGAGGACAAGTACTTTAGGCGAGGCTAATCACAAACATATCCTACTAGCTGGTATAAGATGCAATAACAAAGATATTACCTTCTCAACTTTTTTCCTTTTAACAGGCGGGTCAAATCTATCATTGACTCCAAAATACTGAGTAAGCTCTTTCCACTGGGTTTCATTTGAGGACGGTTCACTAAAAGAAGATAGTAAGTTTTGTTTTATACAATATATACTGTCTTTACTTTTACTGTTTTTAATCGGTTACTACAATTATACTACAATTACTAGTTCATATGTTTGATTACTATCAGAAACAATTAGTTCAACAATTTCTACAATGGCCTAAAATAGATAACTATTTTAAATTCTACCTACCTATGTAATTCTTTTTCATTCTTCAATTTATCTGAAAAGAATTCACAAAGTGTCAATACCTAACTTCAGTAATTTCAAAACCATATTTTAAAAAAATGGTTAAACTCAGTCACAACTTAGCATTAGCACGACGAACAACCTGAGTTAAAACAAAACACCTTTTCTGGAGCGTTTTCTTCTTTTCCCTCTGAATCTTGAGGTTGTGCTTTTCTGTTCAGAATGTTTTTTATGCAATTCTTGAAATTTCTATGTAAAAGAAAAAAAAATTGAGAAGCAAATATACTTTCCAGAAAAACATGCATTTAAAAAATAATGAAGTAATAAAACAATTATATTTCAGCGTGTATAAAGATACCAATTTAATGATGGTAGTCAGTTCTTGAGATGCTCTATTCTCTGAGACTCACAACCTGAGTTTTGATATTCACTTGTTTTGAAATAAGTCATTTGATAATTTGAGAGTGAAGCTCATGTAGGTAACAAAAAAGATAAATAAAAGGTTAAATAAAGACAGAAACTACTCATGTACCACGCTAGGCAAACAGCTAATACTACATAGTGGTTTGGGTTTTTTTTTTTTCCCCCTCCGTCTTTCTATGAAAAACAAAACAAAATAAACGCAAGTATCTAAGTGGCCGATGCCTCAGAGAACAGTAAAAGCATTCTGAGTCCATCTCCCTCCCTGTTAAGTCCCAAGAATACATGCACATTCTGACCAGGGCAGAGACACACAGAGGCATGTGCACACACACAGGCTGTAGCAAGAGCATTTCAGAGAAAACCTACATTCCACATATCTATGGGAATTCCAGAAGGACACTCTTCATAGGCATTTACATTTGACTCTGTTTCAGTTTTTGGTTCATCTGTTGAGAAATCTATGATTTCTGTTTTTCTGATGCTCTCATCCTCTTTATCTTCCTGTAAGTTAAGTCCAGAGTTCTCCAACGTAGCTTCATCTTCCGAGTTTGACTCAGCGTCACTTTCATTTAGGCCAGGAGGTAGCAGCCCACTCCACATCTTTTCTTCTATGAGGAAAAAGATTAATTTACACATGTAGAATAACCATAGAAATAATTTTAAGACCATTAGAAGACATTCCAGGTGCCTAATAATTATAACAATGGTTTGGGAACAGTCCATCTAAACTTTTTTTTTTTAATCTAAAATGGCATAGAATGAACCTGTTATAAAATAATTAAAATCTTCACTTGTGTAAGTAAAAAAAAAGTTTAGAAGTTTAAAAGCTGTTTAAACAAGTTTGTTACAACATACACCTACAGGTAAAGAAAATAGAGCCTTGATTCTCTAATATATGAGTAGTTTTGTCTAAAAAAAACATGAAATTCAGTAAAGCATTGCTCAAGAATGTTAAAAACCTAACAACATACTTTGCAAGCAATTTAGGATTAAAATACCATATTTGAAGCTATACCAATTAGAGAATAAAACTGCATGTTTCACCTATATTTAATGGACAAAGCTTTCAGAGGGCGTCTTGTCTAAGGAGCAGGAAAATAACTAAAGGAAAATTTTTAAGCTACATAAGTAGTTGGAGGAAGGTATCGTAGTAAAAAGGATATCCTACTTTTTAGTTTAATACTGTTTGCTAAAATAATATTAAATGAAATATAATCCTAACAATTTAACAAAAATGTACAGCTTTTTAAAGTAACAATACTATATTTGGGAAACTAATGGTCAAGTTCAAGATAATATTTAGCATTAGCTATACAGTCCATTAGTAGAGAGAACCATTAAGTTTAATAAAATGACTTAAAATAGCAGAATTGTTATCATTTGCTAAAAGTATAATACTCAAGTACATACTCACTATTGATCTTCATGGCACAGTCTATTTTAGCACATATATTGAGCCAAAACCAGTTCCTTCAAAAGATGCTTAAAATAGAGAAGCCGGTTGTACTGCTCATGATTTACTATCAATATGAAGGAATAAAATGGAAGGACGGAAATTTGTTTTGCAGTTTTCTGTCCCATATTGTGATTAACCTAGTTAAAAAACAAACAAACAAACAAAAGAAACCACCATTCTCTCTGAGACAAACACATCAGGGATTTTGTGATAACAGATTTCTCTTATCTTTTAAAGACCTCCTTCCAGGTCCAAAGAATCAGATCTTACTTTTTGTGGCTTTGGTCCAGCCTCATCAGTTGCTGGCTCTCTGAAATATCCTCACCAAATATTCTGTTGGCTTTTTATGAGGAAGGACTCTGGCATCTAACTGCTCCAACTAGAATCTTAACTCTGACACTACTAGTAGTATGAGGAAATCATTTGACATCTCTGACCCTCAATTTCTTTATCTGTAATGCAGGGATAATTATACTGCTTATAGGGCTATTCTGAGGATTAAATGAGATAAGCCCCTCAACACAGTGTTTAGGAGGTCCTAGGGGCTCAATAAATGTTAAGTTCTCTTTGCTATTATTATTTCTGTGGCCATGTATTACATTTTTATCATTTCTATTATGAGTGACAGGGTTCATAAGATAGTTTTGAAGTTTCTAATAATTGTGGTGCACTCACTTAGCAACTGATGCAATCATTTGCTTCCTTGATAGTCACAATCTGATGTGAAGTGTCTATAACAAATGTTAGTGTTTGGTTTTCTGAATGGAGGAATAAAATGAGGGCAAATTACTAGGAAGATAATGGTAACCTTAAGCTCCAAGATTCCTCATCTGCACAGGTCCTTCCAAAGCACTGTACCTAGTTTTCTATTCAGAATTTACATTTCTTTGTTTAAAGGAAGAAACCCGAAGTTATATAAGCTCCAGGCCCCATAAAACCCAGATCTATCCCTAAACCTGTCTGTGGATTTTTAAAGTTGGGACAGCAGTACTCTTGAAATACTCCAATAGCACAAAAGACATCATGTAAAATATGCCAATATTGAAAAACAGGTGTCATGCTATTAATAAAAAAGATTTCTCCTGTTCTGAGAGCAAGGGGAAGGAAGCAGTAATAAGTTCCAGTATGACTTGGCCACCGCCATATAATATACCTTTAGGCTCATTATCATTTAAGGACTTAAAACAGTAACAAATTTCAGGTTTGGATTTCTTAGCATCACTGGAGTCTATGTTAGAAATAACTCTTTCCCTTCCTGTCCATAAAATATTTTACATGCCCACTTATGTGCCAGACACTCTTCAAGACCCTGGGGACAGAAGTATATAAAACAGGCAAAAATCCCTAGCCTCACGAAATGACAGCTATACACATAGCAAGTTTCTGCTCAGTTTTTGAGCCAAGTATTCCTTGACCTGGACTTTAGATGTGACTGCTCATGAAACGTGTATGCCTCTCCAATGGGCAGTGGCACAGGTCTCCTACTAAACCACTGTTTTAGCATCTCTGCAGGGTGATAGTCTATGCTCTGGGCACCCAAACATGCTTCCCTCTGGGAAGCAGTCTCAGTTGCCCCGAAGAAGGCATGCTTTTTGCTGTTGTTGTTGCTAATCAGCCTTCAAGTAGTTAGGCATTTTTTATGGCTTTTTAAATTTTCTCAAAATTATATATTTTTAGCTCCTGCTCATGTGGCATTAAAAACTGTCCTCAGTGTGGCATCTGCCTGGTATGATAATTTCTTGAGTGTACCCAAAGGAAAAAAAATTAAAATAGTTTGAAAAAGGTGGAATCCACCTCTAAATCCAGGCAAAATTCAAATCAGGTAGGTTTTGAATTCCACTCTTTAGAACCTTTAGTCATGTGCCATTTTCCTGTGACTCTCAAAAAAACAAATACAAGGGAGACTGAGCAGTCACTGATAAACACGGATAACTGCTGCCACTTACTGTGCAGCCTGCAAAATGGAGTTGCCCGTGTAAGCAGCAGCCCAGTTACAGATCAGCCAATATGGAGTGGCTGCTTAGTGACTTTTGCTTTGGACTCATGTTTCAAAACAGTCTTTCTATTCATAGCATATACTTGTCATTCACAAAGTTTCCAACTGGCACCATGTTAGGCCTCCTGTTATTCTTGTTTTGGCTGCTGTGGAGAATGATTCTCTATAAGTGTCTCTTACTTATGCCTTTCAGAGCGTATTTCTTTATTTTAAGGCAGATAATCCCAAGTTACCCTTTAACTGTGAAAATTCACTCAGCCTGTCTCCAGAAACGTGGAATATCAGAGAAACAGAAACTTAAATTTGTTTAGCATAGATTATAGCCAAGTCCATATAACAGCCAATGTATTAATTCATAAGCTTTCATTTTTTTTACCCTGCAACCCAAATAATTTTCAATTTAATCATTTTAGCCCCAAGGAAAATGTAAATGACTCAGAATCCTTTTTCTCTCTATGGTTTTGAATATCACTTTCTTCATTTTACACACCCTCCACCTCTAGAGTTAAGATTTATTCCATCCCACAATTATCCTCAAGACATTCTGTGTGTACTATGCAGAACACATCTTTAGTCCTGGGCTAACACAATTTGCCATGAACTGAAAATATTTATATACTGTCCTAGTCTGAATAACTAGGGTTTCTTGTTTGTTTGTTTGTTTGCCCTTGAAAACCACCCATCGTTATTATTTAGCATACTTGGTCAGATAACAATGAATCAAAAACAGGGTACAGTTCAGTGGTTCCTAATCTAAGTATGAATATAGTAACAGGAGTCTCTAAGCTAATTTCAAAAAGCCCAAACTATTTTATTTTTCCCCTCAGTAAGACTGTACCATTCATCATTACAGGAAAAGACCAATTTAGTGAAGCACTATTTTTCACATGTTAATCAGAGGTTCACTGGTAGTTATAGGTCTGATTTTTATCAGAAAAAAACATTCATAAATAAGGTTGAGTAGACACAATCTTTCAAAATAAAGCAGCCAGGGAGAAATCAAATTATAATAAAAACCGTTCTAGATTGTGCACTGGTTACAGGGGGAAAAAGTCTTCAAAGTTGGAAAATGGTTTCTAGTCCTGAGCAACATAATTAGGAGAAAGCCACTGCATTTGTCTGGGCCTCCATTCTTAAGCTATAAAATAAAGGTTTGATCAAATGATCTCTGAGATGTCTTACAGCTCTAAAATGCCTCTTTATGATTTTGATATTATAAGTGCCCTAAATGCCCAGAGTCACCTCACTCCTGGATGTATCACTCCATTCTCTCTAGCACTGCAATCCTGATTAGAGCCCAGTATCCAGTAGATAAGGTTTCTCTCCTCTACCTAGCAACTCAGCCAAGAGGATGTTTTCAGAGAAACTCTGTACACTTCAGGACACTGAGAAGGGGAAGGAACCCTAGTTACAACAGGAAACACTAGAACCAGAAAGGGGAAACAAAGCAAGTCACTGCTGCACATGGCATACAAACAGTGTGGCAGGCCTTGGTTTTCCACTAATCTTCACAACAACCCTTCCACTAGGAATTACTATCTATATCAGCCCCTCCCCTACCCGCCCCGCCCCCAATTTACAGATGGGATAACTGACTTGCCTAATGCATTCTGATCCATTTGTTTTACAAAAATAGCCCCATGGCTTTAGATTATGAATTTTACAGAGCAGAGTTGTAAGCGGGGACAAGGATTTGCGACTGGGGCTGAGAATGATCTTAGCCTATAATTACAGACTTGTTAAATTTGGTTAAGAATTTTTTTCTGTACTTTTTGAGTACAGAAAGCTATGCAAGATGCTATACTAAGTTGCATACATCAAAGTCAAAGTCACAGTCAGAGGTTTGAGTAATAATGTCATATTTTCTGGACAACCAGACAGCTGCTTATAATCAAAACCCAAAAGATATATTTGAGCAGCTCGATGGGTAAATGTTTTCCATCTCTATTCCAGAATTTAAATTCCATTTTCATCGTATAAGGCTGTCTTATTTCCTATATTTTGTATTTGATTAGAAATAATTCCAGAAGCCTGAACTTCGTCTGATCTAAAATTAATTTCACTTGTATACTAATTATAAGCCACAATTATTTAACAATCTGAAGATTGTAATTTACATCATAATCAGAGTCTGTGACTTAAAAATAGTTACTATTTTCAAGCATGTTAACATCAACATTAACGTAAATATCCTATTTACTTTTATGAAATGAATGTGTTCCTTTTCTCAAAAAAGGTACAGAAAGGACAACTGAATTACAGGCCTGAGAGCGAATCCAGAAAAACTACTTATTTAGCAAGATTTTGCATGTATTCAACTGTTTTAATTAAAGAGAGTGTTCGTTTACTTGAGGCCTGGAAAACATTTTCCCAGACCCAAGATCCTGCATGGAAAGACAATAAACCAAGTTAACAGTTCAAGGCTCATTTTAAGTCGATTCCGCTGTGAGAATACTTACAGGGTCCAAGATTGCAAGAGGATGGGTCTAGAAAGGTACACCGTTCCTGCTTGGCTGCACAACCCGGAATTCTGCAGGCTTTCTGGCGGCAATGCCACACTCCAATCCCAAAAGAGAGAGAAGCCCCTCCCGGGCACAGAACTAAGCGCTGCACATTCCGGCGAAGGATGTCTAGCCTGCTGGCAGTCCCATTAACTGGAGCTGTTTTCCGGAATACAGCAACTGTAAACGTGAGCCTGTTTTCCCTATCGACAGCCTCCTCAATCCCCTCTCACTTTGACCTGGGTGGGACGGAGAACCCCCTCCACATAACAGGCTGGGGAGGCCGCTGCGACGCCCCTTTCGAGGAAGGCTGAGGGCGGCCCCGCCGTCGCTTCCGCGGCCCCGGGCCGGGGGCTTTTCTAGCCTGCTCCGGGAGGCTCGGCCGAGGAGCTATGAGGCCGCCCATGCCGCCTCCCTCGGCTGCCCACAAGAGGCCCTCCCAGACTCATCATGCCGGAGCCCGAACCGGCGGGTAACCAACCCTCCATAAGCCGTACTCACCTGTCAGGAAGTGGTCGCCCAGCAGCCATCTTAGGACCCCGTCAACATCGCGCCTTCTCATTGGCTCCTGCGTCTCAACCAATGGGCTGGGGCCGTTCTGGCCCTAGGGTCGCCTTAGCAACCGGCCTCCTGGGGCTTCCCTTTTTAGTCCGCCCGAAGGAGGTGGTTCCTTTCTTTCTTTTTTTTCTCTCTTTTATCTTGCCGTTTTCTCTTTCTTCTGAACATTTTTAAAGACTTTGTTCTTTCTTCATTCCCTGCTGTAGGCCAATGCGTCTGGGCAAGGAAAGGGCTGACATAGACCTTGAACTGAGAGTTGATGCCACCAGGAGGGAGAATCTTGCAGAGTGCTTTCTTTCTAGGCCCCTCTGCAAACGTCTTCATTCATTCATCCTTTCCCCTCACTCTCTTCCTTTTTTTTAATTTTTTTTCTTTCTTCACCTATTTATTGGGCGCCTACTTTGTACCAGGCATCGTGCTAATCTCTGGTTAGCAGAAAACATGCTGACTCTTGCTCTCTTGGCGCCTACCGTCTGGTGATGGGGTCCAAGGTGCTTCACTGACTGGACCAAAAGTTTACCGAACTTCTTTTTTTCTTATTTGTGGCAGGCACTGTGTTATGCCCAGAAGGGGGTGCTTGGGGAACATAGAAAATAAGGGGAAAAAAAAGAGAGAGAAAAGCACTGCGAAGAGGATAAAATACCCTATGGATAGGGATGGGAATAGGGCTATTTTAGAAATATTTGCATTTTCCGAAATACTGTTTTATAATAAGAATAACATTAAGTGTACCTATTTGCTAATTTTGTGATGATTATATAAGAAAAGCCTGGGCAACAGAACCAGACCCTATTTCAAAAAAAGAAAAGAAAAGAAAATACAGTAGGCTTCCCTCATCTGTGGCTTCTCTTAGCCTGATTTCAGTTACCTGGGGTCAACCAAGGTCCAAACACATTAAGTAAAAAATTCCAGAAATAAGCAATTCAAATGTTTCATTGCAAGCCCATTCTGGATATCCTGATGAAATCTGCAGTGTGAATCATCGCTTTGTCCATGCATGCTGTTAGGCTACCAGGTTCTTAGTCACTTAGTAGCCATCTTGGTTATCAGATTGAAAAACTATATGTGGGGTTCGCCATTATTCCAGGATTCAGGCATCTACCGGGGAGTCTTGGAAGGTATTCCCTGCGGATAAGGGAGGCTACTGTACACATAAAGACTTTAACATGTTACCTAGCCCACGCTAATTTTCAATCTCAGCTGTTTTTTGCTGTTAACATTACCAATAATGTCTTTCTTCAAAGCAAGCTAAATGTGTATAAAATTTTGCATTGCACTCAGTAATATATCTCAATTTCACATCAACAGATGGTTAAGCCTATTAACTATCCACTAAACCACCTCACCTCCAACATCTTCCAGAAGATGCGCCAAGTTTAGAGAGCAGTTTTCTATAACCCCAGAATCATAGTAAAACCTGAATCAGCAAGTTTGGATCGCCGAGGTCCCTCTTCCTGTTCACATTCTCTGATTCTAGAGTAGAAGCAAGGCTGAATGAGTTAAGGATCTGTGTAAAACTATTTTGGCCAAATCTGTTCAGCTTCTCAGTAGGATTTTCCTTGAATCCAAATCTTTAAAAAGTTAAACAGGTAACAAGAAGGTGTGCCTGAGAGTGCTGTTGTAACTGCATTAGGCTTCTTAATTGCTCTTCATCTGGGGATAGCAAAATACTACAGACAAGGTAGCTTAGGCAACAGGAATTTATTTCTCACAGTTCTAGATGCTGGGAAGTCCAAGATCAAGATGCCAGCAAAGTAGGTTTTTTTTTTTTTTTTTTTTGAGGCCTCTTCTCTTGCGTGGTAGGCAGCCACCCTTGCCCTGTCGTGCTCCCATCACCTTTTCTTTATATGCACAGTTTGGGGAGCTCTCCAGTGTCTCTTCTCTGTACTTAAAAGGACACTAATCCTGTTGGATCAGGGTTCTACCCTTCTGACCTTATTTAACCTTAATTACTGCCTTAGAGGCCACATCTCCAAACACAGCCACACTGTGGGTTATGGCTTTAAGATAGGAATTTTAGGGGTGCACAAACATTCAGCTCATAACAATTGCTGATGGTGGAAATGTTACCAGAATGGGGAAAGAGATAGCAGAGGGGGAAGAACTGAGGCATGGGGTAGGAAGGAATTAATGTTTGTATGTTTAAGAATGATCTGGGGCTGGGCATGGTGGATCACGCCTGTAATCCCAGCACTTTGGGAGGCCGAGGCAGGTGGATCACTTGAGGTCAAGAGTTCGAGACCAGCCTGACCAACATGCTGAAACCCGCTCCCCCCTACTAAAAATACAAAAATTAGCCGGGCATGGTGGCATGTGCCTGTAATCCCAGCTACTCGGGAGGCTGAGGCACGAGAATCACTTGAACCCGGGAGGCAGAGGTTGCAGTGAGCTGAGATTGCGCCACTGCACTCCAGCCTGGGTGACAGGAGTGAAATTCCATCTCAGAAAAAAAAAAAAATCTCGATTGTTTCTATATGGATCCCATCAAAGAATGCTCATTATTTAGTGCATATATTAATAAATGCAAGGGATAGAGGTGGCATATAATTATAACTACTACAAAGATTTACAAACACCAGATTTCATAGCAAAGGTTTTTGGAAAATCTTGCTTCAAAAATATCTAACATTTTAAAATTAAGTTTCTCAATACTGATTTGAGAATTCTTAATTACCTAATTGTTTATCACATTACTGGATGCCTATAATAAATGTAAATAATAGCTCAGACTTTTCTTCTCGCTCTGGTTGTAAGAACTTCAGTTTCTGAATATTATTGTTTTGTCAATTTTCTAGGGAAAATGTCAGTCCTTTGATTTATGTTAATCAATAAATTTACCTTTCTTCCAGCAAATTCCTGCCCTGGAAGCCTGCCAAGCCATGAGTTTTGTGAATGAAATACTTGTATTTGTGAGATTTCTATGAAATGTAGAATTGTTGGATACCTTTTACTAAATCATAGTGAAATATCTGATGCAGCTAGTGAATTGTGCTTGAATTGTGTTGCATCTGGCACTAATTTCAAGCATGTAGCTTTCATTTAAATTCTCAACCGTATCTTTAAAAACACAAAGCAGTTTTTCTTTGCCAAGAAATATTATAGTTTATGAACAGTTTTTCCTTACATTTAACAATTTTTTATTGTAGAGATTATAAGTCACACCTATGTTATGAAAGATTAATTGTGGAGTTCTTTTTGGTGGCTGCTAAATCCTGGATTGATGAATAATTTCTCAAAATATAATGAAACCCCTTAAATATTTTTAAGTTGGAAAAGTGAATACAACTTTGTTGAACATATAATAAATGTGCTTCTTGCTGAAACTGAGAAAGAGAATATTAATTTCTTTCTATACAAACACCTCTTTTTTGGCATTCAGAGGAAAAAGGGATTTAGTGACTTAAGCAAAAGAATTGAAACCAGGGAGCTCTGAATTTCAGGATTCATGTTGATATCCTTCATGATTAAGGAATGACAATTTATCTGTTGTTGTTGTTGTTGTTGTTGTTGTTGTCGTTGTTTGACGGAGTCTGGCTCTTTCGCCCAGGCTGGAGTGCAGTGGCGCGATCTTGGCTCACTGCAAGCTCCGCCTCCCAGGTTCATGCCATTCTCCTGCTTCAGCCTCCCAAGCACCTGGGATTACAGGAGCCCGCCACCACGCGTGGCTAATTTTTTTGTATTTTTTTTGTAGAGACAGAGTTTCACCGTGTTAGCCAGGATGGTCTCGATCTCCTAACCTTTCTATCCGCCCGCCTTGGCCTCCCAAAGTGCTGGGATTACAGGTGTGAGCCACCGTGCCTGGCCCTCTATCTGGATATTTTTAGGTTTGCAGACTGAAGCATCTATAAACAATGTTAGTCTTCCAAGAATATGTTGAATAACTAACACTACGATATCAACAGGACTTGACATTTGAGAAAACAAAATTTCTGTAATATAGAATGTTGCCAAAGAAAAGCACTTTTTATTTATTGGTCATGCCTAGTACTTCCAAATTTTTCAGTTCCAATAGGTTGTACATAGGGAGAAAGCAGAACAGGAGAGGGAGGCTTATTGAGCGTTTTTGTATGCTGGGAAATTTGTATCTAATATCTTATGTAATCTTATGAGGTAGCTGTTATTGTATCCATTTTATAGCTAAGAAAATTTAAAACTTCAAGAGCTTAAGAAACTTGCCTAATGTCACATGCTTAGTAACATGCAGAACCAGGGTGGGGAAGTTTCACTGGACTCAAAAGATCCTGCTGTCTCCACTATCCACATACTGCCTCTTTTAAGAAGAGGTTCCTGATGAGTGTCATCACAATGCAATCAATAAAGTATGGGTATCATTACTGCCCAGTGGCATGGTATACCCCCTGGGAACTCACAAAAAAGAGGCTTCGGGGACAAAATATCTTCTCTCTCTCCTTCCCCCTCAGGACCTAGTGAGTGATCAGATCCCATTCGAGGCATCCTCTTCAATTATTCCTTATTCGTTATATTAAAATCTATGTTAATTTCCTTTTTCTTAATACCTTCATCTTCCAAAAACATCCCGCTGTCTGATTAATGTCTCTGAATGAAGGAATACATGTAAAGCTTTAACATAGAGCCTGTCATGTAGTCAGTGGCTAACAAATATTAGCTTCCTTCCTTCCTTCACGTGTAAAAACTAAGAAACTCATAAATGTTGGTAGAGTATTAGATTCATCTGTCAATATCTTCATCGTTGTTACTATGTGCCCAATGCTCAGCACTATGCTAAGGGTTGAAGATTCAAAAGAACTGTATAGAAACTGGCCTCAAGAAGTTTGTAGTCTGAGACATAATAATATTTAAACCATAAGTACTAAAATTGTGAGGTTCATGATGTCAATATGAACTATGGAAGTCCTAAGAATGGAAAAGTAAGCCAAGTGGAATTTAGTATATACTATTTCCTTTGCCTGAAATAACTTTCTCTTTTATACCTGGTAAATATCTTTTCATCCTTCAAAACCAGATCCTTCAAAAAACCAATATAAACGTTGGCTTTTTATCTATATCTTGTTGTCTTTTTTTTTTTTTTTTTGAGATGGAGTCTCGCTGTGTCTCCCAGGCTGGAGTGCAATGGCGCGATCTCAGCTCACTGCAAGTTCCGCCTCCCAGGTTCACGCCATTCTCCTGCCTCAGCCTCCCGAATAGCTGGGACTACAGGCACCGCCACCACGCCCGGCTAATTTTTTGTATTTTTAGTAGAGATGGGGTTTCACCGTGTTAGCCAGGATGGTCTCGATCTCCTGACCTCGTGATCCACCCGCCTCGGCCTCCCAAAGTGCTGGGATTACAGGCATAAGCCACCGCGCCCAGCCCTTATTTTTTAATGGTCACTCTAGGGATTACAGTACTCATCCTTTCTACAGATTACTTAAAGTTAACATTTTAATAATTTGTGGGAAATGTAGAAACATTGGAACTGCATGGGTCCTTTCAAAGCTCTTGGCCCGCTCTTAATGTTGTCATACACACTGCATCTACACACATTGTAAATCTCACATTATTTTTATTTCCTTGAAACTATTATGTATTTTAAAGAAATACAGAGGAAAAAATAGAGTTTTACATTTACCCGCATATGTACTGTTTCCGAGGCTCTTCACTCCATCCTGTAAATCTGAATTTACATCTGCTTTCATTTACCTTCATTCTAAAGAATTTCTTTTAGCATGGCTTGTAGTGTAGATTTACCAGCAATGGATTTTCTTAGTTTTCTTTTATCTGAAAATATCTTTATTTTACCTTCAATCTTTTTTAAAGTGAGGTTTATTGAGGAATAATTTTATAGTTTACATACAATATAAATTCACACCTTATGTGTACACTATGATTTTTGATAAATGCATATAGTGATGTAAACACTACCATAATCAGTATACAGAATATATCCAAGTTGGCATCATGCCCATATATAGTCAACCACTTCTCCCTCCCCAGCCCCTATAAACTACTGAGATGTTCTCTGTCCTCCTAGTTTTGCCATGTCTGGAATGGAGTCATATAAATAAAATCAAGTAGTCTAGTCTTTCGAGTCTGACCTAGTTCAAGGAGCTTAATGCATATGAGGATCATGCATGTTGCTGCGTGTATTGGCAGATTGTTCCTTTTTATTGCTAAGTAGTATTCCATTGTGTAGCTATAGTTTGTCTATTCACCAGTTAAAGGATATTCGAATTGTTTTCAGTTTTTAGCAATTATTAATTATAAATAAAGATGCTAAAATGCTCACATAAAGGTTTTTGTGTAAAAAAAAGTTTTCATGGCCGGGTCCGGTGGCTTATGCCTGTAATCCCAGCACTTTGGGAGGCCAAGGTGGGCAGATCACGAGGTCAGGACATCGAGACCATCCTGGCTAACACAATGAAACCCCGTCTCTACTAAAAATACAAAAAATTAGCCGGGTGTGGTGGCGGGTGCCTGTGGTCCCAGCTACTCGGGAGGCTGAGGCAGGAGAATGGCTTGAACCCGGGAGGCAGAGCTTGCAGTGAGCCGAGATCGCACCACTGCACTCCAGCCTGGGTGACAAAGCGAGACTCCATCTCAAAAAAAAAAAAAAGTTTTCATTTCTCTTAGGTAAATACCTAGGCACGGGATTGCTGGATTATATAAGTTTTTATTTAACTACATAAGAAACTACCAAAGTGTTTTCAAAAGTGGCTGTACCATTACACATTTTCATCAGTAATGTATGAAAATTCCTGTTGCTCCCCATTCTTCGGTATGGACATAAAAAATAAGTGGGTTCAAATAAATGTGTAGTGGTATCTCACTGTGTATCAATTTTAATTTATCTAATAACTTATGATGTCTCTGTATTGTCTTTTGACTTAACAGTGTGTTTCAAAGAGCAAAAGTTTTCCATTTTGATAAAGTTTAACATCAATATTTTCTTTCATAGTTTATGCTTCATGTGTTATGTCTAGGAAATTCTAAGAAATCCTTGCCTTGTCCAAGGTCACAAACACTTTTTTTGCTTTTTATTATAACTTTTTTTTTTTTTTTTTTAGAGACAGGATCTTACTTTGTCACCCAGGCTGGAGTGCAGTGACATAACCACAGCTCAAGGCAACCACAGCCCACTGCAACCTCAAACTTGTGGGCTCAAACCATCCTCCCGCCTCAGCCTCCTGAGCCTCCATTAACCACGACTGGCTAAATGGTCACAAAGATTATTTTCGGTTTTATTATTTTTGTTTTATTCTACACATTTTTGTAATTTTAGATTACAGGTTTATGATCCATTTTGCATCAACTATATATACAATACAAAGTATGTGTCAAGGTTTATTTTTTGGTACCTGGATGTCCAGTTGTTCCAGCATGATTTATTGAAACTCCTTCTTCCAGTGAATTGCCTTTGCACCTGTGATAAAAAACAAATTGACTATATATATTCTAGACTCAATTCTGTTCCTTTGGTCTATGCATATATTCTTTCTCCAATATACACTGTCTTACAGTGGCTTTCTGATGTGTTTTGAAATCAAGTAATGTCAGTCTTCCAACCACATTCTTTTTTAAAAATTGTTTTTACTATACTGGCTTGTTTGCTTATTCATATAAATTTTAGAATTAGCTTGTCAGTTTCTACAAAAATATACTGCTAATATTTTGATTGGGGCTGCATTAAACCTATAGATCAATTTGGAGAGAACTGATATCTTAACATTATTGAGTCTTCTAATCCATGAAGTTTACCTCTAGATTTATTTAGGTCTTCTTTAATTTCTCTCATGAATATTTTGGGGTTTCAAGCATATAATCATGCACATATTTTATATTTAAAACTATTTCTTGGCTTTTATGCTATAAATTGTTATAAACTGTGTTGGAACTGTTTTTAATTTCAATTTCCAACTTTTCATTGCTATTATATACAAATAATTTTTAAATTTTTATTATGCATTTTTTGTTGTTGCATGGATTGTTCTGCAAACCTGAGTTAGTGCAAGTTGCTGGTGCTGTTCAGGTTTAGTATTTCCTTATTGATCTTCTGCCAACTTGTTCAATTGATTACTGAGACAGGAATGTTGAATTATCAAACTGTTATTATGGGTATGTCTATTTCTTCTCTCATTTATATCAGGTTTGCTTCTGGTATTTGAAGCTATGTTTTTAGGTGCCCATATATATAGGGGTTTTATGACATCTTTGTGAATTGACCTTTTTGTTACTATGTAATAGTCATCTTTATTCTTGGTAATATTCCTTATTCTGAAGTCTATTTTGTTTTATATCTAGATAGCCACTCTAGGTTTTAAAAAAATTGTATTTGCATGGCATATCTGTATCCATTATTTTATTCTTAATGTATATATGATATACATTTAAAGTGTACTTCTTGGCCAGGCATGGTGGCTCATGCCTGTAATCCCAACACTTTGGGAAGCTGAAGCAGGTGTAATGCTTGAGCTCAGCAGTTCGAGACCAGCCTGGGCAACACAGTGAGACCCTGTTTCTTTAAAAAAAAAAAAAAAAAAGTGCAAAAATTAGCCAGACCCAGCTACTTGGGAGGCTGAGGTGGGACTATCACTTGACCCCAGGAGGTTGAGGCTGCAGTGAGCCAAGATCCATGCCTCTGCACTCACATCTGGGCAACAGAGCAAGACTCTCTTTCAAAAAAAAAAAAACTGTATTTCTTATGGATAATACATACTTGGGTCTTGCTTTTTTGTCCTGTCAATCTCTTTAAATTGTTGTAGCTGGAGCATTTATATTTGATGTAATTATTGGTGTAGTCATTTAAATCTACCACCTTTCTAGATATTTTCTATTTATTCCATTTCTTCTTTGTTCCTTCTTCCTGTGCTTTTCCCAGGTGAGTCAGTGCTCCCATATCATTGCTCCCTGAAGGAGCTTGTCATTTCTTAGATTTATAGCTATTTGTTTGCCCTGTGAACTTAGTGTTCTGGGTTCAAGGAAAGTTATACTTTTGTCATTTATATGACACTTTCTTATTTTTAGGAAGGTATTAATGCTGTTTGTAGCTTTCTATGTCTTTGGTAGAAGTGGAACTCATCTTTATTCTTGAAGGCTATTTTTCTGGATATAGAATTCTGGGTAGATAGGTTTTTCATTTATTATTTTAAAACTGTTGTTCCATTGTCTTTTAGCCTCTGTTATTTCTGATGCAACCTTTGAGGTCCTTCAAATTATTATTCCCGGATATGGAATGTGTCATTTTTCTCTGGCTGCTTGGAAGACTGTCTTTTTATCTTTAGTTTTCAACAGTTTGACTGTAGTTTTTCTAAATATGCTGTTTATGTTTTAAATATTTTGCTTGAAATTCACTGAACTTCTTAAACTACAAAATTTATATCTTTAGCTAAAATTGAGGAATTTTCAGCCATTATTTCTTCTAGTCCATTCTCTCATTACTTTTCTCCAATATTAGATATTTTAGTATTTGTTTACAGGACTCTGAGGCTCTGATCATTTTTTAAAATAGGCCAGGCATGGTGGCTCATACCTGTAATCTCAGCGCTTTGAGAGGCCAACGCAGGAGGGTCACTTGAGCCCAGGAGTCTGCAACCAGCCTGGGCAACATAGTGAGACCCCATCTCTATTTAGAAAAAAACTATGTGTTAAAAAAGTTTTCCCTCTGTTCTTCAGAGTATATTATTTTTATTGGTCTATCTTCAAGTTCTCTGATTCTTTCTTTTATCATATCCATTCTGCATCTAAGCCATCCAGTGAATTTTTTATTTTACATATTTTATTTTTCTGTTTTAGAATTTCTATTAATTTCCTTTTTATAGTTTATGTCTCCCAACTAAGGTTTTCTATCTTTTCATTATTATATTTTCATTTCAGTCCTGAAGCATAATTATTTTTTAAATTCTTATCTTTTGATTACAACCTTGGTGTCATCTCAGAATTAGCCTCTGTTGATTTTCTTTTTCTTTAAAGCTGCTTCATGTTTATTTGTATCTTTATATGACAAGTAATTCTGGACTTTATGCTAGAAATTGTGATGGATATGTTGTAGAAACTCTGGATTCTATTATGCTTCTTCAAAGGAATATACATTATATATAAATAAATGTATAATGTATATAAAAATGTATATATTTTATATTATATATATATATATATATATTTTTAAGCAGAGACAGCTAACTAGGTTAAGCCCAAAGTGCAAGATGTGTCTCCCTGGCAATAGGTGGCAGCTCAATAGGTGGCAGTTATTTTAGCCTTAGCTGGGCTTCTTAGAGTCTGCCCTTCACTTGCATAATTCAACGGTCATCCAGAGATTAGTACATAGAAACATAGCTTATATGTAGAACTTAGGCTCACCCTTTCTGCCGCTCTTCTTTTCAAGATTCCAGTTCAGTTTCTAGCAGCTGTTATTGACCCAAACTCTTTCCCCAAGTAAGATTTCTATTCAGTTTCTAACCTTCCTACCCAGCTTTGGCTATGACTTGGTCTCAGGATAAAAGCATGAAAAAAAAAAAAAAAGTTAAACTAATCCCTTGCCTTCTGCTTCTTCTGAGTATCTAACCTCTCCAGTATTTGCCTGCTTTCGTTTCTTCTCCAATGCCTTCAAACAGTTATTTTGCTTCTTTCTAGAGTCTACAGTTATTATGTATGGAAAGGTTGGTAAGACAGAAGCTTATTTGGGAAGTGTGTTTGTAATTCAAACAGGTACATATCTCCTTAAACATCACTTGTGTTTTTCATGGAGTCTTTTCATCCTCGTTGTTGTTGTCGTTGTTAGGGTTTATTCATTTTAGTTTATATTATTTAAGATCAAGGACTGTTACTTTTTATGTTCAGTACCACTTTGACAATTGTATTATCTATCTATAGTGGAAGATGCTGGGAACTTGGTAAATATTTAAATGATGAATAATGAGTAAACTTGGCATAGGTTTTTCTTAGCTATACAGAACATATCCTTGTTGAGAAAAAGTATTCTGTGTAAGAAGACTTAATTAATAATTGCTATTTTTCATTAAAAATTGCCATTAGAACAGAAAAAAACACACTCAGATTTCTTAAAAAACAGAACCTCGCTTCTCTTTTAAAATAAAATTATAATTCCATGTATTTAACATTGACTTAAAATCTACTGGTGTCAAAGCACTTTGGAAAACACTATTTTTGTGTGAAAGGGGAGGATAATTAAAAAAGACAGAAATTCTAAGAACCCTTTTCTGAAAACAAAATTTGTTTAAAAAGACAGATAAGACATGCTCCCTGCCATCCAAGAATCTAAAATCAAGTTGGGGATACAGACAGAAGTAAATAACTTTAATATAAAGCAAAAAAATGTTAAGTGCTATATTGAGAATACAACAAACTATTATGTGAGAAGACATGGACACATAGAGGGAGGAACACACACTGGGGTCTATTGGAGGGTGGAGGGTGGGAGGAGGGAGAGGTTCAGGAAAAATAACTAATGGATACTAGGCTTAATGCCTGGGTGATGAAATAATGTGTACAACAAACCCCCATGGCACAAGTTTATCTATGTAACAAACCTGCACATGTACCCCTGAACTTAAAATAAATGTTAGAATAAAACTATCAACATCACAGTAAATAGAAAGCAATGCAATCAGTTCAGGATTCCAAAGAGTTTTTTGGTAAAGGTAGGATAGATACTGGCCTTAGGAAGAAGTAAAGAGCTTAATAGGTATATATGATAGGAAAATTCATCTTAGAAAAATTTGGAAAATTTTAGGCCATGTTTAGGAAAGAGTAGCATGGTTTAATGATAAGACCTAGGACTTTGAAATCACAAAAATATGTATGGCTATGTTCAACAATCTAAACTTCCCCAAACCTCAGTTTCATCATCAGAAAAATGGGAAAGTTGAGTAGAGTTCAAATTGTGGAGACTCTGAAAAGGCGGGTTAATAGAGGCCCATAGACTGTAGTCAGGGAAGCCTGCTAGTTGGCTATAGCAATAATAAAGTAAAAAGTATTGGCAATAGGACTGAATCCAAAAACAAAAGACTGTGTTTTCTGTTCCAAGCATAGACTGGAAAAAGATGAAAAAGCAGGAAAAAATATAAAGGATTTGGCCATTGATTCTATGGAGAAAGGAAAGAATGAAACTCAGGAAGTTTAATGGAAACAGCTAGAACCGATTTAATGAAACAACTCTGAAACTATTGTAAAGTAGATTATATACTATTATTTTATATGGTATATACACAGGATTCATTTTTTCTGATAGAAAGAGAATTATTTAAAATATATTTTGAAATAATCATAAACCATTTTAACTAGTAATAGGACTTGAAAGATGCTGCAAAAAGAAACAATTTTCAATGTTTGCTAATTTTTTCAATTAAAACTCAAAGACCTTTCTCCATAATTTTGCTTAACAGAATTTTTATATATATATATTTTTTTTTACTTTTCTTGTTCACTGAGGTCTTATTAACATATACTTCATGTTTTCCCATATATTACGTCTGTTTTATAGCAACAATCCACTCATTAACACCTCCTTAGTACTTCATTAAAATGTTTTATCCAAATATACTATTGGATTTTTTAATTTGTTTGTTTTGGATAGTGGGGAAATAGTCACAGAAAGGAAATGATACCTACGGTTCATAAGCCTGGAAACTCTTACTAAATGCAAACAAGCTGACATTCATAGTTAAGTGACTACAAGAAGCAATAGCTTAAAAATCGTGCTGTTGGACTTCAATATATTTATCTTTTGCATTTATTAGCATGAATAATAATTCACTAATGTGTGTCTGCTAGGTACAAAACACCATGCTAAGCATAACATACACATTATCTCACTTAATTTTCATGACAACCATGTGTGATACTCTGATTATCCCTAAATTAAACTAAAGGAAATTAAACTTCAGAAAAGGTTATGTGCTCATGATTGCATAGCTAGCGAATGGCAGAATTTAGATCTGAGTCTAGGATCACCTAACTCCCAAGCCCATATGCTTTCTCCTATACCTCATTGCCTCCCCTAGGAAAGAAGAGAAGGGCGAGGATGGAAGAATATCTAAAAACGAACTGAGTCCTTCCTAACTGCCAAACTATTCCAAGTGCTTTTGCATACACTGGCTAATTGAATTCTCACAACAGTCATAGGAGGGAGGTTTCTTATTATCCCCATCTTGAGTCATAGGAGGGAGGTTTCTTATTATCCCCATCTTGTATATGAGTAAACCAGAAAAGGTACCCAGATCTTCCATATGGCATTCAACAGTTCTACAACCAAGATGTGCATAACAATTGAGAACTTTGAGCCAAATAACATCATTTGATGGTCACCAGGAACGTCTTCCTGGTCCCTAAATATCTTCTCCAAGGTTTTCCCCTATCGAAACAAAAATAATCCTGGGGGCGAGAACACAATAAACTTCATTATCCAACTGCACTGCAGTGAAACTGAATGACCTTCTGGGTTCAGGGGAGGTGGTTTTAATGAAAGGAGAAGTAGCAGGCCAAAGGCACCCAAGAAGAAAGGGCTGGGGCACACTGGGAGGAGGAAGAAAGGAGTTACTGAGGATGGTTGAGATGCAGAAAGCCACCCTCGCCCACTTCACGTTTTTCTGGGCTTGGTCTTGCTGCAACCAAACTCACATTTGCCATTCACAAATGGAGATAAGACAATTAGGTGAACACACTGTGTTCCAGAGAAGATGCTGAATTCAAGTATTTTGTTTTTATTATTCTTTATTTATGAAGAACATAAAGCACTTTGCGTGAGATTAGATGTTAAGAGCTATCCATCTGGCTCTGCCAAATATTAACTCAGGTTAATTGTAGGCTGCTCAATCTATCATCCATGTGATGGCTTCACATTTTCAAACAATGTACTAAATGTTCCTCTAAGTTGATATTATTCCCATACTATATATCACATGGGATTTGCCATCTTAACTGCATGAGTGTGTAATGCTGTAAGTGACCCTGTGGCAAAAAGACAAGCGCAGAGTGGGAATGACTCAGCTTGGGCCCTGATCATACTACATCCAGGTGTGATAATGAATTAAGTTAATCTGTGAGTATTTTCTTAACCATAGACTGGAAAACTCTTATTCCCAAGAAGTTATTTTGACTTTTAAGCAGGGAATCCTGTAAAAGGTAGACTATTATAAACTCTCCTCAAGCAAAATATTTGCTTTATGTAAATAGACTTCTCAAGGTAATAAATAATTAAGGAACCTCAAAATAAAATAATGTATGAAGCTCTGAATCCCTAACCAAAAAGATTTCCAAAGATTTACCTTTGGAAATAATCCATCTCTAAGGAGAAATACTGAAAACATACCAACTGCCCTAAGTTCCAAAATCATAAGCAACAATTAAGAGCAATAATTAAAATGGAGAGTCCTGTGTTGAGGAATTGCAAAGACCTGGGTACTAATTCTTTTCTCCCAGGCAAGTTACTTAACCTCCCAGAGTTTAGATGTTCATCTGCAAAACAGGAATAACAGCACCTGCTCTGCCAGCTTGCACAGCAGTTGTGAGGATCAAATGCAGAGGCGGCAATAAAAGGGCAGCACCACCTGTACCTCCGAGACAATCCAGGTATACAAGGTACAATGAGGTCTGGCCCCAGGGCTGACCTCAGACTGTGCCTTAACACTCTGTGTCTTACTGCATCATTTCTGGAAGGTTATTTCAGAAGGTGGTAATTACAGAGAGTAAATTAGGGCTAAAGCAGGATGAGAACTTGCTTGGATGTTCTGTTGAGGAAAGAGAGGTGGAAGGAGCAAAGGGCTCAGCACCCAAAACTCTGGGAATCACTCAACTTTAGAGAAAGAAAGCAAAAGCACTTTTAAAATGAGTTAAGTGGAAGACGAACAGACAAATGAGGTAAGCACCCTGTCCTAGAACCTCTGGTTGGAGTGGGTTGAAGAGGGACCTGATAAGACTAGTGATTTTGTTGTCATCTTAAGAGAGTATCTAAGTAGAAAACTAGTCTGTAAAAATAGATACCAGAAACGAGTTGTGCCTGTCACTGGGTGGTGGGACCACTGGTGGGAATGTGTGATTTTTATTCTTTTTGTTTATCTATATTTTCTACTATGAGAATTTCACGATGAGAATGTATTATTTCCATAATGAAATTGCTACTTCTGCAAAAAGTAAAAAAAAAAAAAAAAAGATTTTAAATTATATATTATATGTAAAAAAAATAGATTTTTTTTTTTTTTTTAGTTACTGGGCGCTTTATTTTACAGGTAACTTCTATAAAGATGGAGGTTGCTTCTGGCTCATCAGCCATCGTTGATGGTAACCAGTCCTACAATTCTCATTAGGCAGTTCTGTTACCCCACTATTTCCTTGGGGTCTGTTGTGCTAAGGACAGGATTGGTTGGGTAAAGGGGTGTGGCACAAATAACCCTCAGGAATACAGGCCACAGAGCTAATGAAGGGCCCCAAGGAAAGAAAGACCTGCCCATCAGCGATGAATTCTCTCCCCCAGTGCCACAGACCTGAGGGCACGTGACCCAGGAATGTGCATCCAAAGATAATACTACCTTCAGAGAACTCTACTTATAGGTAAGTAACTCTCCTTTATAGGAGGTATCTTTGTGTGGCAGACTGTTTATGCGAGCAATTTGAATTGAACTTTAAATGAAAAAGCATATCTCTGTAAGTGGTAATAATTTTAGTCATCTCACTGTGGCTAGGGGTTGTGGAATTCATTAGCACAGATTAACATATAAAGTGGGTGAGATATCTAATAGCAAACGGAGAGGTTTAGGGGCCTTAATTCATCACTGAATGAACAGCGTGTACAGTATTAGGGACTATGAAATTTTTAATTTACACAAAGTGTCCAAGAATATAGGGAATAAATTTAAACCCAAAACAGATAATGGAGCTATGCCCTACCTGGCTGGCAAGTTGAATTGTTTTTACACTGAGTGAAGAAAGCTAATTATCCCAAGCACAAGGAGACTGCTAAAAATAATAAGATTATAAGGAATAATTTGCTGATATAATTACAACAAAATTGGGTACACACAATCGTCAGATACATGTATTGCTTGACCTGGGTGAGAAAGTGAAATAAATCCTTCTTCTATAGCCTTCGTAAATTTGTTTTTATCATCTCCAAGTGGTGTTTGCACAGGCAGCACAATTTGCATGTGTAATGTGGCTGTACAAATTGACAACAAGTAAATTATTCAAGGAAATAGGCTGGTCGCGGGTCTGAACTATCTCGCAAAGCCTATTCATTTTGAAGAATCACTGAGACGTGAAGCTCATACATCAACCGTTTTCTGACAATCCTCAGACTTATTGTCTCCTAAAATGTCATTATGGCTATTATTTATGAAGCTAATTCATTTATTAATATATATTTAACTCTGACTTGTCATGCACCTTAGCAGACATTCTGTGCACTGCATATTTTTGAATAGATGAAAGGCTTTTGCATGCTTTAATGATTACTGTAAGCTGCTATAGATTTATAGAATGCAGCTTTATTATCTACTTGCATTAATACCTTTTTATAAGTTTTTTTTCTTAAGGCCATCAAATATAAATGGCAAATGACATATTCAAAAGATTGTGTGGAATAAGATTTTCCTAGAGTTTGTTGAATTTTAGAACAAAGTGGGTTATCTGTCAGTTAAGGCCTAATTCACCTAAAAAGATGGGTATATACCAATTATGTTGAATTTTCCTCCAAAATATAGGCTGTGGTTTTTCAAGAAAAAGGAAAAGATTCATAATTCATTGAGCTCTTTCCTTGTGAGAAGAAAGGCCACTCTTTTGTGTGCTGAAGTTGGACAACAGTTCCCAAGGAAGCTGAATTCTAGCTGTTTATTGTTATTGGGTTTTGCACTATGCCCTTTATGTTGTCATTAATCAATAAATACGTGTGGAACAAATGATTAACTAGATGAATGATCTCCAGGTTTTCTGATAATGCCATGAGTAAAATCAGTAGAATCAAACATCTACTTAGAATACCATTTTATATAGTTTTGCTTTCTGCTTTAGCACTTCTAACCTCTAGAGAATGTTCTGTAACTCCCACCACGATTTAAAAATAAGCCATATGTGTATGTAATCAAAATATACAACACACGTTATTTTTACAGTCTGCATAATAATATATCAATACTAGACATGTATTGCTACTTCTTGTTGTCACTGGATAAATTCTGCTCACTAAATGTGACCTTGACTACTGTGTGTGTGTGTGTGTGTGTGTGTGTGTGTGTGTGAATGTGAGTGTGTGAGTATGTATGTGTCTGTGTGTGTGTGAGTGTTTATGTATTGGGAGGCAGGGAGAAGAAACTGAAGAATAAAAAGGAAGGACGATACAGTTGCCTCAGCTATTCTGTTGTGAGTATGTTTCATGCTAACCATTCAAATATTCACCATATTTCTAACTTAACATTTCTGCATTTTTGTAGGTGCAAATGTAAAGCTCTTAAAGTACCAACCAAGCAGAAAGGCAGCACAGGCAAACCTAACATTCCTGCCATTTAACTATGGATTTGAAATTGTGACAAACCAGATGCTTCATTTTAAAGATAAAAATTGTACAAAGATGAAAAATGTCATTATATACCTGAATATTATGTTGAATATATTAGTTTTAATAAGGTCATGAAATCACCAAAACTTTGAGACAATTAAGATGTGTTGCTAAAATGTTGCTTAATCTATGAAGATAGAAAGTAGAATTAGCTGGGTGTGGTGGTGTGCACCTGTAGTCCCAGCTACTAGGGAGGCTGAGGCAGGAGGATAGCTTGAACCCAGGAGGCAGAGGTTGCAGTGAGCTGAGATCATGCCACTGCACTCCATGCTGGGCAACAGAGCAAGACTCTGTCTCAAAAAAAATATGTAGATTAGTGGTTGCTTAGGGCTGATGAGAAGTGACTGCTAATGGGCATGGGAGTTCTTTTGGGGGTGACAAAAATGTTTTAAAATTAGATGGTTGTGATGATTACACAACCCTGTGAATAGACTAAAAACCACTGACTGAATCGTGCTCATTAAATGTGTGAACTATAATGGTATGCCAGTTATATCTCAATATGGCTATTTAAAAAGTACTGCTTGATCTATGCCAAAATTAGTGTAGTATATATAACCAATGCCATATACTATGAATAGTAGCATAAGAAATAATTTAAGAAACTAGCTTATGAAGGAAACCAAATTTAAGTATAAGATAAATGATCTATCCACAAAAGCATAGGAAGGAGGGCTGCTTTCCAGAAATTCAATCTTCAACAAGAATTGTATTCATGTTGCATGATCTGATGAGAGAGACAAAATTCTTATGTCTCAAACACTGATATAAGCTACCAAATGTAGTCAGGCAAAATCTTAAGTAAATGTACAGGAAGATACAATTTTTCTTTGGAATTATTGAATAAGAACAACAAAGCATCGAGAATCTATTTTTAAAAGTAATTTTGTTACATTAAGTTGTCTCTCAAAATGTCATATTAGATATGGAAAGCAAACCACACACGTACATACAAAATGTCTTTCTAACTGCATCCCCCTGGCAGGGAAGGCTGATGACATTTTTATTAGTAATATTAATCACATGCTTAAAGGGGAAATATCTCACTTTTTCAAGGACCATAATATTTACCTATTTACACCTTTTAAAATTTCAATAAGTCTAACTTAGAACCCTTAACCCCCATAACCTTCAAAAAACAAGTAAAATGAAAATTAATAAATGTTCCTTAGTGTGCTATGAACCGTTAATTGTACAGAATGAACAGCTTTAGCCTAATAAGAAACATGCCTTCAGCAGAAATGTGAAAGTCACCTGATGCTTATGATTTAATGATAAAAATGTGTAGTCAATTTGCAATGAAGTTAAGACCTACAACCCTGGAATATTTTAACTACAAATTCTTGCAGATACCTGAGGAGCTTTGAAAGGTGAACAACCCGAAGTACTGAAATGTTCTCAGCATGAATTAAGTAATTCATCTCTAAAGTGGTCTGAAGATAGAGGCAATAGACTTTCCAGTAATAACAAATGATCGAGATGGATTTGGCCTGACACTCCAAGAAAGTACAGGTGTTGCATTAATTTGGCAACAAAATAATTGTATCAGTAATTTTTTAGAGAAGAGATATTATAATATTGGAAGTAAAGACATGTTAATAGCATCATTAATCATAAACCTCACATAAATTTTTAAAATCAGCTCTAGGTTTAGCAATAAAAGTCCTAAGTATAATTCATTCATTCAAATAAATAAATACTTATGTAATTCTTACTATGAATGAAGACTGGTGTAGACAGTCTGGCACTAAAGTGGGCAGATTCCAGGGGATATAAAGATGAATTAAACACAGTCTTGTCTTTGAGGAACTTGAAATGAGAGGAGTGTGATGTTTTTACCAAAATTTCACCATTATTGTTTGAGTCATTTCCATTGAGCAGTGTTTTACCTTTATAATCAGAACCAATAGTGTTGATTTTTTTAAAAAGGGATTTAAGTGCCATTGAGTGAGATGCAAAGTTTTATAAGAGTTCAGAAGAGAAACCCCTGTCAAAGAAAATTTTCAAGGAAGAGTGAGCGTGTGAGCTAGGCATGGAAAGATGGCCAGCTTAATGACAGACTGAGTGGGGGAAGGCAATCCAGGTGGAAGGTATCATATCAGCTAAAGCTGAAACATGAAATTAATGGAAAACAATGCAGTATGGCTGCAGGTTAGGATGCATATAGAGCAGAAAAAGCTAGCATGTAATATTAGGGCTCAATGATAGGAGGCCTACACTATCACACTCAGGAATTCATATTCGGTTTGCCAGGTCATGTATGTAAGGTACTTAGCAAACAGTGCCCTGGGCATCAAGATATATGAGCCATTATCATTAGTGTTCAATGTCTCATAAGAAGATGGAGCAGAGCAAAGGCTATAGATAATCCTGGGCAGCCAGTTCAGTGTCTTTCCGTCTATCCCATAGGTAGGCTCTAGATGAGAGTGCCCCAGCAAGTAGGTCTGTACTGGGGTGTGACTCACTTTCAGATTGTCCCTGACTCACCATCCCCCCCAGCACTCATCATATTCCTCAGCAGCAAGCATTGACACTCTGAAAGTTCCTTCAGTGCAAAGACTATGTCCTCTTCTATATCTTTGTTTCCATGGCCTTAGCACATATTAGGTGTTCAAGAAATGCTTGTTGAACCAACTCCACATTAGGTATGAATACTCCCAGACAAATAAATACATTGATACTCTGACCAATGTGTCAGAACAGATGGCCTATTCATTTAGTAATTGAGTTTGTCACCACTGGACATACTAATGATAGCTAGTTTCTGGATCTGCCAGGTTCCCAAATGAGGCATTGTCCAGAGAGGACCTTGCTTGCAATCCTCTGGATATTGACATCCTCTCGGTTCTCCTCCTTTACCCCTAAACTACCACACCTACCTCCATAGGGATATTGTGGGTGAAATAAGGGTTTTCACATGCCTTGCATTGTGCCTGATGCATACTAAAATTCACTAAGCATGCTCGTTCCCCTAAACAGAATTTCTGACTTGTCCACCCATTGGCTACAGCATGGTAGACCATTTAGTGTACTGTTTTGGAGATGAAAGAAGTAAGAGAAGGCTCTTTCACAATTTTCATCTGCATGTCTCCTTTAGACGGACGGAGCCACCCTTGTGGACATTGACATACTCTTCCCTTTTCTACGATGGTACACAACTCCTTGTGGCTGAGCTCAGTTCTTGAAAATTCAGAATTATAAAGTTCAGAGCTGCAGTATAGGTCAAGTTCCTCTTCCCACTGAGATCTAAGGGATTGAAGTTCACAGTGAAGAACTAAAGGAGGGATTGAGGCCCAGAGTGGTCCAGTGACTTGCCTCTGCTGAGCACTGTTATGAAGTGGGAGAGAAGAAGAGTGTTCAGTTTTAATCAGAATCTTTGCCATCATGGAGACAGTGAAGCCAAGTGGATAAGAGCAGGGGCCAAACTGACACACAAATCCCAGCCCCCCACCTATTTTTACAAATAAAGTTTTACCAGAACAGCGTCATGCCCCTTAATTTATGCATAATCTATGACTGCATTTGCACTACAGCAGCAGCAGAGATGAGTGGGTGCAACAGAGATCATAAGTCCTACAAGTCCTGAAATATTTGCTATCTGGCCTTTTGCAAAAAATGTGCGCTGACCTTCTGTTAAGAATAATGACTTTGTTAAGCAGAACTGAGTTTAAATCCTAGTTCCAACTTGGGTGAGTTAACCTCTTTACACCTCAGTTTTTCATCTGTAAAGTGGGAGTAATAAGAGCATCTACTTTGAGGGATTATCATGAGGATTAAATACCCCAAAGTACCTAGCACAATGCTTGGACCATAGTAAACTTATTGAATGTGAGCAATGACAATGATGATGGTGTACATATATGTAAAATTTGTCATACTGAGGACACTGTACCTCCAAAAGGCTTTAACAGTGTGTTTTAAAATGTACCTGGAATTTGTTTTAATCAAGTATGCTGAGATACATGGACACAAGAATAACTGTCATGAAGGAGGAAGTTTTATTCACGTATCTCTAGAAACAGGAGGCAGGGTACACCAGGAGGCAGGGTACACCTTCGGGCAGAAGGCAAAGGAAGTGAGGGGGAAACGTGGGCAGGAGCCTTTATTGAAGTTTCTGCAAGAAAGACAAGCAGGGTAGGCAGTTAGGATGGGCTAGTTCGGATAATTTCCCCAGGTTCTGAGGTACAGGAACCACCCCAAGTCTCCTGATACCTGGCCCTAGGGTAAGTGGGGCAGGGGGATAGTGTCCCTCAGAGGAGGAGCTTGATAAAGGAGGTGGTTGAGGGTATGGGCGCTGGATTGGTTGGTTTGTATATGAAAGGTTCACTCCAGGGGAGGTGTTTACTATCTCTAGGTATTGACTACCTCTGGAAGGGGCAGGCTGTCCATGATCAGCAAGTCTCCAAAATGTCAAAGCATGAGAAAATAAGAAAATAATTAACATGAAACGGCTTGTTGAAGGCCTATAATAGATACACCCATACATACATATATACATGTAATACATGAAAAAGATATATGTATTAATGCGAGTAAAATACATACACATATATATTACATATAACATATATGAAACATACAAGTATTAAGGCAAGTAGAATACACACACACACACACACACACACACACACACACAAATAATCTGTGCCCCCACAAAAAATACTTTCTCAGTTTCTAGGAACAATACTACCAGAGTGATGAAACTACTCTACCTGATTGTATGATCCTTGCACTAAAAGTAAAATAGAGGTCACATGGGAGTGGAAAGTAGGCTGAATTTAGGAATACATCTACTGTGGTTTTTCCTTTGCCCTCTGTCCCTTTAGGATTCCTCTTTAGCTCCTTCCATTTTTTCCCCCATCCAGTGGTGAAATTGAATCACTGAAGCAGCTGAGGCAGAGAGCTTTTCCTTCAGGATTCACGGCCTATTTCTCAGTTCTGGGAAGACAACTCTAACAACTCAACAGAGTGAAGAGAGATAAAGATGTTGGGAATGACTGATTTCAAACAATCAAAACTGCTTTGGGGATGAGGATGAAGTTGGGACATTACTGCCTTGTATACCACATACTATAATATTTATTATGTCTATTGTTTATTGTGTGTGTCCTTCTTTAGAATTTTAACTCCCCAAGGGCAAAGATCCCTGACTGTTTTGCTTATCAATGTATCCAAAAGGCCTAAAACAGAGCCTTGTACCCTATACACACTCTGCAAATATTTGCTGAATTGAATAAAAGGCTGCCGATCTATAAACTATGCTGCTTTCAAATAAAACTAAGACAAGGACATTGATAGCATATCCTCATCCCCTGTCTGGCCCCTTGGATTTGATTTGAGCCTCTGTGATTAGAATGATGAAGTCTGTTGGGGCTGTTTTCAGGAGAGGTTGTGAGACTCTAGGCACCAGAAGAGCTGCCCTGGGACACAGAGAGGAAAAAGTAATAAATAATGGAGAAGAAAAAAAAAAAAACCATGGGAAACAAACAAACTCAAACTAGAAATGAAATAAGCTATGGCTTCTGTAATCCTCCTGCACATAACAACTATGGGTTTTGGACAAAATACAAAAAGCAGCTATCCAGAGGCACTGAAGAGAAGCCAAGCAGGCAGACAATGGAGGGGAATCTGCATATGGAAGAAGGAGATGACAGTGGGAAAGTTCCCATTATTACAGCTCTTTGCTGGAAAGCCGGTCCCAATCCATGCCAAATAAAGGTTACTAAAACATGAATAGAAAATCTGTAGTCTTACTGGCATGAAGAGCCAGGAGACAGGGTTCATGGTGATTATAGCAACCAGAAAGTGAGAAGGGGGAAATCTTGGAAAAATGAGAGCCAAAGAGGGGGAAGTAACATGTTCTATGTATAAACTCTGCACAAGTCATTGGCTGACTCATGAACCATGTGTGCAAATAGCCCAGCTAAGGCTAGAAGAACCAAACAGAGATTTCTGTTGCTGTGCACTGGAGACAGTTTACAGTTTGAAGTAGTTAAATTAGCTGCCTGCTTAAAACAAATCATCACTCTTCAGAGGAATATAACAGAACCCAGAGGCTCTGCAACATATCATTCACAGTTTTCTGGATAATATCTAAAATACTAGGCATATGAAGAAAAAAAGAAAATGTAAGCCAAAAACAATCAATGCAGACTGACACTCAGATAAATAATTAGCAGACAAAAATTTTAAATCAGCTATTTTAACTATGCTCATGAATGTAAAGGAAAATAGGTTTGTAAAGAATTAACAAATACAAAATCTCAGAGAACTAGAAACTATTAAAATGATCAAATAAAAATTCTAAGACCAAAAACTGTAATAAAATATTTGAAATAAATGTTGCCATATGGGCCTGACAGTAAATGGAAATGACTGAAGAAAAACCGAGAGAATTTGAAGACAGATCAATATAACTAATTCTATCTAAAGAATATAGAGGAAAAATACTGGGAAAAATGAGCAGAGCTTCAGGGACTTGTGGGACAATACTGAAAGATCTAGCATACATATAACTAAGTTTCAGAAAGAAAAGAGACAGAGAATGGAATAGAAAAAATATTGAGGAAGATGTAATATACATGATAAATGTATATTAGCAGAAGTGAGTCTACTTTAAAATGTAATTTTAGATTTCAGATATATATGTGGTAGAAATAAAAAATTCAAAGATAATTGATATAGAAGATAATAACAAGGATATCCAAATTGTGTGAAAAATGTTCTGGAGATCGAACAAATAGCAAAAGTACAAAAAGATCAAATCACACCAGAGTAACACTCTTCAGAACTGAAAAAAAGTAATATCATAAACCAAGAAATATCCTTAGACACTTATAACTGAGACATGAGAGTTTTCAACTTTTTTTTTTTTTTTTTTGAGACGGAGTCTCGCTCTGTCACCCAGGCTGGAGTGCAGTGGTGCAATCTCAGCTCACTGCAAGCTCCGCCTCCTGGGTTCACGCCATTCTCCTGCCTCAGCCTCCCAAGTAGCTGGGACTACAGGCGCCCGCCACCATGCCTGGCTAATTTTGTGTATTTTTAGTAGAGACGGGATTTCACTGTGTTAGCCAGGATGGTCTTGATCTCCTGACTTCATGATCTGCCTGCCTCGGCCTCCCAAAGTGTTGGGATTACAGGCGTGAGCCACCACGCCTGGCGAGAGTTTTCAACTTTTAAAGAGAAAAACTTTAGATTCCTTTTTAAATTTTATGTTTGAATCATTTTAAGTTTATTTCTAAATATTTCATATATCATGAACAATCTAAAAATAATATGTCAAACACTTGTGTATGCTCCACCTGGTTTAAGAAATAAAGCAAGCTGGGTGTGGTGGCACACACCTGTAATCCCAGCTACTTGGGAGGCTGAGGTGGGAAGATGTCTTGAGCCAGGAGTTTGAGGCTGGCTATGATCAAGGCAGAGAATAGCCACTGAACTCCAGCCTGGGCAACACAGTGAGACCATGGAAAGAGAAAAGAAAGAAGGAAAGAAGGAGAGAAGGACAGAAGGAGAGAAGGAAAGAAAAAGAAAGAAAGAAAGAGAAAGAAAAAGAAAGAAAGAGAAAAAGAAAGAGAGAGAGGGAGGGAGGGAAGGAAAGAAAGAAAGAAGGAAGGAAGGAAAGAAAGAAAAAGAAAGAGGAAGGAAGGAAGGAGAAAGAAAGAGAGAAAGAGAGAAAGGAAGGGAAAGGAGGGAAGCAAGGTAAGTGGTGGGGAGGAGGAAGGAAGGAAGGGAGGGAGGGAGGGAGGCAGGGAGGAAGAGAGGGAGGGACGAAGGAAGGGAGGGAACATTACCAAATACTGTTGGACACTCAGCCGTTTACCCTTCTCTGATTTTACTTTTCTCTACACACCCCCACATTGTAACCACTATATTGACTTTTTTTTTTTTTTTTTTTTTTTGGGACGGAGTCTTGCTCTGTCGCCCAGGCTGGAGTGTAGTGGTACGATCTCGGCTCACTGCAAGCTCCACCTCCTGGGTTCATGCCATTCTGCTGTCTCAGCCTCCCAAGTAGCTGGGACTACAGGCGCCCGACACCACGCCCAGCTAATTTTTTGTATTTGTAGTAGAGACGTGGTTTCACCGTGTTAGCCAGGATGGTCTTGATCTCCTGACTTCATGATCCGCCTGCCTCGGCCTCCCAAAGTGCTGGGATTACAGGCGTGAGCCACCGCGCCCGGCCCCTTGACTCTAATGAGATCGATCACCTTTCTGTTTGTTAGTCATCCATATTTTTTCTGTGACATGTCTGTTCCTGTCTTTTGTCCATTTTTCTATTGAATTGTCTTTTTTCTGACTGAGTTCTTTATTCATCCTTGTCAGTTAGATGTTTTGGGAATACCTTCTCCTAGTCTCTGGTTTTTTGTTTTTGTTTTTGTTTTTTACTTTTAAATGGTGTTTTTTGGTCAACGAAAGTCTTTAATTTTAATGTGTCATATTGATTATTTTTCTGTGTGCTTTGTGATTTTTTTCATCTGACTTAAGCAATCCTTTCCTACCATAAGGTAATAAAGATGTTCTACTTTATTTTATTCTAAAAGTCTTAACATTTTCCTCTCATATTTAGATCTTGAATCTACATTGACTTTATTATGTACAGTGTGAAATATGAATTTTTTTCCATAGGGATAAATGATTGTCCCAGTTACAGTGAATACGTAGATTTTAGGAAAGAGAATCAACACCTTTATAGTACTGAGTCTCCCTGTTCCTATTCATGATTGTGCAATTTGTCCATTTATTTAGGTCATTTTAAATGTATTTCAATAAGATTTAATAATCTTTGGTAAACTTATTCCTAGATATCTTATATTTTTAGTTGCTTTATAAATAGTACCTTTTAAAAATAAGTTTATATTTTCCAAGTGTTTGTTTCTGGAGTTTAAAAAAAAAAACAATTTTTATATGATGGTCTTCTAGCCACCAACCTTACTTAACATCAAAATGGTAAAAACCAGACCACATTTATCATATTCTGCTATAGCAATCATTACAAGATGCTGGACTCACATCTCTGGAAAGCTTAGGAAAATAGTGGGAGACCTTGGGATACCCCACTTAGGGAAGCTGTCATTCACACATAAATGCAAAAGAAAGGAGACTCACAAATCCATAAAGTCTCAGACTGTCTTTTTCACAGCTTACTCGAGGCCCCATACCAAAATATTAGGAAATGAATTAGAATTTTTAAATAATGGAGATGTTACTGCTAAGACGAATCTGAGGTAACCCCTTGTCAAAACAGAAGTAAGTAAACAAGAGCTCAAACTAGAAGGCCGCTGCTGCTGTCTGGTTTAAGTGACCTTAAAAATGGTAGTACACAAAACAGAAAAATATCCTGGGATCAAATGGGGGTGAGGAGGACATTCAGAACTTTAGATTCAAGAAATGAGGATGGAAAAAGTGGAACCAGCATGAAAAATCTCTTGTTTTTCACCCAGAAAAGCAACAAGCCTCTAGTTTTTACCGGATACATTTAAAGTGTGAAATGCTGTTTTATGTGACGGTTTGAGTGAAAAACATACATGTCTACAATCCAAATGGTTTTAAAACATCAAAGGAGACAATACTGTACATGTGCTAAAAGGTACATAAAGGACAACAAAGTATTAAAATGGGAAAATATACATAACGATTATAATGAATATAGTTATATAAATTCCCCATCGGCTCCTACCGAATAAAAAACTTTAATAATATTTTGCTTACCAGAATTTTTTCAACCAAAGCACTACAAACATGATTAAAAATAGAATGATGGTTATTCCATATACAAAAAGCCTACTGAAGAGAAGAGAGTTGTATTTGGGAAAAAGCTTCTGAAGATTTTTGCTTTGTATGACAGAATACAGAAAGATATGTTTAATGTCGACTACAAAAAAGTTTCTAAATCTCATTTATTTTGTTTGTTTAGCAAATACTTATATAGTGCTTACCATGTGCCAGCTATTATTCTAAGTGCTTTACAAAGAGAAACTCATTCTATTAGTCCAGATCCTGGCAGGAAACAGATGGCACGCTCAAATTGGATAAATTGAAGCGAATTGAATACAAGGAATATTTACAAAGGTGTGAGTGGGATTTAGAAAATGCAATAGGGGATTGTGCAACACCCTGGCTCACAGCAGCAGGGAGCCTATACCACCCCAGGGCCTGCCTGAAGGGCCTCGGAGAGGGAGTGGTTGGAGGTACCTAGAGAGAGCCTCTTCCTAGAGGCTGCTTGGCAGGAGCACTGGGTGGCAGACAACCCATGGCAACCTAACAGGCAGGGAACAAGGGGAATAATCACCCTGACCTCACTGTCCTCCTCCCCCTGGCTCTCCTGCCCATACTGTCATTAGCCAAACCCAACAGAAAGCCGGAGAGCAGAAAGCTCATTGATGCCTCTTGTACAGGTCGGCCTCCCAGGGTACAGAAGCAGGTTGGAGAAAGGTTGGAAGTGGAACTAAAGGAGCAAAGAGAAGATACTCCACATACTTATAATAACCCTATTTAGTAGGTACTATTGTTGCATGCATTTTATAGAATCTGACGCACAGAGAGGCGTCAGTTGCCCAAGAACTTGCCCAAGATCACAGAGCTCATAAGTGATGGATCCAGGATTTTAATCCAGGCATTTAGCTATCTCTCTTACAATATTATCATACAGAAAACCTATGTAATCATCCTCTATATTTAAAAACATTTCTTAATGCTGCCCGATATACTGAAATTTAAATGGATAAAAAAAGACCATTTTAAGAGTCATTTCTGACTTCTTTCTACCACCTGTTTAAGGGCTGGGAGGAGTTTTTATGTTATTGGAGGCACTTAACTACCAAGATTTCCATTATGATTCAGAGATCATTATGAAAATTGAGCAATTTTCATGATAGGCATACTTCCCAGCAGCTTCTTAGTAGAGTTGGGAGGATTATAGCTAGGGGAAACGCAGGAGGTGAAAATGTGGTCTCATTGGAAAGTGTTCAGTTGTGAATGTGGATGGTGGTTTTATTAAATTTGTACACTTGAAGTCTTTTAATTTTCCAATAGAATTGTAGGAATCTGGCACTTCCTAACAATCAGGGCACAAATCCTTTCTAGTTTTTTTTTAGTAAGTATTTTCCAATATTAAAACTAAGCCATGAGTTCAGTATAAATGAGTGTGATACAGCAAATAAACTGTAAAGCATGTTTCTAGAGAGAAAGATATATTTTCTTGCTGATTTCTATTATTTGGTTAGTATCCCTTGAATAAACTACTTACTAGAAGCTTCAGAATTGGGAATAAGTACAAGGCTAGAATGGTTGCCAAGTCCAATATTGTTTTCCTGGACACGTTTGCATTTTAAGAGCTTTTTTCTTCCCCAGAACTTTTCCGCTTTACATCTACCCTTCCATGTTGTACCCCTGCCCTTGTTTCTGCTTGTTGGTCAAACACATGCCCAGGCATGTGTTTCCCCTCCCTCTTCCCCAGAGAACGCATTTCATACCTTTGTGCCTTTTCATTTGCTTTTCCCTTGGCCTTCCATGCCCCTCTCTTATACTTGGTCACTCCTGTTCTTCATTTAGGAATCTAAAGACTGTCTTTTGTGAGAATGTTTCCCCATCTCCCCTAGAAAGAGCCTATCACTCCCTTCCATGAGCATCTAGAGTTTTGTGTACATACCTTGTTTGCAGCCCTCTACCATATTGTATTAACCTTATTTGCTGGCATATTTATTTATTACACTGAACTGTGACTTCTTGGAGGCCAAGATCCTAGTCTACTGAAGAGTTTTACAAAAGTCGTTGGATGAACAACTATTCCTGAACCAACTAAAAATAGTTGTAAAATTCTTGGCCATCACACAGGGACCAGAAACCCCTTCAAAGTCTGTTTATATTTTTTTGTGTCTGCCACTTGCAGGAAGAGATTCAGAAAATAGCCCAAGAGCATGAAACATCATATGTATCCTGATTTGCATTTTACTAATATTAGGGTCAGTGAGTTAAATATAAGTTTGGTGTAATTCTTCAGTAGGTAGATCTAAAATTTCAGAATTCCCAAATTATTAATAGCTTCCTTAGCTATTTTTATAATGATGCTTTCAGTAAATTCACTTCATTGGAAGTATACTAAAAATTAGATATATGCTCAAAATAGTAAACGATTATTTCCAATAGCATTCTTCTGAACAAGTATTAAAACCAGAATACGAGTTAGGTTCATATTATCACAAATGGGGAAGAAATTTTGGTTTAGAAAAATACTCTTCAGTCCCCTGAATGACATTATAATTACTCTTCAGTCCCCTGAATGACATAACGAGCACAATATCTTTGTGTTTAATTTGAGTATAAGGGCTGGTCTTTTTAAAAGAGTGAGCGAGCCTCTCTCTGGATCTCCTTTTGGGTTTCAGATGCCTCCCTCAGTAGGTGTCATTTCAAACTGCTCCATCATGAGTGTTCCAGTTTCCATCTACCTGGTCTACCTGCCCACTCACCCAGTTTTCCCAGGCGCTCACTACCCACACGGCTTACTTTCAATTCCGTTTATGGTGAACCACTAATTTTCTTTTATCACTTCCACCACTGGCTCCTGACCATGCCTCCCTCTACTTGGGAGCGAGACAGAGTGACTCCAAGGCCATGCATTGTTTAGTGTCTATAGGTGGCACTGGGGCTGGGGAGGCAAGAACAAAGTAGCAGCTGTTTCCATGACCCATTTCTCCCCAAGTGCTAATAGTAAACTCTCAGTGGTGTCATAGAACCTTATTCTACTTGAGATTTAGTTTAGGGAAGATCATTCACTAAGATAGCCTCTTCAGTTCTCTTTCTCCATGGCCAGACATATCCCCAGCATCATTTATCAATGAAGACACCACGTGCAGAAGTGTATGATCAACCATGAAACAGTAGTAGAGGGAAAAACATTATCTTTACCTAAACTGTGAAAGAACAAGGAAATTTGTAGATGTTTTCGAAACTAGAAATCTGTGTGGTATAAAAAAAAGTGTTCTGTCAAGAGACCTCAATATGTAGCATGAGGACTTAAAACTCAGTAATATTTTTCTTGGTTTCTAGAACTACATTCCGGTTTACTGAAAGTTTGTGGCTTAAGAAGTGTTATCTGAATCCTCAAGTTGGCTAATGATTTGGAATCTTTCTCTGAGTTGTTAGTATGATTTTCCAGTATTTTTTCTCCCTTAATCTGCCATATGGCATATATTTATTCTTAACATTACTGTAAATTAAAATTAATTTTGTTTTAGGAATTTGAAAGAATTCCATAAAATCTCTTGAAGTAGATGGAAATGTCCTGCAGTTGAAACAAACTAGGGTTGGGAGACACTAATCTAGATTAATGTTAATAAGCAACATGTTGGGATTAATCATGTGTTTTTGCACTTTCTGTCTTGAGACAGAGGGCCACAAAGTGGTGGAGTTTGCAAATAATAGTTAATCCCAATGTACTGAAAATAACATTTCGTTCTTTAATATATCTTGGAATGCAACCATCACTCATTTTCTTCTTTTGGTTTATAGCCCTTATTTGGATGTTAATAGTAAATGAATTATAGCTCACTATGAATTACAGCAGAAATCTACCTCATGGTTTACGCAAATGAACAGTCATAAGATTTTAACCAAGTAGTTTATGACGAATAATTTATAACAAGATCAGTTTTACCATTAAAGAAAAGCACAATAAATTGAAAAGGATAAGATGAATGAGAAGTGCTTGGCACTTTGCTTTGTTCTTAGCACGTTGGCAATTCCTGCCATTAATAACACTTGGCTTTAATGTGGCAAATTTCATTTTGGATGTTTAAAGCACTTCAGAAACATTTGTTTGTTATTCTTCCCAGCATCCCAAGTCCATGGGTGCACTACCTCAGAAGAACATTTGTTTTCATTAGGAGTTAAAAGTAGGGTTAGAACCAAATAAAAGTCAACAAGCCTTTTAGAGGGGGAAATAAGGATTACATCAAATTCCCAGTGGCTTCTTCTTTACTAGCTCATGGGGAAATATTTTTTCTGCAGCCTCGAGGCGAAGGAGGCAAAAGTGACCCCTTCCTTACAGCTTCGGAATGAGATGAATTATTCCACCCTATGTGAACCCACAAAACACTTCTGTCCATGAGTCTAGGATGGGTCAGTAATGTGAACTGAGTTGGAAATTGTTGCTCCATGAGTCATATGCTCAAAGTGCTCCATTCTTTTGATTCCTCCAATTCTTCCTCGTAGTTTTTTATTTTTTTATTTTTTTTTCCCCATTGCTGATAGCTTGTGTTCTCTAAGCAGTAATTTTCTGTTGAGAAAACTATGAGACATCCATCACCTCTGTTTGGGTGAGAGCTTCTTGAGTGCTGGGATTTTACTTTTTTATCCCTATATAATCAAGATTTAGCACAGAGCCTGGGATGGACAGTCCACACACACACACACACACACACACACACACACACACGTTATTAACTGATTGACTAAATGGTAAATATCATCAGTAAGTCATAGAGAAATTTAGCCCCTCAAGCTCTATAAATGCCATTTAGTGTGCAAAATGCAGCAATACATCATAAAATCAGGGCAGACACCCCTGCTTAGTACAATCATTAACAATGGCATTGCTTATCATCTCCAACAGCCACCCCAGTTTTCTCTTACATCTATTTGAACCTTTGCAGGTTAGTGGTCCTTGTAATTTAAGCCACAGTCACAATAAGCACATCCTTTAGAGTCTATAGTTTGGGTTCAGCAAACAATGATTACTCATACTTTCTTAGTCTCCTTCAGTAGTCAACAGGTCTAGCAATTTTGTGGCTTTTCAACAGCCTAGGCAGACACTGACAAAATGCTTTAGAAGGACTTAGTCTTATTTTTCCTCTTAGGGCTAGAGATGATCTTCTCATTGCTAATAACAGCTTCTGAAAATTTCAGGAATGTTGAAGACAAAAAATACAGGTGGGAGTGAAGGGAATGTTGGAGCTGATTCCACAATTTTGCAGGTGGATTAGATACTGAAGTTAGATGTTTTCAGATTATATTGTACTTCGTAGGCATCAAACTAGCCAAACAAAATAAAAAGAACCTGCCTCGCTCTTGCCTGTATAATGTATTCCTGTTTAGTTAATAGAAACACTGCTCCTCCAAATTTCCAGGTTAATCTCCAATTTTGTAATTACATTAGAAATTAGTATAAATTAACATAATTAATTGAGAATTAATTAACACACTTGAGAACTATTTATCCAGGAACTTTGAATATTATGGTATGCTATATAAGTCAGCTTAAGATATTAACTGGACCTGCAGTATCACAAATTTTAGAAACCATTCACCTTAAATATATGAAATCTTTTTAAATTTCCTTTAGAAGGGACAAATTGTGGGAGGTTATTTCCAAGCATTATTTTGTCATTCTAAATCTATGTTTGTTTCCTAGATTGCAAGATGACTAGTAGTGATTACAATTGCAGCTAAAAGTATTCTCATTAAACATACCTAGAAATAGGCAGGGTGAGGTGGTCCATGTTTATAATTTTAGCACCTTGAAAGGCCGGGGTGGGAGCCTGAGCTCAACTCACTTGAGCCCAGGAGTTTGAGACTGACCTGAGCAACATAGGGAGACCCCTTCTCTACAAATACTTTAAAAATTAACCCAGTGTGCACCAGCAGTCCCAGTTACTCAAGAGGCTGTGGCTGGAGGATCCCCTGAGCCCCAGAGGTCAAGACCATGGTGAGCTGCAATCACACCACTGCACTCTAGCCTGGTTGACAGAATGAGACCTGGTCTCAAAAAAACAAACAAAAAAAACATAGAAATAGTAAATATTGTCTTCATCATCTCAAAGAAATAAGGTTAAAGATGGCTGCTCTTTTCTCGGGCATAACTCTGTGTCATAATTTCATGTCTGGGGCATAACTCATATGTTTAGATTTAGGGTGGAAATAAGCATGCAGGATAAGAATCACATTAATGACAACCCAGTAACTATTTGATCTTACCTATTCAGGCCCTCCATGCCCCCAGTCAAATATAATTTACTTAGTCACTTTCTTCACTTCGGCTATGAAAACCATAGTTTGCTAATATGATTCTTATATAATATTTCAGCATACTGTAGAATTGCATTTGGCAAACTTGAAACCTAGACTAATAATTTATTACCCTTTTTAGTTCACTTAAAAAAGTAGATGGGATATTGGAGGTGCTGAATACTCAGACTGATTTTTCTCTGGCTGGGAAAATGAGGAGGTCTCTAACTGACTTTTCCAAGAAAAATATGTTACCATTCTGGAGAATAATGTTGGAAACAGAAACCATGCAGGGAGGATTATAGAGAAAAACAAAAATAAGACATAGCAGTGAAAGCCTTGCCATTCATCACAAAAGACCAGTCAGGTGGGCGAGGAAAACAAGCATGTCTGGGAAGTCCCAGTTAGGTGCTCTTCCTCCCCTCACCTACCTTTAAGTAGAAGAAAATAAATTAGGAAGGATTTAAAGCCAGGCAAGTTGAAGCAAACAATGCAGGGATATACAGACTAGACTTGTAGTTCCTCCAGATCCACACAAAGCCAGTCCAAAGAGCTGAAGGAAACCAGAGCTTTCAATCCAGTACGTCAACCAGAATGGAGTGGCAAGAGGAAGAGTTAAGGGAAAGATGTGGTTCAGGCTTATTACAGTTATTTATATTGAAGACAATGACTTGGGTATGGGACATGGGTTTGGATTCCAGTTCTACCACACATTCACCATGTGATTTAATCTCCTTAAATTTGAGTTTCATCATCTGGTAAATGGGGATAATAATTGTATTTAAGTCTTTTTTTTTTTTTAAGATAATCTCACTCTATTGCCCAGGCTGGAGTGCAGAAGCATGATCTTGGCTCACTGCAACCTCCAACTCCCAGGTTCAAGTGATCTTCCCACTTCAGCCTCCCAAGTAGCTGGGATTACAGGCACACACCACCACGCCTGGCTAATTTTTGTATTTTTAGTAGAGATAGGGCTTCACCATGCTGGCCAGACTGGTCTCAAACTCCTGGCCTCAAGTGATCCACCTGCCTCAGCCTCCTAAAGTGCTGGGATTACAGGGGTGAGCCACCGTGTCTGGCAAGTAGTTAACTCTTAGAGTTATTCTCAGAGTAAAAATAACAATAGCTGATATTTACAGAACATTTATTGTGTGTCTGGCATTGTACTGATCAGGTATTTGTTATCTGTCTTAATACTATTTTTAGTCTCATTGTACATATGAGGAAACCAAGGTTTGGACAGATTAAGTGTTTTGTCCCAAGTCACTCATCTAAGAGGTGGCAAGGCCTTGACTAAGTGAAAGAAATCCATATTGTATACAATATGGTGCAAGCATCACTGAATACTGAAGAAATGGCAGCTGTTATGATTTCCCATGTATCTGTCTAGACGTGTTGTGCCATCAGATAATATGGCAGAAGTAGAGAGAAGCACCAGCCTCCCATCAACTCTTGGAGTTGACCAGCTGGCAACTTTCAGTGGATAAGGTGACACTAGCATTTTGCATGGTGCCGTAGAAAATCAGCCCATTTGCCTTCTTAGCCTCTATCTCAGGTTTCCATCTTCTGTTCTAATAAATAAAGCATTCAACTGGGATTGAGGAAAATTGCGTTCTAGCCCCATAGTTGCATACACCTTGATTGTATCCCAGGCATACATTAGCCATGTGACATCTTAGGAGATCAACAATCAAGAGCATGTTGCTACCTGATTAATTCTGTCTCTCAGGGGTTGGCATTGCAGGAAACTGGAGAACCTGCACTCTGGGGCACCCAGGTGGGTGTAGGACAGGACAGATGTCATCTGGCTGTTCCCTCAGCTAAGACATTATTGAAACTGCTACTGACACAAAGGGCAAAACCAAGGATATCGGTCTTACTTTGAAGTTATCTTCATTTCTTAATTAGATTGAGATTTGACAGAAACACCTGGTAAAACAAAGAGAGTTTTTATAAATTAAACATTTTTTAATTTCTATTTTTTTTCTCACTCTGTCTCATGGTGCTGATAAACTTGCTTTAAACCAATAAATTATAGAATGCTACATTTCCCAGTATTATTTTTGCCATGATTTTTGCTTCAGTGGCTGACCCCAGAAATTAGCAAGGGAAAAGTATTCCCATGAAGCTGGCTCATCTCAGATGTTAAACAAAATTACTGTAACCATTCTTTAGTTCATAGGTAAGTCTTCCATCGATGTCAAAGGAAATTCAGGATACCGAGAAGGTGATATTTTCTTACAGAATCCAGCAAGACGATGTGTAAAGGTTTTAGACGTGTAGCTCCTATCAGAGTTAACACGAGCTGTGCTGTTAAAATCCCCTCCTGACACTTTGCATTCTATCCTGGGAAATCTGAAGAAGTTGCAGAAGGGTCATCAAAACATCAGCATCACTTTGATAAACTTGTCAACAGATAAAATAAATTACATATATGTTTGCTTCTTTTCCTCTGAAATCTAAAGTAATCATGACTATATAAAAACCTTTTACCATAACTAATTAACTAGAAGCTCCTCATAAACTATGTGTCGACAGCACCGAATGTCTAATTATCCTTTTTCACTTTGGAATTGTGATGTTGAATAATGAAGAAAACATTACCTGATGAAGTCTTTTATTTTATGATGATACCTCAGGAGACAAAGGAGACACAAAGGCTCAAATGCCATCTTCAGTTACATCTTGGCCTTGGCAATCTTTTAGCTGGTTTTGATTTGCATGGAAACCAGTTATATTTTTTAAAGCGTATAGAAAGATGGAAGGAAGGAAGGAGGGAAGGAAGGAAGAAAGGAAGGAAGGAAGGAAAGAAGGAAGGCAGGCAGGCAGGCAGGAAGGAGTTGTAAGATATTCTGTATAGCTGTTTAATTGCACTGTTGATTCTAGGCATGAGGAACCCTTTTCACATGAAGAAAGCCATGGCATAGCTGTTAACTGCTATGCTAACTGCTAGCCTATTCTGCTGGACATTGTGGCTTGGGTTTTGCCAATTCCATTAAAATGTCTATTCTCTCCCTGCCACATAATGATCTACTTTAATTCAAACCAGGCAAGCATGAACTCATGTGACAGATATGACAGAAACAGGGAGGTGAGTGGCTTTTTTTTTTTTTTTTACTTTTGAAAGCAATGGATCAAATCCATACCTGCAGGCACTTATGTGTAGACCCAGACCTGCTAGAGAGGGCATTTTCAATCCTTGCCTACTCCCAAACATGTGCCCACCTTCTAAATATTTCTACATTTCTGTCAAAACTCGAGAATATATTTCAACATAGTTGGCCATTAAGTGGCACTTTCCTTGCTTTCACAGCCACCCCTGTCCTTGGATGCTCTATGCAAGGTCCATTAAAGTACAGGAGATCTGGCAGAGGGAGAGACTTGGGGAGTACACAGCTACGACTGGGGCACCCCAAGGGCCTGAGTTTCTTTTCCTCAGGGTTTCTGTTTGATGCTTTCTATCTTGCACAGATGGGCTGGGGTCTTCTGACATAGTGCTTCCTACACTGACATGCACATGAGCCACTTACGAGTCTTGTTAAAATGCAGACTGTTTTTTATTTTCTTTCTTTCTTTCTCTTTCTTTCTTTCTTTTTTTCTTTCTTTCTTTTCCTTCCTTCCTTCCTTCTTTCTCTCTCTTTCTCTTGCTCTTTCTTTCTTTTCTTTTCTTTTCTTTCTTTTTTTTGAGACAGGGTCTTTCTCTGTCACCTAGGCTGGAGTGCAGTGGCATGATCATGGCTCTCTGCATCCTCAAACTCTTGGGCTCAAGCAGTCCTTCCACCTCAGCCTCCCAAGTTGTGAGACTATAGGCATACGCCACTGTGCCTGGCTAATTTTTTTGTAATTTTGTAAAGAGAGTGTGTCACTATATTGCCCAGGCTGGTCTTGAACTCCTGGGCTCAAGTGACTCTCCTGCCTCAGCCTCGCAAGTTTCTGGGATTACAGATGTGAGCCATCATGCCCGGCCAAAATGCAGATTCTAATTTAGTCGGTCTGAGATGGGGCCTGGGGGTCTGCATTTTTTATAAATTTCCAAGGGATGCTGGCATTGCTGGCCCAAGGACCACACTTTGAGTGTTGACACTCCCACTCCACTGAGCCAATTCAGGACTTTCTCTCCCCAAATCAGTTTTTTGGGTTTTTGTTTTGTTTTGTTTTGTTTTCCGATACTCTGTCACGTGCAGGCTGGAGTGCAATGGCGTGATCTTGGCTCACTGCAACCTCTGCCTCCCGGTTCAAGGGATTCTTCTGCCTCAGCCTCCTGAGTAGCTGGGACTACAGGTGCATGCCATCACACCCGTCTAATTTTTGTATTTTTCGTAGAGACGGGGTTTCACCATATTGGCCAGGCTGGTCTCCAACTCCTGATCTCATGATCCACCTCAGCCTCCCAAGTGCTGGGATTACAGGAGTGAGCCACCACACCCAGCCCCCAAATCCTTTCTTTTCCTCCTCAGTCCTTGCTCTGAATTTTGGGAGCGCCAATGGACAATACTTAGTACTAATCTTGGTACTTCTCAGCCTCTGTCTCCTGGGTATGAAGCTTAATGTTAAGCTGCATAAGTAAATGTTTCCTGGGTGTGAGGTTTATCTTTGTAAGTAGATTCTAAGCTCTGCCACCTCCCTTTACCTCCAGACAGCAGCAACAATGATGACACAGCACAGAAGGCCATGGTAATTATCGTTGAATTGAATTGAGTTGGATTGGATTGAACTGACCAGGCTTTCTTACACTACGTTGAGAATACGTTTCTTCCCAAACTGGATTCAATGACTGATATGGGAGACCTTTAAGGCAGGTTTGATGTGTTTAGATGTTTGCAGCAGTGATGCTCAAATAAGCAATTGAATTCCAGCATTGGATCTCATGCCTTGTCTCCCTGGTCCCACCAACCTTTCCTCAAACACACAAGCCAAAACAAAAAAGTAAACACAACCAGCAACTGAGTCTATTTCTACTTCCCCAAAGAAATTTCCTCAGGTCCCCATCCTTCCTACCCCATCTCTCTGACCCCAACCAAGTGTCTTGCAACTTTCAGAAAAATGAAAGAAGTATCTCCTCCTCATAAAAAGAAGAGAGAGAGAAACGTATTAATTTGGTAACTTAAATGTATAACAAAGCCCTACTTACTATCTTTTTCTCTGAATCAACTTCCAGCCAAGTGGGTTTAATGTATATGCCCCTCCTCCAAGTTAAATAAAACCATGGTGATTTGTTGTTTCCTGCCATTATTTCGTCGGCTTGTAATACCCCACCTCTTTGTTGCCTATCCCCTTGCTACACGTCCCTGTGGCTCCAACGCAAATCCAGCCTGTCACAACCAGTTTTTCCCCCATGCTTCCCCAGCCTGAGGGAACTCCACTCTTCTTGGAAATTGCAGAGCTGTAGTTTAGAGTATATTCAGCCATTAATTGTGCAGTATCCAGTGCCATATTTTTCTATGTTGTCTCAGCCTGCTTTTTAAAGATTTTATTGTTAGCTAACTTTAGACATATTTATGCCTTATTAAAAGAGGGTAGATTAAAATTTGCTCAAGAAATCCATGACCTATACCTGTGTTCCCTTTGGGTCTGGCGTTCATTCACCATTCAACAATTAATATCTGAGCACCCTAACAGTGGAGTGATTGATGAATAACCAAAATAAAGTGAATATATGTACATAATTGAACTTAAAACCTGATATTTCACAATCCAAGTACTTTCACATATAACATCTCGTTGTCCTTGTGACATCCTTCTGAAGCAAATGGGAAAAGGTAATATGTCATGCAAAGCATTTAATTAGTAAATTCACTTTGACAGTGTTTCAAGCCAGCATGTGGGGGAAAAAAAGTTATTAAGTGAAATAATATAAAAGTTAATTGTGACATGTCAAACAAACTCTTAGAGAAGATTCACAAAAATACCAAAGAAGAACAGTGCTCCAAAACCTAAACAACGGTGGATCGATTTATGGCTTATTTAACCAAATCAACAATCTGGAAAAGGTACCTCTTAAATTTGAACTGAAAGCTTGACAGAGAGTAAGACAGCCTGACCTCCATGGTTAATAAATTCCATAAGTAGAGAGCAAACATTAAAAATGCCCTGTAGCTCAATGTCTTCAGCCAAAAAGAACTAATCCAATTGAGTGAGACCAAAGAAAACGACTGGGGATGTATGGTTCCAGAATGTCTCTGAGGTATTCAAACCCAAGTCAATTTAAGGACTTGTAAGTTAATAACTAGGACTTTACACATAATCCTGTACTTTACAGGTAGCCAGTGAAGGTTTTATACAACCAGGGTAATGTGATTTTCATGCTTGGTGTCAGTCAAAATGTCAGTAACTGAGTTCCAGACCAAGAGAAGTTCCTCAATCAGTCCATTGTAGAGTCCCCCGGAACAGCGACAGGCGGAGGCAGCAGGGGTCCCAGGAAGACAGGAGACACAAACACATATAAAGAGGAGAGAGCAGTGGACAGCAGCCATGGAGAGGGCTGGTTCACCGGGGCTTTTAATGGTGGATCTGGTAAAGAATTAAATAGGAAGCCTTAAAGATACGTCAGGATCAAAGATTAAGTACAAATTCATAATAGAAATCTTAACGAGCGAACAGCCTTCAAAGCTGTAGTTCTGGGCAATTTACGGATTTGCAGTAATGGTGAGAACCCAGAAGCAATGAGAGTTTCTTCTTAGCGTGATTCATCATCAGCTTTTAACAGTCAGGCTGAGAACATCTGGAGTTTAGGTGGTCAGAGAGTGAATTTAAGTTTCAAAGGGGTGAGATGACTACTTATTAACATAATACGTAATATTAAATGGATATTTTAAATGCATTGATTGGATTCCTTTTTTACAAACATCATTTAAGAGCTCTCTGTGTGTATGCATGTGTTTTAATTTCCCAGTGGAAATATTATAATGTCAGATGATAAAATCTTTCCAGATTGGATATTGACTTATGTTTAAAAAAATAAAATGGGAAAAGCAACCAGACGATTAACTGAGCACCTAATCTGTTCCAATTACAAGACCAGGTACTTTATACACATTCTTTTATTCTTATTTTAATATTGCAAGGTAGATGGGATTAGCTCCAAATATAAACTAGGAAATGAAAGCTCAGAGGAATATGTCGCTCTGGCTCCTGACCACTCAAAATTTGCAGACCTGCACCATTAGCATCACTTGGGATGGGGTTAAAACGCAGAATTTCAGGCCCTACCCTAGACTGACTGACCAGAATCTACCTTACTCAGTAGCTGTAGCATTCTGAAAGGTCCCTTCTATATATCACTTGAGTAAGTTCTCACAGAAAACCTGGGGCAGGAGGCAGACCAGTGACCAATGACCAGCTACCAGTAACCAAGCTCAGGGCTTGCCAGCCACCTCTGCCATGCAAATGAGCTTCAGCCCCTGGGGCTCCTCACCGAGGAAATGCATGTATAGAAGATCCCTGGGGAAGTACCTGTGGTGCAAAAGGAAGAAATGAGGCATCTTTGGGCTGGCTTTGGCAGAGAGTGCAGGAGCCCATGGACTCTCAGGAAGAGTCATTCCACACAAATTTACTGAGCAGCAACCATGTATTACCAAAATAGAGGTTAAGGCAGTAGGTTCTGGAGCCAGACTGTATTTCAGATCTGCTGAGTGCTGGCTTTGGGCCTTGCGCAACTTGTTTAATCTCTTTATCCCTCCGTTTCCTTATTTGAAAAATGGGGATACTGATGGAGTCATGGTAAGGCATACAGAAAGAGCTCATTGGACATTTGCTTTCATTATTTTCCATGTTGTGCTATGGGGACTATGTCCGGTGTGGAATAAGACTGCTGTGGCCCCTGCCTTAGGTTTTAGAGGAGGAGGCAGACATTACTAGGTACAGTTGTGACAGGTGCTATGCCAGAAGAGCTGGGAACTATGGAAACAGGTAAGAGAGAAGCTAGACTTAGAAAGCAATTAAGGAATACTTCTTATGTAATTGACCTTTGCTTGTGATCTGAAGCTTGAGTAGGGAGAAAGACCAGCATTAAACAATCAAATGAGGAACTGAACCTTGGAGGAGATGCAAGAGGGCCTGTAGGATGAGGACAGAGAGCGAGGGGGTTCTGGAGAGGCAGAGGAGTAGGCAGCCAGCAAACAGCCCTGCCCAAACTCCTGGAAATGACAAATATCCTCTTTGCTACATAGTAGAATCCTAAAAAATGGGAAACCCTTAGTTGCTAGAATTGATGAAAGAACTGAGTAAAGCAGTGAGCTACACCCTGGCTGCCTTGAAGGAGTTATTGATCTCAGTAACCTCAAGGCTTAGCTAGGAGATGATGAGGCTCTGGGCTGTAGGTAAGAAGTTGTAGCTGAATCCCCTTCCCGAAGCTGAGACATTTAAAGGGTGGATCAGAAAAACTCATTGAACAGCACAGGGACAGAATGAGGAAATAGTCTGCCTTCTTGGGTGGAGAGAAAGACAGAGGTCATTAGATTCATATTTCAAAAATACCATGCCAGCTGCAGGTTGGAGGAGGGCAAAAGTGGTATGGGCATGTGAAGCAGGAAGTTCAACATTCATGGGAGTCTTTCTCATGGCTCTGACTAGGACAGGGGCAGTGCAACCAGTTCACACAACTGGTAGCATGATTGATTCCAGGTCCAAAATTGTCACCACAAGTGAACGATGGAGCTTAACAGGGAGCTTATGAAATGATGCAGAAACATGAAATGGATCAATATCAAGGGTCAAGCTTCCAGAGACTGGAAACATAGAGGTCCATAGGATCCGAGTTGTGGGAGATTTTGGCATAGTCAGTGCAAGACAGTCCAGGACAGGGGAACAATTGCTAATTCACTAGGGTTAGACAGGAGGGAAACTTCACATCCCGGAGGGTAATGGAAGATAACCACCTGCCACAGAGCTGCAGAGTAGCCCCGAGCAAGGTGGGGGATGGTCTTTGGGCTCACAGCTGGAGCTGAGACTTGGAAGAAAATTCTGGAGGTGGGGAAGGAGCAGTGTCATTGACTCAAAATTGTTTCAGTCTAGGAGATTGAGTATTATAGCATTTCATACACCTTGTGCAGCTGAAAGAAATGAGATGTGTAAAACCTAGTCTGCTACTCAATGTTTGTGGCCTGTAGACCAGCAATACCAGCCTCACCACGGGGCAGGTTAGGAATGCAGAATTTTGGCCCCACCCTGGGGCCTCCTGAGCAAGAATCTGTATTTTAACCTAGGGATTCCTACATGCATGACCATTTACCATGTGTGGCCGTAAAAGATCATGTCACTTGCGCCATCTGTGACTGAGGGCATGGGAGGTGTGACCCAGGATAAAAGACACTCCTTAATGGAGTATGTGAAGATAGTTTTGAAATATTTCTGACTCATGTCAGGCAAACCAAAAATTGGAGAGATTTGGCCACATCTAGGCAAAGAAAACCAGAAATATTGGAACCCTCCTACAAGTCAGTCTGGGTAAGCACAATGACAGGACAAAACCAATCTAAAAAAAAGTGAGGTGGAATGAGATGGAAAGAAAGATGCAACCTTGAGAAGTAGTTAAGATTGTAATTTCTAATTTCTTTCCACTCCCTTCAAATTACATGAGTAGCCAGTTCACATCAGCCTCAAACTTACCATGCAACTTTAAAATGCTTACAGGTGTAATTATTTTGGATTCAAATTCACAGCCATAGCAACTTTGCACTGAAGCTACATTTTTTTCAATAATACATTAAAATCCTCCTATATTACTCCGATGTGAAATCTTTTGCCCTAATGCAGTTAGAATGATTCTATAACATCGCTAAAGCCAACTTGAGTTGTATTACTATTCATTCATTCAGCAAATTCAATTGAGCACCTACCACGCACCTGTGCTAGACACTGGAGATGCAACAGTGAACATGATGTTCACTTAATGTAGTCACTGCTTTGAGTCTGTGAGATTAAATATAATCATTATAGTTCTAGCGACTTTCCTAAGTGTTATTAACATTTGAACTGATTTCATTATTCTAATGCTTTGTGGTAGCCCAAGAAACCTTTATATTTGCATGTCTGTTGTTTTACTATATACCTACATGACGTTTGCATCAGAAACCTCTTCTGTGCTCTATTTTCAGCAATATCTTCTTTCAGCTTCAATATACTCCTTTCCTGTAGTGAAAAAGTCCTGAGCTTCCTAAGGAATGGCAATTAAACACATAAGGATGTAATATTCTCATTGAATTAATAGACCTGCTTTGGGTTTTTTTTTTTTTTTTTTTTTTTTTTGCTCGTTAGAATATATAAATCTGGCAACTTCTCTAAAACTCTATCGTTTCAGTCTCTTGGGGGAAAATGTGAGAATCGAGGAGTATAGCGTAAGCGTCAGAGTCTTTGTGTCTCTAGATAGCTCTGCCGATTCTCCATGGGCTGTGGAAGATAATTTGTCAGCTTAACTTCAGCGGCAGCCATTATGGAAGAAGACTATGATTTCTCTTCCAGCAATAGATGTGCAGAAGTAGCATCTGAAACCAGAGAATGTAGGCAGGTGGGAATTTAATCCTCCCCCCGTATCCCTACCCTATCCTGGCCTTACATTTCTTCCTTCTCTATTAGTAATCACATGTCCTGATAGGTGCCTGTGTCTTTAGATATATTTAGGTTATAGTCTATATGTAAAGAGACCAACAAAACCTGGGTTCCTTGGCAAAAGGCAGGTAGCATTTTACACTTTGTGCTTGGAGAGATAAGACAATAAAATTAGGTAAGAATATCCGTTGTCTTTGATTTAATTTTGATAAAATATAGAAAAATATATCCTTTGTATCTTACCTTTGTCTTTTCCCCTTCCTCTGTCCCCATTGATTATGCGTTAACTTAATCATTGTCTCCATAGAAGGGAGACAGTCTGTAGAGGGGTTTGTATTCTCAGACATCTAGTACCCAAGAGCCAATTATAATAAGCTCAGTTTTGTTGGTGACACTCATATTCATCTGGTTGGGAGATGAGAACACATTCTTGGGTATGTTATGATAATGAGAAGTCTTCTTCAAATACCTCGTTACTGCCAGCAGCAGCACAGCGCTCTTGTCTTCCCAGGGTAGACTTTTTCTGTCCTTCACTGTCTTTTTCCAGCTATCACTTTGCACTGTCATTACTTCCTTTATACTGTATTTGTATTCACCCCGTTCCTCTCCATGCACATAACTACATCCCCAGTCTAGACTCTAGTTTTCTCTTCCTTGCATTATTGTATTAGCTGATCTTTGGGGTCCACTCTGTCTCCACACCTATCCGTCCCACCAGGATGATCTTAGGTAAAGGTCACTTTTGTTCTATTACTTCTTGGCTTCAACATTCTAGATGAAAGATAGTTCTGTACCGTTCAACTTAGGTCTTATGTGTCTAAGAAATATAGACCATAGAATCAGAAGGACCTGGGTTTGAATCCCATTTCCACCAGTTACTTATTTGCAAGTTCTCTCATCTCCCTAATCTGTACGTTTTTTATTTCTCTGTTTTGTTGCTGCAAAATATAGATAACATAAAAAATTTGCTGTTTTAATTATTTAAAGCATATAATTCAGGGACTTTATTTACATTCACAATGTTGTGCAACCATCACGTGTGTGTGTGTGTGTGTGTGTGTGTATGTGTGTGTGAAAGAGAGAGAGAATATGATCTATCATTCAATTTAGCAATGGGTTGGTCCCAAATTTAGCTGAATAAAAATTTATAATGGATAATTTACTATTTTTCCCTCTCTTTAGGCAATTCTTACATACAAACTTTTTACAATTTTTTTATTTTGGTAAAATATATATAACATAAAATTTGCCATTTGAACAATTTTTAAGTGTATATTCAGTAGTATTAATTACATACACAGTGTTGTGCAACCATCACCGTTATCTTTTTCCAGAACTTTTTATAACCCCAAACAGAAATTCTGTATCCATTAAGCAATAACTCCCCATTTCCCGTCCTCACCGTCCGCCCCTAGTAACCTCTAATCCACATTCTTTCTCGATGAATTTACCTAATTCTAGATATTTCATTTGAGTAGAATCATACATTTGTCCTTTTGTGTCTAGCTTATTTCACTTGGCACAATGGTTTCAAGATTCATCCACGTTGAACGTTGTGTCAGAACTTTATTCATTTTGATGGCTGAATAATATTCTGTTGTATGTATATACCACCTTTTGCTTATTCATTTCTTGATGGACACTTGAGTTGTTTCCATCTTTTGACTATTGTGAATAATGCTGCAATGAATACTGGTATACAAGCATCTACTGAATCTTTTTTCTTTTTTTTTTTTTTTTTTGGCAGAGTCTCACTCTGTCACCCAGGCTGGAGTGCAGTGGCATGATCTCCACTCAGCTGTGACCTCCCGGGCTCAAGGAATCCTCTCACCTCAGCCTCCCGAGTAGCTGGGACTATAGGTGTGTTCCACTATGCCCAGCTAATTTTTAAATTTTTTTTTTAGAGACTGGGTTTCACTCCTGAACTCAAGTGATATGTCTGCTTCAGCCTCCTAAAATGCTGGGATTACAGGCATGAGCCACTGGGCCCACCCAGAATCATTGTTTTCAATTCTCTCGTGTATATACCTACAAGTAGAACTATTGGGTCATATGGTGCTAGGGACCGAATTGTGCCACACCAAAATCCATATGTTGAAGCCCTAACACCCAATGTGATGGCATTTGGAGATGAGGCCTTTAGAAGGTAATTAGATTTAATAAGCTTGTGAGGGTGGGGCCCTAATAGTGGGATTAGTGCCCTTATAAGAAGAAGAAGACACACCAGAGCTCTCTCTCCACCTTGTGAGGACACAGGAGGAAGGTGGCCATCTGCAAGCCAGGCAGAGAGGTCTTACTGGGAATTGAATCAACTAGCACCTTGATCTTGGATTTCCCAGCCTCCAGAACTGTGAGAAATAAATTTATCTTGTTTAAGCTACCCAGTCTGTGGTATTTTGCATGGTAGCCCAAGAAGACGAATACATATGGTAACTCTTTGTTTAGCTTCTGAGGAACCACCAAGTTATTTTCCACAGCAGCTACACTTCACCATTTTACATTTCCTCAAGCAATGCACAAGGAAGGGTTCCAATTTCTCTACATCCTGAACCTTTGTCATTTTCTGTTTTTGTTTTGTTTAGCAATTCTAGTTGAGGTGTATTGATATCTTGTGGGTTTGATTTGCATTTCCCTAATGACTAATAATGTTGAACATCTTTTCATGTGCTTATTGGTCCTTTGTATATCCTTTTTGGGAAAATGCCCATTTTTTAAATTGTGTTGTTTGTGATGCTGCTGCATTTTAGCAGTTATTCCTATATTCCAGATATTAAATCTTTGTCACCTGCATGTTTGACAAATACTTCCCATTCCGTAGGTTGTTTCTCTTTCTTGATGGTGTACTTTGATGAATAAAAGTTTTAAATTTAAGTACAACATGTTATTTTTCTTGTTTTGTTTGTGTTTTTAGGTCATATCTAAGAATACATTCTGAAATTTAAGGTTAAGAAGATTTACCCCTATGTTTTCTTCTAAGACTTTTTTGGCTTTGGTTTTAATATTTAGGTCACTGATCCATTTTGAATTAACTTTTGTGTATGGTGTGAGGTAGGCATCCAACTTCATTCTTTTACATGTAGAAATCCAGCTGTCCCAAGACCATTTGTTGAAGAAACTGTTCTTTTCCCATTGAATGAAGTTGAAATCCTTATCAAGAGCCAGTGGGCCACAGATGTTTGTGTTTATTTCTGGACTCTTTATCCCATTAATTTATCCTATGACATTACCAAACTGTTTTGATTAATGTACCTTTGTAGTACATTTTGAAATTAGGAGGTGTGATTCCTCCAACTCTGTTCTTTTTCAAGATTGTTTTGGTTATTTGGTGCTCTTTGTAACTCTATATGAATTTGAGAGTTTGCAAAAACAAAAAAGAGGCTCTAGGGAATTTGATAAAGATTACATTGAATCTGTAGATCACTTTAGAAAGCATTGCCATCTTAATAGTATTGTCTTCAAACCCATGAACATTGGGTGTGCTTTCATTTATTTAGATCTTTTGACTTTCTTTCAGTCATGTTTCATAGTTTTTATTGTACAAGTCATTCATCTCCTGGGTTAAATTTATTCCTAAGTATTTTAATCTTTTAGATGCTATCGTAAATGGAATTGCTTTCTTCATTTCCTTTTCAGATTGTTTATTGTTGGTGTATAGTAACATAGGTGAGTTTTGTGTGTTTATCCTGTGCTCTGCAACTTTGTTGAATCTGTTTGTTAGCTTTAGTTTTCATGTGAATTCTTTGGGATTTTCCTTATATAGGATCATGTTCTCTGTGAATAGAGATAGTTTTACTTCTTCCTTTCCAATTTGGATGCTTTTTATTTCATTTTCCTCTCTAATTATTCTGTCTAGAAAGAATTTCCAGTACAACGTTGACTAGTCGTGGTAAAAGTAAACACCCTTGACTTGTTTCTGATGAACAATTTACTTTTAAAATACACATTAAATAGAAAAATTGTTTAGAGCAGTTTTACTAAAGCTAATAGTCATTGAATTCAAAAGTATCTTTTAAATTAACTTCTCATCTATTTGAAGATGAATTTGCCCATTTGGAAAGGACAACATTAAGATGAATTATCACTAAGTGAACGTGCCCATGTCACCACAACCAGCTAAAAAAATTAACATCACCAGCTCCCTAGAAACCCCCTTGGGCCCCTCCCAATGATTACCTTCTTCCTTCTCCCCAAATGGAATCATTATCCTGACTTTTAAAATCATCAGTTACCTTTGTTATTTTTTGAGCTTTGTGTAAATGAGATCTCACAACATGCACTCCTCTTGGCTCTTCTTTGGCTTCTTGTGCCCAGCTTTTCCTATTTTTAACATCTTACATTTGTATGGTACATTTGCTACAGCTAAAGAACCATCACGGATATGTTATTATTAACTGAAGTCCATAGTTTCTGTTTCCTTAGTTTTTACCTTAATGTGCTTTTTCTCTTCCAGGATCTCAACCAGGACACCTTATTACAATTAGTCGTCTTATCTCCTCAGGTCCTCTTGGCTGTTTCTCTGATTCTTCTAGTTTTCAATGACCTTGACTGTTTTGAGAAATAGCGGTCAGGCATTTTGTGGCATGTTCCTCAACTGGGATTTATTTGATATTTTACCACATGATTAGACTGGGAATATGGACTTTGGAAAGAAAAACCCACAGAGGTAAAGTGCTGTCCTCATCATATTAAGGGCACATGCTATCAACAGAACTTATTACTGTACATGTTAACTTGGGTCACCTGGCTGAGGTCGTGGTTGTCAGGCTTCACCCCTGTAAAGTTCATCTTTTTTCCCATTTTCATACTGTGCTCTTTGGCAGGAAGTCACTATGCACAACCCATACTTAAGGAATGAGAAATTATGCTCCACCGTCTTGAGGGGAGAGTATCTACAGAAATTATTTGAAATTCTATTGCATGTGAGATTTCTCCCCCACTTATTCATTTACATAGTCATTTACATCAGTATAGATATTTATTTATACTGTGGGTTATAATTCAACTAATTTGTTTTGTTGCTTAAATTATTTCAGCTTTGCAGAAGTCTTTTTCAGTTTATTCCTGTGTCTCTTTGACATATCGCTCTTATTGTGAGCTTTTTTTTTTCTTAATTGCTTCCTTACTGGCATGGACTGAATGTCTGTGTCCCCCACAAACTCACATGCTGAAACCTTAATCTCCAATATGATGGTATTTGGAGATAGGACCTTTAGGAAGTAATTGGGTTACAAAGATGGAGCGCTCATGATGGAATTAGTGCCCTAATAAGAAGAGACAAGAGAGAGCTTGCTTCCCCGCCTCTCCCATTGTGAGGACATAATGAGAAGTCATCTCTACAAGGCAGGAAGAAGGCCTTTGCCAGAACCCTACCATGCCAACATTGTGATCTTGGACTTCCCAGACTCTAGAACTGTGAAAAAAAATTATCTATTGTTTAATCCACACAGCTTATGGTATTTTTGTTATAACAGCCTGAACTCAGTAAGACACTTACTTTTGGGCACTACAAGATGCTCCAGAATCACTTTGTCTGTTTCTTGCCCCAGTTCTAAAATGTGCCATTTCTCTAAGGAGACCTGGTTCGTTTTGTTAGAGAATGGTATTGGAAACCAAGATCTAGGCACTTGGTGAGCTCACTGCTACTGAGATGTCATTGCTTCTAGAACCTCTCAGTTGCTGGAAAAATGAAATATGTGTGTACACTAGCACACATGTATGTGTATGTGTTGTGTATGTATAAATATTTCTATGTTGCTATTTATCTCACAATGACCTGCAGATGTCAAGTTAGCCTGACTGCTGGTTTTGGTAGCATGATGGAGGTGGAAACCAGGTTATAGAGTACTGAAGTGGCACTTGATAGATGCATAAGAGATAGATTATTTCTGTCCTGATAAGTTTAGTGCTGAAGGAAAGCTTGCAAGTGGGAATTATAGTGTGAAGAGGCAGTATAGCCAAGGAAATGGTTTTTAAGATCAGTAAAACTAGTTCAATTTTTGGAGAAGAAAAAGAACAAGCTGAACTGGAGAATGAAAGAAGATCAGCCAATAATTGGGTGGGTTTGGGAAAGGCAAGGACTCACCCCATTAGGGAACAGAGCCCTGAAGGGGGCAATTGGTTCATTTGTAATAGCCCCTTTCCTCCCTAAAGCTCATGAGGAGGTACATTGCATCCCCATTTTACAGATGAGAACGTTGAGGCTCAAAAGTGAGGTAAACTTGTGTGAGCCCTCGCTGCTAATAAGCATCAGAGTTAGGATTCAGCTGGTGCCCACCCTCTGCTGGTCCTTAGCTCTTGAAGGCCTGTTAGCCTTTGCAACGTCCAAATGCAAATACGTCCAAAAGGTCAAATGACTCCTCTGCATTCCTGAATACCAAGAGTCAGTGGTTTCCTCTAGGAAGAAGCCAGAGGCAACGCTTGTTCTGCAGACCCCAGAGAAAGAACCAGACCCCACACCCAAGCAATAAATCCAAGGGGCCTTTTCTTGCTTTTGGCGCTGACTCTTTGGCAAGTTACTTCTCTCCTTGCAGTGTGACCTAACCTTCCACCCTTCCCTGGCTCCACTTAGGAGCTCTCACTAAGACATCTGTTGAGGACAGCCCCCGAATGAGTTTCAGATTTGGTAGTTAAGCTCTTGGATGTCATGCTCTCATTCCCGGCTCTATCCACAAGGGAAGTGAGCAACAGGCCTCTCCGTCTTAAAATTTGAGATGAAAATAATAGTCTGTTGGGCAGAGCCTGTGAGAGCCTATAGAAATACTTCCCCACCGCCTTGATTATAAACAAGTAAATGTCCACTGGCATTCTGTACATTGACAGCACGTCCATATCCAGAAAATATGTATGACGGAGAGAAGATTTCAATTCTGAGGCCCAGAGCCCATTGTAAAACGCATACATACAAATTTTCTTTCAATCATTTTTCTCTCTACTTGCTGGGAACTATTTACAACTGTGAAATGTGAGAGTTATTAGGTACGAATTTTAAAATTCTTCATTTCACACATGAGGAAACGGAGGTAGACAACTGCCTTGCTATATTGTGTATACATTATGTAAAGATTTAATTAACATTCTATTTATGTAAGAGAGAAAACCTTATTGTGGCTTAGAAGAATTACTTAGTCTTTTAAACTTTAGCTTTTAATAAAACTTTATTACAAAACCTTTGCATTAAATGGGATCTAGAGCAATCTGCAGATATTTCTAGGCTGTTAGGCAAGGAAACAAGGATATTTGTATCCTTTCCCTGTATCTATGTTTAATTATTGACTTTAAATCACAAGGGATGGAAAACGGAAGCTTTATGACATACTCAGGTCATTCTAAGAAAAGATTACACATAGAAATCCAAACTTTCGAAGCAGATACATTAAGGAATTATTCTGTACAGTACAAGTAAATTACCTGCCTTATAAAATTAATCATTTTATTTAGCATATGTAAAAATTATTAACATCAAAAATATCTATGTAGGCTATATGACTAAATTTAGAAGGGAGGTACACCAGCACCCAGTTATAAATATAAACATTAAGAACTTTATTAATCCTAATATGATACAGAGTCTTATCTTCTAATTTATTTGTTTTCTTAAAGTTCAATTATTATTTTTTTAAATCCTTGAAGTTTTTGTTCAGTAAATCATACCTGTAATCCTGTTTGGTCTTAGAAAAGAAAGACATAAAACTACTGTTTCAACAAAGTGTATTCCTGAGCCGCAGGCTAAGCTGAAATCCATATTTTACTGTCAACAGAGTTAAGGAGATGCATGATCTTTATGGCATAGAAACTCTTTCCTCATATCCTTGTCATCAAACTGTCATGAAAACTATTTCATGCTATTGTGGGTCAAGATAATTATTATATGCTTTTTCTCAACTTGGAAGAACTAATCATATTATAGACCTATCAAATTGCACATATATTATGAGGAGCATTTCTCAAATGTTTCATACTTAAAAGAAACTTCTAGAAGTCCAGAGGTTGTTTGCAGAAGTTCAGTCCTCCGCTAGACCTCTCATTTCCCTATCCTCCCTCATTAGAGCCTGCAAAGGGAGCCCTACTCTCCTAAGATTATGAATAAACAAATGATGGGTAACAGACTGATCCCAGATGAGAGCATTTCCTTCAGGCTCTCGTGTTAAGATGATAAATGGGTGGACCACTTGGCCTTAAACAAATGACAGAGATATATTACAACTGATTATGGGGTATTTTCAGTTTTGTTATATGTGTCCACTCTTGACCCTCTAGATACATGAATAAAAGAAAATTTATATTATCTCTGACATTTCAAGACAAAAGCTCTAAGGAAGCTTCCTCTATTGGACTTCCTGCTTTCAGCAGTAGTAAAACAGGGTGTGGTTTTATTAAAACAACAAAAGCCTGCATGGCAGAACTTTCTGCCCTCCTTTTGTATTACAAACAATAGATAAAACCAGATTCTAATTCAGTCTTTGCCAGTGATTATTTCCCATGCCTTCTTAGCAGACGCCAGGTATTCATATTTTTGTTTCTGTTCTTACTCGATTGCATGGTCATGTTTGGAGCAGGAAGGGGGATATTTTAAACACATTTAACCAGGTCTTCAGTTTGGGGTCAGAAACGTGCTGCAACTCCCACACCAGTCTGCAAACATCTGGCGTCCCAGATGGGAGCAATAACAACTCCGCTCTTATTTTCATAACTGCATTGCAGAAGATGTTCACTGGTTTCCTCCTCGGTGAGTTTAATTCACACCAAAATTTTAAGGAAGATTAGAAAAAGAGAAAAAAAAAGAAATGAAAGAAAACATTTCTGACAGCACAGAGAGTTGGGTTTTCATGCTCCCATTGTACAAAAGATTCTAAGATAATTATAACATATAACAGATCTCTTAGGCTTATTTTGTGAATCAACTCAGCTATATATTATTTTCTATGCCAAAGTTTTATACGCACCACAAAAATGCTATATTTTTCGCCCAGATTTAGGTATTATGTTTTTCTTTTAAAATGATTTTTACCAGTTAAATGGCTTTGTTGTTGTTGTTGTTGTTTTGTAAAAACCAGTTGCAAATCAAGCCACATAGTAGAGTTGCTTTCATTCAGCCTCACTGGAAATATTGACATTAAAAGGTGCCCTGTCTATTGCATCACCAACACTTTTCAACAGCTGCACTAAGGAGGAATAGTGTTATCTTATTTCTTGCTTCTTCCCTGAGATAATTTTCAACAGTATTGTCCAGATTTGCTGTAGTCGTTTTGCTGCCGAGAGGTTGTAAACAAATCAGGGACCCACAGGGAGACTGGCAGCTCCTGGCTGAGAGGAGTCCTCAAGGGGCAGACCACAGGATCACAGATCCAAAGCTGGACAAGGCCTGGAGTCACCAGCACAGTGATCTTCATTTGCAGAGGATAAACTAGGGGCAGAGTCATGTCTGAACTCAGGACTAGCAGCCTAGCATTCCTGAAAAGTAGACCACTAAATGCAAGGGCTGCGAGAACTGGGGTTTTCGTCCCTTTGGTTGACCGACGGGTCCTAAGCAGTGCTTAGGAAGAGTGCTTGGCACATCGTGGGCACTCAATAAATATTTATTGAATGGATGAATATAACACCCAGCTTCTCAATCAAGTTCACAAACCGCTGGGCGTCAGACTTGACTTTCTTGTGTAATCCTACATAACCGGCGTTGGCAGCATGAGTGAGTGAGAGGAGTACCCAGATCCAATTCATCACTCAGCCACTCACCTATGTGACCTCAGCCAAGTAATTTGGGACTGTATTTCAAAGAGCAAGTGACTCACAGCCTTAGCTTTCTCATTTGTAAGCTGAAGTAATACTGGACCTACCTATTTCATAGGAATGGATGCACATCAAATTAGCTAGCTCACAACAAACTCTACAGTGCTCTAAGCATATTGTTACTATTGGCAAATGGACTCTGAGATGTAGTCATTTTATTAACAGAGGTGTTGGCTGCAGCTAAGCTTGCGCAGGAACTCTCCAATGTGATGAAAGTCTTGACCAAAGGACATGCTAGGAGCCACGATGTGGGCTGCTGGTGAGCCGGAACCAGCTCCAGCAGAAGCCAGGCAATGAACGCACCCCATGATGAGTGCAAGGTTGGGTGGAGGAGCTGATGGGAGCAGTCACAAAGAGGGTAGGACTAGGCAGAGGTTCAAGTTAATTATCCCAAATATAAGATATAGAGCACTTTAGGCGGCCGAAGCAGGTGGATCACTTGAGGCCAGGAATTCGAGACCAGCCTGACCAACATAGAGAAACTCTGTCTCTATTAAAAATAAAAAAATTAGCCAGGCCTGGTGGCACATGCCTGTAATCCCAGCTACTCGGGAGGCTGAGGCAGGAGAATTGCTTGAACCCGGGAGGCAGAGGTTGCATTGAGCCGAGATGGCGCCATTGCACTCCAGCCTGGGCAACAAGAGCGAAACTCTGTCTCAAAAAAAAAAAAAAAGAAAGAAAAGAAAAAATGTAGAGGATACAATTACAGTAAGCAGTCCAGGTAGCAGGCTAAAATGCAGTGTTGAGAATTCTGGGTGGATGTAGTTGTCAATATCCAGAGACATTTAGATCGTTGATAGACAAATCTATTCTCAGGACTAGGTAAAGGCATCTGGAAACCACGGCTAACTATAAGGGAAGGAAGCTGGCAGATTCTAGGAGACAGAAATGGAATTTGGGCTCTCTTGGGTGCCGGGAGTACACCAGGTAGCAGAGGCTGAGGGGCAGGCTTGTCTTGCACTGGGGTAGAGGAAGGAGTTCAAGACTCACGTGATGCCCAGGGCTTTGTCCACTCCAGTGCCTAGACATTAGAGGTTGGGTTTCAAGCCTCACTGATTCCTGGGGAGGGTTTCCTAATGCACCAGCAGACCTAGGCAGGGCTAAGCCCACAGAGGTTCAGGTGGAAAGGTCTGGGTTCTCTGATGCTTAGAACTGGTGCTGACGGGAAGAAAGCAATTTTAAAAAAAAAACTTCAAAGGATGTTGTCTTTGCTGTGGGGTGATGGGAAACAACAGTTGTGGACAAACTACAGATGCTACTTTGTGACATCTTAAAGCACGGTATTATAAAGCAAAATCCTGAATGCATACTCACCAGTTTTCAAGCGTTTATTCTGAAGGAAAAACATCAGGAAGTCAGCACCATCACTGATGCAGCAGACCAAAGAGCAATGCTTGTTTGTAGACATTGTTTACTGAGCCCTGTAACTGGAAGTCATTCCACCTTGTTCATTGGCCATCTAGTTGACAGGCATTAAGGGAGGCCAGGGTTCGTGGCTGTTACCCAAAACTTCCTCATCATTCTCATCCATTCCAGGTCTACCAGGATTCTGACAGGTGCCCTCCAAGAATGGTGGGTGTCTCGGCCTCTGGCTCCATCCACTCCTGGACATCTAGCTGGGTAGTGCTTTGCTTAAGCTCTGACCCTCCCGTCACACATAGCCTGCATCGGCCTGATCAGCACCCAGATGGGCTCACTCCAGCCACCGTAAAGGTGCAACATTGCAAACAACCTGCCTCAGCCTCTCTACTGGGGTTCCTCCAACCACTTCCATGAGAGACCTTGGACAGGAACCCAAAGCTTTTTGCAGGCACTGCCTATCAGATGTGGAAGAAAACAGCAAGGCAAGAAGAGGCAGTGACCCAGGAAAGGCCCACCAGCTCCAGAAGTTGCCTACTCCACAATACGGAGATTGCTCATTTCTTTTAAGGACCATTCATTTGAATTATGCAAATAATTCATTGAAAGTTGGGAAATTTTAAATTCCTAGTGGAAATACACACACACAACTATCTAGGATACTAATGTTCCTTTTTTGAGTTTTTTAAAGTTAGCTCTGGTTAAGAGCGATTTCTAAACTTCTTGAAGGTTGGGCTGGTAGACTTCACAAAATGAGGGCAAGACATGGAGGGTGGAGAGAGAGAGAAAGAATTAAAAAGTACAGGACACCCAGTTAAATTTGAATCTCAGACCATGCTATGCTCATTATTTTTTACTCCACAATGCTTAAAAAACAGATTTGTATGTAGTAGTTTTCCCCAAAGTTATTTGTTAAACTGAATTGGACATCATTTCAACGTATTTGCCTATTTATTAATGTAGCGCATACATAGCACTAACTAGGGGCTAAGCACTCTTCTAAGTGCTTTACAAAATTATTTATTACAAATTTATTTACAAATTTATACAACTTATTTAATTTAGGCAACTGAATCACGAATATAGAAAATCACAGATAATAGTTTCTCTCTCTTTAGAATTTTAGATCTCTGGTATCTTTCTTCATAGGATGAACACAATTTGAATCTGCTTGCCATCACTGTAAAGTTTTGTATATGTAATTTTTCTTTGATTATGAAAGTAGTACATGTTCCAGTAAAAAATTAGGAAAATACAGAAAAGTGCAAAGGAGATAATGAAATCACTCTTCACAGAGATAATCCACATTAGAATTTTTCATTAGACATACATTTTTGAATAGCTATGAAATAACTAGCTGCAATTTCTGCACATCTATCCAAATAACATCCCAGGCCCAGTCATTCTCCATCCTATCATCCTATTTTATTGCAGTCATTACAGTTATCACTATCTGGAATTACCTCATTTCAGAGAGTGAAAACTAAATAGTTTTCATTTCTGCTGTCTCCTGCTACTAGAATCAAACCCCACTTTATGTCCCCAGTTCCAAGTACATAGTCGATGCTCAATGAATATTTCTTTTTTTTTCTTTTTTTTTTCCAGACAGAGTCTCGCTCTGTCGCCCAGGCTGGAGTGCAGTGACACTATCTTGGCTCACTGCAAGCTCTGCCTCCTGGGTTCACGCCATTCTCCTGCCTCAGCCTCCTGAGTAGCTGGGACTACAAGCACCCGCCACCACGCCCGGCTAATTTTTTTTTTGTATTTTTGGTAGAGGCGGGGTTTCACCGTGTTAGTCAGGATGGTCTCGATCTCCTGACCTCGTGATCTGCCCACCTCGGCCTCCCAAAGTGCTGGAATTACAGGCGTGAGCCACCGCGCCCAGCCTAAATGTTTCTTAAATGAATGAATATTCTCCATCTGTTGTGCATCAGGTCATTGTGATCAATTCAGTGTGATAACATCACATTGTGCCTCTGGTGTAGGCACATCTGAAATCATTCTCCTCAAGATTTCTTAGGCTCATGATTGAGAAAAGTTAGAATTTTGGCTAAAATTTAGAGTTCACCATATCTGAAAAAATTCTATACACACTGAAGTGTGTGAAAGCATTTGCAAAAATACTTTCAAAATGCCAGGGAGGTCTTGTTCATTTTGGAATGTTATGGATTAATCCTTTCCTTCCTGAGACTCTCATGGGCAGAAACTGGACAATACAAATTTCAAGTGAGAACATATTTAACAAGGTCAACAGAAAATGTCATCTTCCTGTGTTCTATGAAGCCAAAATTTTGCTATTTCCCTAAAATCTTATTTGACAGAACAGCATTGTTAGGTATGAAAAATTCAATACACCAAAGGAATTCAGAACACTAAGGGAAAATCTAAATAGGGGCATTCATTTAACAATAATTGGTGTCTGAAAAGGTGCCTTATCATGGCCCTAGGACACACTGGGATGCAAAGAAGAGGGCCTGATTTACTTACGGACCTTTCCATCATTAAAGAAAATTAAATTTGATCACATGTATTATCACAACATTTCCATGAAGAAGATGATAAAGACGCTATCATTGTTCCCATACTGCAGGGTTGTAAACTAACAAGTACTTATTAAGCATTCATTGCTTGTCCAGTTCTGTGTTAAGTAAAATGTGCCTAAGAAAAAGTTTGGTTTAAAGCAGTTTTAGATATAAAGCAATTGGAAAAAAGAGCAAAACTGAGTGGCACTCATTTATCACACAAGTTTCAGGGTAGGAGAAGTAGGCCTGGGCAACATGGAGAAGTAGCATTTCCAGAGATGAGAGGGAAGCAGAGAAGGGAGCTGTCGCAAGGACAACTATAATAGAGCCTCACATGGATCGAGAGCTCACCATCTGCCAAGTACTATCCTAAGTGCTTTGCACAAACTCATGCAGTCCTCACAAGAACTCATTGAAATTGATCCTTTTCTGATCCCCACAGATGAGGAAACTGCAGAATAAAAAAAAAAAAAAAAAAAAGTTGAGCTGGGCGCCGTGGCTCATGCCTGTAATCCCAGCACTTTGGGAGGCCAAGGCAGATGGATCCCTTGAGCACAGGAGTTCGAGACCAGTCTAGACAACATGGCAAAACCTCATCGCTACAAAAAATACAAAAAATTAGCCCCGCGTGATGCACTGTGCCTGTAGTCTCAGCGACTTGGGAGGATCACTCGAGCCCAGGAGGTTGAGGCCGCAGTGAGCGGTGATGGCGCCACTGCACTTCAGCCTGGGTGATGAAGTTGAGATAATAATATCCCAGTTATGCAGAACTTTGAGTCCTAGTTTGGGTTCAGTCTTATGAGGCAGCAGCTCTTAAAGTTTTTGGCTTCAGGACCCTTCATGCTCCCAGCGATTATTGAGAACCCCAAAGAGCTTCTGTTTACATAGGTTTTACCTATCAGTGTCTACTACATACAAGTTAAAACCAAAGCAAATTTTAAACATCAACATTTTTGATAGTAAAATATTAAATGACAGTGATAAACCCATTACATGATAAAAATAACACTTTCCTGAAGAATAATTATATTTTCCAAAACAAACAAAAATTCTGAGAATATTATTTCTATATATTTGCAGATTTCTTTCATGTCTAGCTTAATAGAAGGCAGCTGGATTCTCAAATCTTCTGCATTTAGTATGTTTAGCATGGTTGAAGCATATGAAGAAAGTCTACTCTAACACAGATACATAGTTGGAAAAAAGGAGTATTTTAATAGCCTTTTCAGGTAATTGTGGATCATCTTCTTATGCATACTACACCAAAACTTGAAAATTTCTAGTGTCTTTTTTCTTTTTTGTTAAACTATTATTTATACATGAAAAAATTTACCAGTTTTAAATGTACAGTATGATGAAATTTAGTGCTGGTCTCAAAGTACGAAACCGTTTCCTAATCCTCAAAAATACCTTCATGCCACTTGGCACTCACTTTCCTCCCCTCACCACTAGTTCCAGGCTACCAGTGATCTGCTTTCTGTCACTATAGTTTTATCTTTTCTAGAATTTCATGTAAATGGGATCATTCGTAGTCTTTTATGTTTGTCTTCCTTCATTTCCCGTGATTATTTTGAGGTTTGTCCATGTTGTATATATTAATATTTGTTCTTTTTTATACCTAAGTAGTATTCTATTGTATGGATATACCACAATTTCTTTATTATATTCACCAACTGTTAGACACTTGGGCTGCTTCCAGTTCTTGGTTATAAACAATAATGGTGCTATCAACATTTACCTACACATTTTTTTGTGTGTGTGGATGTGTATTTTCATTTCTCCTAGGTAAATACTTGTGAGTAGAATTGCTGGAACATATCGTAAACATGTTTAATTTTATAAGGCGCTGACATAGCAGTTTTCAAAAGTACCTTCACCATTTAGCATTCCAGTCTGCAGTGCATGAGAGCTCCATTTGCTCCACACCCTTCTCAACACTTAGTATTGCCAGTATATTCCCTTTTCTAGTGGGTGTGTAGTGGTTTTTCATTGTAGTTTTAATCTGCATTTCTTTTATGACTAGTGATGTTGAACATGTTTTCATGTGCTTATTGGCTATCTTCTTTTGTGAAAATTTCTGTTCAATTGCCCATTTTTAAATTGAGTTGTTTGTCTTATTATTAACTTGTAAGAGTTTTTTAGATATTCTGGGTACAGGCCATCTGTTGGATTTATGTCTTGCAAAATTTTCCCCCTGTCTGTGACTCTCCTTTTTGTTATCTTAATTATATCATTTAAAGAACAGAAGTTTTTAATCTTGATGAAACTCATTTTATCAGTTTATTCCTTTTTGAAAACATTTTTATTTGAGTTAATTTTTGTATATGGTGTGAGGTAATGGTTAAGGTTCTTTTTTATATAAATACAGATATCCCACTTTTCCAGCACCATTTGTTGCAAAAACTATCTTTTCCCCATTAAATTACCTTGGCATCTTTGATCAAATCAAATGACCTTATAATTGTGCATCTGTTTCTAGACTCTCTATTCTGTTCCTTGATCTATTTTTACACTAGTGCATCGTTGTCTTGATATATAGATTTATGGTGAGTCACCAGATGGGGTACTATAAGTCCTCTAATTCCGTTCTTTTTCTAAATTGTTTCAGCTACTCTAAGTCCTTTGCTTTGATGTATACATTTTCAAATTAACTTTCTTATTTCTTCAAAAATGCTTGTTAGGATTTTGGTTGGTATTGCACTGAATCCATGGATCAATTTGGGAGGATCACCATCTTATTGCCGTCTTAGCAATATTGAATCTTCTAATCCAGGGATCAACAAACTACAGTCTGCAGGCCAAATCTAGCCTATTTCTATATGCCTGTGAGCTAAGAATAACTTTTACATTTTGAAAGAGTGGTAAAAACAAAACAAAGAAGAATATTCCACAGAGACTATGTGGCCCAAAAAGCCAAAAACATTTACTACGCGGCCCTTTATAGAAAAAGTTTGCCAATATCTCTGGTAATGTTTGACTATGGCGCATCTCTCCATTCATTTAGTGCTTTGCAATGTTTTTTAGTTTTCAATGTACAGGTCTTGCACATCTTTCACTAAAGGTATGCCTAAGCATTATTGTGGACCATACTTTGAGAACCATTGCAGAAAGCGGTGGGGGCAGGGGACATTAATAGATTTTTTAAAGTCAAATTACATGGTAAAAATACCGAAGTATTATTTTAATAATGCTATGGAAAGACCCACAGAGGCTAGAAGCAGGGCAAATGGGAAATCTACAATATTTCCATTGACAGGTGCTAGAGACATGGGTTAGGGTAGTGGGAGAAAAGAAGGAGTAAATGTTAAAAACATTTCAAAGGCAGGAAAAGCAAGACTGGTAATGGATTGGATAAAGGGGACGAAATAGAGGGAAGAGTCAAAGACAACTTCAAGGTTTCTAGCCTGTGATGTTAAATGGCTCGTCCATGGTGATTTTTATTTGGTTTCCTTTTATCATCTGGAGGCACAAATAGGATTTTCCCACATCTAGCTATTGTAGTTCCCTATATTCAGATTTACCATTGAAATTGCCTTCTATCTCTTCACACCCTGTTAGTGAACAGGTAGTATTTTGATGGATGTTACATGATCAGAGAAATCCCGGGTCTTGGCAGCATGAGGAACGTAGCTTTCTTTAAATCTTTGTCTTAATTAATCATTTTTTAGTATTTTGAAAGCTTTTTGGTGTTGTAGCAACCTAATAGAACATTATTTTTACAACCTTGTTTGTTCAGAAATCATTAGCCCTTTAAGACATTTATGTTATTGATGACATTTATTATTTTTTTCTTTTTCCATCCTTTGGCTTCCTTTTGAAGTCACACTATTAAACCGCCTTAAAAATATTTATGTGTGTTTAGTTAACAAAAGCTCCTGTAAGTTGAATCCATGCTGGGAAAAGGTTCAGGTAAGCTCTCTATATAAGCTTACAGACAATTGTGTAAATCTTCAGCCATTAAAGAGAAAGGAGAAAAAAGCCACCCTCATTACACTGCTGTCATTTACTCTTCATCTCCTGTCCTCTTTAGCAGCATTAAGATGGGATGTAAATTTGCCAGTTAATGCTGTTAGAAAATGGATGGTTCAAGAAGGGCAGGAATTAGAGATCAGTATTAGGTGCAGATAAGCTCCTTTGCCTCCGCAGTGGCGGCTGTTTAACATTCATGGGAAAATCATCATCAAACAGCGTTATCACAGCTCTGTTGATGGCTGAGGAACTTCATCACTATGATAATTTTTTTTATAGCTGTGAGCCAAAAAGCTCCCTTTTATTTCTGCTGTCTAGAGCTGTGATAGAGGTTTGTTTGTATGGGTAGGAGACAGCAAACCCTGGGCTCCTCAGCCGGGTTTGATTTCGCCCCCACCCCCCGTCTCTGTTCTTCCCTTGTGCATGTTGCACTAAACAGTCCTACTGATAAATATATATATATATATATAAATGGAAGTCCTCCAACAATCCTTCAAAGCATAACAGATATTTTTATGATCAGTAATTCAAAGTTTGACAAGTGATGCCATTCTGTAATGAAACTGTCATCCATTTTATTGTGAGCAAAATGCTAACTTGATAAATGGAAGGTGGAGGGGTGGGAGCCAGCCCAAAGCAGGGTAAATAAATGCCTGAGTCTGAATACCTGGAAAGCAAACTATTCAAAACAGTCCAAGTATCCCTCAATGGCGTATTTCTCATCAATAGGCTAAGTCGTCAAAGCTCCTTGCCTGTAATTATTCCTTTCTGAGTCAAGCAGAGTAAACCGGAGCCCGGCTCCTCTGTAGTCTCTTTTTGGTTCTATTCTATGTTTATTTTTAGAGTGTTTGGGGACAACATTGGTTATGTTATTCTAAACCAACCAAATTTGCTTTAGAACACACAATCTTTGCACATGATATTTCCCTGACATGTTTAGACATCTTCAAGTATATTAGAGATAAAAGTCACAGGCGTTGCTTGCAGCACATATGGGGCAAAGACGTCCGGTATTCTTCGTAGATAGATATGGAAACGATTCAAAGAAAATTTACATTTATTAAGGTGCTCACGCTTGTGCTTCTTTGCAGCTTTGACCTCATTTTTGGAGGCTTAACTGCTCTAAATGACTTTTTCCCCTTTTTGGAATGCAGCTAAAAAGCATAGCACTGAAAAGCAGTTTTGTAGTCTGGACAGAAAGGTACTATCATTTAAATAGTTGGGATTTGAATTCAGGATTGATTTAACTACTTCAGTAATTTACTTTCAACCCCAGCTCATTCCCTTTCTTTCCCCGAGAGCAGACTTCCAGTCCTGCCATGATGGGCTGAAATATGCTTGGAGTTTGGAGATAAGGACTTTTGTCTATGAGGCTCAGCTTAGACGACCAAACTCATTTCCCAGAAGACTAGAGTTTGAATCCAGTTAGGATCCTGGAGGTGAAAGGCTAGCGCCTTATCATTTAAGTATAGCTATTTAAACATAAGTTTAAAAGAGATACTGCAGGATGGAGGGACAGCGTTTCTCCTCGAAGGATAATCTTGGGGACAAGCTGGCTGGCTGTTCCCTAAAGATCAGATAGCCCTCTCCATCCCCAAATAGCTTTGGCCACCTCTGACTTCTCAAGATCAAAAGCCAAGAATGCTTCCTCATTCCAAGATTTTCTGTTCCATGCTTGTTTTAAAAAAAAAAAAAATCTAAGGAGGTGTTTAATTTTTGTTCACACACTCCATCATAAACTGACGATGGGTTTAAGTCTTAACTCCATGCCTGAAAGGAATTCCCAGCATTTCCTCTCTCAGCTGAGGAAACTGCACGGTGCTTACCATCATCCTTCACTTGCTTGTTGCCTAGATCTCTCTAGTGTCATGTAAGTTCAATGAGGGAAGACTTCTTTCTCTCTCTTTTTCCTGCAGTATTTCCAGTGCCTAGAACAGAGAGCCTGACATGTGGTAAATATTTAAGAGATATTGAGGAACAAATGAGTTCTTGTCTGAAGCTGAAGCCTGGGAAAACTTCATGGTATTGTAGCAAGAGGTTCCAGGAGCTAAACCTGGCTGATAGCCAGAGACATCTCAAGAGCAGCAGGGCCATTCCACAACACGAGAAGTGAGAAGCAGGAAAGCCCCTTTGGCTTCCCAGGTCTGTGAAGGAAGGAGGGCAGTTGGCTCAGTTCTGAAGCTGAGTCTAAAGGAAGCAGATTCTGAGGAAGGTGTGTTTCAGATGTCTATTGCAGTGGCATGGTGCGGAAAAGGAAACTGAAGTGGGGGACTAGTGGGACTCCTTTTTACCAACAACGTCAAAAAATAATGTTTATTGCCATTGGCCCCCTCTAGCCCTTTCTTTCTGTGGAAATACACATCAGGGATTCCCCTCCTTAATGATAAAGACTGTGTAATGATAAGTCTTGCATCATAAAGTGGCCTTTTTCCAGAGTAGATGAAGAAGAAAGGGGACCCAGGGAGCAAGCGGGAGGGAGCGGTGGCATTAGAGAGCCCACCAGCATGTGCCAGCCCCAGAAGGAGTCAAGGCCATCATTGCATCAGCCCACAGAGGCTTATGAGCAGCAGTATGAGCCACACAAAGTAGGCCAGGCTGCATTTAGCCACCACCGAAATCACACATTCTCTAATTTAGTTCATTTTACACTAACAACTACAAGAAACAGCTTTGAGGTCACAAGAACAAAAGACAACGATGATAATTTCCTCTGGCTCTTTTGCCAAGCCATCAGCAATTTTCTAGCTTTCTTTCCCCCACTTAAATCCACCCATCTATCTCACTATCTTGAATTCACCTTATTTTTTCTTGGAAATAAAAAAATTAATCAACCTTTTAGTAACTAGAACCCATTATAGAGATATCTTGTATTCACAGTATGTAGGCTATGACTCCGTTATTAATTAATGCATCTTTTACCTAATTTTGACTTCGGAGCTAAGCATAGTTAATCTCATAAAAATTGTATTTTAACTTTACTAGACATACCTGTCTAGTAAAATCCATGTACACCCATGTATTTGACAGATTTATAGTACAGGTCAGTTTTGCTGCAAACCCAAGTTTATATAAATCTTTGTATTTTCAGATTCCCTGTGGATATCAGGACTTCCTCTGGAAAATGTAAAGATAATCTTACAACATCTGAGTTTATGTCAATTAACAAATGAGGATAACAAGCTGGTTGTTTTCATTGATACTATCTGATATGGCATTGGGGATTCTTATCTAAATCTGTTTATCAACACTTTCAATCAAATCAAAAGGAAGAGATGCTTTGTAATGCAGAAACCATTCTTTTGTCTCAGGGATATGAGGAAACAGTTCATTCTGACAGAAGTGGCTATTGGTGAGGAATGCTTGGTAGCATTTTGGGTGGAAGCCAGATTTCCAGAATGTTATTCTAAGTGGCCTATTTTTTCACCTGGTTCCCTTACTGTACATTCTTTAGGAAGAACATTGGCACTAAGAAATCACAAATAGTCATGCGTGGGTCTTCAATCATAGGATCTTGAACCAACCTTTTGTTTTGTTACCCAATATAATGGGGGGGTTCTGCAATTCCCCTGAACTTACATAAGAACTGAGTATCTGCCCTTCCCCATATACACATAACAGAGATGCTGCTGAATACCTCATCCCAGTCAGTTTCCTTCATGGAATGGATAGACTTGTTCTGGTCCATTTATATCCTCTTGCCCCTCTGGACCCAGCGCACACCTCTGAGTCAGCTGACCGACTTCTGGAGGCACGGGAGATCATGGCATGGTGATAAGCCAATTGGCCCATTTAGGGTCAATCTCTGAATGTTGGAGCTAAGTCGACTAGCCACAAACTCCAGGGAACACACGGCTGCATCTGAAAGCATACAGGTTCATCTGCATTGCAGCACTGCCCATTGCCACACCTGCTACCCACTGCAGCCAGTGAGAGGTGCTCTTTGAAGTTCTGCCCTTCACACGGTGCCTCATTAGTCATAGACCAACCAGGCCATGAGAAAACATCAGAATACATCTGTCACCTCTAACAATTCATGGAGCAGATTCTCCATTTCCTTTGTTATGCTATGAATAATTCTGCAGCTTCTCCGATTTTATTAAGAAGCCTTTCCCTTGGTTTCTCTCTGTTCTTCTCATCTAATCTCTTAATGGAAGTTGCTAATTAAATTCCTATAGCCATTTTTTTAACAGTGTTTTGAATAGCAAAGTCTGTCAACTGCAGAAAGTGTATATTCTTATCAACACGCCTGTTGCCTGGAGGAGCGAAGGCCTCGCTGACAGATGGCTGCCGAGGAAGGCCCAGCAGGCCTCGCATCTGCAGCACCTGGTGGTGGGGGCACGGGAACAAGCGCAGGGCTGGAGACGAGGGCCTGTTTGGGCTCAATCATTAGAATCCAGGTTGCTGGAGAGGTTCTGTGAATCTCAAGTGGAACTTGGCAAATTTCAGCAAAGTATTCTGGGCATGTAGTTGTTTCTAAGCATCTTTGGATGCTGTCCCATTAACAGTCTCGTATCCCTTTAAATCTAAGTGATAGCAAGTCTCTAAAGGGAAATTTTAAAAGCCAAGTGCCTGACATACTGTATACCAACACGTCCTTTTATGGGACATGAGACATCAAATTGAGTTCCATTAAATGTACTTGTTGCTGTCTGGTAGGAGGTTTCGAGGCCCTCATGAATAACAAGGAATCATCCTTTAGCCTGAATTTATATGGAAATTAAGAATGCAAATATGTTCCTTTAAAGCAACTTCGTTTTTACCCCCACATAGGTAGTCAGCAACACAATATCTTGTAGTTGTGAGTGGTTAATTGAAGGATAATCCAGTAACACAAGAATCCGTACTAAATCAGTCCCTTTAAGGGATCATTGGTCCTTGATCAAATGTTGGTACCTGCCTAAAACAAAAATTCATTTATTCTCTCAACAAATACTTTCTTCTTGCCTAATAGTTGTCGTATAATGATGCTGGGTACTAGACATACAGAGGTTGTGACAACCTGGCTCAAGAGAGCAGGCAGAGCCCACAGGTCTGCTGGCTCCTACATCCACATTTCACAAATCATCAGAACAGAGATGTGAGTGTGTGAGTGACTGTGTGATTGAGTGAGTGAGAGAGAGAGAGAGAGAGTGTGTGTGTGTGTGTGTGCACGCGCATCCTCATAACAGTGCTGGAAACTACGAGAGACTGACCAGGGCTTTAGGAAATTTCTGAACAATAGAAGGGATCAAATCTATGGAAAAGTACGCTAAGAGTCCAGCAGAAAGTACCGCTCAAGAAAAAAGAGGGGGAAACGCCCCTGAGAGAGAAGCCATTTGGGGTTCAGCTCCAAGGTCAGAGGCAAAGGATGGAGGGAGGCAGGGAGGTTCCCTGTGGAAATTGTCTGAGTGGTTAAAAATTAACTCAGCAATTATATCTGTCTGAAAGAAATACTTACATTTGTGCAGTCTGTGTATGAAAGACGGTGAGCCTTGCTGCGTGACTCGTAATATGAAAACAACCTGATCGTCCATCTCTCAGTGAGTGAGTTACTATGAAATTATGTAGATCATCATGTGTCAACATGAAAAGATCTCCAAGTCCTGATGTTAAAGGAAAAAAGCAGTTTGTAGAAAACACACAGTAAAGGGAAAGAAAGAGAGAGAAATGATGATAGATGATAGATAGATAGATAGATAGATAGATAGATAGATAGATAGATAGATTAATATAAATGATAGATGGATGAATGGATGGAAGGATGGATAGAGTGTATGTACACATGTTTGTGAATGGAAAACTACAGGTCTGGAAGGAGACTTACCAAATAGTTATTAAAGACTTTACCTTTTAGACACTGAATGAGGGTGTAGTAGGGTGGGGCAGACATTCACTTTTTATTATCATGTTTATGTAATGCCTGAAATCGTATGAGGCCATATTAACGTAATACATATGATTACAGGTATATAAAGTGCAAAAAAAAGAAAAAAAACAGACATACTGCCCCTTCCCAAGGAGCTTACATAGGAGATAAAGGCAGGTAGGGAAAAATTATTGGCAATTCAGTGCAACAGGTGCACTGATAAAGTAACATCAAGGTGGCTTAGCTCCTCAAAAAGGTGCATGACCCGATCTAGATCACAAAGGGCTCCCCTGAAGCAGTGACAGCTAAGCTGAACTCTGAAGTTCCCACGAAGAAGTGGGGACAAGAAGCAGGGGGCCAGTCAGCAAAGTTGAGGTGCTCAGTTCAAAGTGCATATCAAAGATGAGCCTGGACAGGGATCAGGAGGAACCTGAGAGGTCGTGAAGGTCCTTGTAAGCTGTCTTGAGCCATCTCACCTCCCTCCTGAGCCTCTCACTGGGGCACATGGTGTGTCGGAGCCCCAGATGTGAGGGTGAGAACTATACCGGGGAAGCAGCGTCTTCATCTCCAGTGAGCTCATCTCACTGTCTCCCTTCTCCAACAAGACACCGACTGCTCAGAGACACACAGAATTGCGTGGAAGTGACTGAGACAGCCTCTCTGGAGGTTGGGTCATCAGTTGGAATTCTTCTCTCCAGTTGGGCCTTTGGGCCACCCCCATGACATCTTCATTCTTTCTTTCCTGCTGGCCCAAGCTGCTCTCTGCTGGTGGTCAAGATGATTCAGGTAAGGATGACAGAGCAGGCACCTCTTTCTTCATCCCTTTTCTCTGCCTTCTGCTAAGATCAGCCAACTACTAATAAACTCCTGCCCAGAAAATTTTACTTCCTGAAAGCTTTCAGAAAACTTACAAGTGGACCAGTCACTCCTTCAAGAAGCATGGACTTGAGGTCAAGTGCACGGACTTTCCATGATACCAAGAGGGTTTAGGGGTAGGGGAGTTACACAGTCAAGGCAGGAGAGGAGAGCTGCTTTTTCCTGAAGTAGCAGCTCATACATTCCCCACAGCACTGCCGCTTTCCAGAAGGTTTCATGCTTGGTCTTTCCCGAGTCCAAGCTGGCATCGGAGAAGAACAGGAATGGCTCTCAGTGCTTGGCATAGCCCCGTGCAAACTCCAGTGAGTGTGTGCTTGAAGGACAGGTGCCACATCAGCACTGGATCGGCTTCCTAGGGCTGCAGCAGCAAAATGCCACAAACCAGATGGCTTAAACTGACAGAAAGTTATACTCTTGCAGTTCTGGAGTCTAGAAGTCTAAAATGAAGGGGCCAGCAGGGCCGTGCCCCCACTGAAGGCCATAGGGGAGAATTCTTCCTTCAGTCTTCTGGCTCTGGTTGCCTCCAGGCCTTCCTTGGCTTGTGACTGCATCACTCCAATCTCTGCCTCTGTCTTTACTTTGCTTTCCTTCTGTGTCTGTGTCTTCTCTTTTTCTGTCTCCTGCAAGAACACTTGTCATGAGATTTAGGGTCCGCCCATGTAATACAAGATGATCTCATCTTAATATCTTTACCTTAACTATATCTGCAAAGATCCTTTTTCCAAATAAGCTCACATTCATAGGTTCCTGGGGTCAGGATGTGGACCTATCTTTTGGAGGGGCATAATTCAACCCTCCATAGGTGCCTAGTAATCTTGTTGCTATTCTTGAGGCCTTTGTTCTCATTTTCTTCACCAGGTTCAGAGTCGGTTTTAGCCCTCACACTTGGTTTAACATCTATCTAGGATGCTATTTTGCATAAAAGGAGAACAGCAGATAAAATGATGTGGCTTTAGAGATGAGATTCAGTACCCTCTTTAGTTAGATGCAAAAATAAGCCAGAAAAATCTACTTGCTTGCCCAAAGTCACAGTTTAGACACAGAGCGGAGACTCAAATTCAGGAGACCTTTCCACCACCCCATGTTTTGGAGGTACAAGGTTCTAAGTACTTATGTTTGACCTCGGTTTCAGGCTGGGTATTAGGCAGACGACAGTTATTTTGAGGAGAAAATATTAAAAATAAATAGTACGTTCATCTTGCAACTTCTTATCCTATAGCAGGGCCTTGAAAATTCCACTCCTGTTGGGCAGAACAGAACTAGGATCACTCAGATTGTTGAATACTTTCTTGGTTATTTCTCACCTCGTCCCAGTAAAGGAATCTGTCTCTTGATTTTCAGAAAGTTTTGGTGTACTAAACTGTGCTTTGATCCAATTAGAGAAAAAACTACGCCAAATGCTATGAAAACAAAACATTTTAGTTCATGAACTTGAAGAAGTGTTATCAAGGCCTTTAGCTCAGTCTGGTAAACCAAGGAGTAGGATAGCACACTTCAAAGACTGGGCAGTATTTTTCTTGGGACCTGAATTAGGAAAGAATGGGGCTGGGGAGGAGTGGGGTAGGTGGGGGCGGGTGTCCTTTGGACTCGCTTACAAGGCTTGGCTTGATAGGAGCACTGGGTGCCTGTGAATATCTGTTATGTAATGCATACCCCAAGCAGTTGTAAAGTCATTCAGACAATGGTCACACTTGGGAAGTTTCCAACTCATGAATACTGCAGATAGCCCATTTTCTTCACCTTCAGTTGAATCTGATACTTTTGAATAGACTGTGAGGTGTTCGGGACTTTATCTGAGCCAGAGCCGCTAAGCTGAAAGGAGACGTGAATGGAGGAGGGAGTCATTCAAAAAACGCTTTCATTTGGTTTCAGAAACACTTTCTTTGTTTTGACGTGCTCAGAACATCATCTATTTGAAGTCTGGCTCCACTAGAGTTTTTATCTCCAAAGCAAGAAAAATATGGTAATTTTAAATAAATAAGCCACCACAACAAAATGTATTTGGGGGAAAAAAAAACTGTTTCCGAGGAGATTTGTGCATTTTGAACATGGGTAATGCCTGTATAAAAGTCTAAATGAGTGACTCTAAGCTATAGTCTGTCTTTCTCTTTGTTCTTTAAGAAAATATTCACATCTCTCCAACTAAATTAACATATATTATCACAAATGTGTCATTCTCAAATTTCCTGAGCTTGGCTTATCACTCACCGTTCTTTTTTTTTTTTTTTTTTGCTCATGACTGTCTTTCTGAAAACAAAACAACATTATTCACACCAATAAGTGTAACAGGCACAATGGGAGAAAGTGCTGGAAGCGACTTCTTTGTACTTATCGGGGTGACCTCTCACTCTTGGCGTTTCCTTTCTTCGCCTCTCTGGAGTCACGTCTCTGAGAAGGAACTGTGGAACTCTATGTTCCATTAATGTCCCCACACCCATTTGTCCTCTACACGCCCTTTGTGCTCTGGGAGAATTCAGCATCCAGGCAAAATCTAACTCCTGACTTTATTCTGCAGCTGACAACAGTGTATCTTGTTTAAAGAGAAATACTCGATTCCTTTCATTGTCTTAATTCATAGGTGGTTTAAATGGCTAGAGAAAAAGCCTAAGTCTCCTGAGCTTGAATAAAAAATAAAATGAACCATTTACTTAATGCCCCATTTGAAGCCACGGGCCCTTTGGAGAGTTTGGCCAGACCATTTGTAAGATTGGAGATGGTATTTGCATACATTCCCACACCTGGGAGTGAATCTGTGTAATAGACACTTGGATATATACCAGTGAGAAATACAAGTTGGGAGTGTCTACCAGGGAGGAGATCTCAGCCCATACTAAATTCTAATTCAGGTCAGGAAAACAGAGTTCCCTAGCAAGATTCCTTTTATATCCAAATTTAAGATTCAGAACCAAAACAGCAGAGAAAGAGAATTCAGAATTTTCTGTCTAATGCCAGTGGGATACTAAGAGTATTACTTTCAGATTCACCATTTAAAGCAACTTACCACTAAAAATATCTTCTGATGAAATGGAAACTGAACCCCCTACCAGGATATTAGAAATTATGCAGAAACAGGTTATAGTTTTCTGACTTTATTAAGATAGATTTCTTTGTGTGACCTGAGAGGCAAATACCATTGACACAAGTTGCTAAATGCTTACGGATTAGGATAATGACACGAAATAGCTTGAGCTCTGCTATTTTTGCAATAGACAAATTTAGGTATAAAGCATATTACTTATCTTTGCCTGATGTTTATATTTCTCATAAACTTTTCAGTCAATCTAATTTTTTAAATCAAAATATAACCAAAGCCCTAGAGGTTGCTCAGGTTAAAAATATATTTTAACTATGACTATCATAGGAACACTAGTGACCAAAAATGTATTTTACCAATGACTCCCAGAAATCTAAGCTTTCAGAATTTTCAGAACCACCAGAATAGAAACAGACTTTGGTGGACCCCGGATTTTTATTTTTGTTTTTGTTTTAACAAACCCCACCTCTTTCTCCAGCATCTTATCAGTACATGCAGGCCATTTATGATTTTTCCTACATATTCATTCCTTTCTCGGAGAAATTTAAGACTTTATTACCAATTTTGGTGGATATTCTGTCTAACTTTTATGTTGGACAGGACTTAAGAGACCCTGAGCCAAATGGGGCCCCTGTTTCTGTTGCTTCCAGACAGTGAAGGACCTGAAGGCTGAACTGGGGTGTGTGTGTGTGTGTGTGTGTGTGTGTCTATGTGTGTGTGTCTGTGTACATGTGTGTGTGTTGGGGTGGGGGCAGTTGCTCTGTCTTTTCCTTAAATTTTCTTATAAGTCACCTCTAATGAGCAGAAGTTGTATGCAAACTCCCTAAAGAGAGGGCAGGTAAATTGTTTCTTAATTCTGCTCAGCCACCACGGATCAACATTTATTCCTCTGGCTCAAAAATTACAAAGTTGGTTCATGCCTGGATGCTTAAGCCTGTGGGGACTCGAGAACTCTAAACCGTACTGGGCCTTGACAGGCAGAATGTCTGTAAAATTACTCTGAAAACATTAAATCTTCATGGCTGGGAGATTAAGACTCTCTTCCTCAGTGTAGGTATTTTTTAGTACAGAGTGTTAAAATCGACTTGCCTTTGTTAAAGCTTCCATGTTCCTACGGTTTCCACCTAAGCCAGTAAGGAGACATAGGGATGTATTTTTTGGTGCTAGAACACTGTAAAGACCGTGCCCGTATCAGGGGCACACACAGAGCTTTTCTTGAAATAGACTTTTGGTGTAAGCCTTTTTCTGAAATAAGGCTTTGGGGAAAACAAAAAGAAAGAAAAAAAGCTACCTGCTCTGATTAGGCTCACAAAGAGACTACAGTACTCCACATTATCTTAAGAAAAACAAAAGCCCGAAAGCACAGCCCACAGCCTTTCCATCAAGTAGCAGGCATTAAAGTACATTAGCTCTATCATTTGTATGTCTATAAATATCAATAAAGTATGTGATTTGGCTTCACTTTCACACAAAGAAGGAGGACTATCCTTTTCAGGAAATTTCGCAGAGACACTCACCAACAAAAGTTCAGTAACTTAATCTTTGGAAAGCTCAATAATGCTGAGTTCAAAATTGCAGGTTTTAAACTAATGTACCTGATAAGTGCTGATGGCAGAACTAAAGCGAGCCATTATTAGGTAATCCAATATTCCCAATCCCGGTTATCTGTAACAGAGAAGAGCCTCCCTAAAACAGCAGTAATGTGTTCACATCTACATTCATCTCTGAAGTCAAAAAGAGGCATTCTTCATGGGCTTTATCTGTTTCCAAATGTCTGCCTCCACAAGGAGTGATTTCGCACTGCTGAGGCAACTATGCAGATGACTCCAATATCTTTGTCCAATGGGTGCTATTTCTTATGGCTCTCCGGGACTCTGTCCTACAGGCTGGACTTTCACAGCTGTCTGGCTTTTATGTTGAACAGAACTTAGAGACCCTGAGCCAAATGGGGCCTCTGCTTCTGTTGCTTATAAGGGGTGGGGGAAGTTGGTCAGGGTTTTTTTCTCTTCTATGTGTCATACTGCTTCCAACTTTTCTCCAGCACAAGTTTTCCCTTGCAAGGTGTCATGGTGCCTATGGAGAGGGTTTGTAGAGCATCCCTCATGCAAATTTATTTGCACAGGGCCGCTTATCACTGCTGTTGGTTTGAAACATCTATCTTGTTTCTCCTGAGTGGCAGATCCTACTTCCAGAGCTGAAATAAACATGGTCCTCAAACTATTCGTTATTCAGTAACACTTTAAGAGATAAGGTGAAAAAAGGTAAAACTTATTCAAGGTGCCGCATTTGTCCTGCCTCCCTCCTATGGCAACATGGACAGCGACTCTTTTATTACATTTGTGTGTTGCACAGTTTTACATGTTCTAACTTGGAATTAAATTTATTTTTTAAAGATATTTTTAAACCAGAATCTAAGCCTGAATTAAGATAATCCCAATAAGATCCAGAGTGTAGGATGGCAGGTGGATAACTTAGAATGGGGCTACCACTTCTTTTCTCCACAGTCTCGAAGGGTTCTTGCCTGGAAACACACATTTTCATAAACAAATATATTGACATATGTGAATTTGCATGTTTCATCTTACGAGTCCAACAGAATTAAGTTAATAAGTACAATCTTTGGGAAATGCATGCAAGGGCAGGGGCAGTGACAGGAGCCTGCTGAGTAGAACATTAGTGTTCTTTCACTAGCCTCCCACCCTGGACTAGTTCACAGGAGACATCTTAGGACGGAAAAGAAGGATCAAAACAAGGACTCTCCCTCAAAAATAGGCACTCTGATAATTTTGTTATGAGCCACTTATGATCCTACAATCTCTTTTCAGAAGTTGTGTGTGTGAAGCAGGAATTCTCTAAGAATCAGTAAGTTTTTCTATTTTATAATGACCATCTGAAGAAGGCACGTGGCTTTCTATTAAAAGTTTGGCAAGCTCCAGAGTGAAAAGAAGTAGACAGCAATCTCCCATTTACTCAGAATGGTTTAAGAACATTCAACTATTTCATACTATTAAGAGTTATCATCCATATCAAATACAGATTACCAATTTTTAAATAACCTTATCAAGCTAAACTACACCAAATTCTAAAACTATATTGAATACACTTCACCTAAAGTCAGGAACTTGCACCGCTGCCGAGGCAATGCTGAGGCCATCGGTTAACATCCTATAATCCTATAGCTATAGAAAATGTATGAGATTGAGCTGAGCACATGTTGAATTTATTAGGATACACCTGGGGGAACTGGCATTTTAAACAAGCCTGAGACTTCAGCTTCTTATTGTCAACTGTTTCTTGCTAATAAAAGTAGAGCACAGAATGTGAAAAAATTCAATTAAGGTGTTGGAGATGTAGTAGTGTGGAGGTTATGAGCTCAAATGGACACCATAAGTAACGTAAGTTACATCTAGAGCAGAGATCCTCCAACATGCATGTACAACAGAATTATGGAGCCTTTGTTGAAACAGGGTCTCAGCTCCACCTCAGGGATTCTGATTTAGTAGATTTCTTCTGAGAATTTACATTTCTAGCAAGTTCCCCAGGTGATGCTGATGTTGTTTGGTCTGGGAACCATATTCTGAGAACTGTTGCTCTAGAGTCAAATGAAAGTTTGTTTATTCATTTGATTGCTTATTTCCCATTAACTTGATTAGGTCAATGCCAACTCAAATAAGTCTGTCCATAAAATTCCCTTTTCTCCCCTCAGAATTATAGGTTGGCCAGACTGATTAAAAAAAAAACCAACAAATATTTATTTTTCTTTTGTACCACCTTGATAAGGAGTCATAAAATTGTCACCCTATAACCACAAAGAGCATTTAAGCATTTCAATATGTCCATGCAGCAGTTAAGCTAGATAGACTTGGATTCATAGTTACTATGTCCTTTCCAGCTGTATGACCTTGGGCAAGCCATTTACTAGCTCTAAACCTCAATCTTTATGAAATAGGACTAATAATTTAAACTCCAATGGATTGTTGCGAAGATTATAAAGTCTTTATGTAATGCACCTAGCATAGCTGGAGCATAATATTATCTACTTGTTTCAAAAGATTCAATCCAGTAACATTCTAATAACTGTAGAGAACTGTAATAACTCAGATAACTATGGATTACTCAGAGATGAATAACTCAGAGAGTTATAGATTACTTAGAGAAAGCCATGGAGTGTTCTGTAAAGATGCAACTCCTCAATATATAATATTACAACATTCCATTAAATATCAATTAGTTAGAATACGGGAATTGACTTAATTTTCTGATTAGCAGAAGTTTTAAGAAACTTCTTGCTTCAACCTTGGCTGAAATTCTTTTTAACTCCCCTGCCTTGTGATATAATACGCATATCCAGGTAGTCTTTCATTGCTGAATTAGGGTCACTCATTGCCTCAGAGTCATCACTGTAGACCAAATTGTCATTATAATCATAGAAAGTAGTGGAAAGTATATTGAATAAGTTGTAATTCTAAAATATAATTTATTTTTAAAATAAATTAGTTTTTTTTGTGTGTGTGTGTGTGGTGCTTTCCTCACCATGGACAATCTAGAGAACAGAAAAATTCTAGTAAATAAATGATGTAGCTAGTTAGGGCTTAGCAAATTGATAATACAGTGAGATTTCGTAGGGCACTGGAGGACTACAAAAGATACAATTCAACTGGGACATATGAGTGTTCAAACAACATGTGGCTCTGCTGATTGGGTGGGAAATGGTGTTTTGGGGACCTCTTCCTCCAAATTCATCAACTCAGTATGTTTCATTGTCTGATACCTTCCGATGCACCTCTCCACTCTACACTTCAAATTCCATGGATCCCTCCATAGTTGGCATTATTTGGTCCCATTATGTACAATCCAAATGTCAAGGCAAGAAGCCCCAGCTCACTCCACATCTGCACTCCAGAGGTTCCCAAATGAAGAAGGTTTGCGTTAAAAGAAGAGTTTCTCCACACGGGCCCTACTGGCATTTGGAGCCAGACCATTCTTTCTTGCAGGGGCTGTCCTGTGCATCAAAGGAAGTTTAGCCACAGCCCTGGGTTTTACCCTCAAGATATCAGTAACACTCCCCTTCCCAAGTTAAGATAATAAAAAATGTCTCCAGACATTGCCAAATATCCCATGAGGGGCAAAATTGACCTCACTTCCCCCAGTTATGAACCACCACCCTAAAGACCAGTCCTCAATTAGAATACTGAGGGGACCATTTTCTCCCTGCCAGCCCCTCTGATGTTAATCATGTGGAAATGACCAATTCTGGGAATCTGCCCATTTCTCTCCTCCTACTAATTATTTTGATTAGGCCAGCAAAGCAGAGAGATTTCTTCATTCCAACAGAGTCTTATGGAACAGACAGTTTATGTCAGATAAAAGCACACTTATGGTATGGATTTCAGAGCCTGTCACTCAGGATGTATGTATATCTTTGACAACAGATTCCTGAAGGATTTGCATTTTACAAAGTACAGTCTAGGCAAGCCTGACCTTACTGGTTCCTTGAATCCCTTGATTAACTGAAAGTCAACAAAAATGCCTTACCAAAAACCTAGATGTGAAGCATCTTCATAAAATTCTTCTTATGCTGATAATTATGAAAAAATTATTTATGAGTGGCACACTGAAAGTGACTCAAGGTCCCTGTTCTGATTATGAATTTTCATTGTAATTTAGTGGCATAAGAAGTTGAGCTGGCTATGACTACCTTGAAAATTCTTCCTTCCTGTGTCTGGGTATGTGTGTTTTAAAATGAAATTCTCAATATGGGCTTTTGAAATGATTTTCATCCTATTCCTTTAAGTATAATACAAAAAAGAATATGGCATATTTTATGTTTCAGGTACTGTGTAGCATATCAAAGCAGGAAAGAGCCTGCTACCCTCAGGCTTATTCCCTATCCATGTGGGCGGATAACACCAATACCCATGAAAGAAGGAGAGGAACGTACTGCTCTGGAACAGAACAGTGCATGCTCTGTATGATGCAGAGTACAAGGTATTCAGAGAATGGGACTCTGTGAAGGTTGGGGTCCTCAGGAAAGGCTTCGCAAAGGATATCAACCTGAACCAACGTACATGGCCACATGGTGCTGCTTTCCCCTGCAGACAACCCAGACTTGGAGGTTGAGAAGTGGCAGAGCAGTTGGACAGAATCCAACTCATTTATGATCATGACCAAGAGGGTATTTATAAACAGCCAAATAAGACAGAATAGTAAGGATGTTAAAATATGCCATGTTCTGGTTAATTATTATTTCCTTGTAATAATAAGATCAGAAAGGAATTCAGGGACTAAAATATTGACATAAGTCATAAATAACCTGAAGTTTGAGTTATTTATTTCTATGCTACCATTGCTGTAAGGTAATTAAGAAGTGCTACTATTCACAATAGCAAAGAATTGGAACCAACCCAAATGTCAATAATAGACTGGATTAAGAAAATGTGGCACATATACACCATGGAATACTATGCAGCCATAAAAAAGGATGAGTTCATGTCCTTTGTAGGGACATGGATGAAGCTGGAAACCATCATTCTGAGCAAACTATCGCAAGGACAGAAAACCAAATGCCACATGTTCTCACTCATAGGTGGGAATTGAACAATGAGGACACTTGGACACAGGGCGGGGAATATCACACACCAGGGCCTGTAGTAGGGTGGGGGAAGGAGACAGGGATAGCATTAGGAGAAATACCTAATGTAAATGACGAGTTAATGGGTGCAGCACACCAACATGACACATGTATACATATGTAACAAACCTGCATGTTGTGCACAAGTACCCTAGAATGTAAAATATAATAAAACAAATTAATTAAATTAAATTAAAAAGGTAAGTGAGAAGTGCTAAACGAACAAGGAGCCTCTCCTATTCCTTTGGTAGTTCACTTATGTTATCTATTCGGTTTGGTGGCAGGATCTAGATTCTCTCTATATTAATAGAACACCAACTGAATAACAACCATCTAATGCACCAGGCATGGGACTGTGGCACCTATTATTATTCCAGGAGCTGGAGACACAGGGGCAAACTGAACAGACGAAGCCTCTGTTCTCAGGACCTGCCTTTTCTACTGTGGGAAGGCTGACAATTAAGCCAGTAAACAATCAGAAGGTGATTGTGTCCACTGGAGAAAACTAAGCAGTGTAACGTGACAAAACAGGCGTCTGCGAACTATGGCCTACAGACAAAGCCAGCCCACTGCCTGTTTTTCTATGGCCCATAAGCTAAGAATGGCTTTTATACTTGAACCCCAACAAGTGGAATGTGTCTTCTCATTCATAGACCTACATTACAAAAAAAATTATGCTTAATTGTCCTATTTTGAGTTTCCTTTTTTTAAAAATTGTGCTAATTTGTTTTCTCTGTTGTCATTTAAGTACTTACATGGTATCGTCAATTTTGCCTCTTGGCCTACTGTGCGTCCCTTTACATAGAAATGTTGCCATCTGCTGTGTTAGAGACCCACAACACTGGTAGAAAATGACCCAAGTCCAGAACTGCGAAGGAAGACCTTTCTGAGCAGGTGACATCAAGGCTGAGACGTGAATGCTACAGGGCATCCTGGGTTCTCGTCCACTTCTGCCAGGGCTACGTAACCTCTGGGTCTCTCTTTCCTTATTTGTAAAATATCTCGGTTGAACTATATCCTCTGCCTTCCCCAAACCGCTATAGCTCCGTTTCTCTGTTGACTGAACATGGCACATCCTTCATCATTATTCATCTTTCATCACACATCTATGCCCATTTCATGAGTATGAAGAAGAAACAGATCAGCAGAAGCGACGTTTCCAATTCTCCACTTTTGCACGCATCATACAGTTTGGCAAGATTCACAGAAGTCCCATAAATGAGAGTTCTACAATTAACCTCCAATACCTTGATGAAGTATGTGGAAGTTTGTCAGAGCACAAGGCCAGATGCCTTACAATTTTCCAAACATTACTAAAAAAACAGCCCACGCTCACTCTGAATTATTGTGGTCTTTCAAAGTATATACAAAGTAATACGCAAGGAGACAAAGCTATTTTACCAGGCAGACAGATATTCCAAATTACTGGTTCTTAACAAGCATGGTAATACATCAGTCAAAAGCAATAAATTTAAACTTAATGAAATCTCAATTTGCCTACAGTGCATTTCACTTTGACATGTTCTATATTGCCACGGTGCTTTGATAAAGTTTTTTAAAATGCAAAGAAAGTGTCTGTAAGGCTAAAGACCAGACTTGGTACCATTGTGGCCAAGGCAACATTACAGTACTTAAATTTCATCACTCTATGCCCCGTGGCAGGCAGAGCCCCGGCGCTAACACAGGTTCAGTTTTCATTATCATCATATGATTACGCATTTTACTGCATTTAACTGATAATACAACTACCAGCTCACCTTAAAAGAATTAGCTTGGAGGTTTCATTGCTTTCCAAATGGAATTCATTTGACAAACAAATGACAATTAGCCTAGTCTCCCTGTTCTGCGTCAGGATGCTTTTTGATTGAACCTAGACCAATTTACAATTTTTAAATGAGTTTAGACATTTACATTTAAAATGTCTACAGGAAATTAGCCCTGGGACATCCAACAGCCAAAATGCTTTTTGAAGTTGATTATTATTTGATCTAGTACCCTCTACCTGTACATTTTGTTCTGACTTCAAAGTTCGGGAATGTAAATGCCACCTCACCTCAAAGCACAGGGAGAAACTTAAAAGCGGTTTTGCTCATTATGTTATGCAAAGGAGCCCATATTTTAATATTCGTTTAATATGGTTAGTTAGCTTTAATGACACCAGTGTGACAGTGTCATAGTTTTGGAATCTGAAAGCGCTGATTGAAGTTTCCGGCCGCTGCCTCTATTTTTCTGCACAGAAAGGAATCTTGCCCTTTGAAAGACAGATCAGCTCCTGGCTGCGTCCATTCTGGCGAGGGCTAAACGTAATAACTTTGAGATGAAGAGTTCACCTGCCTCAGTGAAGAAAGCACAAATCATGATATCAGGGGCTACAGAGACACTTGACTGTCAGATTCCAATTCTGTGTGTTTTCTAAGTGCAAGCCCTTTGCCCACCGCTGCTGAGGAAGCTGCTAGTAATTCCATTATAAACATGCAGTGCTGATAACCCAGCCACAGAAACTGGTATTGCCCTGAAATTAAGCCCACTGATTTCTAGCCGAGAGCATATTTTATTTATTTATTATTGTTTTTGTAGCTACATTATTGTCAAAATGAGAAAACAACAGCCTTTTTCTCATTCCGTGTTGTACAACTGCAAAAATTAAATATGGTGAGGGGAAAGCTTGCAAAATGTTCTATTGCACCCATCACCCTGTTCTGAAGGCCTGGTAATCAGTGTTATCCACAATATATTCAAAGGAACGCTCTGGAAGAAAGGGCATGTGACACAGGGCTGAGGAGTCGGCGAGTCCCTATCTGCATGGAGTTATCATGGCTTTCACAGGTCATCCCTGAGAGCTCACCAGAATATTTTGAATTTCTAGTTTTGTCTCACACTATAGGACACACACCACATGTTTTCAAAATAACTTTGAGTTCAAAAGAGTTCCCTAAGATAACACTGTATAACCCCAGCACAGAATTAATGGTTTTGAAGACTGTTTTCTGTGAAGGTAGCAGAGGCTGACTTCAGTAATCCTGGCCCTCCGGAGTGCTCACAACAGTATCATGAGGCAAGAATGCCTGGAGAGGGAGACGTCACAGATCTAAGAATGGCAGCGGAGGGCGCCATGTTTGGTCTCCTTGGGAGAATTGGTCTGAATCCCCTGATCTCACCACCACTTATTGTGAAAATAGTGATAAAATAAAAAAATTAAAAAAAGTCTTTTCATCCATTTTATTGCTGAAGAGATTAGACGTCCTCTAAACTGTGTGATTTCGCATCAGCATCCTTTCACCCTGCTGCACTCCAACCTCATTTTCCTTAATGAAAATGGAATCCAGGTCTCCGCCAAAGTGTCCTTGGAGTCAACTCTGTTTTGATTCTAAATGTAACACACAAGCACCACATTTTCTCACGCACACATTGTCCCGAGTAGAGACACGCCAATTCTTTCTATCAAGGGCTTCTCATTGTCTATTTTTATTCCAGTAGAAACAGTACCCTTTCTTCCTGTGCTAACACCCTGGCGGCAACCATCTTGCACAGCATCCTCAGCCGGTGGCTTTGAAGTCTCCAGAGTTGCCTAAGAGCCCGGGCTGCACAGCTGGAAACCTGGAGGTTTTTGCTACCTCGTCCGCCCTCTGCTGGATGGACCGACGTCTGCTTACGAAGTGGCCCACAAACAGCCGAAAGGTTTCCCCTTAAGATGGATGGGTTTGTCACTAAGCCACGGGAAATCATTTTGGGATTTTATAAAATAAATTTTTCTTTTTTTTCAGAGATTTTTAGAAATACACTTTCTTCTCTCCAGATATACAGGTGTACCAGTTTATTCTGCCTATGTGTTTGGAAAAAAACAGAGAATTTGTCAGTGAAAACCATGAAGGATTCTAACATCTCTCTCTGACAATCAAATGCTATATGTGCCCCTGCCCTGGCACTAATGACCTGGCAACAAGGAAATAAAATAATGCTAAATCAGAATAATTATTCTAATATTCTCACAACACGAAGAAGCAGAATATGATGAGGGTTAAGACCGTGAAAACAGACTGCCTGGGTATAAACACTTCTCTGACTGTTATTAACTCTGAGACCTTGCACAAGTTAAATAACCTCTCCAAGCTTGAGCTTCCTCTTCTGTAATATGAAGTTATAATACTATTTGTCTCCTGTGGTTGTTATAGTTAACATATATATATATATATATATATACACACACACACACACACTCAGAGTTATATCTGTATACATATATAACTGTATTTATATATAGTTAACATATATAACTGTATATATATGGGTTAACTATATATAAAACTGTATACATAGTTAACAAAGATAAGTGTATTTATATATAGTTAACATATATAACTATTTATATATGTTAACATATATAAAACTGTATATATGAATGTTTATATGTTTTATATGAATGTTTATATGAACTGTATATATGAATGTTTTATATGTTAACATATATAAAACTATATATGAATAGGTTAACTATATGGTAACTATATATGTGTGTTATATATACAACACACATATATATTATATTAATATATAAACTATAATATAATTATAGTTATATAACTATAATATTAACTATAATATATATTGACTATAATTAATATTATAGTCAATATATATTAATATAATTAATATATATGTGTGTTGTATATATAACACACACATATATAGTTTATATATATATTATATGGATTGTTATGATTAGCCCTATATATAGTTATACATATACTCTATATATATTATAATACTATTTGTCTCCCAAGGTTGTTATAGTTAACCCATATAAGACCAATAGTATTATAAATTCTGATTCTTGAGAAAAGGGGCTAGCTTTGCAGGAATTATTGATATCTTCCTTGTTGGCCTTCATAAAAGAAGGCTAATAGTTAAAATAGTTTTTATGTAGTAGACACACATTAACATGGAGACTACTTATTCATCTACTCAACAAATATTTAATGTGCCCCCACCCTACAGATCAGAGGCTGAGTAGAGAAGATGCAGATATAAATAAGACAGACATGGTCTCTACAATGTGGAGCTTGCAGACTGACGGGGAAAACACAGTAAACAAGCAATTAAAGGTGAAGAATGGTCTAAAATGACCATATAAAATGCAAAACCTCACCTGGAATTCCCACTTCCTAATTTTACAAAAGATTCCTTTGTATGGAGAGATCTCTGTGCTGGAAAATGTCACAATCTAAAAGAATGACAGAAGAGATATAAAGTCCTCATTATCCAGGGTCCAGAGACTTTGTATTTAGGAAAATCCACAAATAGAAAGGATATAATTGCCCACAAAAAATAACATAGGAGTTGCAGTGCCAATTCAGTAATACACAGAGCAAAACATCACATCCTTATGCTCAAAGTTTCATCTTTATGAAATAGAAAATGCATTTTCTATTTCATACAGTGCTCGATAAAACTCCACGCCACAGCGGTGCAGAATATTCTTGAAGGGTTCTCAGAATTAAAGTGGGTTCGTAGGTACTAACTCAAACACTCTTAAGGGTTGCTGAAGAGCAACTCGGGATATTGCAGATATGCCAGAAGATATTTTTTCTCTGTTAAAAAGTGGAGCATCTGTAGGTATAAGATACAGATATACACAGTGTATACTGTATATAATGAATCTTCTCTCTTATCCAATTTCCCAAATAGCTGAAGTGATATAAGAGGGAAATAACTACATCTTGTTCATCAGGCCACGATAAATCATATCTCTATGAAACTTCAAGTTAAATTATTATTGGAATCTACTGTATACTGGATTCCATCTTTCTTTAATGAATTTCCATGGAGGAAAACAACCTGAGGTTAATTCACAGGTCACAGAACAAGCCCATGATGATGGCCTGTTCTTCATCACTGTGTGTGAAACTATTTTTAGTAACCTACCTTCTACTCCTTTTTATTGCAAATTGATAACTTATAATTGTATAGATTTATGGGGTACAAAATGATGTTATGATTTATGAATACAATGTGGAATTAAATCAAGCTAGTTCACATACCCATCACCTCAAATACTTAACACTTTTTGTGGTGAGAACATTTGAAATATACTCTTTTAGCAATTTTAAAATGTACAATACTCTCTTATTAACTATATTCACCACACTGTGCAATAGAACTAAAAAGAACACTATATTCCTCCTGTCTGAGATTTTGTAGCCTCCAACCATTATCTCCCCTTTCCTCTCACTCCCCAGCCTCTGTAACCACCATTCTACTCTGTGCTTCTATGAATTCAATTGTTTTCAATTTTACCTATAAATGAGAACATGAAGTATTTGTCTTCCAGTGCTTGGCTTATTCCAGTTAGCATAAGGCTCTCCAAATGCTGTTGCAAATGTCAGAATTCCCTTCTTTTTTAAGGCTAAATAGTATTCCATTGTGTATACATACCACATGCTCTTTATTCATTCATCTGCTGTGGACACGGGTTGATTCTATAACTTGGCTATTGTGACTAGTGCTGCAGAGGCCATGGGAGTGCAGACACTTCTTTGACAAGCTGACTTCAAATCTTTTGGGAAAATACCCAGAACTGGGATTACTGGATCATATGGTAATTCTATTTTTAGTTTCTTTTTTAGGAGCCTCCATACAGTTTTTCAAAATTGCTGTACTTAAACTCTTGTTGCTTTTTCTCACTCCCTTAATCTTTTTTCTCAGTAACTAATCATGCTCAAGTCAAAGTTATAAACATACAGTCAAGTAGAGATGAGACATATGAGAATATTATTGCTCAAATATTTAAATTGTCAGATTAAATGATCCAGATGAATATATTTATTTGTATACAAAAGTTATATATACATGTATATTCACATATGTGTATATATATAGTAAACACACATACAACATATCTGTAGATGCACGTTCATGAGCACACACACACATACTTATCCCACAGAAAGCAAACTACCCATGTACCAACTGGACCCACAATGATTGGCTCAAGATTATTATCTTCGTTATAAACGTGGTAAAATGAGCAAACTCCACTTAAGAAACAAGCTGCTGTTCTTCACATTTATAAGTCACAGTCTGAGGGATCTTAGAGTCTAAGATCTCATAATTAAGGGGTGCTGATCCCCAAGGTAACTTGACATTTGCAGAAAAATATTGAATCTTTTTTGCAATGTATTAAATTTTGATTACATTGACTAGTCTCTAATGATTCCTTGTAGTTAGATAGTTTGCTGGTTGGTACCCTTCCCTGGAAACCAGTAGGTTTCTTCATCCACATGCATAAATTACATTTGGTGATGTTGTAGCAGAGATTAGTAGAGCTTTGGTTTGGTAAAACTAATTCTTAAGCATAGATAAAGAGCCATTCCATTCACTTGGGAAAGATCTGCAATGAAAGTCACCATTCATGGGTCCAGAGCCATCTCCTCTCAGTGTGGCCACGGGTTCCCATTCTCAAGGCGGAGTGAAAGTGAGACCGAGGAACTCTCACTTGACAAACGCTTTTTCATGTGAAATAACATGAACTCCTTTTCCCCCTAGACTAAGTTGTGTCAGATCATTGTCTCTTCCGCAGTACAGGAAGAGAAGCTAATCTATAAAACAATGAGACTTCACTCTGGATGCCAAAATCTGCAATTACATTGTACGGAGGGGCTTCATGAATAATTCCTGGGGTATGATCTGACATTAATCTGGAAGTTAATACAGAGCTGGGGCATTGCCAGCATAAAGCTGACTGATTTCTTTATAACAGAGCACTTTCAAGGTGAGGATACAGCCTTTTCTCTAAGTTACACTCTCCATCCAAGCTGAGCACTAAGCTATCATCTTTACGTCTTCTGTTTCCTCCTCTGAGTTGGATGTCTGGGTATTGGCAACACAGTACCATCTTAGAAAAAAAAGGCACTTCAATTAGGCAAGACAGCTCCAAGATTTTAGCTATTTCTCACATATTAGTTAGTTTTAAATGGCCTTGTAAGAAAATACCCTAGTGTGGTATAACTGTACATGTGACACTGTTCCTGGCCAAGCCTTTGACCAAGGTCCCAGTTTGCTCTCAGAACTGGTCCCTTACTAAGGCCTAGGGAAAATAATCTCAGAAAATCTCCTTTAGGAGTTATTGATGGATCAATGTTGGTATCACCTCTTGAAGTAAATCAGAATTATGATGAATCTTTTCTGATGATCTTTTCTTAGTTAACATGTTTCTTGATTCAAATGCATGTTTATAGGGTACATATGTTCAGCATTGTAACAGAAATTTTGATAAATTATTAAAAGAAAAAAAAAACCTAACCAATCAACAACAACATGTTTTCTGCCCCGGGGGATCTTCCTATCCAGCTAAAGAAAAATGAGTAGAACAGATAATAATGTTTAGAGAAAGAAGTGGTGAGTGGAATGGAATGCTGGGAGAAAGCATTTTGCCGAGGAGGGATGAGTTTGGGTTGAGCTTTGGTGGCTGGTAAGAGTTTGGGTTGATGAAGAGAAGTTTTGTGATTTTTTTAAGATAATAATAACCAAGCAAAAGAGTGGGCATGACACTGATTTTCCTGTGTAATATTTAAAATATTTGACAACAGGTATGGCACAGATACTAACCAATCAGAGTGGCTGCAACCTGCCATTAACAACCAACACACCGTAACAGTGCAGAACGCTGAAATAGCAGCCTGGCTCGGGACTGTTCAGCATTTTCTTGTTCTGTTTGTTGGCATGCCTGTTGTCTGTCTCCCTCCCCTAGAATATAAATGTACCTGCAGCACACGAAGAACTGCCCGAGTATGACTGTTTCTCCGTATTTGTTCAGCGGCTGAATGTTTACAAAACTGTACACAAAAATCTCAGATTGGCCTGACGAGAACAGAAAACTGATATCAGGGGGTTGAAAATGAAAAGTAGAGAGATAGGATGGGCAAAACAATGGCCATCTTTAAATGTCGAGATTGTAAATTTGAACAATTTTCTGTGAATAGTGAAGAATCAATGGAGATATACAAAAATACAGGAACAGCAATCAGATCGTCAGCCTCATACCTAAAATCATTGCTGTGTCCCTAACCCTGATGAACTGTTACTCGGTGCCAGATTTCTGGCATTAGTACTTTGTGTTTTACATGCATCACCTCATTATGCCCTTGTAACAACTCTATGAAGTGGATCCTATTATTATGTTTTTTACAAATGTGCAACTTAAAGGTCTCCTGTAACCTGTTCAAGGTCACATAATTACCAACCACCACACTATATGCACACACACACACACACACACACACACAGATTGAAATGGTTTTCCTAGAAAAATTACATAACATTTCAAAATTACCCATAATTTCAGCATGATACCACTCTTATAATTTCTTCATACTTTCTTTCATGCTGTTACTCACATTTTATATAGTTGTACTACAACTATTATACAATTTTGTGATATGCTCTTTTTTACATAATGTTATCATGTAAAAATTCTCTTTTCACATAATATTTATAATTATAATTTGTAATGGTTGTTGTTTAGTTCCTTTTCTCTAGTTAAAATTTTTTTTGCTATTACAAATGATGTTTCAGTAAACATGTTCTTCTACACATCATATTTACTTTCTGATTATTTCTTTTGAATAAATTCCCAGTAGTGATTAGACTGTGTCAGAGAGTAGGAACATTTCATAGGTGCTGAATTGTATTGCCAAATTGTTTTGCAAGAGGGTTATACTAGCTTCTATTACTTCCAATAATTACTATTTGCCAATTTTACTAAAAATCTCATGATCATCAACTATTACCTAACAAAAATAAATGCTAATAAAACTTTTACCTAATAAAAATGAATGCTACTTTTGACACATGCATGTGAATGTTCATTACAGCACTATTCACAATAGCAAGGACATGGAATCAACCTAAATGCCCATCAATGACCGACTGGATAAAGAAAATGTGGTACACATACACCATGGAATACTACGCAGCCATAAAAACGGATGAGATCATGTCTTTTGCAGGAATCCCAGGAGCTGGGGTCTATTATCCTTAACAAATTAACACAGGAACAGAAAACGAGATACTGCATGTTCTCTCTTATAAGTGGGAGCTAAATGATATGAACTTATGAACACAAAGAGGAAGCAACAGACGCTAGGGTCGACTTGAGAGTGGAGGGTGGGAGGAGGGAGAGGAGCAGAAAAGATACCTATTGGGCACTGGGCTTAATACTTGGGTGATGAAATACTCTGTACAACAAAACCCCATGGCACATGTTTACCTATGTAACAAACCTTCACATGTAACCCCGAACCTAAAAGTTAGAATAAATAAATAAATTAAATAAGTGGTACTTTTCATTTGCATTTTTGTTACTAGCTAATTTAAATATTTTTAAAACTAATGTATCTCTTCAAACTTAAATTGTCTGGGCAAATCTTTGGTCCATTTATTCATTGGAGTCTTCATATTATTCTTACAAGATCCATTAAGATCTTTATACCCTATAAATATATAGCACTACATAAATAGCACTACAAAAAGTACTACAGTTTGTCTTTTTTTATATAAATATATTACCTAACTTGAATTTATTTTTACTTTTTATATTTTTACTGCAGAGGCATTTTAAAATTTGTTTGCAATTTATTACTTTGCAATTCCTTCAGTTGCTTCAATCTTTGGAAAGTTCTCATCCTTCCGTCTACCTGATATTCTATTTTATTTTTGGCTGATTTTCATTGATTTGATCTTTTCCAGCTTAAATTTTTTTCCATATGGAGATTGGTTTTGGTACATAGAAAACAAGGAATAAAGGAATTTTCCTCACTCCCAACATTTATAAAATAATTCTTCATTTTGCTATTGCTTTTAATACTATATTGCATATTAAATTTTTCTGTTTAATTTATGAGCTTCTATCCTGTTCCACTGACCTATTTTATTTGTTTGTACTCTAGTCTTGTACTTTTTACTGCTGTTGTTTTATAGTATGGCTTTATATTTGATAGGACTGGCTTTTTTCTTTTCAACAACATTGTTGAGAGTCACACTATTTACTTTTTCAAATGAAGTCATAAATGACTTTTGTTTTATCCAAAATAAACTTCTGAAATTTCAAGTGAGATTACTTTAGCCTATATGTAATCTTAGGAAAAATTAGTAGCATTTTAAGCTTCCTTTATTCTAACCTTTTCTAGACCATTTATTCTAACCTTTTATATTTTCCAATAAAGATGTCTTTGTGTAAGTCACTGGCATCTTTTATTATGCTGTTTCTTAGGTTTTTACATTAATACTTCTGAATGTTATTGTCAACAAGACTCCTGCATAAACTCTAATTAATTTTCATTGATAAAAAAGAATGTAATTTATTTCATGTTTCATTTGTATTTAGCTAAAACTCTATATTTTGCTAGAAAATTATAGAAATTATAATGTGTATGTTCTAGCAATAGTATAAAATAAATTTATATTTATACATTAGAACATGTATTTATATATTTATAGCAATAAATATACATCTATTTAGCTAAACACTATATAGAGAAACATATATTTACAATATACATTTAGTTATTTCTAGAAGGAAAGACTGTAGATTAACTATTATAAAACCTAAACCTCAACCATTATTTTAGGCATTCCTCACCTTTAACTTATTTATAGCCAAAAGTCTTCTATGGCAAATTACCTTAATTATCTGATTGTGCAAATAGTTTTTTTGAAACATATATAGGAGATTAGTTTTTAATAGTCAACGTGAATGTTAAATTACTAATCCTTTAAAAATTAACTGAGCTAAAATTATCATGGTTGTGGCCTTTGGGACCTACATCACTTATTTATCTCTATATTAGAGCCAATTCAAAATTATTCCTTGGGAATTTTATCACTTCAGGTAAGATTCAAGTGCAAGTAATAGAAACTCATGAAGCCATGGCTAAAACAAGTGAGTCTCACAGATTCACAGTCATTGAGGCCCAGGCTTCTTCAAGCTGAGTCTCTGATGGAACAGCTGTCTGCTTCAACCTACGACAGCCTTCATCTGCATACTCCAAAATGGCTGTTGGAGTACCAGCCATCATCTTCTCATTCCATCTTCTCATTCTCGTTCCAAGCAGCAGGTTAAAGAATGAGAAAAGAAAGGTACACTTCCCCCATTTTAAAGAGACTTTCCAGAAGCTTCACAGCCCATTGCCTGTAACTTTGATATATGATCAAATCTAGCTGCTGTCATGGAGCCTGAAGGATCTAATTATTTTTTTAACCCAGCAGCAATGTGCCCAGCTAAAAATTAGTTTTTCTTTTTTCAATTTGAGAGAGGAGGGTGAAAATAACTCTTTGGTAGGTAACTGTCTGGGCCACAGAATCTTGACACTGACCAAATATAATTCTTTGACCTGAGGCAAGTCAAAATGGCCTTCTATTCAAACACATATACTTTCAAAGCTTATCAGTCTTTACGTCAGTCTTCCTTGTCTTAGTCCATGTTGCATTGCTACAAAGGAATACCTGAGGCTGGGTAATTTATCAAGAAAGGAGGTTTATTTTGAGCTCACAGTTTTGCGAGCTGTACAAGAGGCATGGTGCTGGCATCTGCTTCTGGTGAGGGCCTCAAGAAGCTCACAATCATGGTGGAAGGCAAAGGGAGAGCAGGCAGTGTCACATGGGGAGAGAGGGAGCAAGAAAGAGGGGTGGAGAGGAAGTGCCAGGCTCTTTTAGACAACTAGCTCTGGTGTGAACCAATAGAGTGAAAACTCATTCATCACCAAGGGAATGGCACCAAGCCACTCATGAGGGTCTGCCCCCATGACCGGAACACCTCCCACCCAGCTCTAGCTTTAATATTGGGAATCAAATTTCAACATGACATTTTGAGGGGACAAATACAGCATTTTTCCCAGGAGAGCTGATTGTTAAGAGTATTTAACCAATACCATACACTATATGACCCTGGGTACTTTTTAGAGCTTATAATTTTAAACTCACTCCTGCACAATGTCTGTCAATGTTGTTATTTGTATCTTAAATTGGTTCTCTTGAACAAATTGAAAAATATCCTATTCCAATTAAGTTTTGTAAGTTAGAAATGAAAAACTTTTGTCAAATTTTTCTTTTGCTATATTTAAGATGAATTATTCATTTTTAAAAATTTGACCTACAACTGTGAATTATTTCATCAAGTTTTTTTTAGTAATTATAGTCAGTTCTTAGTTTGAACTTTCCTTGCATTCCAGGAGTAAATTTATTGAACAATTATTTGTTTAAAGTATTACTGAATTATTCTTACTACATTTTATTTGAAAATTTCACATATATATTCATAAGTCTTTCCACCCATGTTTTCTGTTATCTTCATCTTGTTTTGGATGAGAACTAAATCATGATTAGATTAAGCTGTATTTTCATGGAGACTAAATTAGGTAATTTACCATATTTTTCTATGTTCAAAATAGTTTTATATAATAGTAATTTTCTATTCCTTATATTAATCTATTGGTTCTCTTTGCCTTTTGATATTCATAGGAAAGCAGTAATATTATTAAGAGTTTTTCAGCGGCTGGTACCGGTTGTTCCTTTCCATGTTTAGCGCTTCCTTCAGGAGCTCTTTTAGGGCAGGCCTGGTGGTGACAAAATCGGTCAGCATTTGCTTGTCTGTAAAGTATTTTATTTCTCCTTCACTTATGAAGCTTAGTTTGGCTGGATGACCCAGCCATCCCATTGCTGGGTATATACCCAAAGGACTATAAATCATGCTGCTATAAAGACACATGCACACGTATGTTTATTGCGGCATTATTCACAATAGCAAAGACTTCGAACCAACCCAAATGTCCAACAATGATAGACTGGATTAAGAAAATGTGGCACATATACACCATGGAATACTATGCAGCCATAAAAAATGATGAGTTCATGTCCTTTGTAGGGACATGGATGAAATTGGAAACCATCATTCTCAGTAAACTATCGCAAGAACAAAAAACCAAACACTGCATATTCTCACTCATAGGTGGGAATTGAACAATGAGATCACATGGACACAGGAAGGGGAATATCACACTCTGGGGACTGTGGTGGGGATGGGGGAGGGGGGAGGGATAGCATTGGGAGATATACCTAATGCTAGATGACGAGTTAGTGGGTGCAGCGCACCAGCATGGCACATGTATACATATGTAACTAACCTGCACAATGTGCACATGTACCCTAAAACTTAAAGTATAATTAAAAATAAAAAAAAATTAAAAAAAAAAGAGTTTTTCAATTCTTTCTTTGTGTATTGATCTATGCAAGACTTCTTGTGCTCATTTTCAAGTTTTAAATGATCAGAATTTCATTTACTTTATCAGGTTTCAAAATTGACCATACTGAGGCATAATATCGCTATTTTAATATTACATTTATTTTTATTATGATATTTTTCTCATTTAGAATTTTGTTTCTCAACTTTTCTTCCCAATTACATTTTCTGGAGGTTCTTCTAATATATTAATCTTTTAAAAGATTGAGTGCTCTAATTTATCAACTCTTCCAGTTTATATTCATAATTTACTTGTTCTTGCTTGTACCCTTATTATTTTCTTCTACTTATTTGCTTCAGTTTATTCTTTTCTGTCTTGTCTACAATCTTAAAATTAGATATTATGCCACTTTGTCTTTCTTAAAATTGGGGCATCTAATTTAAAAGTCTAAATTCAGTTATTAGAATGTATACATGTTTATATCTATATGGGTTTTTAAATTACCATTATTTTCTTGTCTGCTCTTAAACCACTTGTGGGTATATTTAATGTATATATAAATCCTGAGATATTTAGTGAAGTTTTAACAAATTATAGTTTGGTGATTTAAAGCTTATTGAGATCTTTCTTTGTGGAAGTATTTTGTATTCAGTTTCTAAATATTCTGAGGATACACAAACAAGGACTGTTCCATGGTTATAAAACAAAAATCTAACACATATTTATTAATTCCTCCATTATTTATCTTTTTAACCTCCTCGAAGTCTTTTTGTCTACTTATTTGGTATTAATTTTAGGTTTTGTTTTTAAGTATTTTATGCCTTTGTTAATTGTCTTTTGTCTTTGGCTTATCCTTGTCTTCCTTCATACTTTGTTACATGAAAGTCCATGTTACTGTTATTAATTACCTGGGTCCTGCTTTCTTTTTGTTCCATTGCAATACCTCTTTTCCTGTGCTTTTGTTTTACTATATTTGTGTATATCTATGCTCCTTTTAAGGTGTCTCTTCTCTTGAATTACATAATTGATTTTGATAGTTTGCCTCTTAATGCAAGCAAGTTTGAGCGTTTATGTTTATTTTTAATTAATTAGCTAATTAATTAAACCAGTCATTTGAAACCTACTTATTTGAAGACCCCTATGTGCCAGGCAGTACTCTAAATGCTTAGGATGGTCATTATTGCAGTGGAATAATTACTACTATGTGATTTGTCTTTTGTTATTGATATGGTTTGGTTCTGAGTCCCCACCCAAATCTCATCTTCTAGCTCCCATAATTCCCAAGTGTTGTGGGAGGGACCCAGTGGGAGATCACTGAATCATGGAGGTGTCTTTCCCGTGCTGTTCTCATGACAGTGAATAAGTCTCACGAGATCCGATGGCTTTAAAAATGGGAATTTGCCTGCACAAGCTCTCTCATTGCCTGCTGCCATCCACGTAATATGTGACTTGCTCCTCCTTGCCTTAGACCATGATTATGAGGGCTCCCCAACCACACGGAACTGTGAGTCCAGTTAAACCTCTTTCTTTGTAAATTGTCCAGTCTGGGGTATGTCTTTATCAGCAGTATGAAAACGGACTAATACAGTTATCATGTCGTGTATTTTTCATGAAATACACAAGTAAAAAGGTCATCAGATTTAAAATCAACAATGTAATTCAATCTCTCAGCCTCACTGAGCTCCAGTTTCCTATTTGTAAAATGGAACTATCAATAACACCTACCACAACAAAACAAGCCCCTACCTCTAGCTTGTGTATATCTGATATACATTAGGGTTACTCTGATTGGAGATTTCATTTTCCCTTTTTGGCCTATAGGTTAAGTCACATCTCTGTGGATAGGTACAGTTATTACCGAAAACACTTGATAATCATTCTTAATGCTATATTTGACTATATTTATTGTTAATATTTTTGGACTGATTTTTATGGCAGACAAAGACTGTTGGCATTTTGAAATTCCCTCCTTTTCCTTCATTCATTCACTTTTTCATTTATTTAACCTAAAATCCTGAAATATCTCTATTTTGCTTCTTCAGTTTTCTTGACTTAAAGAGTTTTTTTTTAGTTCAGTGGTAGCTTCAACTAGTTAAACTTATCAGTAACAACGCTTTTCTTAATATGTGTTGCTTATTTACTTTTCACCATCTATTAACCTATGCTTGTTACATCCACCAACATCCTTTAAGAAAAAGGGTTTGTGAATTTTACATGTTCTAAGACAGCTATTCTGAGAATGCCTTTTAGTTTACTCTATATACTGACCCTAGTCAACTGCATATACTTCTATGACATCATCATTCTCTTCATACTGAAGTCACTCAAATCTATATCTGCAGCCCAAACCCATTGATTTTACCATCTGCCTACAGGATATTTCCCTGGCATGTGCCCAAAATTTCCCCCAAACTGCTGCTTCTTCTGAATTCCCCAGTCCAGTTGTTCCAGCAGAAACATCAGTATCAACTTCAACTTCACACTCTTCCATTCCTTTCCTTCCATCTGTGTCTTAAATATCTCTCAAGTACATTTGCTTCTTTCTAACTCTATTGCCACCACCCCGGTCCAAGTTACCATCATTTCTTGTCTGAACAACGGCAACAAGGTCCCTACTCATCCCTCTCCCACCAAGCTTTATTCATATTTCATTTATTCTCCCCTGCACATCCAGAGGATTTCTTAAATGTAAAACTGTTTCTCATCCTCTTAGTTGAAACACTTTGGTAGCTCTCCAGTGTACTCAGGATAGAGTCAAGAGTCCTTAATGTGGTTTGTCCACCAAGTGCCCACCCAGCCTTGCTTCTCACCATCCCTCTGCACTCTCCTACTCTACCCCCTTTCCCTGGATGATCCCTTCCCATCCTTCCAGCCTCCGTGTTGCTACCCAACCCCAACTCCACCCCTGGCCCTAACATCACACTCAAAACCCTCCATGTTTCCTGAGCGCTCTAAGTTAAATGAATATATGAACTTCTGACTCAGTTGTCTTTATGAATGAAACACATTCTTTAGCCACATTCTTTCTCCTTGAAATGCGATTCCACCATGTCTAATTTTGATCATTTAAATGGGAAAGGATAAAAACCCTCTCCAGTTTATTCTCCTTTCTAAGTAACCTCAATTTTTTACTTGTAAACAAGGAATATCCCTTTTCTTTTCATGAAGCTATATTTCAGTGTTAGTCCCTGTCTATAGCACATCAACTCTATAGCCTTCTCAATTTATAGTCTCATGTGCACACATATTCCTCTCTTCAGGAACTCCTATCACCCACCTAGGATCCGTTCTCTACCCTCCAGTTCTATATACTTTTTGCTATATATTCAGCTTATATGACTTCATTTTATCTTCTCTACTGATCTAATTTTCATATTTTAATTCTAATTTTTATTACTTCCAATGGTAAGCTAATGCTGTTTTCTTTTTTTGATTCAGTTTTCTGCCTTTTCTCTCTCTCTCTTTCTCCTTTCCTCCCTCTCTCCCTCCCTTCCTCTCTTTCTTCCCATATCAGGATAAATAAGATGAAGATGTTTAGTAACCATGCATCTTTGGTTATATCTTTGAATATAAATTCCAGCCATTCTCAGAAATATTTTGTTTTTTTGTAAACATGCATTTCAGGTGTAGTCTTACAAGTTCTTTTTTTTTCTTCTTAAGTTTTCTCTTTTTTTTTTTTTTTTTTTTTTTTGACACAGGTTCTTGCGCTGTCCCTGGCTGGAGTGCAATGACACTGCAGCCTTAAACTTCAGGCTCGAACAACCGTACTCCTACCTCAGCCTTCTGAGTAGCTGGGACTATAGATGCCAGTTGCAAGCCACTGTGCCTTGCTAATTTTTTTGTAATTTTGTAAAGGTGGAGTGTCAGTATGTTGTCCAGGCTGATCTCAAACTCTTAACCTCAAGCAGTCCTCCAACCTCAGCCTCCCAAAGTGCTGTGGTTACAGGTGTAACCCACTGTGCCCAGCCTCAAACCTTTTTTTCAGAGCTACTTTTATTTCTGATTATTCATGCATTCTTAAATTTCACCTTCCAATCTTTGCTGAAATTTCTGAAAGTGGCCTATGTTTCAGGTAACATTGACGATTTTTTTAATAGAATTTTAAAGGAGGGGTTTGCTACTGTTCTTGTGTGGTTGTCATTCTAAATGTCTCCCTCTAAAGGAGATACTTTTAAAGGACTCGTTTGGAGGATGGATAAGAAGGCAACAGAACAGTTAGGAGGTTTGCAATAAACAGTGTCTGTAGCAATACAAGCTTAGATTACAATAACAATGGGAAACAAACAAACATGAAAAGGCTGACCATGAGATATATTCTAACTGACTTCATCCAAATCTGGTGTTCTGCAGCATGAACTAGATCAATGAATCATTCTGTCATTTAACCCATTTGACATGGGACAAATTTAAAATGCTAACAGCTATCAATTTTCTTGGGCAGTAATGACAATCAGTATTGTTTTTGAGCACTCTTGAAGTAAGTAAAGCACAATTCCCCCCAAAAAATCTATAAGAGCTGCCTTTTCATCAGCTTTCTGTGTGCAAGCACCCGTCATCTAAGCCACACAACTCAACAGGACAATCTGATTAGGGCCTTGAGCTGCAGGAGGGGAGGCAGCCACACTTTGCAGCCCTGCCTGGTCTACTGTCAGCCCACTGTTAGCCCCTTATCCCTACATGACTGTTAAAAGTAAACTACAGTAATAGAGTTAATTCTTCTTTTCACATTGCCCCAATATTACCAGCATCATTATTGGAGTAGTTGGGTCTCTTGAGATATGTTCTGGAAAGATCTTGCAAATAGGAGTTAAATGCCTGCCTGCATTGAAGAGTAACAAAAATGTAAATTTCAGTCATCTTACTCGTAAAGTAGACGTATTTCACCAAGGCCAGATGAATCTAACAGCTGCATTTCCATTCTTGTGTGTTGCTAAGTAAAAACAGACCTACAGAATAGTCAAACAGGCAGAAGTGCTTCTCTAAATACATACAGTGTGCAGAGACCCTGGCCAGTGGAAAGGATCCCAACAGGGACCCCTAAAGAGATGTGATGACACATTGCAGGAGAGAAGAAGGCTTTCCACATTGGAAGTACTTAAATAAATACTGTGTAGCTTAGGAATGCTTAAAAGCAACACTTTAGGTCTGTTTCGAGGTAACTAGCAGGAAATGGCCCAGAGATATTCTGCTTTAGATGGAGTTGGAAATTATGTGTATTCAATTCTTGCTTGACTCTACCGAGTGACCATAAATTTCAAAGCTGTGACCTCTAATTGTTGCTCAGAAACGTACTTGTGCCATAGCCCTTAAAAAGCCACGTAATCCTCTCACTTCCTCCATTTTTAAGAAAGCCCTGCTTTAAAAAGCACATTAATGTCTCACTCTTCAAATATTTTTGAGGACCTTCATTGTGCTGAGGCAGGCAGGCATAAAGGGCTCTGTGCTGCCATCTGGGAATTCCCAGAGTAGGTGCCAGAGTGGCACCATGAATCAATAAGGCAGGTGATGGGTCAGCAGGAAATTGTATACAAATCCAGCCAATGGAAAAGACTGGATTTGGATAGGGGACAGGAGAAGAGCAGCCATGCTAGAGGAGCAACATTTACGTCCCTGGTGAATGCAGAGAGCCCTTTCTTCTCTGGTCCTCTGAGGCATTGTCTGTTAGCATTGCTAGCACTGCATCATCATCATTTGTTTTTAGTTCATCTCTGCAAGTCATGGTGGGATCTTCAAAATCAGGCACCATGACTTACTCATTTCTTCCCCATAGTGCCTGGCATGTAGCATATGCTCAATCTCTGTGTGTCCAGTAAATAAACGGATGAACAATAACGTTTCATCATCAAAGTGAGAATAAAGCTGCCATGTCCATTAATATAGGAGAGATTGGCTTCCCACCTTCATGTGGGCGGGAACTGTCCTCAATGGCCATGCCTGCTGGAGGAGGGCTTCATAGGACTCACATGTATGGGAAGGAGTTCCTGGTAGATCCACCCACAGCAAAGGGCCAAAGGTTGGGAGATGGAAATCACCCATCAGGCATCAGAATTGGAGGGGCTGAGCAGAAGTAGGATTTTTTTTAAATTGGTAAGAGAGGGGTTTGGGGAAGGAGAGCATCAGAAAGAATAGCTAATGGATGCTGGGCTTAATAAATAGGTGATGGGATGATCTGTGCAGCAAAACACTATGGCACACATACACCTATGTAACCTGCACATCCTGCACAAGTACCCTGAACTTAAACTACAAGTTGAAGGAAAAAAAAAGGTAAAAAATGGCATATTGCTGTTTAATTAATTGTTTCTTTAATTCTTTCTTGCTGTATTATTATTTGCACTTTTGTTCTCCTTCTGTTTGTTGATCACTTGTACACCTCCCTTTTTATTGCTTAGTAAATTGTCATTCATGCTCCTTGCCAAGTTTTCCAACTTTCCTCTTTTTTTTTTTTTTTTTTTTTTGCTTTTCTATTCAGGGAAATTCATTGTGTACTAATAATTTTGACACTGTGTTACATTTTCAGCAGTTTGATAGTTATGTTTTTTATTTTTATACACAAACTGTTGTTGGTAAAATATAATCATTAAGGCCACATTCTAGGATGTAGAAGTTTCAATATGCAAAGCATTTTTCTACCAGCTTGTTCTGTTTAATAAAGAAAATAATTATTGGTTTCCTTGGAAGAGGAATTTTACTTATAAAAACTGCTTCAATAGAAAAAAAGATAAAATTTGGTAACAGTTGGTAAAGATGGGTAAGTAAAATAAAGCAAAGAGATGACATGGAGTGGTTGAGTACAGGAATGACAAAGGGCCTTGAGGCATGACCTGGTACAAATCCTTTGTGCTGAGGACAGAGTCCTCAAGGAGTGTTGCCAGATAAAATATGTCTTAAATATGCCATGGGATATACTTACACTAAATACTCCATGCGACATACTTGTACTAAAAAAAAAAAGTATTTGTTGTTTATCTGAAATTCAAATGTGTCTTGACGTTTTATTTGCTAAACCCAGCAACCCTGTCTTCATAGAGCAACCAGGATGGAAATCAGGATGCACAAGACTAGTGGAATGAGATTAAGAAAAGTTAAATCCCATGAGGCTTCACAGCTCAGCAACTTTATCCAAACACATTATTATTTAGTGATCAAGGACCCTCTCAAAAGACAAGAACAGATGTAGGGAGTGAGACGGTGATGTGATTCTCAAGGAATAGTAAATATTCTTGGGTGTTCTCTCCTCCTGAGACTTTCCCACCTGTGCCTAGGGTCACCTGAACTTTTAAACATCCCACATGTGGCTTCTGCCTAGCTGCCAGTCACACAGCCTTCCTCACTAGATCCTACCCTCCAGAGGCTCGGGGGTAAGAAAACCCTCCCCTGGTCTCCCCTGTGAGAAACAAGGGACTGAATGAATTTTCCACATGGTGGAAAATTTTCTGTGGTGGTGGGTGTACCTTAGTGGACATTTGGCTACAAAATTCCTACTTAAAACATCTTAGACAGGAGTTTGTTTTTCCTGCATAATAAGACATATGGAGGTGGGAGGCTTCAGGCACTGGCTTCTTTGCTCAGTGATGTCAAGTCCACATGCCTGAAATGCTCTCAGTTTCTACCTCATGGTTGCAAGCTGGCTGCTGCAGCGCCAGCTACTGCATTCTTGTTCAAGGCAAAAAGAAGGCAAAGAATTAGGGCCGTTCAGCTGCTCCTGATCCTAGTCTTCTTTCCTTAAGGAAACAAATGGCTTCCTGAACCCTACCCATCTCCACAGACGTTTGGTTATGTCACATAAAAGACTACAGTGGGAGATAATTAGGAAGAAAGAGTTGGGCGTGGCTTTTGGGTTTTCAAAAAACAGTTGAAAGGACTGGCCAGCTTTCAGAAAGGGGCAGCTGCAAGAAACACTAAAAAGAACTCAGGCTCTGGGATCCATGTTAGATCAAATGCAGGCTCTACCCCTCACTACTCATGTGTCTTTGAGGAAGGCACTTAATCTTTGTCAATGCTCATCCCCCCATTTGCAAAATGAGGGTCAAATGGTGACCTCAAAGTAGAGGGAGATGAGGACCAGAGATAATGTACATTAGGCCCCTGGAATGGTGTGTGGCAGTAGATACAAAATGAAGAGTGGCTACTATTATTTGGAGACACCAGCCAATTAAACATCAGTTTTTCCTACTTGGATTAAATACACCTTCTTTTATGCACATATTATCAAAAAATTAAGTTCCAGATTATGTGGATTTTAACTCTACAATGTATTTGCAATTCAACAGAACCATTTTAGAATGATTATAACAGTGACTTTTGATTGCCTGGATTAACCATGGTCATAAATCAAAAAGTATTACAAACACTTTGGGAGGCTGTGGCGGGTAGATGGCTTGAGTTCAGGTGTTCAAGACCAGCCTGGGTAACATGGCAAGACCCCATCTCTACTGAAAATCCAAAAAAAAATAGCCAGGTGTGGTGGTGTGTGCCAGTGGTCTCAGCTACTCAGGAGGCTGAGCTGGGAGAATCACTTGAACCAGGGGGGCAGAGGTTACAGTGAGCCAAGATCATACCACTGAACTTTAGCCTGGGTAACAGAGAGAGACCCTGTCTCAAATTTAAAAAAAAAAAAAAAAGGATTACAAAAAGATGTTTCTGGATGCAAGTGGGTGTGGGGCACTGCTCTGAATTTGTCAGATGTCATTTCTTCCTTGAAATACATAAAAAGAATTTTGGATTTGAGGAGTGTTTAGTTCTAGATGAAACAAGTCCCACCTTGAAAGCACTTAATTTAAAAACATATTTTATATTCAGATTCCTATTGGAAGGAGACTATAGAATTCAAGGTAATCAATATGGCTTCAAGGGCCAAACAATAGAAGGGCTAATGGACTCACTGTCATGACCATCTATAAAATGGTCTTTGAAGGCTATCAGCATTTATTCGACTTGACAATTGAAGCTTCACAAACTCTTCACAGAGATGAAAGAGAATTATATATGTTATTGCAATATTTAGATATTAAGAGTCTAAATATGGCCTAGAGAAATTAGAATAAGCTATTACACATGCACAGATGTTTAAAATTTACCAGAGTAAACGCACATGCCAGAACTTGAGAAAATGACAGAAGAAATGGCATTAGAATTCTTTATTATTTGTAAAAACGTCTTATATACAAGCCAATTTAATACATACAACGCAAATTGCAATGACTTGTCCAAGGGAATATTGAAATCCATTAGGGTTGCACGTGCATAATCTGATTCAACAAGTCAGTATATTTTTCTCAAAAACATAATATCTTTTCTGTATTGTGTGAGATGAAGGATAGATTACATTTCTTGCCTGTGCAATAATTCCCACATCATAAATTCTGATGAAATTATATCAATATATAAAGTGAATGGATGTCTGACCCACCATCGTTTTCTAGTTTTCAGAGAGAGGCTGACATACAAGCAAATCCCCAGCTGCTTGGAGTGATGCTATTACAGCCTGCCTTTGCCTGGGAACTGTTATTAACTATCTTGACCAGGAGCGGCTGTTAGAGTTTGTGGTTTCTGCTCTGAATATTAAACTTGGGCATACAAGAGTCCTTATTGTGGGGAGCACTTGGAAATGGTAATGCAAAATTGCTTTATATTTGCGGGATTTGATTGCTTTAGATGATACAGCCCTAGCTGGTGGGCCTCTCTTGCTGCTTGTATTTCCAGATTATAAATCATTCCTTTGACAGAGTATCTGCCACAACCAGGTCTCAGTTTCTGTGGTATCATTTTTTATATTACAGCTGGCAACTGCTCTTCTGGGCTGTTCATATAAATGACACATTTTGCATAACTTATGAGAACAGGGTCAAAATCAAAGCTAATAAAGCTCCCACCTGCCCCACCCCCCACCCCAAATGTTTCTTGTATATGTTAAAGCATCTCTGGCTTTAAGTTTTGAGGGGACTGGGTCATGGATAGAAGATGTCCAATTTTTCTATGGCATTGGTAGGCACTGTGTTTTACCAATACTGAAATTGAATATTGCAAAAGTCAACACAAAGCAAAACTCCATTTACAATTAGCCAACTAATTACTGATAATTCAATCTTTAAGAGCAAAATAATATTTCCTTAAAGGCATTTGATGCATGCACACGTAGTAAAGGCGGCTAGAGGCTGGGTGCAGTGGACCACGCCTGTAATCCCAGCACTTTGAGAGGCTGAGTCAGGCGGATCACTAGGTCAGGAGTTCGAGACCAGCCTGATCAACATGGTGAAACCCAGTCTCTACTAAAAATACAAAAAAAAATAGCCAGGGGTGGTGGTGCGCACCTGTCATCCTAGCTACTCAGGAGGCTGAGGTAGGAGAATCGCTTGAACCCAGGAGGCAGAGGTTGCAGTGAGCTGAGATGGTGCCACTGCACTCCAGCCTGGGCAACAGAGCAAGACTCCATCTCAAAAAAAAAAAAAAAAATAGTGGCTAGAAACAGGTGCCTCGTGTTCTTCTTCTGAAAATAAGGGTGTTGAATGAGGTCGTTGGCAGGCTTCCTTCCCATTCTGACATTTTGGTGACTACAAAATTCACTGGTAAGATTAAAGGACAATGAACAAAGATAATCCTAACAAACCTACCCTGCTTTATTGTTGCAAACCTGAAGTCTAGATTTAGACCTAAGATTTAAGAATCTGAACCCACTTTCATTCCTGGAATCCACACAGCAGCTATATAACAGAACCCATTCCTAAAGATATATGTTTTAAATCCCAGAACACAGCTGACTTCTCCCAGCTGTGCCTGAGATGCCCTGGTTTTTCTGTATGTGAATTCAGGGATATATTAATTTGGAAGATGATACCCAACAAGCATTATGAGATATAAGTAATAGTGTGAGGTGCCTTCCAAATTATGCTCTTAGGCCCTTACAAATTTATGAATGAAGGAATCAGTAGTTTTAAAGATTGCTTTGAAAGAACCTTGGCCTAGAAATGAGAAGCTTTCCATCACTCTCCACCCAGAGGCCTGGCTTACTCTTGGTTTCCTTAGTTGCTCTTATTAGATCAATGCTTTTTTTTGACATTCTATTAGTCATAATACAAAGCAGGAACTGTGAGTGGCCCAAGGCTCAACATTAGCTGGGAGTGGTTTCCACATTAACCAAGTTCAGCATTTCCTGAGCAATTATTTGCCCTTCTCCATCCACCCTCCCCTATCATCCCAAAGAGGGTTTATGTGTATTTTCAAATATAACCAAAATATAGTTGTAGTGTAACCAGAGAAATCGGGTACTAAACTTCTGTTGGAAGTCCAAAAAGACTATCCCTGAGCCAAGTTGGTTTAATGAAGTGGCTTCCCCCATCTTGGGCTTCGTTCATGTGCATGGTCTGCACACTTCAGAGCCCCTGGGGAAGCATGTCTTTCCAAAGCCTGAAAGACAGACATTGACAATGTGGAGCAATTTCTTTTTTTGTGACTGATAATTATTGAATGTTGAAATTGATTTCTTTGGGAATTGTATTTAGTCATTGGATTTTAAAACTGAGGAAACGTCATAGACAATTGCTTCATTTTACAGATGAGAGACAGAGACCCATAAGAGTCTTGCCCAAGGTCACAGAAGCAGTGGCAGAATTGGGACCAGAACCCAAGTCGCTTATGCACAATGACTTTTGAGCTGTCTTGATTACGAACTGCTATAAGCAGCGTACTTTCCATTGTGATCCAGTCACATTTGTATACAAGCGACTGGAACAAAATTTCAAGAAGCAAATCTGACCTTCATTGTATGTGATTTGAGCTGATCTGTGCAATCTGCTTGATTCTAGTTCACTGATTTCTTTTTATGCTGGTCCTGAACTGCTCATGGAACTGCTCACCTATGATTTTAAAAACACTATTCTACAATACATATGCTCAAAAATTGCTGATTGAATTTCTTTTACTAAAAATCTTCTAAAGCCAAGCACAGTGGCTCACACCTGTAGTTCCAGCACTTTGGGAGGCATAGGCTAGAAGATTGCTTGAGCCCAGGAATTCCCAGTCTGAGCAAGAAGGCAAGACACTGTCTCTACATCAAATGACAAAATCAGCTGGGCATGGTAACATGCACCTTTAGTCCTAGCTCCTTGGGAGGCTGATGTGGGAGGAAACTGGGAATTGCTTGAGCCCAGGAATTTAAGGTGGCAGGGAGCTATGATCATGCCCCTGCACTCCAGTGTGGGCAACAAAGCCAGACCCCATCTCTAAAAAATAAAATAAAATATCTTCTAATAATGAGCTCCCACTTTCCTTCCCTGTCAGAGAGGCAGGGTGGCATCGAACAGGAAGACTTCATCCAAGCCTAGGATTCTGCAGATCTGCTACGCTCGATAAAAACATAATTGACTCCTGCAAGAAGTTATCCGCTTTTTAAAAAACTAGATGACTAGAAAAAGAAAACACAAATAATACAAGATCCAGAACTTATCAGAAGTAACAACTCTACGAAAAGGGGAGTTGTTCAGACAGTGGAAGTGCACTGCTCTCGGCCTAGTTTTAGGGCTCTTTGCTTTGGAATAAGTGGCCTTTGTTAATAACTGCTGCATGGAGCTCAGTGCAGTATTTTGGCTTATTTGGCTGGCTTTGGTGAACACCCAAATTTATTAGTCCAGTTTCACTAGCTGGGGGGAAAGGTGGTTTTTGCTAAGAAGCTAAGCCAGGCTTGACAGCCCATCAAAGAATAAGGAGGAGGAATTTCTTGCCGAGTGGTTTTGGGGTATTTGCTTGCTTGCGGCCTTTCAAATGATATCCTCAGGTGATCTGTTCCTCCAGTCTTCTCTTTAGCAAAGGACTGGATATCCTAGTTTCAATATATCCGTCGTTTAACATGTGGTGAGTATTCTTTTCTCGCCAGAGTGAAGAACAGAGCCAACAAATCTGAGCCGGGGTAGAAAACTGCAAGTCCCCCAGATGCCAGGAGCAGGAAGCATGGAAACAGTTCACAGAAGACAGACACCCGATGTGGCCAACTCCCGGCCCTCCAGGACAGGCACAGCCCCATCCAAAGTGGCTGCCTGCCAGGATCGTGACCACAACAAGCAGGAACTCCCTTTGTCCACTTCCTCCACGGGATGAGGGACGGAACTGCATCCCATCAGTTCACAATATGCTTGATTCCAACCCTGGGGTTCATCCTTGCAGACGGGGATGGAACAGCTTAGCTTCTTTCACTGTAAATTCCCATACCCCTCCCCTGTCCTGTGGTTATCCTGAGCCAGCCAAACCTTGTTTTACATTCAGGCCTGATTTCTGACAAAATTCCCCTTCCAGGACTCTAGCACTGACAGAGGTTAATGGGTACCATTTAGCCACTCTCGGCAGCAGTGGTTTGATCTTCTTGGCTCTGATATTCTTCCTCCTCTTGGCACAAGAAAATTCAGCTTTTGCCCTTTATCTTGTTATCCAAGAGCCTGAATGCCCATGACAGCCGTGGATGCAGATGCTGTGCCTTCAAAGTCCTTGGCAGAGGGGTAGAATTCAGACCCACACAGGCAATGTGCATTGAGCTCTTTATTTTTTTTCCTAAACAGCCAGCTGGCCTGTTGCTGAAACCAAGACCAATCAGAAAAGACACACATGTATATGAGACGGGTACTGCCTTTTTTTCTCCTCCACGAAGAAAGCAAGGGAACAGATACAGGCTGGAGGAGGCAGCTTCTCACTCTCAGGAAGGAAAGATGATTAAATCTGCCCTGAATCCAAAGAAAAATCCTTGCCTACCCTGCTGTCCTAAGTCCCTAGACATGCATCAGCCCACACGGTTACTCGTGACCAGGACTTTGGAAGAAGAATGCCAAGGTAAACCTGACTGCTTCTTGGCAAACAAGTGGGCATCGGTTCCAATGACACACAAAGGGCCACTCTCTTCTGGAGCACCCACTTCTTCTTAGATCCACTTTGGAAGGCTCCTGGCCCTCAGCTGAAGACCCCACAATAGAGAATTAGGAATGAGAGGGGCACACAGTGCAAACCCACTTTATTTTGAGAATGCCTCATGTTGTCCATAAGAGTGCAAGATTGTACCAAGCCTCTCCTGGGAAACACGGACTTACCAGACCATTTAGCATAGGCAGTTTTTCCTCCAGCATAGGAACAAATCACTGTTTCTTTGACTGGACATCAGATGAAATAGTTGGCTTAGACTTAGGGACCCAAGATGCTCATCTTTTAATACAAGTCTCATACTAGGAGAAGCAAGAAGCTCGAAATTGGGACTGGGACTCACTAAGGACACAGTGTCACTGCCGATATCCTCAAGTGGATGGGACACAGAATCACCAAGCCAGGCAAACACGTGCACGACTCACCTCCTCTGGGAACACCCCCCTGCTGGCCGCCTCTCTTCTGCCTTTTCTCTCCCAACATACAGCTGAAACCTGCCCATGTTAAATGTGCATGAGAAGTAGTTCCACTGAATGGGGTTTCTAGAATCTTCATTCCTGAATATGGCTGGGAGGGAAGCTCAACTTCCTATTTAGAATTCCTACTCCATTCCCCACCATGAAGATTCCAGATTAAATCATTCCCATTGCTAGCTACATGTAAGTTCCAAAAGTTCAAAAACGTTTGGATGAGGATATTCTGAAATCAAAATTCCGCTCATGAAGTGCAGGGGAAAGAACAGAGGGTAACAGGGACTCCACAGAGCAGCACAGGGCCTCAGTTTACCAGCTCTGAAATGGGAATGGTAGCACCCTCCTCTGTGGAGAGGCTGGAATCAAGTTAATTAATTGGCCTCTGTAGAGCAGAAAATGTGTCATCCTCTTCAAACCTTAAGATGAAAGGTGTGAAATGGTGTCATTGTTTCATAAATTGCTACATCAAACATGGGACAGGACGCCTATAAACCTGCAGCAGGTAATTATCATAAAAATCACACACTGTTAAAACTCCCAAGAAGACCCTGGCAAATTTGACTACAGGGGAGGAAGAGGAGCGCACGTGGTCCTGAGCACAGAACCCCACCTCCACTCCACCTTCCAGGACCCGGCAACCACCACCTTTTTCTGGAATTCCTGCAGCAGCGGGTTTCCTGACTCCTGCCCCACCTCCTTCAGTCTGTTCGCTACCCAGCAGCCAGAGTGATCACAGCCGTCCTGGGCTCAGAACTCTCCATTCACCTCCCATCACACTCACAGTAAAAGCCCAAGTCCCTGCAGTGGCCTAGGAGAACCGTTCTTCCCTGAGTCTAACCTGACCATCACCTGGCCGGCCCTACTACCTGTCTCACCTGGTCCTCGAATACTTTCCCCTTTTCTGACCATGTTGTTTAAAAGCTCAAACCTCACCCTACACATAATCAATCCCCTCTCCCCCTTCCTGATTTATTGTTTTTCATCTTTTGTGTCCATCTGACTGATTTGTTTATTTATCTTCTGTCTTCTGCCAGGGGCAATGTCAGCTCTGTGAAGGCCAGGATTTTGTCCTGTTCTCCCTGCCACCATCTGGGAGTCTAGAACAGTGCCTAGCATGTGAAGGGGTTCTATAAATATTTATTGGCAGAATGAATGAATTATAAGTTCTTTCAAACTAAGGGCTCCTTGAAATTTCTATGAGACTATCCTGGTCAGCCTCTCTATCACTTCTGCAGCTGCCCTTTTAGACTATTTTTAGATGTTCACATCTGCCTTAGAGGAAAGTGTCTGGTGGAGATGGGGGAAGCAATGACAAATTCACTCATGAGTGATTGAAATCACGAATGAAAAAGCTAGCATAAGCAATATTTACTCTCTGCCTCCAGTCCTACGGTTTCTTTTCACAGTTGACCTTTTTAGATCTGTTTTGTGCACCTCTCTGTGTCTTCAGTTAACATTTTCTGTCTCTCTGCACAGATGAGTTAGACACTGTCTCCCCAGGTGATTCTGTGGTCTCTTCAGTTCAAGCACTTGTCTATATGCCAGCACCAGCAGTAGTCCAGAGCTCCTGTTCCTAATTCCAGGGAGAGAAACTCTAATCACCTGGCTTGGGATTGATGGCCATCCTGATATAATTTTCGATGGCAATGGGGGTGAGGTATCTTACAGGTCTGCAGTTCCTTATCCGAAATGCTTGGGTACAAATGTGTTTTGTTTTTCACAGCTTTTCATATTCTATAACGTCAATGTGGTTCATATACTGTATATTATATAACATCACCACTGGGTCTGAGGTCACATTCTAAAATTAAAGACATGAACATTTCTGCAGGAAATCTATGAATATTCATAATAAATGAGACAAATAAAAATTATAAACATCTTCAGATCAGGCTACCACAGGCTTTGCTGTCAAATAAACTCAGATCAGGTTGGAATTTGCCCCAAATGAGTTAGAAAATCTTTTGGTTTTCAAGAGTTGTTTGGATTCCTGATTGCGAATGTGTAGGGTAACCATGAAATTTATCATCCAAACTTCACTTCTGAAAGTAAAGGGGGTGCTATTAAGAATTACATTGGGAGGAAACACTGAGAATATGCAGTAGTAGCAGGGTCTTTTTTAAATTTCCCAACCTTCCCATAATCATGGTTAGAGCAACGAGGGTAGCAAAATCAAAACCCATGAGCAATATCTACCCAAAAAAAAAGAAAAGAAGAGAAAACCTAAGTGACAGGAATCCCCATAAATTCCAAAAGCAACTAAATCTTTAGGAGAGCTACAAGATCTGCATGGCATCCATGTAGGTGGAAGCAAAAGGAAGCTATGGGGCATAAAAGGACCTGAGAACAGGAGAATCCACAGATTCCCCCATTGACACATACTGAAAATGTGGCAGGTCCACTTGAAAATAGCAACTGAAAGTGACAGGGATATTTGCACACTCCAGTTCTCAGGTGAGTGCAAAGATTTGTGGAAGATGTCCAGAGGGCTGCTGTAGTCTGGGTCCTATAAACTCTCAAACAAACAAAGCAATGTCTCCTTTTAGGACAAACTCCTCACCTAGAAGAAACATTGGGAGTTGATCCAGAATAGGACAGGGACAGCAAAGAAAAAAATAAGATCCAGATAAAAACTGTGGGCAGGCAACATCAGGGGCAGTTCTCTGAAGTATGAAGCCATACTTTTTTAAATCACTCCTTGGAAAAAAATCAGAAGAGAGAGCTCTAGAGCTTTGACATGAGGATATTGAGGATGTGCTCTAACTCCCCCACCCCCTCCTTAAAGTGAAAGAAAATTAATTTTACATAATAATGACCAAGAAAGTACAATTATGGTCGAATCCCATACAAAGTTTTTATTTTAAATAAGAGAATAAAGAAGAGAATATGTAGCATGTCAGAAAACATGCCCTCAAAATTGATAAGAAATGCAGCTACTATTTCAAAATGAGTTAAAAGAAATAAAGAAAATGATATAAAATTATGGAAAATATTTTAAACATCATAGGTCAGATTTTTTAAATCTAGAAATGAAGTTACAGAACTCAGGAAAAAAATCAGAAATAAAGTAATAAATTACTTCATAAATGAAGAATAAATGGTACAAAATACAAAAGTGAATAAACACAACATGTAATGCCTTATGAAATGCAAAGGCAAAAAGACAAAAGTTTTTTAAATTTAAAATAAATAAAGATATGAAAAGGACTCAAAAGAAAATGATGGATATAGGAGATGGGACAGAAAAAGAAAAGCAACATAGGTATAATAGGAGTCCCCCCACCTCAAAGAAGAAAACCAAAGCAGTGGAATAGGTCAAATACTGAAATCAAGTATTGAAGAAAACTTTCCTGAAATAAAAAGTCACTTGAAACTGCATATTGAAAGGACATAGCATGGACTTAGAAGGAAGGAAGGAAAGAAGGAAGGAAGGAAGGGAGGGAGGGAGGAAGGAAGAGAGGAAAAAAGGAAAGGAGGGAGGGAGGAAAGCTCAGAAAAACCAACACTGAAATGTAGTTTTGAAAAATCTGCTAGACTTTAAGAAGAAAATCTTTCAGGCATTCAGACAAAAAAGACAAGTCACTTAGAAAGAAAATATGATTATCATCAGACTTTTGAATAACAATGCTTTATGTCAAAGGAAAATGATGTGATATATTTAATATAACCAAGGGAAGAAAATGTGATTTTATATTTTGTATCCAGCCAAATTTATATCAAAGTATAAATAGTGAGTGTAAACTGTTAAGAACATTAAAAACTCAAAATATTTTTTTCTCATGTGCTCTTCCTGAGGAATCTATTCAATAATAAGCTTCGTGTGATCAAAATGTCAGGAGAGGCAGCGACATAAGGACTGGTGATTCAAGATTCTTGGCGTGAGAACATGAAGATACAAACATAAGATCAAAATTTTAAAGTAAAAATCTTGTAATCCTGAACTTGAGGTGGAAGTATCAGCATACACTCATGTTATGTTTTATCTTTAAAATTGTCTTAGCTATATCCATTGAAAAGGCGTAGAAACCATGACCAATGAATGAACATGCCAAGTGCCCAGATTGTGGTCTCTAAATACTGCCTTGCTAAAAGAAAACAGGACTTGTTGGAGCAATAGCTGATTCCAGGACTGCAGCAGGAAATGCACAAGATAAGCCTGGACCATCTTGTTCTATCAGAAGCAAGGAAGCTATCAAAGACTATTGGGATCTTGTCAAAGAACTCAAGAGCCAACATGAAGATATGCCCACTGGCCAAACACGGAACAATTTGAGTACCAATAAGGATAATAGATGTAATAAATTAAAACACATAAAATATACTTAAATTCATGAATTATGATGCAAAAATAATAAATGGAAAGAAAAAAGATACAAGGAAGAAACCTAAAGATGAAAAAAGACTTAATGGACATATCAATGCATGCCCTTATTTGAATCCTAATTCAAACAAAAAAAAACTTTAAAAAGATCACATTTATAACATTTATGAGAAAAGTTACATTTTAAGCACTTGATATTTCATTATATTACAAAATTATTTTTCATAATCTTCAGTGTGATGATAGTATTATGGTTATGCTTTCTCTTATGGTCTTATCTCTTATAATTATGATGCCTGGGATTTGTTTAAAAACAGTACAGGAAGCCCAAACGTAGTGGCACATCTCAGCACTTTGAGAGGCCAAGGCAGGAGGATCACTTGAGCCCAGGTGATCGAGGCTGTAGTGAGCTATGATCATGCCACTGCACTCCAGACTGGGTGACAGAGTGAGACCCTGTCTCAAAAAAAACAAAACAAACAAACAAAAAAAAACCCAACAAACAAAAATAGTACAGGAGAAGAAATGAGGATGCACAGAGTCTTATTATTCTATTGTGTATATTTTTATACATTTTCGAAGTTTTCTATAATAAAATTTTTTTTATTTACATCAGGATAAAAGACATAAATTAGGAATGTCCCAAGCAAACCAAGCTGCATTTGGCCTATGGAAAAGAGGTGATAGATTTATGGGCCAGACAGTTACAGGGACTCAGAGAAGTAGAAGGATAATTGGGTCACACTCCAAAAGGTGTCCAGTATGATTACATTCTGATTGTTTGGTAATTTGGATGTTATTAGCGCATCTATTTTTCTTTTTATTTTTACCTGCCTCAATCTGTGTTTAATTCAAGTAACAACAATTTCTTATTTGAGAAGTTCTACCATGTGCTTTTTTTTTGTTAAATCTAGCTCAGTTTCTCCAAAAGAGCCTCTAGCAAACAGGCCACTAAGATTTGGCAGCTTTATTGTTGAATGCATTCAATTATCATTTTTAAAGTCTAGCACCACATTCCTTTAATGATTTAGGACCTTGCATGGTTTTAAATGTCTCCCAAAGCTTTCATTGTAAATTGTGTTCAACATCAAAGGAGGTAAGTGATGCCCAGATGCTGTTTACCGCCTGTGAAATTCTCAGCACTAAATGGGACGAGTATCCCTTGACAGATTCAGAATTAGAGCTGGATAGAAAGAAATAACCTTCATTTTTGGATGCTAATCCCAAACCTAGCACTGGGTAGGAAAAACCACACACAAAAATCTTTTTTAAAATGGACCTTCTGCAATGGACCTCTGCTTTTATTTCGAGTTCCATCAAGAAGCACAGTGACAATTCTGAAGTCCACAGGGGCAAAGAGGTCCCCTGAGGCTACAACTGATTTAGGGTTTCTATTACTGGATTTCAATGGCATTTGTTTAAACTGGGCCCCTACACCAGAACCTTAGAAAAGTCCTCCTTATCCTTTATAAGCTCCTTTAAAACAAAATCAAAACTAAAGTATCTGGACATCCTCTGCTGTTTTCTTTGCAATGTCCTGCTGGGAGATGTTGTTCGTATGCCAGGTGCCACGCCTGATGCTTCTCCTCACATACTTTGATGTTGGGATATTCGTGTAATTCATAAGGGGGGTTATTCTAAAGAAATATCCCTTATGCTTTCAGGACATATTTTTAAAAGGAAAAACAAAAAAAAGCAACTTCCACTTACCCCAAACCACCATGAAACGTTTGCTAGCTTTGTGTCTTTCTGGCTGGTTGGTTACTTTTCAACCCAAATCCCTACTATGGCCTATCCAGTATAGTAGGGTTTCCTATTGAAAACTCTGTCATTTTCGTAGTAGAATTTTAAATAGGCCAATAGTAGGGTTTCATGTTGAAAATTCTGCATTGCATGGTGAAAATTCTCCATTGCATGGTGGCAGAGAGATCCCTACCCTTCTCCTCTCATGCTAAAATTCATTCCCGTCCCACTGGACACACTTGTCTGTCTGTCCCCAGATGTTTACCAAGGACCAATCACGTTCCAGAACAGTTTTGGCCTCTGGGGAACAAGTTGCACAGCCACGGGCCTCCTTTCTTTTCTCCTAAAAGGCTTCGGGTGGTGCAGGCTAATCTGCAGTGTTGAAGTCGTTCCTGTGTTTCTTTCTTTGTGACCTGGGTTGCTGGATAACACTGCAGTTAAGAATGTGGGCCCTGGGGCCAGGCTGCCTGACTTTGGGTTCTGGCTTTGGGATCTCAGACAAGTCACTGAGATCGGCTCTGCCTCAGTGGACTCATCTGTAGGGTGGGGATACTAAAGTTCCTACCTCCTGGGGTGAGTGTGAGAACAAATCAACACACAGAAATAAATTTGTTGTGAAAATAAATCAATCCACATAAAAGCGCTGAGAAAGTGATAAATGTTCCGGACAAGTCAGCAATTTGCTATGGAAGCAGAAGACACAGCCATCGGCTCCCAGGCGGCCAGTGACTCTCAGGCCTCCCCATAATGTATCCCTCTCTTCTCTCCTCCCCTTTGCAGCCCCCTAACCCTTCTATTGTCATTCTCACCTTCTTCCCTGGTCTACTATTTTCTTTTACTTTCCGATCATTCACTTCTCTTCAACAACCCAAAAAAGAGCATACACTCTAATCGCGTAGCTTGCTTTTTAAAATAATTTCTGTTGAACATAACCTGAGAGTGTTTCCTCTCACATACAGGGCATGAGACTTTCTGGCCTCTCTCTTCTCTCCTTCTAAAGAGGAAGGCTTTCTTCTGCTCAGCCCCTTGTCTTGCTTTTGCTGAGATGAGGCCAGGGATGGAGTCGCAGGGCTGAGAGCAGGAGACTCTCTCTGTGCCAGGGAGGGCTGAGTTTTGGCTGGAAAACAGCCCCTGAGGGGGGTGGGGAGAAGGGAGCCAAAGGGACAAGAGAGGCTTTGGGGAACTGGTGTGGGGCTGGAGTTTTGAAATTAAAAAGGGAGAAAAATAATTTGGGGTACTTCAGAGAGAGAGGAATAGAGGCTATTTTAGAAGTTTGGCTGCGTGTGTGTGTGTGTGTGTGTGTGTGTGTGTGTGTGTGTGTGTGTGCAATTTCCCCTCTATTGCCTTTCAAGAAAGAGTGCTTCAAGGATGTACACATTACCACCAGGGCTTTCAAAATTGATTCGTGTTTCTTTTGGATTCTGTGAGCAGGAAGGCCCAAATGTATTCGGGTTACAATTACAATAGGAGCTAGCACTCACTGAGCACCCACTGTATCCCAGGTACCAGGCTGGGGGCCTCATTAGGCAAAGTCTCTCATCCTCAGAGACACTGTGCAAAGAAGGTAAGCTGATTCCTTTTTTACTGGAATTTAGTTCCAGTGAAGTTAAACAAAGTCACCTTGCACCACCCAGCTAATGAGAGACAGAGTTGGGATTTGAACCCAAGTCTGTCTGATTCCAATGCCTGGAGTCTTTCCACCACTTCACTGGATCTGAGCATAAGCCTTTAGAGTGTATGTTTAAAATGTTCTGTTTATTATTATTACTACTTTTTAAAATTTCAGTGGCATGTCTAATGTAATACCATGTGCATTCTAGAATGTGTTGTCCTTAGCACCTTTGAAGTCAGATACCATCTCACGGTTAGTGGATGCTGCTGGTCATATGGTTATTAGAGTTTCATATCAAAACTTCCTATCCAGGTGTCAGAATGAGACTCAAAGAAATTGATAATTTTTCAAATATTTTATTGCGTGTGTACATACTGCCAGAGAAAGAAGGGCTCTAAGGAGACTGTTTAAGATTTTAGTGCAGCTACTCAAAAATAAGTACATAATGTTTTTTGATTTCTCAGAGGCCTAAAAGAATAGTAAACAAATCGTGCAGCCAGCATTTTAGAGCGTACTACCTGGGAAAAGCATTGTTTGTTCATAGCAAATATGTAACCACAAAACACATTAAAATGCAGGAAAATCATCTGACCAAACAAAATAACGATAAATCAGCTTGAAACTTGTTGCCATCACAGGATATTAAATACGCTCATCTAGGAAAGAAGATGCATTAGTCACCGACCGAACTGTGCACATAATTAAAGGGGTGGCCACACTATGATATATAGGTTGGATCTTCTAATTACTTAGCTGTAGCAATTAGGATTTTCTTTGTATTACACTTCTTCAGGCCAAAGATGCCTTCTATCGCTCGGGCCAGATTTAGGAGAGCAAATTCTGGCTTCCATCCCATTCCCCATTGCCATCCCCCAGCTGAAGCTGTTCTAAACTGGAGATCTTAAAGGCAAGTCCAATGCTGTGAGGAGGAGATGAGAGGAGAGTCACTGTGATGACCGCACTTGATGTCTCCTGGAAAGACCACTTTGCTTGGGGTCTCTTCTCCATTTCAGGAGGCCTGTAGCCTTGGAGACGTGGAGTTCTGTTTTCATCGAATACAGTAGCTCCCAGACATTACTAGAGAAAGATCAGAAGGGGCAGGAGCTAAATAGAAATATATATCACATTTTTTAAACCTGAGTAGTCCATAACAGTATTATTTTTTACAAAGGCTTTAGGAGGCCATTGCAGCAGGAACAGGAAGGGGAGCACATCTATTATTTATCTAATGCATTCCATGTGCAGGAACTCTGCTGGAGTCAAAATGGCAGGGTTCAAATCATGGCTCAGACACTTACAAGCTGTGTGGCATCAGGAGACTTACTTAAACTCTCTGAACTTCAGTTTTCCTATCTGTAAAATGGGACTAACTAGATTATCTACCTCAAAGAGTTTTAAAGATTAAAGAAGATAAAACTTTAAAGCAAGCACTTAGCATAGCTGTCAATCACTTAGCAAGGCACTCAATGCATGAATTATTTGTAGTGTATTTAATATTTTCAACTCTGTGAATCATTGACTCAAATTGACAGCAAATATTTGAGTACCTATTGACTGACCCAGAAGGCCATATTCTTTTTATTACCCTTTCTTTCCCTCCCAGGACATAAACCATAAACTCCTAGGCACAGGAAAGCCATTTATTATGTTGAATAAGAAAAATTCAACTTTTTGAAGTGTCAAAGCCTTGGATTTAAGCTAGGGTAAATCAGTTTTCAGATATTACAGAGCTCTGGAGAACACACACCCAAATGTCGGCAGAGCAGAGCCATGTGGCTGAAGCTCCTCGCATCAAAGCAGCCTGCTGGGTTACACCGAGATGGTTACATGAAAGCTTGGTGGTGTTTTCCAAAGATTCTGTTTAGGGCCTGGGAAGAGAGGATAGACCCTCACTTTAATTCTGCAAACACTGGTGAGTTATGCCATGTGCCCAAATCTGTGCTGGTGTCTGGGACCCGTGCTGTCTGTTCTCAGTAGCCTTGGCATGAACATTCAAACACTTTTTGGCCATGCCAGTGACAAGAGTAAGAGCCTCTGAGAGAAAGAGTAGCTGATGTTGCTTGGTGACATCTAGGGAGGCATCCCAGAGGAGGGGACATCTGAGCTACTGTTTGCCATGAAAATAAAGATGGAAGAATTTCATGGGGAACCAAAGAAACCCTGTAATAAGTTTTGAACTAAATAACAGAAGTCATAATCACAGCTACTGCGGATGTAGTCAAACTCAAACTTTTTTTTTTATGTGAAGGATCTTATCTTTTACTGTTCTGAACGACTTCCCCAGTGTGAAGGGATCTCTTTCAATGAGGTTCAGTTAAATCAAGACAGGACAGTGGCCTCCAAGGCATCTCGAACTAGGGAGAATGCCTAACACGCATTCCACAAAACATGCTGAATGGAAGGCATGCGCCCACAGAAGGTTCAGCTCCTCCTTTCTTCTACCTAGCCTGACAGGAACAACTACATTATACCTTGGTTTGTTTCCCTTGGCAAAGAGAATTACAAAATGTGATGTCCTTTCTATTTGTGAACAAATCAGTACTCCAGAAGATCATGCTGTTTGCGTTGGCAATATAAGCAAAAGTGGACAGGTTGTCACCAAATAACTTCCGTGGCCATGAAATACCCACCCATCAACTTGCCCTCCAATAAATAGGATCTTTTATCAGTAGAAACGAAATAGTGTTGCCAGCTAGAAAATAGCCCAGTTGGAAGTATGACCTTATATCATTTGGTGAGTCACCTGGCTTTGCACTGAAGTGTTTGAGATCCTGCTACGTGGTTGGAGTGTTGTTTGCTTGTTTATTTTTCCTTTTTAAATTTCATTAAACAGCATTTACTTGTGACAAAAGTCAAAGGTTTGATTGCAACAATCAGGAAGTGAGCTCCTCTTTCGGTGTGCTGGGGGAAAATACTTCAACTGAGACAAGACCAGCAGCAAACGTCATCCTGAGAAGCAGCTGAAAAACATCTCTCCCAAAAAACGTTTGTCCCAGCTCAATACACTGAACGTGCGGTGGTCAGAACTGATGAGGGCTTCTGTCGTCCTCTGCCCAGGAAAGCCAGTGGGACTCTCGTGCTCATTCTGCCCTCTGGTGGCTTCTTTTGTAAAATGCATCGGGACGGCTGTATTCTAAGCAGAGATGACTTTCTTCTTCATATGATTTCATGTGATTCTTATCTACAATTACAAAGCCCAACTATCTTCTGACCCATAGACCTCAGATTCAGTTTACTAATCAAATTAACTAAAATCCTGACATGTATTTAATTAAACACGCAATGAGGGTTAAAAATGTAGTCAATGGTCAGCTTTAAGCCAGCTTGGGTGAGCTGCAGATGAATTGTATTAATGAATGAATTCACCTGGTGAGTGAAACCCACTATACGATGTGCTCAAATCCTTAAACACTGAAAGATCAGTGAATTTAATTCATCAGACAACAAATTCGTTTTTTAGTAGATTATTGACATGCTGAGGCTAAAATCTATATAACTAAGAATAACAAAATTCATTTGAACAAGAATTAAGAAGCATGACTTGCTTATAAAGATACGTTAATTAAATCAGTATTGGCACAAGAATAGACAAAGCTCAGAAACAAACCCACATATGCATGGAAACTTGATATAGGAGAGATGGATATTTTAAATCAGAGCAGAAGGCCCTCACTCAGGATAAGTGGTACTGGAGAAACTGATTATTCTTCTGTGCAAAAATAAATTTAGATCATACGTCAAAGTACAGAATAATAATAATATATCTCAAATGTAATATAGGCCTCAGTTTGAAAACCCAAACTTAGAAGTTTACAACAAAAAAGGAGACTATCTATAAATAGGATGCAAAAATGCCTAGAAAAAAGCAATAACGGATGTATACAATTATCCTGTATACAACTTTTGTAAAAGTCACCTTAAACAGTGTCAGCAGAAGATATTTGCAGCACAAATGTCCAATGAAATCTTAGTATCCAGGCTATATAAAGATTTCCTAGAAATCTATTTTTTAAAGGCAAATAACCCAATAGAACACAAGAGAAAAAAGCACAAGCAGGCAATTCGTAGAAGAGAGAGCCCAAATGGCCAGTATATTGCACGATTTATGAGGAATGAAGGAAATGCAGATCAAAATCTTGATGAGACAGTATTCAGCTCCCAACATATCATTCATTAAAAAAATCTGGCAATAACAGATCCAGATGAAAACAAGGATGTGGAGAAAGTGGAAAATTTTTGAATTGGCACAATCACTATTTAATATTTAACAACTAATTAATAATGAATAACTAATTAATTGAAATTTAATAATAACTAGTGTGTATTAAATCAATATGTAATACATAATGAACATCTAGGTAATGTCTATGAAGCTGATAACACACATTCTGTACAGCCAAGCTCTTCCAGCTCTAGAGAATTTTTTGCATATGTGCACCAGGAGACATGCTGGCAATAATGGGATTGATGGGCCATTGTGGTACAATCAGCCTCAGGTACCCCAGAGCACCAGTCGTACTTCTGGCAGAGCTCAGCATGGTGGTTACAAGCATGGGCTTTGGGGGTCACACAGACCTGGGGGCTCTTACACTTTGTAGCTATCCAGCAATAGCACCGTTTCTCTGGGCCCTAGTTTGCTCATTTGTCGGTGAGGATAGTGAGGTCTCTGTCCCAAAATTATTGGGAAATTTAAATGGCAGAGCTATTTGTATGGCTATAAAGTATCTTTGCACAGTGCCTGGCACAGATGAATGGTTGCTATTGTTTTCATTATCGTTATTATAATTATCCTCACTGGGCATTCATACTAATTTATGACTCAGGAGAAATAATCTTTTCTGACTAGGAAGACAGTTATCAAGAAAGAATGTCCAATGATATATTCTTAGGATAGCAAGATTGGTAGTCAGAGTGTTCAAATGGTGAAATAACCAGAGGTGTGTAAACAGTTTCACCATTCATTGGATTATAAACCAAAGTCTCACCAGCCCCAAGTCATCATTCTCCCAGAACAATTATGGTTGGCCCCCTCTCACTGGCAGTAGAGACTGGTAGGACATGGTAACTCATCAGACTCTCTCACTCAACTTGACACCCTTGGTTCTGGTCATCAATAACGTACCCGCACTGAGTTTGTGAGGTGTCCCATTTTTCACTAAAGACCCTACATTTTCTGATGCCCAACCCCTAACCCAGCCAAGAGGAAGACCAAGAAGTCAGATTTATCTAATGAAGTAGGCTGGCTTGGCATGTGCCTACAGGATTGAGACCTGAAGGATGAAAGCCATATTTAAAAAAAAAAGCTCAAAGCCCTCGTAGGATGTGAAAGCCGCCACACAGAAATAGCATAACGAACTGTACTTTACACTCTAAAGAATTTTCCCTTCAGAACTCATAAATGTATTTATATAAGAAATGGCAAATTAAAGAACCCTTTCACCTGTCTTCACCAGAAAGTTTCATAGGACATAAACTGAGCTAATCAGATTTTATGTGAGATACTTTCTCCAGGTCTCCAAAATGTTCACTATCCCCTTTAAATTATGGTTAAGGGAATTTCAAAATGGAAACATCCAAATAAAATTGATGAGTTTAGCTTTCATGAGGAATTAATCCTTAGCTTGGGTAATGATCAATGGGTGCTAAGACCTATAAATTTCATAACTTTGTCCTTGATATAGTTATTTTTCTTCCTTAAAACCTAAAAATACATCTTCCCTTCCAGCAAGATAGAGACACAAGATGTCCCTGTGGATGAAAGGTGCTCAAGACAGCTATCCCTCTACAAAGACTCTCTAATGCACTGTTGGCCATTGTTCCTGAAATTCATTTGCGGGACAGTTGGTGGAGTAGGTTGTAAGAGCAGATTGATGAAAAGAATGTAGAATTTGACATGGCATGCCAAATGTAAGAGGGAAATGCCTGACAAGCAAAGAAATCAGTACCAAGTCAAATAACTTTACATATATGCAAATGGGCTGGAATTGTGCCTGTCAGCCATCACTTTGTGGCCTGAATGCTGAAAGGTATTCAGAACCATAGACAAGACTGGGTGAACCTGAACAAATTTAATTCTTCAACAGCCCTGGACAATGCTCACAGCAGCCAGTATCCACATTCCCCCAGGGTCTGGGCTGTGCCAACCTCCACTGCTCTCTGGGTCGGGCTGCAGGGACTCTTCAACACTTATTTGTTCATGCATTTATGCTGCAGTTACTAAGAAAGCATCTTCTACATGCAAACAACAGGTAGGGTACCTGCCATAAGATGCTTTGGCTTAAGAAGGAAGGGAATTTTCGGGACAACTTCAGAGTCTACTTTGAGTTCTTTGATCGTCCCTCTTTCTAGCCAGATGAATTTATCTGTCTGCTCTCCCATCTGTTAGTACCAAGTTGCCCAGTCCCTAACATGACATCCTGCATATTATAGCCTTAGTGTTCATGTCCCCCACAGTTCACATACTGAAATCCTCACCCTCAAGGTGATGGCATTAGGAGGTGAGACCTTTGGGATGGGATTAGGTCATGAGGGTGGGGCTCTCATGAATGGGATTAGTGTCCTTATCAAAGAGGCCTGAGAGACCCCTCACTCCTTCTACCACGTGAGCACGCAGCAAAAAGGTGCAGGCTGTGAGCCAGACCCTCACCAGACACCAGATACAAAGTCTGCTGGCACCTTGACCTTGAACTTCCCACGTCCAGAGCTGTGAGAAGTAAATGACTGTTTATAAGCCACCCAGTCTATGGTACTTTGCTATAGCAGCCCGAACATATTGCCCTACCAGGGAGCACGCTGGGATAATCCGGGGACTTCCACAAAGGATCGTCACCCCTCTCCTGATGACCCACGCCTTTCCCTGACTTCCAGGCTCCATCCAGAATCCTGCCTGCTTTACTGCCCAGCAGATGCCCGTAGATTTCTTAATTCTGCTGCTGCCAAACTGGCACCTGTTGTCTACAAACCTTTCTCCGTCCCACTCTGGGCATCATGTTCAGAGTCCTTTCCTGCCAGTATAGGTGGAGTTTTCTGGAAGCTGCTGCTGTGATGGAGTTTGGGCTGCAAGATGTTTATAGGGGATCCACACATGTGGAATGAAGGAAGAATTTGGGATTGGGCAGAGGGAGAAGACTGCCAATATGGCACAGAGCTCTAGATGAATGTGGCCTGTCAGAGTTGTCCCCTGTTGAGGCAAAATGGCCAGGGCTTCATCCTCCAGCCTCGCTCAATCATGGGATGTGGGTTCCTCTAAGGGAGGGTGTGACCTTGGGCAAGGTGGCTGTCCACAGCTGAGGAGGTTGCCTGCTGTTCCCACTCCCCATTTGGGGTTCTGGGGGTGGGTGTCTTCAAGTCTCACACCTATTGTCTTCAGTACAGACCCCTGCTGGCTTTGACCTCACAAATCTGCCTGCCTAGGGTTCCAATCTGCTTCTGTCATTGTTCATAGACTCTCTTGACTTCTGGCATAGAAGACAACTCAGCTTCCTAAAACTTATGATTGTCACATTAATGCCTGGGAGACACAGATACTGGGAAGCTCTGCTGTCAACCCCACTGCCCAGATGTGGTCCAGTTACACGTCCCCCCTCACATATGCCCCTAACCCCCCAACTATCCCATCCTCGGAACAGTCCTGCCTGCACTATGGGTCTGTTTCTCACTGAAAAAAAGAAAAAGGAGATGGGAAGACAGAGATCACTTCCAGGGCAGGAAGCCAAGTTGGACTCATCTAAATGCATGGTTACAACCACACGGCAGACCTATTGTGGGGTTGTATTAGTCCATTCTCACACTGCTATAAAGAACTTCCCAGAGACTGGGTAACTTATAAAGGAAAGAGATCTAATTGACTCTGCAAGTCTGGGGAAGCCTCAGGAAACTTACAGTCATGGCGGAAGGGGAAGCAGACACCTTCTTTACAAGGTGGCAGAGAGAGAAGAGAAAGCAAAGGGGAAGAGCACCCTATAAAACTATCAGATTAGCTGGGCATGGTGGCTCACGCCTGTAATCCTAGCACTTTAGGAGGCCGAGACAGGTGGATTGCCTGAGTTCAGGAGTTTGAGACCAGTCTGATCAACATGGCAAAATACTATCTCTACTAAAAATACAAAAATTAGCCAGGCGTGATGGCGGGTGCCTGTAATTCCAGCTACTAGGGAGGCTGAGGCAGGAGAATTGCTTGAACCTGGGAGGCAGAAGTTGCAGTGAGCTGAGATGGTGCACTGCACTCCAGCCTGGGCAACAGAGTAAGACTCTGTCTCAAAAAAAAAAAAACCACACACACTAGCAAACAAACAAAACCATCAGATCTCGTGAGCAGTCACTCACTATCATGAGAACAGCATGGGGGAAACCACCCCATGATCCAATCACCTCCCTCCCTCGACACTGGGGATTACAGGTCCCTCCCTCAATGCGTGAGAATTACAAATTAAGGTGAGATTTGGGTGGGGACACAGAGTCAAACCATATCAGGAGTAAACAGCGAGAGAAAGAGAATTGGGTTCTATGTGCCAATATCTGCAAGATGGTTTTAACTCCTTGTGAATGATGCCAAAAGAAACCATTTTAGCTAGGACATTCAGGGGGCCTGGGATCTATTTTAAGCTGTAGAGGCCATGGAAAATCATTTGAAGGCTAGTTTCTTGAGTGTTCGGTAAATCCTTACTGGAGTAAGAACTGCTCTTCCTCAAATATCATTCGTATTTCTCAGCTAGGAACTAACCCTCAGGCGGAGATGCTTTAACTCTGCCAGCTTTTCTCTTTCCCCTCAGATTGCTGTCCTCTGGTTCCACCATGACTTGCATTATTTCTACCTTTGCACATAGACAATTTTCCCAGCCTCAATTTTCCTCCCTGCCTTAAAAGAAAGAAAGAAGAAAAAAAGGAAAGGAAAGAAAGAGAGAGAGAGAAAGAGAAAGAAGGAGGAAAGGAGGGAAGGAGGAAGGAAGGAAGGAAGGAAGGAAGGAAGGAAGGAAGGAAGGAAGGAAGGAAAGGGAGGAAGGAAGGAAGGAAAAAATCACCTCCCCCTGAGAACCTTCTTTGATTAGCATCTCCTAACCCTGATTATGAGTTGACTCTGTTTGTTTCCAGGAATAGGTCTAATGGCATTGTATAAGATTTCAAAGGATTGCACAAACTATTATTTTTATTGCATTAGTTCCTTTTTTAAATCAATTAAGCAGCAAATAAGACTGGAGGACGTTTTAGTGCCATTAGGGATAGTTTAGGTTGTTGCTTTTTGCTTTTTATAAACTGGATTTGTTGTAATGAGATTTGGCCTGGTGGTTATTTGCATGAGGGTATTTGCTGAACATTTGCAATTGTTTCTAGCAGGGAATCTATATGAAATTGGTCTGTTTCAGTCACAATCAAAAGACCCCATCGTGATATAACAAGATTTCCTGTAACCCTATATAGGTTTATTAAGATGCTATCCCTCATTAGGGACCTCTAGTACAAAAAGGTGCCAGTGTGCTTCAAACACTTGTTCCTCATCTGAGTGCAGCCTTCTCGACCACATGGTAGATACTCAGGGTGATGACCACACCCTCAATAAACAGCAGCATCAACAAACGCACATTGGACCTCCACTCCATACCAGTCACTGGATCAGGGGCTTATGTGGACTAATTTAACCCCTCCAGTGATTCCAGGAGAAAACTGAGATAAGTGGGTTTCAAAACTTTGTCCAAGGTCAAACAGGTGATGAGATTGGTTAGAAATCTGGATCCAGATTTTCTTTCCAAATCCTACTGCTTTTTCTCCAAGTACTTTGTTACCAGCCCACGACAGGATCAGTACAGGTCTCTGAAACCCAACAACTCAAAGTTGGCTAACCACAGCTCCCATCCCCCAGGAAGTCAGGATGTAAAGACGTTTTCCTAAAGAGCCAAAAATTAAGGGGATGCCATCCTCCCTGATCCAAGAAGGCTGTGTTGAGCAAGGGTATCTGCCATGCACTGTAGTTTTTCTCTGCATTATACATCACATGTTCCTGGTCTCCTCCTGCCACACACATGTCAGGTCACAGGTCACACCAGATAAAATAAAGAGCAGTATCAGGAACACCACACAATCTGCTTGGGTCTTGGATTGGAGCTTTCAGGAAACCCACAGCGACCTGTCTCTAGGTGAGCCCTGGCAAGTAATCAGCATGTTGCCTCTTAAAACTCGTTCAATTAGCAGATGGGCCTTTGCCTAAAGTGACCATTAGTAAGAAGGACAGGCGTTGTTTTATCAAATTGTCTTCCTGGGATCTGTTGTATTTAGTGCCATGCAATCACCCAGATTTTCTCTTACTACAAAAAAAAAAATCTCGTAAGCAAAATAAGGGTGAAGTACGCCTCCTCCCCGCCCACCTAATGTATGATGGAATGAAAATGCAGGTCGTGAATAAAAATCCAGCCCCTGCCTAATATATTTCCCTGTGGGGGAGCTGTGGCTTAGCAGCTCTGGCACTGCATAGGCAAAAATGCAGAGTTTGTCTCTTTTGTCAGTCTGGAGATAAAATCCTATTCTTTGTAATCCCTGAAGAAACAAATCAAATAAGCTCGGGCTGAGCTAACCATTTTCAATCCATCAAAGCAATCAAATTCTGTTTACCTGAATCACAATGATTTCTAAAATGTTATTAAAAAGTAAAATGGAGTTTAACTATTCCAAAAAACCGAAAATGATGTGCAAACACAAAAGGGATAAGATTTCTGTAATTATGTAGACATAAAGTCGGTGCCATCATTTGTGCCACAATACATTGTAGCTATGGCATGTAAAGATAAAAAGCCCTTTGTCTAACACCGCTGCTGCAAGTGATGCAAAAACATAATTAATGTAAGAAGTCTTCAAAGGGGTGACTATTCATTTCGTTAGTTTTATTGCTCTTTCGGCAAACAATGGTTTTATAATTTAATAAACCAATTAACTGATTATGTCTCACCCAAAATATTTGTATATCACCCATTCTATCATCTCAAAAGTCCTCATCCCATTTCTTACCCTGACAGTGTTGTTGTAAATGTGTCTAATTAGGATATTTGGCAAATGGGTGGCTGGCAGGTTATTTCGAAGCAAATTCTTTGGGATTTCTGTCTCGAGGTGCTTTTGCAAACATTTGCAACGACAACAGAGAGCCTTCTCTTTCGGTGTCATTAAAAGTTCAGATACCACATTATCACGACTGTTTAGAGCCACTTTGAAAGAATGATTGTGGACCTGTCTCTTTATTATAATTCCTTAACTATTCTGCAGGAGGGACTATGCAGTCCCTAAGCGTGGCATGCCTTATCGCCTCTCAAAATTGCTTCTTCTGTTCAGTCAAGAGTCATTCTGTGGACTGCAGGTACCTATCGCTGGCTGTATTATAACAGTGATGCTCACCACATTGCAGCCGATGAATCTGCAGCATTTCCATTACAACCCTCCATTATCGAGGACAGAAAAGCCGGCTAGGGAAAAAAATGCACCCAGGAATAAAACTTGACATCCTGGCAAATGAAAGAAAGTTTCAACCTAGGCACATTCTTTCAGCACTTTGAAATGTGAAATTGTCATGACAGGTTTTCAGTAGCAAGAATATATGTCAATAAAAGCATAGAAATGGAGTCATTTAAGAGGATTTCCTGGAACTCTCAGTCAAAGGTGCTTTTATTACAGGTACAAATGCACTCCCTGCTCTAGTCCCCAAAAGCGACTGACGATCTCAAGCGGGGACTTTACTTACTAGTGTTGCATAGTGAATGTTATTCTAACCTGTAAGCTGTTGGTTTTATCTTTTCAGCAAAGCATTCATTCACTTGTTCATGGAACCAAAAATCAAGAGCCTCCCACCCACCCATCATGAACTAGAAGGGGCCCCTGCCTTCACGGAGGACACCGTCTAGGGAGAATAAGCACAGGCACAATATAGATGCAATGGGTGCTATGAGAGGGGCAATCCATGGCCCTATAAGACACACAGGAGAGCACTTAGATCAAGAGGATCAGGGAAGCCCTTTTCTGCAGGAGGTGATGCATAAGCTCCTGGCATTCAGGAGTGGAGTTAGCCAAGTAACTGAGGAGGGGACAGAGTCTGGTGGTTGCTCAAAGGTGCAGTGGTGAGAGAAAATGCCCATTCAGGACCCCAGGGACCCTTTATCATGGCAGGAGCCTGGAACACGAGGCAGAGGGGTAGAAGAGAGAATCACAGGGTGGATGAGCCCATGCTGCTCAGGGTTGGGGTCATAACAAGGAATTTGAACTTCATGCCAAGAGGAACATGGGGCTACTGAAGGTTTTCAGCAGGGGAGTCATGTGATCAGATTTGCATTCTAGAAATATGCGCCTACACTTTCAAAGAACTCATCTTTCCTATACCCCACCTCCCAAAAAGTCCTAAAGGTTTATGGTTATATGTGACGTATGGTTTATTTTCCCTGTGAAAAATAACACTGAGCTATTAGTATCAATCTTTCCAAAGACGCAGTGGGGCACCAACCTCCTGGGTTACCATGTATTCATCTGGTGCCTAGACTTCACCGGAGTCTATGCGAAGGATCTTCCCTCAAGCTGGGGAGAGAAAACATAAACCCCAATAACACCCAGATAAAAACTAGATCCCTGAGGTCCCACACGATGAAAGGACAGACAGGATGTTCTGAACATTAGAGGGATGCCTTTCTGTGGACTGGGGTGTGCGGAGAAGGTTCATGGAGGTGGCATGTTCTTAGATGGGCAGGAGAAATGACCTGAGCAGAGGGTGAGGTGGGAATGATCATGACAGCACAGAGAAGCAGCCAAGCTGTCTCATCCCAGTGAGTGATAACAGCAAGAGGAGAAAGTCGAAAGGAGGGTGCAAGCACGTCGGATGTAAAGCGTAGGGTTTTGATCTCCACCTGGTGGATGACTAAGTAGGGTGATGACAACATCATTGCCACCACAAACACCATAGGGTATGGTGTGTATAGGGCACTTATCTTCACTGCTTTGAGTTGGGACTCAATCCTAGGTCTTCTGATTCTGGACTCTGTTCCTTTCTACTGTACCTTACTGCCTTTCCAAGACTGCCAGGAGAGAGAGAAAGAGGGATGAGTGACAGGTGACACAGACAACGTGGATGCTTATTGAGGAGGATATGCTTAAACAGGATGCCAAGGACCAGAGGGAACTTAGCATGTCGTGCAAGACTCTTTGTGACTTGGTCCTAACAACGTCTCCAGGTTTTCTCTCCCTCATGCTCCCCGAACACAAGACATCCTGAAACACTTGCAGTCCTCCCTCCTGGCTCCATGTTTCTCTATGTGCCACCCCTTACTACCCAGAAAACCCTTCCTCATCCTCTGAGACCCAGGTGGCACCTTCTCTGGGAAGCACTGCACAGCTATCCCTCCACCTACCCCAGGCCACCCTGGGAATCACTCCTATAGAACTTTGTGTTATTGATCACTCGTTCACCTGTCCTTGACATCCTCTGGTCTAGGAACTTTTTGGCTAAGCACAGGGGTTATGAGCTTGGCCTCTGGTTTGATTTCACAAGCCCTTCTAAGATAGCACCAGAATGTAGCAGCAGCTCCATCACCATTGGAGGAATGTAAGGCTGGATAAATGAACTCAGGGAGAAGAGGCTCTCTCATAGAACCTGCCAAACCCAGTGGTGCAGAAAAGACTACTAAGGAAATTATATTTTCCGAGCTCCAGAAAGTGACTGTGGCTATCAGAAGAATGTTTACTTCGAAGCTACTCCTGCTTAAAACAGGCCTCTTGGCTGTATCACACTGCCTCTAAACAATCATTCAATGCAGACACTGAAAGAGAAAAAAAAATAAAAGTCAATTCCAAGAGGGGAAAAGTCAACTCAAGGGGTTGTTTGATTTCTTTGGTCTTCCAACTCAATCAAAAAGGTCACTCTTACAGCCCTGTGTAAATATAGCCCGGGTCTGAGTGTCTTGAATCATGTGACAATGTTATCTCATTAATTCCTTCAAAGCAAGTAACAAGTATGGCTGAGTAAGATAGCAAGCATTACCCAAGGGCCTAGGCCAGTGATTCTCAAACTTCAGAACACATCTGAATCACCTGGAGGGTTTATTACAACACTAGCTGCTGGGCCCCACCTCCAGAGTTTCTAATACAGTAGGTCTAGGATAAGGCTCTTGAAGATGTGTTTCTTCTATGATTTTTTTTTTTTTTTTTTTTTTTTTTTAGTGAATACATAAGTTCCTATGCGATGTTGATGCTGCTGGTCTGGGGACTGCACTTTGAAAATCACTGCCTTTGGACTATTGATAACCTTGCATTAAGAACTCTTTTATCAGTTCTTTTTTTTTTTTTTTTTGATAGAGACAGGGTGGTAGGGGAAGCAGGGGTCAGGGAGAGGGCTCGCTTTGTTGCCCAGGCTAGTCTCGAACTCCTGACTTCCAGCGATCCTCCCACCTTGGCCTCCCAAAGTGCTGGGATTACAGGCATGAGCCACCAAGCCCAGCCTCATTTATCAGTTCTCAGACACTTGGTGCCAGATTGATTTGCTTCAGCTGAGCAAATACTGAGGTCACAAAATAAAGTGAAATCAGCATGCTCACCTGGCCTGAATTGTTTCTCCTGTAGTTCAAGATGGGAGCGGCCACTTGCCAGCTCCAGTCAGACCACAGAGCCAGAAAGGCCAGGTCTGGGGGTATTATTTTTTCAAACAAGAATCCCTGATATCAACTGCATGCAAATTACTCCAGCTCTCCCTTTGAGACAGCCATGATAGGGATTTGAAAAGGAGGTCAAAGTAAAATTGAGTTCTGACTCAGATTTCACCAAAATGGGTTTTCAAATCAAATCAGATAAAGCCTCTAGGTACATAGGATTCGTTTGCCCCTACCCAAATGTGACCTCTCCTATTAAGAAGGGAGGAAAATGCTCGAAGAACCTCTTCAACATCAAATAGCAACTTAAGAGCATTTTCTGGTGATTTAAACTTAAATGAATCAGAAACATCTGGATTAGATTTTACGCAAATGCTACACAATCTAAATAATTAAGGTGGGAGAGGAAGCACGTGGCAAACTGCCCTTTGGGTTTAATCAGGTCTGGAGCACTTGAAAATGGGTCTGAGGTGTCGATGAGCTCCGGGTAAGGTCCTCAGACAGAGCTTTTCTACTTTGAAAGCTCAAAAGTCACACAGATCACCTTCCCTTCTCTCAGGATTCCTGGAGGGCCCCATTGGGACAGCTCATTCACAATGTGATGCTCCAGACGAAGCTGGATGCCTGATGACCAGGGGCCAGTGGGCATTATGAAGTGCACACATCAGCCTGAGCACAGCGGCCAAGAGTCTGTGCATGTCAGGATAATGCAGCCAGCTGTGGCCACACACGAGTCCTGACGTCTCAGTGGCTTTACACAGCTAAATCCATTTCTTACTCATGCCATCTGGGTTGAATGACTCTGTGGTACATCTCTCCTCCACACAGTCACTCAGGAATCCAGGCTGCTTCCAGCTCATGATTCTGCAATGCATTGTACTATGCATATCTCCATGGTTACTGCTGAGGGGGAAAAGAGGGACAGAAGCATGAAATGCCCAGTTTTGCATCTCAATTCTGTTATTAAAGAGCTGTGGAGCATTCTGCAGACACTTGACCTCTTTAAGATTCCATTCATTTCTTCCCCTATAAAATGAGATTCATAATGGTACCCCCTCATGGAGTACATGTGAAAATCAAATGAGATTTGCCATTGGACCCCTGCTACTCCAAGGGTGGGCTGCTGACCCGTAGCATTGGCACCACCTGGAACTCTACAAGAACCATGGACCCTCAGGCCCCACCCCATACCTACTGAATCAGAATCTGCATTTTAATCAGCTCCCCGGAGATTGATGTGCAAGTCACAGTTTGAGAACACCACAAGGAAGCCTCCAGCACACAGTACATGCTCAGTGAGCATTAGTCATGTTATTATCATCTAAACTCCAGCTGCCTTTCCAGGCCTGAAAATCACTGAGTCAATTAGCAACTCACAATCAGCAGGGGCATCGGGGGAGACTAGCAGGTTTAGGGTCTGGCTTCTCATCATGTGAAACAGTGACACTTCCTACTGATGCCCTTTCATGAAAGAGCGGAGAAGGGGTTGTTATTTTAACTGACAAATCAAAGCAAGTCAGGACTAAAACTGCAATCATTTGATCCTCATTATCCCAAGGAATTTCAGCCCATATGGCATGCTGCCCTCATCATTACACACTGATCACAGACCCTGTACATTACCTGGGACCAGCCCAGAAACATAAAAGGTAGCGAATGGACCCAGATTTCTAGACAGGCTGTCATGGAAAATTTCCCTCCTTGGGGGGCTGGAGAGGGGAGGATTAGGATCAGTGTCAAGTAAACCATTACCCCTCCTGGTAAAACACATTTCCACGGTCGGCCCAGCTGTCGAGCTCACTTAGTTTATGGCGCTCGTGTCCCAGGATGTGGAGGGATTCTTTTGGCTGGCTGCCTGCATGGCTAATTTCCGTGCCGACACCAAATCATCATCCAGAAAGTGCCCTCTGCAAAATGACTAAACTCATATCAGGTGTCTCTCCCCAGCCCCTTCCCCTGCCTCCACCTCCCTCCACAAAAGCCCTGTCTGTGACACATGACACTTGACTGCTTTCTCTTGGTAATGGATCATACAACTTCTGAAGCTCAATTTCCTTTCCTCCTCAACACGGTGTCACCTCAACCACATTGATCAATATGAAGGGGAGTAATGCTCATAGCAGCTTGCAGCCTGCCCTCTCCCTCCCTCCCTCCTCCCCTCTGCTCCCTCTCCTTCCTTCCTCTTTTACACACACACACCCACATACACAAACACACACACACACACACACACACACACGCAAAATACTCAGAACATTAAAGAAAGCTGTTAAGCTAATCTTGGTGCATCTAAATGGGCAATATATATTGAATCCATGCTCCATTGATCATAATTATTGCAGGGCCCTTTATCAAGTAACCATCTTAAACCATTATTTAGAGATCATTTTGCTTTCCATTACTGTCACTATATTGCAAAATTCGCCGGGAATTGGATGCCTGGCGATAGACGGGTGTGCACAGTATTAGCCGGGAATCTGCCCATGTCATCCAGGAGTGTTTCCACATAGAAAGACTTAGCGCCACAGTCAGTGAACTTTTGAAGAGCGCCCCCACGCCCCGATCAGCTCTATGGCAGAAAAATAAATCCTCCACCCGGGTCTGATTTTCCACCTTGCCTCTGCAAACAATATCACCATTATTCTTGCCTTACAATAATCCCCAGTAAGACCCTCAACATACAAAGCCCCCGACTCACACGGGGCATTTGCAGATGAAGTGCGGTCGTTGCAAAGTGCCTGAATAAAGGCATCTGGCCTGTGGGAAGGAAAACAAGGGCACCTTATCCGGAATGCCCCAGTCTCCTAAAAGGGAACTTTTATGCCAAAACAATGGCTCTCTTTCTTCCCCATCCTAAGGATGCCCTGTTCTACCTCAGTACCATCTCTTCTCCATCCATCCGCTATTTGCAGAGAAGGATACCTTGGTACTTCTCAACAACGATGAGATGAGTGCCAGAGTGTGGTGGTTAAAGCCATTGACTCAGTCATCAGAGCCGGGCTCAAACCCAGACTTGGCCACCTGCTCTCGGCAGAGCCTCAGGCAATCCATTTACTCTCTGCCAGGCTCCAATATTGCTTCTGTGGCAATAGGAATTAAGATAATTACAAACCCCCAACTCATATGGCAGTTGGATGGTTCTGATCCGGTGCACAGTGAGTGCTCAGTACAATTTAGCTATTATTACTGACACCTCCGGCAGTGCTTCTCAAATGTTAACGTGCACCAGGATCATCCCAGCTGCCATCCCCAGCCCTGGAGTTTCTGATCCTGTAGGTCTTGGGTGGGGCCTGAGATTTTACATTTATAACAAGTTCCCAGGTGATGCTAATGGTCTGCAGCCATACTTTGAGAGTTCCTGCTCTATGGAACTGAGAACTAAACAGACTTTACTTCCTTGCTTGGGTCAACGGCCAAAAAACAACAGTGAATGAAACAGACTGAAGCCTGTCCTGTTGTCAAAGAAATATCGTAAGATTTAGAGTCAGACTCACCTGAATCTGCCTCCTGGCTCTACCATTTACTAGCTCTGTGATTTTAAACAACTTCCTCAACTTCTCTGGGCTTCTTTTCTCATCTGAAGGTTTTCTGTACTTCATGGAGTTGTTATTGGAAATTAAATTAGATCACTTGTAGGAAATACCAATACAGTTGCTGGTATGTGATAGATAAAAAATTGTAATCATTAATAATATTACTTTGTATCATGTGAAATTATTGATATTTGACCATATTTTATCTACCAAAAATGGCAGTTTTATACAGATTGACCTAATAATGATAATAACAATAATGGCAATATCACTGAGCAGACTTTAGCCACCCCAGTTTTGCCAAATAACTAGCTGGCGGACTCTACTAAAGCAAAGTTGAGGACATCATTCAGTTAAATTGCAGCATCATTTTAGCTACCATGTTTGTCGACCTGGATGCCTGATTTATCCCCATTTCCCCAACACACACTTGCACCGTTCTAATTCGCCTGGGCATAGGTCCTGGTTTTTTGGTTTTTAGGAGCTCCTCCAAATGACCCGAGTAAGTGGTGAAGGTGTGACTTTGGAGACCCATGTTCTGTGTGGTTTCTTTGGTCCTTGCTGGCCACAACTGAATGACAGCACCTGCCTCTGTCCAGCATCCTTCTTTCTCTTTGGTGTTTTCTAATCTGCTAAGAGCTGGGAAACGAAATAACTTAGCTTTCCTAGCTTATCTTTGTGTCTCCGTTTTTTTTTAGTAAAATTACTAGTAATAAAATACATGATCAACAATGTTGAATTGAAAATAATTGTTAAGTAGGGCAATGAAAAAACACAGTATCATCTTGATAGGTTCTGAAAGGACATTTGATAAACATTCATGTTCAAAAAAAGCTCTTGGTAAATGTAGAATGTAAGCTACTAACAGTCATGATGGATGTGTGGATGTATGTGTGGATGTATACATACACATACATATATGTGTGTATGTATACATACACATACATATGTGTGTATATATACATACACACATATACATACACACATACTTTTTTAAACCAATAGCTGCATCATGCATAAAACATGGAAAACACTTCCATTAAAATCTAGGAATGAAACAAGGATGTCTACTTATTATGACTGTTTAACATTGTTCTAGAAGTACCAGCTTATACAATAGTAACAGGAATAAATGTTGGAAAATTCAGAGAAAAATCATCATCATTTTTTTTTTTTTGAGACAGCATCTTTCTCTGTCACCCAAGCTGGAGTGTGGTGGTATAATCATGGCTCATTTCAGCCTCGAACTCCTAGTCTCAGGTGATCCTCCTGATCCAGCCTGGCCCCCCATGGTGCTGGGATTACAGACATGAGCCACTGCACCTGGCCTCATCAGCATTTTTAGATGATCTAGCTGTCTGCTTGCAAAACTTATGAGGAAATATTAGAAATTAATAAGAAGCTTCAACGAGGTAGATTGTTATATTATTGACAAACAAAAATTAATAACCACTTAGAAAATGCATGCTTCATAAGAGCCATAAAAAGTTAATGCCTAGACACGAACTTCTCAATAAATGACTAAAACCTACATAAGAACCACAAAACTACTCAGGAATACAAAGGGATATTTGAATGATTGTAAAAATATATATATATATCATGTTCTATGATGAGAAGATCTGGTATTTAAAGATGTTAATACTGACAAATCATGCCGTGAATTGAATGTAATCTCAATTAAGATTCCAATTTTTTTTCAAACTTGACTAGAGTTTATTTGAAGACTGTATGTGTGAGAATAATCAGAGAAAATGGGAGAAAAAGGAGAACTAACAAGAGGGCATTTGCCTTCCCAACTCTTAAAATATATTAAAGCTCTGATAATTAAAACTGAGTCCAAAAAAGACAGATTAATTAAATAGACTAGGAAATTCAGAAGCAGACCCAAGCATATAAGAAATTTTGATATAGCTACCATCCCCACCTGAGATTTCAAATCAAGCAGGAAAGCTAAAACTATTCAATAAAGAATCTAGAAAAAAAACTCAGACAAATTATGCCAACATAAATTTCATGTGCATTAAAAAAATTAATATAAAGGTGCTAACAAAAAATATATAAGTATTTATGTAATATTTTATGGGAATTGCTTTTTAAGAATGGCACTGAAGCAAAATTTATAAAATTTAAAATTTAAACTCCTAAATGAAAAAAGAAACCACAAAGTTAAAAGGCAAATAGTCTGGAAAACATATTTTCAATATACATGATAGTCAGAGTTGGTGTCCTTACAACTTAAAGATATATTAAATTCTACAAGAAATATACATATGGAAAATCCAATAAAAATTGTGATAAAAGACATGAACAAAATACTCATAAATGAAGAAACATAGTAAATAACCACATACAAATGTTCAAGATCACGAGTAATCGAAGAAATAAAAGCTAAACATAATGGTCCCTCCTACTTACTTCTTTTATTATTACATATTTTTAAAAATTATGGCCAGAATTGCCAAAAATGTGAAGCAACACATAGGCATTCTCATATATTGCAGGTAGGAATGTAAGTTAGGATGGTCTTTTGGAGGGAAATTTGGAAGTGTCTAAAGCCTGAGACTTGGACCCAGTAAATACACTTAAGGGATATATCTGAGGAAATAATTAAGCAAATGCACATAGATAGTATAAGGGTGATCTTTGCAGCATTATTTATAGTAGCAAAAAACTGGAATATTAGTCAAAAATTATGGCAAAGGCCTGCAAGTATTCAAATGCAAACACAGATATAGGAGAGTCTTGGTTCTCAAACTTTAGTGTACATCAGTGATAACATGGAGAGCGTCTTAAAACAAGATCGCTGGCCCCACCCCAACTAAATTTCTGATTTAGTAAGCCTGAGATGGGGCTCTAGAATGTGCATTTCTAAAAGATGCCCAGGTGATGGTGATGCTGATGGTCCACGCATCACACTTTGAGAGCCCCTGTGATAGAGCACTGCTTAGTGAGAAGAGCAAATTACGGCAGACACAGTAGGATCCAGTTTCTCTATATATGTAACTTACATATGCATAGACAAAAATTCTCAAGGATAAGCCCTAAAATATTAGCAATGGTTATTTCGAAGCATCAAGCTCATGGGTGCTTTAAATTTTTTATGCTCAACATGAATTATTTATATAAATTTAATTAATCAGCCATTTCTTCCTCTAATAAGGGAATTTTATGAATCCCACGTGTGCCTGAAATCTCTCAAGCTGCCTCTTTCTTGCCCTGAATTATCTGGGCCCAGACTCAAAACTTCAGGGTTTGTTATTATTAATATATCTTAACAGTATTAAGATGTAACTCACATACCATACAATTTGCCCAATTAAAGTGTATACTTCAAAGGCTTTTAGAATATTCACAGAGTTGAACAACCATCACAAGAATCAATTCTAGAACATTTTTATAACCCCAAAAAGAAAACTTACCCCCAGCAGTCACTCCCATTTTCCCCTAACGCCCTCCCCCAGCCCATGGCAACCATTAATCAACTTCCTGTTTCTCTGGATTTGTGGGGTCTGAACATTTCATATAAATGGAATCAGACAATATGTGGTCTTGTGTGACTGGCTCCTTTAACTTAGCACATAGTTTTCATACAACACACCTGTCCTTAAGAGGTTCAATTTACTCTGTGTACCATCCCTCCCCTCATCCCAGGTAATTTTAGCCTTCAGCTCGGTTCTCAGTGCTACCTTGGACTAGTTGAATTTTGAGACACAACTCACTTCCTGATTGACATGGTAAAGATGTGCTATAACTCTGGTAAGAGGGCAGCCCAGGGCCTTATCACTAACTCACTCTAGGACCCCAAGCCAGCTGCTTGCTTGGTCTAGATCCTTGTTTCAGGCAACACTAGTACCGCAGAGTTGCTGGAAAACTCAATGAAAGAATGAACATGCTGCTCAGAGTAGTGCCTGCTACCAACAAATGCTCGCACACGTCAGCTGTTGGCATTATTAGAAGAGTTCATTGAATGTCAATACCTGGCAGTTTCTTTACCACGAAGCCCTAATATGGCCACTGGAGCTCTAAAATGCCCGGAGTAGATGTGGCGACATCTTGTCTTATGAAAATATCCTGCCTCCTTCTTGAAGGGATGAGGAGAAGACTTCAGGCTGATTCTCACCCACAGTTGCCTCCTGCTGAGATAAGCTCTCAGGGAGGGTGCTGGGAGGTTATTAGATCAGACACAAGGACAAACCACAATAATAACAATCACAATGCCAACAAAAGTATATGTTAGAATCAACTCCGTATACATACACTTCTTTCCAATAGCTGACTGAAGATGTTACTCAATGCAAGATACCTTCCCAGGCACCAGCAATGCCTGTGGGCTCCTAAATTGACAAACTCAGTTCCCAGGCCTGGGAAAAGCCAGGGACAATTATATGAGACAAAAAAGACACGTGGCCAAGCATCTCAGAACAAGGATCAGGCCTTACTGATCAGGTTAGCGCTGCTCACTAAACGTTGTGAACTGGGCACAGCAACGTTAGTTGCTCAGAATTTGTCTTATAATATTTAGGGCCTTTTGTCCTTCATCCATTATTTTTGTGTCTTTTCTAATCCAAAGGCATTGCTGTTCTTATCTTTCAAAATTCAGCCTGACCAATACATAGTTTTTAAGAGCAATTGTATTATAAATATTGGCAGAATTTGACTTTTCTGGAAAAGACTATTCTTTTTGTGAAAACATCTGAAATGTTTCAAACAGCTTGGGCTCCCCTCATGATGGAGGTGCAAGGTAACTTCATGTTCCTAATATGTGTGGTGTCATCCGAGAGGGTTCTCCATGTGAGCACCCCCAGCAGCCAGAATAGTCCCAAGAACTGAAACTATGCTGCGGCCTCCCCTCCAGCTCCAATCTCTCCAGAAACCCTACAATGGATCCATCAGACCCTCTGATATGGTTTGGCTGTGTCCCCACCCAAATCTCATTTTGAATTGTAGCTCCCATAATTCCCCCGTGTTGTGGGAGGGACCTGGGGGGATATAATTGAATCATGGGGGCAGTTACACCCATACTGTTCTCGTGGTAGTGAATAAGTCTCACAAGATCTGATGGTTTTATAAGGGGAAACCCCTTTCACTTGATTCTCAGTCTCTCTTGCCTGCCACCACATAAGATGTGCCTTTTCCCTTCTGCCATGATTGTGAGGCCTCCCCAGCCACGTGGAACCTCTTTTTCTTTATAAATTACCCAGTCTTGGGTATGTCTTTATCAGCAGTGTGAAAATGGACTAATGCGCCCTCCCAGCTCTTGCACACTCTCAACCTCCATTTTATACCAATCTCAACTGCAAAAGAAAAAAGTTCCTGGATGCCCTGTGCCTCTCCTCCTTTTCCTTTCTTCTCTCTTCCTTCTTCCCCTTCCTTTAAGCACCAATAACAATTACTCATGTTGCTGAGTAGATGGTTATAGGTATATACTCGTATAGCACCTGCTTGATCTACCTTTTTATCCTTAGCCTCAGAAACTAGTTCTAATTGTTTTCAATAGTTGGTAAAGTGAAGCCCAATAGTCGTACAGTGCTCTATGAACTAATAAAAATACAAAACCCTGACATAATATTTAATGCCATCAATAGTGGGGCCATTCAGGATGGGAGGCACAGAATCCTTTAATGTCTTAAAAATCTCTGAACACGTTACTGTAATACTCGTTAGTGAAGCAAATGTTGGCCTTTGCTTTACATACAACAAAAGTTAACATGTTCAGCATTTTTTATATTCTCGAGTATGGTGTTAATCAGACTATGCTTAATAAGATAGTGAATGGTTTTATATCCCCATCGTTTTTTAGAAAACCTTAAAATATTTAAAGCTTTTGTGATTAAAGGACCAAGATTTAGTTGTTTGAAAAACTACACACAGCAAATGGTCATTTCTAGTGACAATCAGATACTGAAGTGTTACTGTACACTGTTGGTGGGAGTGTAAATTAGTTCAGCCATTGTGGAAGACGGTGTAGCAATTCTTCAAGGATCTAGAACCAGAAACACCATCTGACCCAGCTATCCCATTACTGGGTATATCCCCAAAGGATTATAAATCATTCTACTGTAAAAACACATGCACACATATGTTTACTGCAGCACTATTTACAATAGCAAAGGCTTGGAACCAACCCAAATGCCCATCAGTGATGGACTGGATAAAGAAAATGTGGCATACATAAACCACGGAATACTATGCAGCCATAAAAAAGAATGAGATCATGTCCTTTGCAGGGGCATGGATGAAGCTGGAAGCCATCATTCTCATTAAGCTAACACAGGAACAGAAAACCAAACACCACATGTTCTCACTCATAAGTGGGAGTTGAACAATAAGAACACATGGACACAGGGAGGGAAACAACACACACTGGGGCCTTTTTGGGGGTGGGGGCAAGGGGAGGGAGAGCATTAGGACAAATACCTAATCCATGCAGGGCTTAAAACCTAGATGACGGGTTGATAGGTGCAGCAAACCACCATGGCACATATATAACCATGTAACAAACCTGCACATTCTGCATACGTATCCCAGAACTTAAAGTAAAAAAATAATAATAATAAATTAAACATAAAACATAGAATAAAACGCAAGTGTGTCATTGTTTCCCTTGAGTCATTACAGGTTCTTGTTATTAATGCCTTTCAGAAAATTTGAAACTGTATGAAACTCAGTCATACACAATTAATATATTAAGACATTTTCCCATTCTGCTAGGCTTCTCCTTTGCCAAGTGTGAAACTGACTTAGTCATGTTACAAGAAAATATGGCCATGTATCTTTTCACTCTTGGTATCGAGGAAATGCATCTTGTGGCCTCAAGCATGGGTATAATTATATTTATTTATTCAAAACAAATAATGTTGAGACTGCTAGGCTGTATAAAATAACTGCCACCAAGGGTAAGAGAAGATTGCCTGGTAATATCCTTTTTTTGTAAACCTAAGGATAAAAACAAATGAATCAGTTGGTTTTTAGCTATTTTTGGTAGATGGACTTTTTGCAAGTACCTACCACAAAGTACTGTTGTGAGAATTAGATTTATTTTATCTTTATTTCTTCAACAAATACTTACGTAGTGCTTATGATGTGCCAGTCATTCAACTAAGGCTATATATTACATACACTGACCAAATTAATTATCATGACCACATTTTGATGTTGGTTCAATATCCTCATGGATGTGGAAACGCAGACGCAGAGAGGTTCTATAGTCACTGCCTCATACGTGGGAGAGGTACACAGTGTGTGAGTCATATTTGGAACTTAGCAAACATGAGGGACCATTTCCTCCCAGGTCACACTGACTATCCAAGTTGAAAAGTGGATGAATGCAACTTCAACATTTATAAGGCTGGGAAAAAATGAGATATTTCTGATTTACAACGATTTTAGAACTTAGGTAGAATACGATGTACATATAGTTCAACCTTTCTGCTATTTCTTATTCGAAAGAAATTGAGACATTAGAAAAGAATCATTGAGAGAATACACAGGTCACTGATTTTGTGATGTTCTTACTGGGTATAATAACATAGGAATCAGTTCTCAAATCTCAGTGATTCTCTGAAAATACTTAATTGGAGAAATCTAGACTAAACAATTTACTATTTAAAATGCTTGAACTTGTCACATTTTTTAAGAATCAGTTGGAGGTATTTTAAGAGAAACAGCTGCTATAAATGGATTTGTTTGTCCAAATAGGATCCTCTATTTGGTGGTTCCATGGTAATTTACCATCTGCCCCCCAAAAGTGCTGTACAGGCAAAATTTCTGATCACAGTCCAAATTGCAGAGAAAACTTAATGTGCATTTGAAATTAATCAACCAGCAAACACACGGGTATATCTGAGTGTATAGACATTTCATGGACCCGCTGTATTTAAAGGATTTTGCCGAAGACACGGAAAAAGGTACAAAGACCAGTAGGACACAAGGGCCTTGGAGAAGCTTTCGTCTGAGAGAGAAGATAAAATAAAGGCATATTCAAACATAACCAATGAAATAAATAGGAAGGCATAACGGCAAGGAGAGAATATTGTCAGTGATGACTTAGAGAGCGCAGAGAGGAATAAGACCACAGTGGACTGGGCTGAACTGGACAGGACTGAGCAGGACTGGGCGGGAGAATTGGGACCATGACTGGCTCCTGGGACTTCTGCCGAATCACACAGGAAGCAAAGGATTTGGCTCATGAGGAAGGGAGAGGGCAGTCCACGCTGTCTGTTCATTATCACTCCAATGCACATTGCTCCGAGCCCGTCAGTTTGATTTATGTTTCTTCTATTTAAGTAGAATAATCCAGATGTAATTTTTCTGCCTATGATGCTCTGCTCTTTTGCTGCATTTTGTGGCTGAGTTTCTCTTTGTGTGCTCCATCCATCACGTACGTGGCCGTGTTTACTTTGCTCTCTCATTCCCTGTATGTCTCATGAATAACAAAATTATAGAAACAGATCGAACATGTTTGAAATAATTCACATCGTGGTGAACCTTTTGGGTGGCCTGTATCACAGGCATTATCCCTTTATCTTTTCTCCTTTTCCCACTGTGCCTCAAGACATTAATGGTTAATGGGTAGTTGCAAAACAGCATTTCCTCTCCAAAGAAATGCCACAAGAAAGAGCACAAAAGAAAGTGTTAATATATGTTTCATTGTACACTGAGGTTTGGTGGTATTTCCAGACAGACCTGTGTTTTCTTTAATATTCTATCTGATAGGGGCATATCAGAAATGCAGCAGCTGATAGGGGGTTCATTGTCCCCATCTGGGTTGGTAGGAGGGGTAATGTGCTTCATGATTGGGGCTGGCCAACGTGACCCAGTGGGGTAGGTGGACTCCGTCAGTAGGTGAACTGACCCACCTGTAGGGGCGCTGCTCTGGGATCCAGAAGTCCAATACGTGGCCCCAGAGGGGTCTCTCGGTAATTGATGGGGGAAGGGGTGTGGTCCACCCAAAAGAGTGGCTCCAATAATGGGGATTCTCATAGGCAGGTCACGCTAACACAGTTCTGGAAGATCAGTCCATCCTATACCCCATGACTGGAGGTGTGAAAATGGAATTCAAGCACGTGGGGATGAATATGCTGGCAGGAGAAAGGCATGGCATCAGCATCCCCAGCAGTGGGCCAGGATTGAGGCAAAGCTACAAACCCGCTGGAAATCTGCTTACAACAAAATATGACATGAGGCTCACCCCAGACACGGAATCTCTAGCGGTGCAATGAATTCCATGCATTTCTGGTGGATCAAGGTCACCCACTGGGTCAGGACTGACTTCAGAACAATCTTGGAGGAGTTTCTGGAAGGGGGCAACAGCAGAGATCTTGAGTCAACTAGCAAGGGCCAACATCAGTTCCAAACAACTACATGTCCTCCAATGCTGGTTTTTTTCTCTTTTATTGAACTCTGTCCTACATAAAGTACACAAATCTTAAGTGATAGATTTTTACGATATACATATACTTGTGTAACCACCACCCAGATAGAGATACAGAACATTAACAGCACCCGGAAATCTCTGATAGCCCTTCCCAGTCAATAACCATCATTTTGGCTTTTATTATCGTACATTAGCTTGACCTGTGGTATGTACTCTTAGCATCTGTCTTCTTTTGCTTGATACTAAACCTATGAGACACTTCCGTGTTGCTGCATGTTGCTATAATTTGTTCATTTTCACTGCTATCTAGTATTCTATTGTATAACTCTACACAAGTTCTTATTGTCAATGACATTTGGGTCGTTTCAAGATTTGAGCTCTTAAGAAAGCCTCTGTGAACATCCTTGTGTATGTCTTTCAGTGGACATAAGTGCTTATTTCTGGTGTCATACACACAGGTGTGGATTGCTGAGTCATAGGACATATGTCATTTAGCTTTAGTTCCTTGGACACTTTTAAGAGTAATTTCCCCACTAGTCAGTTTAGAAAAGAGATGAAAAACTAGTAAGGTTAATCTGCAAAGTATGTTTTGAGGGCAGCACAACATTAGATACTAGCTTAAAGACTAAAGTAATCCATCATTACTACTACATTGTGTTGTACAAGAAAATAAGAACTTCAGGAAGGCAATTCCTACGCCCAGTGTAGCACTGCTCACAACAGGAAAATGGTGGAGGAGCTGACTAAATAAATGCAGTGAGGAAATGTGGCATGGGGCTTGGAGTTTACTATTCTACCCTGTGAAGTACTGCAGAGGGTTAGGATCAGACTTATGAGTGAGGCAGAACCAGGTGACCATCTCAGCACTACCCATCTCCAGCAGCTGATCACAGTGTAGCCACTTAATGTTTCCAATCCCCTTAGCAAAATGAGGGTAATAGTCCTACCTCATTTGGATGTTGTGAGGATCAAATCAGACAATGGTTGCTAAGAACGTATCACAGTGCTTAGCACATAATAAGCAATTAAACAGTAACTATTTTTATTAGCAATGTAATCAGTGATAATTTTGAGATTTTGAATAATGATGATAATTAAAACAAATAAAAAGTTGACTTAGGCTTATTGCATGTGTGAGCTAAGGGGTACCTAGAGATCATCATGTCACCCTGCCTACTTCACAGGTGAGAGGACCAAGGCACACAGTGTGTAATCACAGGGTCGAGAGGAGGGTATTCTGCAAAGCCCATGCCATCGTGTATTGGTTCTTCTCAGCAAGCCCCTTGGTTGGCTTTAGGTCCTATGTTAAAAATCCTCTTTCTTTGAGGTGGGAAATCCTATTCTGAGGGTGAAGGATCTGGGTTTAGTGGGAATTTAATCACTGCAGGCATCAGGGTTCCTTAGGTAAACAGAACAAATAAGGGACACACACACACAGTCTCACACACACAGTCTCACACACACAACTCATACACACCACACACACTCACACACACACACTTGTACTCTCACACGCACACATACTTACACAACACATACACACCACAGCACACACACTCCACACACACACATTCACACACCACACTCACGCACACTCTCACACACACTCGTTCTCATACACACACACTCACACACTAACACACTCCCATACACACATGCACACACACACCACACACACGCACACACCACACACACATTCACACACACTCGTTCACACACACACTCACACACACACTAACAGTCACATACGCATGCACTGTCACGCACACCACACACGCTCACATTCACACTCATTCTCCCACACTCTCACAGTCACACACACACACACACACACATATTATTTACCTATTATTTGACTCCATGATCTCTCTTCGCCATAAACCCATCCTACAAAAGAGGAAGCTGTGTCTTTTTGAGATGAAATAATTGGCCCGAGGTCACCCAGCCTAGAGTGGCAGAGCCAGGAATTGACTCCAGATCATTCTCCACAACACTGCCCTTAGTAAAAGAAAACATAGTGCCAGGAAGACAATAAAATCCAACAACCTTTATAAATAAGTCCATGGAGCTCACCATTCCAGGAGATGGGAATGGTCCAGGACAAAACTTGAATCTGTCATTTCAATCACTCGTGCTCTCCCTGGCTAAAAGATTTAGAAGGAAGAGAAGATTGAAACTTGGCTAAAAGATTTAGAAGGAAGAGAAGATTGAAACTTGCCTTCATCAGGTGTTTCTGAATTATCTGTGGATTTCAGTCCTCTGACTGTTGTGACAGATAAACCAAAGGTGGAATTATGTATGGATACAAAGAAAGGCCCATCATCTTGGGCTGATACAAACATTGAAAAGCTTGATGAAAACCTTGGAAGGAAGTGTTTGAGGAGGGGAAGACCAGGGAATTCTGGGGAACAGTCCAGTCAGTTCTATACCCCAGCCCAGTCTCGTTTCCCCTAGACACTCCCATTCAAGCCCTCCTCAGGACACTGAGCCCCATCGGGAATTCAGGATGGTGAAAGAGCCTATTTAACTGAATCTGAAGGAAAAGAGCTTCAAAGGGGCTTTTCAAATTATCTTAAGTGTCCAACTGCTCCTGTGTCTAATTTCCTGCAAATGAGTTACGGATACAAGAATTAACCTTTCCTCGAGGAGGAAAACAAATTACACGAGATTTTACGTAGTTTTTTTGTTAAAGTGAAAAGAGAACGGAAGAAAAAGACAAGACAAAGGGAAGAAACAATGTTGGCAGGAACAGTGTTGGCCTCAACAGGGCCCTTTGTGTGAATCAGAAAATGGTCCCTGTGAAATGGGAGAGTTCCTTGATTCCTCTCGCAGGACGTGCAATACGGGTGTGGCTCGCCTGCTTGATCAGCCTGCAGCTCAAACCCCTAAGGGGAACATGCAGACAGGCAGGTGCAGAGGCCAGCGCGAGCACTTTTGGACTCCCACCCGACGGCAGCATCTGGGGTGGATATCTGCGACTCTCAAAGCCCAAGTAGGCATATGTTACCAAGCTCTTTCAGATTTGCCGTCTGCAGACGGCTTGTGTGTTAATCAGCTCAAGGGACCCTCTGCCTTATCGCAAGGGCAGAGGGGGCCAGTGTGACAGCCTTCTGTATACTGAGCTCTTGCCCAGTGCCCCAAAAGAATCAGACCAAATGCAGGCTCAAAGGATGAGTGCAAGGTTTTATTGAGTGGTGGAAGTGACTCTCAGCAAGATGAACGGGAAGCCTGAAGTGGGGATGGAGTTGGAAGGCGGTCTTTCCTTGGAGTCGGGCCACCCAGTGGCCGGGCTCTTCTCCGACCACCACCAGCCGAACTCCCCTCAGTATCCAGATATCTCTCCTCTTCTCTCTCTCTGCCATGTTGTTCCACTGTCGCTGGCCTGCTGGTCCGCTGGTCTGTTGGTCTCCACATTCAGCTGCTTGTGTGCCCACTAAGGTCTTGGGTTTATATGGAGGCAACATGGGGGCGTGGCAGGCCAAAAGGCAACTTTTCGGGTGCAAAAACAGAAATGCCTGTCCTCATTTAGGGCAGCAGGTCTTCAGGCTTGAGGGTGGGGCCTTGCCAGGGACCCTGCTCTTCTCCACCCAGCACTTTCCTGACCCCCTCCCATATCACCTGTCCTCCACCAGGCCAGAGCCCACATTTGGGCAAGTGGTCTGAATTTCAGCTGTTCTCCCCTTCTTTGCTGCATGCCTTGTGAAGTGTACAGTCTCTACAGCTGTTCATGGCAACCTTAGATGTTGACTTTCTTCCTTCCTCACTTTGTGAGCTCAAGTATTTTTTTAAAAAATTACCTGACAAAATCAAGATAGCATTTGTCTTGGTCAGCTCTTGAGGGGCATGGGGAAAAAAAAGCAAGACAGTCATTCAAAGGGCATCCTTCCTGGAGCTGGCCATGAAAGATTAAACACGCTTCTCCAGATAGGGCAGTTGGTTGGTTCTTTACTAATTCATGACTTAGAGTGTATCAAGGGATGTGATTTAGCTGGGGAAGTACAGGGCAAAGGAGGGTCTGGGTCTGGATGAAACTAATAGAGAAAACTCAGCTCACCCTGCAAATGCCACATGCAGTTTGAGTTTCACAAGGAAGTAAATGTCAGTAAACTCCAGCAGGGCTATGTGGCCACATCTCCTTTTATTTTTTTTTTCAATCAGAGGCATTCAGATGACAATGTAGTTATCTTTCAGAAAAATGATTATGCCATTTGGACATAATCCAGCAATTCCAAGTGGCCTGTACTGTAAGTTGGCCCACTTAGAAAAAGTATTATAGATCCATTTTATGTGGGTTACCCTATGTCATAAAATTTTACCTGTAATAAAAATGCAATCATAACAGACTCAGATTATTTCCCTGGAAAACAAAATGTGTAGGCATAAAGTAATAAGGCAGGGTTTTGCATATAGTGCCTTAAATCATATTTTTTGTCACATCTGATAGTATCTCTTCCCTTGAAAAGCTAGTGGACATTTCTTGTGGGAAGCCTAAAAGGAATATATTCTTTGTTAACCGTGTTATTTCCAAGATGGCTCACTCCCATAGTTTTTGGCAGGAGGCCTCAGGTCCTCACTGCATGGCCCTCTCCATTGGGCTGCTTGAGTGTCTTCCTGTCATGACTGCCATCTTCCCCCAGCATGAGTCAGCAAAGGGAGAGCACAGTGGAAGCCACAATGTCATTCATAACCTAGCTTCAAAAGGCACACTGTATCACTTCCTCAGTGTCCTATTGATTACTCGGCTGATACGGTTTGGCTGTGTCCCAACACAAATCTCATCTTGAATTCCCTTGTGTCTTGGGAGGGGCCCAGTGGGAGGCAACTGAATCATGGGGGCAGGCCTTTCCCATGCTATTCTCATGATAGTGAATAAGACTCACAATATCTCACAGTTTTATAAGAGGGAGATTCCCTCTATAAACTCTCTTCTCTTGTCTGCTGCCATGTGAGACATGCCTTTCACCTTCTGCCATGATTTTGAGGCCTCCCCAGCCACGTGGAACTGTAAGTCCATTAAACCTCTTTCGTTTGTAAATTTTCCAGTCTCAGGTATGTCTTTAGCAGCACTGTGAAAACGATGAGTACAGTAAATTGGTACCAGAAGCAGGGTGCTACAGAAAAGATACCTGAAAATGTGGAAGTGACTTTGGAACTGGGAACAGGCAGAGGTTTGGAACAATTTGGAGGGCTCAGAAGAAGATAGGAAAATGTGGGAAAGTTTGGAACTCCCTAGACATTTGTTGAATAGCTTTGCCCAAAATGCTGATAGCGATATGGACAATAAAGTCCAGGCTGAGGTGGTCTCAGATGGAAATGAGGAACTTGTTGGGAACTAGAGCAAAGGTGACTCTTGTTATGTTTTAGCAAAGAGACTGGCAGCATATTGCCCCTGCCCTAGAGATTTGTGAAACTTTGAACTTGAGAGTGATGATTTAGGGTATCTGGTGAAAGAAATTTCTAAGCAGCATCAAGAGGTGACTTGGGTGCTATTAAAGGAATCCAGTTTTATAAGGGAAGTAGATCATAAAAGTTTGGAAATTTTGCAGCCTGACAATGCAATAGAAATGAAAATCCCATTTTCTGAGGAGAAATTCAAGCTGGTTGCAGAAATTTGCATATGTAACAAGGAGCTGAATGTTAATCTCCAAGACAATGGGGAAAATGTCCCCAGGGCATGTCAGAGGTCTTCACAGCAGCCCCTCCCATCGCAGGCTTGGAGGCCTAGGAGGAAAACATGGTTTCACATGTAGACTGGGCCCAGGGTCCCCATGCTGTGTGCAACCTAGGGACTTGGTGCCCTGCAACCCAGCTGCTCCAGCCATGGCTGAAAGGGGCCAAAATAGAGCTCAGGCCATGGCTTCAGAGGGTGCAACTCCCAAGCCTTGGCGCTTCCATGTGATGTTGAGCCTGTGAGTGCACAAAAGTCAAGAATCGATGTTTGGGAACCTCTGCTTAGATTTCAGAGGGTATATGGAAACACCTGGATGCCCAGGCAGAAGTTTGCTGCAGGGGCAGGGCCCTCATGAAAAACCTCTGCTAGGGCAGCTCAGAAGGAAAATGTGGGGTCGGAGACCCCACACAGAGTCCCTACTGGGACACTGCCTAGTGGAGCTGTGAGAAGAGGGCCACCATCCTCCACCCCAGAATGGGAGATCCACTGACAGCTTGCACTGTGCACCTGGAAAAGCTGCAGACACCCAATGCCAGCCTGTGAAAGCAGCCAGGAGGAAGGCTATGCCCTGCAAAGTGACAGGGGCAGAGCCACCCAAGACCATAGGAACCCACCTCTTGCATCAGTGTGACCTGGATGTGAGACATGGAGTCAAAGATCATTTTGGAGCTTTAAGATTTGACTGCCCCACTGGATTTTGGACTTGCATGGGGCCTGTAGCCCCTTTGTTTTGCCAATTTATCCATTTGGAATGGCTGTATTTACCCAATACCTGTACCCCCATTATATCAAGGAAGTAACTTACTTTTGATTTTACAGGCTTATAGGCAGAAGGGACTTGCCTTATCTAAGATGAGACTTTGGACTGTGGACTTTTAAGTTAATGCTGAAATGAGTTAAGACCTTGGGGGACTGCTGGGAAGACATGATTGGTTTTGAAATGTGAGGACATGAGATTTGGGAGGGGCCAGGAGTAGAATGATATGATTTGGCTGTGTCCCCACCAAAATCTCATCTTGAATCCCCATGTGTTGTGGGAGGGACCCAGTGGGAGGTAATAGAATCATGGGGACAGGTCTTTCCCATGCTCTTCTCATGATAGTGAATAAGTCTCATGAGATTTGACAGTTTTATTAGGGGGAGTTTCCCTGCACAAGCTCTCTTCTCTTGTTTGCCACCATGTGAGATGTGCCTTTCATGATTGTGAGGCCTCCCCAGCCACGTGGAACTGTAAGTCCTGTTAAACCTCTTTCTTTTGTAAATTGCCCAGTCTCAGATATGTCTTTATGAGCAGCATGAAAACAGACTAATACACCAGCTCAGCCCTGTTGATGTGACCACACAGGGTATGGATACTAATGGGCAGGACCAGTGGGAGCTGTCTGGGAGACTGGCTGCCACACCTTCCATTGGCAGATGTCTATCAGTCCTTCTCTCACTCCAGAGGACACTGTATTCTCCTAGTTCTCCTCCTGTTCCCTGCAGACTCTTCCTTGTCCTGCTTCCATACTCCCCCTCTTCTGCCCATGGTTTCCATAATGGTATTTTTCAAGGTGAGGCTTTCCCATAAATACATACATATATAGGATATGCAGGGACAACTCCTAACCTCTATATTTGTCCTAGATTCAGAAGCTCCAGGCCTGTGTTAACATCTCCTTCTGGACTAAGAGGACCAGTGGAATGCATTTCACCTGATTTGTGGGGGAAGGGCCCAGCTCATGACCTTTGTTATCTTCAGATGATGCTAGCATTGGCTGCAAGGAGAAGGATAGAGAACAAAGATCATAGCTGTGCTTTACGCCTTGGGTCCCATCTCTTCCATTTAGCCAGGAACAGTCCGGGTCTATGTCCCTTGACCCAGTGTAATTATTAACATTGTTCCCTTTTACTCTCAAAAGTGTCTTATTTTGAATGACAAATTATATGATTGTCTCATAGCCTTTTTACAACTCTGGACCATTTATCATTGCTTTATAATGTGTAAATGTTATAAAAGCTATCTACAGACTGGATCTAAACTGATGCAGGGTGTCAGCTGCACGGGTGAAACTGACCATTAGAAACAATTAGATGATATGCTAAGGAATGTTATTCTCCAAACATTTCCGTGGTATTTAACATTCTTTGGCATTTCCGTGACCTTTTATGAGGTGCAACACAAGTGGAAAGATTCATTTATGTCATGATCATCACCTTGTATCTGAGAGAAAATGAGAGACCCAAAGCAGGTGTCCTGGGCTGAGTTGAATATTGCATTTCAGAACCCATTGACCGGATGCTAATTTCTGTCATTTGCATGGGGGCCCCCATACTATCATTCCTATCACAGTATCCATGTCAGCTCAATTTTCACAGCAGCTGTAGCTGAAACACTGACCCACCACCGATTACAGTGGTGTAATGAAGTGCAATGGGCCGGTAATTATTCTACATTACACCGATCAAGTAACATACGGCCCATGGTGATCACAATGAGATCCCAGTGCTTGGTCAGGATGGAGGAAAAAAGGCCATAAATGTTATTTAAAGGGTGTCATCAAAAATGAGTTTGCAAGGCTAGAAATGTAAGGGGTTCCAGTCCCAAGATGTTATCTTAGCCTCCCATTTCATAATTGCCTCATAGTTGGTGTACAGAGGCCTCCTCTCATAAATTTGTCTTGAGTAACTTAATGAAAGGTTATATTTAAAATCCACCTGTAAATTGAGAAGGATCTTTTGATAGAGAAGAGATCTGGGGACAGGATGGAGGGAGGACAGGAAAGCCAATAATGAAATTTCAAGCAACTAAACATTCAAAACATCTGGTTCAGTTGCTTCAGGAAACATCATAATTGGCCTGATCAATGTCCCCAAAACTGAGGGTGCTGGTGGGATGGACCCCTAAAATTCCTGGAGAGTGACTTCCGTACAGAGCACAGCCTAGGTTAAAACTTGATTTTAAATGGGTATGAAAACCTGAAAAGAATAAACCAACTCCAGTAATTTAGTAAATATTCACCTTAGGAAAGCTGCCTGAGTTCACTATTTAACAATTGCTACCTCATTATTTTAAAACATTCCACAATTCAGTTGGCCCTAAGCATAGGATTAGTTCTGGAGATGGCTACAGTTTGGGTTTGCAACCTGCTGAAAAACATGGACCCATAAAGTTGTAATGTTGCAGAAAGGTAAGGGCATCGTACCAACCTGAGTGTTTGTGCCACAAACGCAGCCGCTGCACAACACACCTATATGTCGTACATGCATGGGTTGGTGTACCTGTGTGTGTACACATATACACACACACAGAGCATACATCCTCACAAGAATATAAGATTAGGAACTCAGATATTAGACCATACAGGGTCAAATTCACGATCCATGGAGTCCACTGTCCTATGGCTGAGCCCCTCACTTCCCCCACAGCCCCCTCTTCCCCTGTCTGCCTCTCCTTTCACCCCTGCTCTCTTTCTTGCTTTCTCGCCACTGCCCTAAAGGCCTGTGCCCTACTGAGGTACAACATCTTCTCTTTGCAGGAAAGAGGTAGAATAGATATCAGCTGAAATTGATGAGTTCTAGGTAGGGCTATTTGAAGACTTCTATAGTCTTTAGACCCCACACCACATCAAATATTTTAATTGCACCCACTTTGTAGACTATTTGGGCTACAAAAATATTTGGGATGATTTTTCTAGGGTTACTGGTGAGATTATTTGTCTAAAATGAACCCATTTGGCTTATACTTGGCCATGACTTTGCAAAAATCACCATAGGCAATCAGGATTCTTACAAAATGAGAAACTTTAATTGTTGCTAATCCTAAACTTGATAATACAGTTAATGTAATGTCACATTCTATGGGCATCTCATCCTACATTTATCAAGGTTGACTTTAAACTGAATGCATTGTGGGGTTTTTTGTTTGTTTTTTTAGGTTTCCAATTTTCCTCATGTCATTGTGGAGCTTGCAGGCCCCATCTACTTTGCCTATAGTGCCTAAAATTGACTGAAAGAACCCTAGAGTAAGAGCCAGACATCCTGGGTTCACAGCCCTCTATCTGGTTGAGCAAGTTATTTGAACTCTTACAGCCTTGGTTTCCTCATCTGCAAATTAAAGATAGTAGCCAGGACTACCCTGGTGAAAGCATAGAAAGCATTTATCATAGGGTCAGCTATGCAGCAAGCCACTCAAATAATCTTAGCCGTTATTTTCAGTCATTTGTTTTTACTTTTTATGTTCTTTGCATAATAAGCTTTATAATAATAATAAAGAACTTTCAAAGAAAAAATTACTCATACTCTCCTAATCAAACATTTTCCATGTTCTATTCCATGCCTATATAATTTTACAAAGTTGTAATCTTTTCATATTTAAGTGTTCGTATTTTGAGGAATTTTTTTCTTACAGCTTTGGATCAAAATTACCTTTCCATTGTTTTGGTTTTCAAATAATCATTCTTAAGAGCTATATAACATTCAATGATGTTAATTTACCATAATTTGTTTAACTGTTCCCATACTGCTAATCATTTGAATTATTTTCATAGACATAAATTATGACTATGTCATTTACATTTTTTAATCCATTTATATTCCTAGCTTTCTTTGCTTTTGGAATGAAGCATTCAGTAAGGTTACCGTCTACTCTGTGAAGTAACATTTCCTTCAATTTGTCTAAAATGTAACTGGATCCTGTTTCAAAGGGCTCCTTCCTTCTAGCTTTCCTCTTCTCTGGAGGCCTCTGATAAAGACTATGAGCAAAGGAAGGAGAATAAAGAAAATTTCTTTGCCTCTTCCAAGAGTTGGGAGTAGAATTTCTTATGCCTTCTATGTGTGCAGGGCAGGACCTTACCACAGACCAACATTGCTGGGCCTGACCCCATTTGCCTCTGTGTGCAAGGGAGCCAGTCACTGCCTGACCCAGCCATGCTGCATCATGTGGCCCCATCCCTGGCTGAGGCTGATCAACCCAGAGAGGTGGCCCACATGACCCAAGGTCGGGATGTATGAAGTAGTCAGGTGCAAAGGGGTAGCTGGGTCAATTATTTTTCTTTTATTTTATTTTATTTTTTGAGACGGAGTCTCGCTCTGTTGCCCAGGCTGGAGTGCAGTGGCGTGATCTCAGCTCACTGCAAGCTCCACCTCCCAGGTTCATGCCATTCTCCTGCCTCAGCCTCCCGAGTAGCTGGGACTACAGGTGCCTGCCACCACGCCTGGCTAATTTTTTGTATTTTTTAGTAGGGACGGGGTTTCACCATGTTAGCCAGTATGGTCTCAATCTCCTGACCTTGTGATCCGCCCACCTCGGCCTCCCAAAGTGCTGGGATTACAGGAGTGAGCCACCATGCCCGGCCACAGTCAGATATTTTTCTTTCTGGAATTTGAACACAAAAATACCTGAAGGTTGGTATCCTCAGTGTCAATGGTGGTGTGAGCCTATAGGCTGGAAATGTTGGTGTGGAGGACCAACTTCAAGAACCCCCACACACACCCTGCCTCCTGGTGTCCATGCCTCTGTGTAGTCCCCTCCCCTTAAACATGGGCAGGATTGGTGACTTGCTTCTGATCAAAGGTGATGGAATCTGTGGGGT